>NC_000002.12:71667625-72292625 GCF_000001405.40 Homo sapiens
TCCTTCCTTGACCCATTTCTTCACAGTCTGAGTGCGGCCATGGTTGGCCTGGGAGGGGATCTTTAGGTCCTGGCTTCCTCTGGCTGCCTCCATCCCTCAGGGCCTGCGAAACGAGGCTGAGCTTCTCCCCTCACCCCTGTAGGCCTGGCCTCCGACCTCTCCTTGTCATCCTGAAGCCTCTCTGTTTCAGCCTGACTTCAGGTTGGATTCCCCCATCCAACCACTATCTGTCAGTGACTCAGTCTCAGATGCCCGGCCCTGTGCTGGGTGGCTGTGGGGTATGCAGCCAGGGTGGCCCTGGCATCCTATGACCAAATGACAAAGCCACCCACAGAGAGCAGTCCTCAGTGGGAGGGGAATCCTCCCACGCTGAAGGGCGGGGACCACAGAGACAGCAGCCTTGGGATGGTGACAGGGAGGGCTTCCTGGAAGAGGTGAGCTCAGAGCTGGGTTTTGGAAGAGGAGAAGGGGAGACAAGGTTATAGGCAAAGAGAAAGGCCAAAGTGAGCCATGAGGATGCCTTTGTGAATGCCAGAGGACATTACCTCTGTTGTTTGGAACTGAGCTCTCTCTCCACCTAGGTGGTTTGGCTACCGGCCTCCCCAAAGTGGCACAACAGGTGTGGAAACTTCAGCTCTTTCATCTTCTAGTTCTGTGACCCTGCAGAAGTGACTTAATTGAATTACTTCAATTCCTGCTCCTTCTGCTCTAAGATGAGACAAATTCACACCTCGCTTGCAGAGAGGGAGGAGGATAAGGGGTGGGCAGGGAGAGTGATGTCCTGCCATGGAAGCCTTCTGAGCCCTCCATAACTGAACGGTGCTCTTTGACACGCCACGACTGTGCACATGCCATTCCCCTGGCTGCCAAGACTCAGCTCAGCCACCACCATCTCTGAGAAGCCCACCCTGACCCTTGACCCCCAGGCACAGGCCCAAGTCAGAGGCCTGTGGGGCAGTGGTCACCTCTGCGGTTGACCCTGTAGTCCCCTGTTTAGGGCAGTGAGGCTTTCTCTGGAAGGGCCTGGGTTTCTCTGTTCTGTGCCCTCAGCATCTGGCCCAGAGCAGGTGCTTGGTAACAGCTGGTTAAATGAGAAGGGTGGGGAGAGAACGGACCCTGTCTCCGCAGGGGAAGCTGCAGATGTGGGTCGACCTATTTCCGAAGGCCCTGGGGCGGCCTGGACCTCCCTTCAACATCACCCCACGGAGAGCCAGAAGGTGACTTGCCCAGCCACAGGCTCTGAGCTGGGCTGAGGGGTGGGGGCGTTGCAGCCTGCTGTGGGCGGGACTAGGCGGTTGCTCTTTTCTGCCGGGCTTCAGGCTATTTGGGCCATGGAATACAGTTCTCGTTTGGGCCTGGGCCAGTGTCCAGCCAGGCAGGCATCGAGTCCTCTTGGACCAGTCTGCTTCTTGGCTTCTTGGCTTCTTAAGGCCTTCCCATCCTTTGGTAGGAAATCTAGGTGGATTAGAGTGATACCTTTCCCCAGGTTTTTCCTGCGTTGTATTATCTGGAATACCAGAGATGTGATCCTGGATGACCTGAGCCTCACGGGGGAGAAGATGAGCGACATTTATGTGAAAGGGTAGGGAGCCAGCGTCCTCTTGCCTGTCCAGCTTCCCGCAGCTCCCGTGCTCCCTCTGGGTTGTGCACAGCACGGGGGGCTCTGGCTCAGGGAAGGGAAGAACAAACAAACTTCCAACGAGGGCTCCTGGGGGTGGTCCCTGCCTTTGGGGAAATCGCTCTCCCACCAGATTTCTTTTTCTGCACTGAACTTTGGGTTGAACTTACAAGTTTAGTGGCTGGGAAGTTAGAATGTTTTCAAATTTATGGCACATTTTGTACATCGTGCCGATTTCCTGGGAATTCTTTTTGCGATAAGCTCATTTACCTTCTTAACTCCTTGTCTGCCTAAGTTGACGATGTATATACTGTGTTGGAAATCTTAATGAGAACTATTCTCTAAAAACATGTATGTCTAGTTGGATGATTGGCTTTGAAGAACACAAGCAAAAGACAGACGTGCATTATCGTTCCCTGGGAGGTGAAGGCAACTTCAACTGGAGGTTCATTTTCCCCTTCGACTACCTGCCAGCTGAGCAAGTCTGTACCATTGCCAAGAAGGTCAGTGTCCTTCCGATTCCCTGTGGTGCCAGCACCAGGGCTTCTAAAGTTAGCCTGACCTGACCACCACGTCCCTGCCTGGCAACTGTCACAATCTCACTGCTGCCCCACCATGTTGGAGCTACCACTGCCATCTCCACATGGCCACCACCTCCACTGTCCCAGCACTGCCAGTGTCACCACCACTGCTGTCTCAGCATTGTGTGATGGCCTCTGTCCCATCACAGCCAATGTCACCGTGGCTGCTGTTCCATCACTACTGGTGTTATCACAACTGTTGCCTCCTCACTGCCAAATGTCACCACCACTGTTCTGTCATTCATGGCACTACCGTGGTCCCACCCCTGCTGTCATTACCCCCAAAGCCACCTCCACCATCTCTGCATCCACCCCTTTTCCACTCTCTTCCACCATCTTTCCCATCCCCAGCCCTGCCGCCACCCCATGGCCACCTCATGATCACACAGTGCCATATCCATCATTTGCAGCTAAATCCAGATCCCAAAGTCACTGCCTCCCTCCCTACCTCAGACAAGTTAAGCAGCAGGAAGGACCATGGGGTCTGAGTGGGTAGAGTAGGGACACCCAGCATGGCCTTCAAAAGGGCAGTGGGGCAGACCCCATGGGGGAGCTTCCCAAGAAGGCCAGTCTGGCCTATAGATCATGGTGTCCACAGGATTGGGAGTTGCTTGGCTAAGTCTTTCTCATATCCCATTTTCCACATCTGTGCCTATGGTCACCGTCCAAGCTAGGTCACAGTCCAAGTGTGCCTGCAAGGCCCACAGCCATCACCCTCCTCTCTCCACTCCCACCTCTCACTACAGGCCAAAGGCACCTAGGGAGACCTGGCTTGCATCAGCCAGAGGGGAGGCTGGATTTGGGGACCTCGGTCTCTGTGTCTCAGCATCTGCTAGTTTAGGTCTCATCTGGGGCGTCAACTTTTTACCCCTGAACTAGGCAGAACTCGAGGACAGCCAGCCTCTTCCTGGTAGGACCAGGCCTGCCCTCAGAGAGCAGCCCCCAGAGCACAGAATGGGTGCTGAGGGCAGTGGAGACTTCAGGGCTATGCTGGTTGGAGGCAGAGGGGTCTCTGCTGTAGCTTCTGGCCATCCTTGTCCCACCCGGCATTAAATTCCACCCTGAGGTGCTCTCCAACTCAAGGGGGTAAATGCCTCTCTGGCATCTAGATTCTGCTGGCCCGATTTCCTTCCAGAGGTGGCTCAAGGCTTTAAGCCTCAAAGCTCCTATGACTCCTTGTCTCCTGAAAGGAAGGGGATATATGACGCGTTCCAGTGCCTGCATTTTCTTGATTCTCTTCATTACATCCCCTCTGCATGGCCCTTCCCAGCCTAACATGCAGGATCATCTGCACATTAGAGAAAGCAAAATGTTCCGCGGAACATTCTGAAACCATGAAACAAAAGAAAACATGGATTCAACAGGGTTAAGTGGATCCCTTTACCGAGCCATTGCTGTGGAGTGACTGGCAGAAAGCAGAATTGAGCAACAGGGTTCTGGGAGGTCAAGGAAAGCATGGGCCGTTTGCAGGTTGAGCCTCATTTGCTGCTGTTCAGTGTGCTTCCCTGACATGAGCCTGTTTCCATCAGAAAGCCAAGGTTGCATCTGCCCCAAGACACAGCACTGCCCCAGCCAGCTCTGCTGCAGACAGAGGGAGAGGGGGCCTGGGAGTGGAGAGGGAGGGCTGCGCCCCCCGTGGCACCCCCAGGGCTCACCTACAAGGGCTGGAGACTGAGACCGAGAGGAATGGGAGGTGGGACAGCCCCTTCCTCATGACAGGTGGAGATGTGGATTAGGAGTGGCTGTTTTGTCTCTGAAGTAAGAGGAGAGATGATCTGGTACTGGGGCAGGTGACTTGAGACCAGTGGAAAAGGCTGGAAAGAGCTGCTATGAGTGACAGTGAGGGAGGGACACAGAGAGATGGGGAGGGAATGTGACTGGCAGCACAGAGAGGGTTACCCGGCAGTTCTGGGGACCCAGTTGTGGTTGCTGATTAAGAATTTGGGGTGGCTCCATTCTGGCAATGTTGTGGTTTTGTCTCTGCATCATAGGGCCTGGTCAGGAGGAAGGAAGAAGGGGAGAGTGGGGCCAACCCGTGGGCGAGTTCCAGAGGAAGACAGGGGTCGAGGATATGGAAGGGACTGCCTGATGGCCAAGAGGGTCTTGGTCAGACTTGGGAGAATGAGAAGCCCACAGGGGAGCAGGGGTGGCGAGGAGGAAGAGAGGTCAGAGAGTGGAAGGAGAGGCTCACTGGGAGGGAAGGCCAGAGGGGAAGGGACGTTCTCCGTGATGCCAGACTCTGGGGAGAAGGTGGCTGGAAGGAGGGGCGGAGAAGGTCAGAAGAGGAGGCTGAGAAACAGAAACAGAGGCCACGTGGCTCTGAAGTCAACCAGAGGTGGGAGACAGAAACTGGCTCGGCCGAAGGCGGAGACAGAAACTGGCTTGGCCGAAGGCAGAGCCAGAGGGTCCCTCTTGGAGTGAAGGGACCCTGGGAGGCAGGCAGAGCAGTGGCCACAGTGGGGCACCAGTTAGCTGGGTTGGGCTGAAGGATCGAGTCTGGATGGGTTCGTGCAGGGGCACTGCACAGCCTCTGGGCTCCCTGGGCCTGCCACGGAGCCAGCCCTCTGCCGTGGGGTTCAGGGCCTCTGGCAGGCAGGCCCTCCAGGGACCCCATTAACCAGACGAGACTGTCGTAAAGTACAAGGTCTCCTTTCATCCGGCGGCTTTGAACCACCACTGGTTGCCCCGGCCAGGCTCCCCACCTGGAGCCCAGCACACCCTGCACGTCAGGCACCCACCCTGCAAATAAACAGCTAGTAAAAGCGCCCAGGCCAGGAGCATAATGAGCGCCTGGGACCTGGGGGGGTTCATTCCCCAGGCTGGAGCCCCAGCCCAGCTGCTCCCACCAGGGGCCGTTTGAACCTCTGGCTCATTACCGAGCCCATAAACCAAGCTGGCCAGAGGAATGGAGGCTGCTGGCGGGCCATGCAGGCGGGCCTGCGGAGCTGGCCATAAAAGCTCGCCAGAGGAGGGAGGCACCTGCAGAAGGGCTGGGGCCCGGAAAAGGGGGGAGGCACCAGACAGAGGGCTGGAGGTGAGGGGCCAGCTGGAGACCTGAGCCCCTTCCCCAACCCAGGCAGCAGTCCAGGCCGTGGCTGGGTGCTTTGCACGGGGACTAGTCCTCACGGGGCAGGGGTCATGGTCTTCGGTTCGGGAGCTCACTGGGATTTCCGTGGCCAACCTCTGAGGCTGGGGTGGCCACACAGCAGGCCCTGGCTGGACAGCAAGGGTGGGTTTACCAGGCATTTGGTGGAGCTTTTCCCCTGCAGAGTTGGGTCCAGGCCCTTGCTCTGACCCGGCACTCAGGACTTGGCACCCACCATCTGCAGGGTGGTCACACTGTTTCCTGTCCTTGCCACTCACCCAGGGGAGAGTTATAGTGAGAAAACAGAGAACAAGACTGCGCTGGAAAGCCCTAGTGACAGTGCTGTGGGTTGAGTGTGGCTGGACTGAGGGGTGCTCCCCGGCCTCCGCATGTGCAGTCCCACACCGCTCAGTTGCTCCATGAAGCCTCAGTGGGAGGAAGCCCAAGATGACCTTGTTCCAGGCGAGCTGGTCTGAGGGAGGTGGGGTGGGGAGAGAAGGGCCCCTCCTCTCCTTTCAGCAGGAGACGGAACTTCCCAGCACTTCAGGCTTTGGCTTTGCCCTGGGTCAAGCTCTTGGAGTGAAGTTGGGTGGGGTGGAGAGGGAGGAGCTGGGGTCTAGATTCCAGTGCCAGCTCCTTACAGCAGCGTGCTGGGAGATCCTTCTATGACAGCCAGGGTAGGGTGGGGTCCCTCAGGGTCTCAGTTACCCCACCCTGACCCTGAGATGCCAGGTACAGAGCAAGGTTTAAGGTAGAGAGCAGGACTCTGGAACCCAGCTGCCAGGGTTTGAGTCCAGCTTGCCACTTCCTAGCTATGTGGTCTTGGACAAATTACTTGCTTTGGTCTCCTCCACTGTAAAGATAGTATCTCCTTTACAGGTGGTTGGAAGGATAAATGAGTTCATAGCAGTAGAGGGCCAACGCATAGGAAGCACTATATTAATGTTATTATTATTAGTGGTCAGACCTCAGGCACATTCCTTTAACTTCTCCAAGCCTCACCTTCATCATCTGTAAAATGGGAGTGATAACCTTGACTTACAGAGTTGGGAGGATTAATGGAGCCATCTTATGTGAACTGAGCCTGCACGGTGCCCTTTTGGGCCCTTGAACACTGCCTTCTGGGATCTGTCCTTCCCAGTCTTCCCACAGGACCTGGCTCTGGCAGGTCCCTTGGGGACATCCTACTCCTCTGCCTCCTCCAGGCAGCCTTCCAGGCTGGAAGGGAACACTGCCTCTCTCTAACCTTGCTTCCTTGCATCCTTCTCTGTTCCTCTTCCGGGTCAGGATGCCTTCTGGAGGCTGGACAAGACTGAGAGCAAAATCCCAGCACGAGTGGTGTTCCAGATCTGGGACAATGACAAGTTCTCCTTTGATGATTTTCTGGGTAAGCGCTATTGCTAGAATCCCATTCTGCACATGGGGGCTGCCCCAGAACCCACACTGTGTGTTTATGCCACTGTTGGACCCTTGGGGAAGCCTAGCAGGAGGAGTGATCCCACTTTCTGCTTTCAGGGAGCTCAGGGTCATGTGTCCCCAGTGTTAAGTGAGGTGTATGACACACAGCAGTGTCAGAGTGATTGGTGGCCACTGAGGGTGGGCCTGTCAGTAGAGGTGGCACTGAACACTGGGCCATGTTGGATGATGGGACTCAGATATGTAAGTAAGCGAGGGACGCAAGTGTGTGCTGCCTGTCGCCAGCTGTCTGGCCTCACATTTGACACAGACTGAGCCCTGTGAGTGAGGGTCTCAAGTCAGTCTTCATCCTTGTGCCTGTGTGACCGACTGAGTGAACAAACCCAGGCTCTATCCCCATTACCCCCAGACAGGGTTCTAGTGGGAAGGGCTGTGATGAAATCTGGGACTGGGGAGCAGGGAGGCTGGGTTGAATGGAAGGTGGTGATGGTGGCCTTGTAGGGTTAGGATATGGGGACAAGGAGGAAGACATTGTATGGGGCCTGCACGCTCATCTGTGAGAGCAGTGAGTTCAAGATAGCCCTGTCATGGCTATAAAGGTTAACTCTGGAAAATGTGGTCTATCCATACAATGGGAGAGTATTCAGCCATGAAAGCAATGAAATACTGATACATACTACACTGTAGGTGAACCTGAAAACATGCCAGGTGAAAGCAGCCAGACACAAAAGGTCAAATATTATATGGCTTCATGTATATGAAATGTCCATAATAGGCAAATCCATAGAGACGGAAAATAGGTTAGTGGTTGCTAGGGATTGGGGGAGGGGGGATGGGGAGTGACTGTGATGGGTAAGAGGTTTCTTTTTGCGGTGATGGAAAGGTTCTGGAATTAGATGGTGGTGAAGGTTGCACAACTCTGTGAATATACTCAAAGGCACTGATTTGTACACTTAAAGTGGTTAAAGTGGTGCATTTATGTGAGGTGGATTTTACCTTGATTAAAAAATAAAGCGAGCTTGTGAAAACGGCAACCCAGGAAGTCAGGATCCCTGGTTTCTAGATCCATTCTGCCACTTGGGAGCAGGGTGGCCTGGAGCCCTCTTGGGGTAGCCCTTGACTGGAGAAGGTGAGTCGTTCTTAGCTGAGCCCTGGGGCCCCTGCAGGGGATATTCTGAGGCGCGGCTTCCGGCAGTGGGGAGAAGGCTGCCTGTTCACTTGACTGTTCCCCCGCCCTGCGCACCTGGCCTGGCCAAATGCCCAGAGAACTTTGTTATAAAAGCATCAGGTGCAAAAAGCGTGGCACCAAGTTTGACTTCTATTATTTTACTTATTATTTTGTACATAATTCCTGTAGAGGAATTAGAAAATGCAGGTAAGGAATTAGAAAATGCAGGTAAGCAATGCTTCCTCCCCACCTTAATCTCACCACCCAATTTCTACTAACATTTTGGCATGTATTATTGTATTATATATTATTTGAGACTTAAACAAACATAAGTATTTTATATATGTATTTATATATACACATGTACATGCATACATATATAATATATACATATATTCATATGTATATGAATGGATTTCTATTACACAGACTGTTTTATATCCTGATTTTTGAAAAACCTAATATTCCAAGAACATCCTTTCTGGTCAGTAGGTATCGATCTGCATTTATATCTCCATCATCACACTTAATGCCTGCCTATGTTTTGTCATAGACGTGGGCCCTGTTTTGATTAATCCTCTCCTGGTGGGTATTCAGGTCATCTCCAGGTTTCCCAATGTGAGTAACACCCTCGGCATATGCACATCCTTCGATCCTTTGTGCATATCTTTCCTTAACTCTGAGAAGTAGATATGTCTTTGTACATTTTAATGGCTTTTGAAACATTTTGTTCAGTTGCCCTCTAGAAAGGTTTTACTTGTTTATACTCCCACCTGTGCCCTGTTTGTACAGGGTGCCATTTTCCCTAAACTTTTGCTACCACTGTACATTAAAAAAAAATTGCCAATAAGATATTTCCTTTTTATTTGCATTTTTTATTGCATTTAAGGTAGAACTTTAAAATATATTTATTATCCGTATTGTGGAATTTTCTTCATGGTTTTGCAATATTCATCTTTTATTATTGATTTTCAGAGCCTTTTATGTATTAAGAATACATTGCAAATAATTTCTCCCAATTTTTCTTATGCTTTAAAATTTTTATGGAGACTTTTTTTCTTACAGACTTTGTGAATTTATGGCATCAATCTTTCCTTTATGAAGTGAGGCTTTAGAAAATTAGTTTTTAAAAGAAAAACAAAAAAAAAACCCTGTGTTTTTTACTGACTGAGTAAATCATGTTCAAAGTAAAGTTAAACAGACTCATCCTTTGTTTTAAAAAATAAAACCATTAACGAATACTAGCTTTTATATCCATGAAATTTTTCTTTTCCACCTTCATAATTTGTTTTCTAATTACATAACTTGTGTCTTTTGAATATTTATTACTTTTTAATTTTAAAGGTAATGGTTAAGCACCTATAAGCTCACCATCCAGATAGCCTGTGTTTCCTTACAGTCTTTTATGTAGATCATGCTGAGATAATGTGTGTGTATGTGTGTGTGTGTGTGTGTGTGGTTTAATATTCTGACATTTGCTTAATATATTGGCACCATATTTCAAATAGAAAATAAACATTCATTCATCTGCACTGGAGGGATGGAGAAATATATGGGTGGGTGGAGCATAGATGAATGCCGATATACAGTTGAATAAGTGGACAGACAGGTGGAATAATAACCTGATTAATGGATAGATATAGTGCTTAACAAATGGTAGCTATAGAGGAATGTGGATAGTTAGGTCAAAGCAGACGCACAGATGGAAGGACGGATTGATAAATGGATGAGTGGAAAGAAAGAAAACTAGAAAAAGAGTTATATTTAATGTTCGGTTATAGTAACTATGCATTCTACACTGAAAAAAATTGAAACACCTTTGCATGGTGTTTGAGAATTTCTTTAATTTGGCTTCAGAAAATAATTTTTCTATTGATCTCTCTTAATCCCTTTGGCAACCTATGCTCCAATCCCATTGACTTTATCAGATTATGATTAGATTAGGCGAAACCACATGAAATTGCTGTTTAAATGGGTCAAAGATAGTTAAATACAAGAATTTTCATATGGTTCAACCTAATAGCTGAAGGTATCCTGGGAGATGATAGATAAAAGGGATGATTAGATAAAACAATAAAAAAAGATGGCTGCTTGGATAACTAGGTGGTAGATGAAAAAGACTGTTGGATGAACCACAGTGAGGTACCACTTCACACCTACTAAGATAATAGTAATAATAATAAACCAGAATATAGCAAGTGTTTTGAGGATGTGGAGAAATTGCTGGTGTGCTGGGACATTGGTGGTTTGAGTGTAAAATGATTCGGCTGCTGTGGAAAACTGTTTGGCAGTTCCTTGAAAAGCTGATCATAGAATTGCTAATGAACAAAGAATCCTACTCCAGGTGTGTGTGTACCCCAAAGAATTGAAAACAGGGACTCAGACATTTGTGTGCTAACGTTCACTGCAACATTATTCATAATATGAAGTTAAAAGATGGGAACACCTCAAGTGTCCATCAACAGATGAATGAATGAACAAAGTGTGGTACAGGTTAAATATAACTTATCTGAAATGCTTGGAACAGAAGTGTTTCAGATTTCTGATGCTTTTTGGATTTTGGAATAATTGCATATACTTAATAAGATATCTTTGGGATAGGACCCAAATCTAAATACAAAATTTTTTTCATATATACTTTGTAAGCATAGCCTGAAGGGAATTTTATAGAATATTTAAGATAATTTTATGCATGAAACAAAGTTTAAGTACGTATGTGTGGAGTTTTCCACTTGTAGCATTATGTTGGCAATCAGAAACTTTCAGACTTTGGAGCATTTCAAATTTCAGATTTTCAGATTATGCATGTTCAACCCGTATATGCCTAGAATGGAATCTTACTCAACCATAAAAAAAATACAGATTAAAAAAACACTACTGATATATACAACAAGGATGAACCCTGAAAACATTATGGAAATCAAAATAAGCCAGACACAAAAGAACAAATATTGTATGATTCCACTTATATGAAATATCTAGAATAGACAAATTCATAGAGACAGAAAGTAGACTAGAGGTTACTGGGGCGAAGGGGAGGGAGGAATGGGGAGTTATTGCTTAATGGGTGCAGAGTTTTTGTTTGGGGGATGGAAAAGTTTTAGAAATAGTAGTGATGGTTGTACAGCATTGTGGCTGTAATTAAAGCCACTGAATTGTACACTTAACATGGTTAAAATAACAAATTTCATGTTATATGTATTTTACCATGATAAAAATAATTAAAAAAAAATTGATGTATGGCTGTTTATAGACGGTGTATGAATGGATTTGTACATAGATGAGTAATTGAAGAGGTGGGTGGCTTTGTTAAGGGTGAGTAAATAGGAGTGGATGAACATGCATATGAACGCATGAGTAGATGAATGGGAAGCTGTATAGATGGAATGGGAGACAATGGGTAGGGAGGTGGAGAGTTCGTGAGATTTTACCTGTGGCTCGGCCATGGATAGAAGCTGGTGACAGAGGTGACTGAGTTTTTCCTGAACCTGCCCTGCCTAAGGGTGGCTACAGGCTGGCAGTGATCGAGAAACCCTTGGCCAAAAACTACCTCTCTGTTGCAGGCTCCCTGCAGCTCGATCTCAACCGCATGCCCAAGCCAGCCAAGACAGCCAAGAAGTGCTCCTTGGACCAGCTGGATGATGCTTTCCACCCAGAATGGTTTGTGTCCCTTTTTGAGCAGAAAACAGTGAAGGGCTGGTGGCCCTGTGTAGCAGAAGAGGGTGAGAAGAAAATACTGGCGGTAAGTCTACTTCCTCCAGCCCCAGTGGAGGGCATGGGGGAAGCTTCTTCCATAGAAATTGTCAGAAAATACGTCATCAGAAAATACATGCTTACTGTTCCTCCTCCTTTCTCCCCCTCTCCTGCCCCCATCCCCCCTCTCTCTCTATTTTCCAAGGCATTCTCCCTCTTTCCTCCCAATTCCCGGTCGCCTTCTCCTTTGCGGCTCACATCCCAGGGGAAGCCTATTTAAACCAAAAGATTACTCTGTTTATACTCTACTCATTGGCTTTAATAGTGACCTGTGTCCTGGGTTCCCTCTGATCTGGACTTCCTGGGTGAATGGGCGGGGGTCATGCCTCTCCCATTTGAGCAGGACCCTCCAAGGGACCATCCTTATTCTGCTCTCTGAGAGGTCTGCTTAGAGGGGTGACTGGAGGGCCCGAGAGAACCGTCCTTCCCCTGAGTCCACAGCAGCCATGGAGAGGAAGTTAATCCCTGAAAGTTTACTTAGAAATTTCAGGCAGCCAGCCAACCCTGAAAGTGGTCCTTGAAATTGAATATACTTGTTATATAAAGAGTGGTAACAATAAGAAATACTAGTACCCCAAAGGAAAAATGAGAAAACGACATGCATAGCTAATTCACAAAATAATTACCAATGTCTGCAAAGCATTTTTAAAAAGGTTTAGTCTCTCCAGTAATTAAATAAAGGGATACAGTAGTCCCCCCCTTATCTGGAGGAGATATGTTCCAAGACCCCCAGGGGATGCCTGAAACTACAGATAGTACTAAACCCGTATTATGTACTGTGTTTATTCCCATCTATACATATCTATGAGAAAGTTTAATTTCTAAATGAGGCACAGTAAGAGATTAACAACAATAACTAATAATAGAACAATTATAACAATATATTGTTATAAAAGTTAGGTGAATGTGGTCTTTCTCTCTGTGTGTCAAAATATCTTACTGTACTGCCCACGGGTAGCTGAAACCCTAGAAATCAAACCCAAAGATAAGGGAGGACTACTGTATTTTTAAATGTGTTTTTTTTGTCTGTTAAATTATATATATTTTTAAAACAGAAATGCTCATTGCTGCTGAGCATGCAGAGAGAAGACAGGCCCCCCTTTTACTTCTGCTGGGAGCACTAATGGTTTTACTGTGTGGAGGAAGAAATTTGATAACATATAGTAACAGATTTAACAATATTTATGCCCTCGGACTCTGTCATCCGACTTCTAAAATCCTTCTAAATAAATAACCCAATAAATTTTAAAAGTCTAGGTTCTGGGATATTTGTTGCAGCATTATTTACCCTATCAAAGAGTTGGAAACAACCTAAATGAACCAAAATAAGTAGTTTACTAAATAATTATGGTCAACCATCCCATACAATGTTTGGCAGTCATTAAAAACCGAACTTTAAAGAATAGACAACTACATAGTGAAATATATTCCGAAGTGAAAAAAGCCATCTATGGAACTGTATATGCACAGTGTGACATTTCATAAGCTTGCAGAGAAAATCAGCTATGATGCATGCAAATGTTAACAGTGCTTGTCTCCATGTAGTGGAAGTAGGGGTGGCAGTCTCCCTTCTTTATACATTTCTGAAGTTTCCAAATGTTTTACAAAGAGCAGGTGCTGCTTTTATGTTCAGAAACCCTACATCTTTTTTTTTAAATAATGAAGTGGCCCTTATGTTTTTTCTGGCCTGGTTACTCTCCAGGCCACTGAGCAGAGCCTTCGTGCCCCTAACCAAGTGCTCTCTGTCCCCTCAGGGCAAGCTGGAAATGACCTTGGAGATTGTAGCAGAGAGTGAGCATGAGGAGCGGCCTGCTGGCCAGGGCCGGGATGAGCCCAACATGAACCCTAAGCTTGAGGACCCAAGGTCAGTGCCCAGCCCCTGAGCCCCAATGCCCACAGGTCTGGGGGTATAGGCCACAGTCCAGGAGGCATCCCATTGCATGGCCATGTAGAAGTCACAAAGCCCACGTGGCTCAGAGAGGGGCACGACTCATCCAAGGCCACACAGTAAGTTAGGGGGAAGGTGATGGGCATCTGTCCAGAGAACACTGGGCTCAGCGAATTCAAGATGCAGGTGCTATTGGGTACCTGTTGGTTGTGTGCCAAGCATGCTATCCTATGCATGTGTACATTGTGCTATGGAACCTTCCCTGCAGGGTAGTTGTTATTATCCCCATTTTACAGATGAGGAACAATCTCAGCAAAGTTAAATAAGGGCATTCCAGCTAGGACAGTGGTGAAGCAGAAATGCTCTCACCTGGTCTGATTGGCTCCAGAGCCCGATCAAGGTCTTGACCCTACCAAGCTGCCTTCGGTGGCTCTCCTATGGTGCCAGTGTGACTTTCAAATGGTTTTTCAGCCTTCATTTTTCCATCTGTGAAATGGGGAGCCCAATCCCTGTCTTCCCTACATCACAGACCTCTTGGGGAGATAGACCAAGCCAATGGATGTAGATGCTGTGAAGGCAGTTACAGGGGCAGAGTCACTGAAAGATGGCTGTGGGGGCTCAGGAATGTGTTTGCTGGATCCCGCCCCACCAGCCTACTTGGCTCAAGTTGGATTTAGCATAGATGGCTCAGTTAGTCACCATGCTGTGATTAGCACCGTGTGCCTGAGTGCCATGGGGCTGGCAGAGCAGTGAGAGGCACCCTTGCCTAAGGATGCTGGGATCTGCACAGGAAGAAAAGAGAGACCCGTGAGACACCAGTGTGCAATCTGATGTTAACGGGGCCATGATGGAGACCCAGAATCCTCCACGTATTTTGAGATGTGGAGCTGGCCTAGGGAAAGGTTTTGAGATTCTTGGTTGTGAGAGAACCAGCTTCCTATGTTCTCTTCCCACCGTTGTTCCCTGAGCATGGACTAGCCATGTGCATCTGGGCAGGTGTCTTGGCTTATCTGGGGCTCGGTGGGCTGGAGAGCACTTTGAAGCACTGCCCAGCTCCTAAATCTGCAGTTTGTGATTAAGTCCTGGGTCAGGAATGGGTGAGGGCACCAAGGAAGGTGTCCTGGAGAGGATGGCAGAGAAACTGGGCCACTGAGGATGCTTAGGGCTTGGCAGCACCCAGAAGAGGAGGGCAGCACAGGTGGGGGTGATACTGTAGCAAGGGCTTGGGGGAGAGGGAATGCAAGGTGCAAAGGGCTAGTTTAGGGACAGGGCCTGGGCAGGCGCTGGGGGTGGACTGTGGAGGGCCAGGCCATTGGACCTGCTGTTGAGAGAAGAGTTTGGAGAAAGCAGCCCTAGTAAAGGATGCCCAGTTGACCTCCGGGATCTCGCTTCCAGGCGCCCCGACACCTCCTTCCTGTGGTTTACCTCCCCATACAAGACCATGAAGTTCATCCTGTGGCGGCGTTTCCGGTGGGCCATCATCCTCTTCATCATCCTCTTCATCCTGCTGCTGTTCCTGGCCATCTTCATCTACGCCTTCCCGGTGAGCAGGCCTGACGACACTGTGGTGGGGGAACTCTGGGTCTAATGGGGGAGTTCATCATTGTCCTCAAAGAGCTCTCCCAGTCTAATGGAGAGAAGTAACCTCTGTCCTTGGAGAGCCCCTGGTCTGATGAGGATACAGAGCCCAGCTCTGGGGAGTCTCCAATCTGGTAGGTGTACAAAGTTCTACCCTTGGAGGCTCTTAGTCCAGTGAGAGAAACTGAGTTCTTGCCCTTCATGGTGAGACAAAGCTGTCCTCAGCAAGCCCCTAGAATTTGTAATGAAGGGGTTAGGAGAAGATGAGGCCCTTTGGGTTGCGGTGGGCAGGGGGACTTTCTGGAAGGGAGGTGTGGAACTGGGTCTGAAAGGAAGGTGAGATGTTGATGGCAGAGCAGAGAAGGTCCCTTTGTCTTAACAGCAGTTGCAAATCCAGAGGAAGGGAGGAGCTGGGGCTGGGAGAGCATCTCAGGGTCCACCTGAGGCACTCAATAGAGTGTGTCCTGCCTCCTGCAGCAGGTGGGCATAGGGAAGCTGTCGGGGAGCGGGAGGCTGGCCCAGGAGCCCTTACTTGGCTCGGTGCCCATTTGGGTTTCCTTTCACTTGGTAAGAAGCCAATTGATGAGCTTGTGGGGCCATACCAGAGGTGGCTGTCGTGCCCTTGCTCTGTGGGGCCCTGCCTGGGGGAGGAAGGTCCCTGCCTGTGCTTCCCCAGCCCGCACAGCTCATCAGGGAACCCGGATCACCAGGGAGCCTCCCCCAGTGTCTCTGATACTTTAGACCTTGAAGGGGTTGCAGCATTCTCAGGCTGACACCTGATTTCTAATGCTCTTTAAAATTTAAAAGAAATCTTTTTAATATGAAAACTCCAACCCTATATAAAAGTGGAGAGAATGGTGTAATCCACCCCTTGAGGACCTTATGTTGGTGGCAAAGACGCAAACACCCAGAGAAGGAAAGGGCCTGGCCGTAGGCTGCACAGTATTCCATGCACACTCCCAATCCAGGGCTCACTGTGATTCCCACTTCAGGCCTCAGTCCTGGTCAGCACCAGGCCACTGGCCCAGAGCATTGATCCCATGGCAGACAGGCTGCTTGGGGAACTGCCCCCAGGTGAGCTCTTTGCTCTGTGAGTCCTCCAGGAGGAGGAAAGGGCAAGAGCCCCTCCATCCCACTGCAGCTGGCTATGCCCATGTCTGCAGAATGCATCTCAGAGAGGAAGAGAGTTATAACCACACAGCTTTCCATGCAGTTCTAACAGCTGAACTGAGAGGAGCTGGGGAAAGGATGTCTGGTTTGGATGTCCGGACCAGCTACCATCTGGGCCATAGTGACTAAGGAGAGTCTAGAACCAGGGTGGTGAAGGGTCTGCCTACAGGCCAGGCCTGCTAAGCTGGCTGTGGTCACCTGAGGCGCAATGGAGAAATGTTTCTGAGGTTCTGAGGTTTGTCCATCAGCAAAATCTGACTGTGGTCCAGGGTAGATCTAGGTTGCAGGGACTCGAGGTGTGTACGATGTGGGAGGCCTCTTTAAGCCAAGGGAGACGAGATTACAAATATAAGCTGAGATACAGGACTGTGGAAGAGTGTGTGCACGTGTGGTGTCCTGCAGCATGAGCTGTTGCTGTGACCTGAGATCCGGGGTCAGGCCCCAGGACTTCTGCCTGGTGTCTCCTGCCCAGGGGGCACCCTTCCCAGCCTGCCTCAAGCTCCTCCTCCCATTCGGAGCCCAGCTGGCCAGTGTTCAGTTAGCCACAGAGACTCTAAGCACGTGTGTGCGTCTGGGAGGTAAGGGCGTGTTTTGGGGATGAGGGAGAAGAGGATGAGGCCTCATGCCACTGGGGAGTGCTCACTTCCCTGGGGAGACATTGAAACCAGAGAGTAAGGAAAAGTACTGTGGATGATCAAATGCTCTTTTGGGAGGCTCAGGCCGTGGGAGTTTAGGAAGAGAAGAGCTGCTGCAGACCCTCGCCCTTGGTGTAGTCGGAGGACTAGCAGCAGTAGCACCAGGGAACTCACTAGAAACTCAGAGTCCCCGGCCGGCCCCGGCCTGCTGAGGGGGAATCTGCATGTAGGCACATGATGGTTGGAGAAACCCTGTTGGATGTGACAGAGCTCTGTCGCTGGAGTCAGGATTATGGACTCTTCCTGTGACCTTGGCAAATCCCTCCTGCTCACATGAGGAAGGGGCTGCACTAGGTTAGCTCTGGCCTTCTGTGGCTGGGACTGTGCTTAGGGGAGCACTGTCATCTTCCCTGGCTGCTGTATATTAAGCCAAGCCTCCTTCTGAAAAGCCAAGGGGAGGGGAAAGGCAGGTCCAAAGTGGCATCACCACCACCCATGACATGCCTAAGCCCAGCCCCTGCCAGCTGCACCCTGCACTGCTAGGCTACTGGGCAGCAGATCTAGGCCTCCAGGGGCCTGGGGAAGGAGGCCCTGCTGCCTGGCTGGGAGAGGAAGGAAAGATTTCCAGTCACTTCCAGCCTGTGGTCCTTCCTCATCGCTGTGGGCAGAAGCAGAGTGGTACTGTGGGGGGCCTGGTCAGAGCTCCTCCCTGTCTCCTGTCCCCCCAGCAGCGGGCCACTCTCCTTTGAGTTCTTCTGGAAGTTGTCCTCTTTAAAATATGGACCCTGCTTCCCCTCTCCCAGGGCTGGTGTGGGGATGTCAGATCCTAGGTAAGGGGTCTAGGGATGAAGGGGGTGGCCTGGGCCTGAGGCTGCAGACTGGCTTTGCTCACAGGTCTTTGCTACAAGCTGAGCACATCCTGCCTCCTTCCACCCAAGTCACTCATTCATTTGGCCAGTACCAGATGATGAGGGCCGGGCCCTGGTGACCCTCACCTGGCTTTCAGGCCATGGGACAGAGGCTGCCTGCCCCAAGCCAGGGCCTAGTGGAGAGGGGCCCAAGGACAGGGCAGCTTCCTCCAGTTGGCCTAATCCCCTACCCTCTTGGAAATTCCCTTGGGAGGGGTATGAGGGGGCAGCCTGTCTGATTCCTCTCAGCTTCCCCCTCAGAGCCAGCCGGGAGCAGGGCCAGCGTGGGGAGGCAGGAGGCGTTTGGCGGGGAAGGAGGGCCGGCTCTGTTTCCAGAGTTGGCTTTCCCCAGCCGGCGCTGGGGAACATACTGTCCCAATTAGGAGCCCTGTATTGTGTTGTATGTGTTTTCATGGTTTTTGGGGGGAGAAGTGGGGAGGGGAGGATACTGTCAATCCTGCAGCAGGCAGGGCTCAATCAAGGGTGCCCTGTCTCTAGTGCTGGGCTGTGCCGTGGGTCATCCACGACAGCCCATCCCCAACTCTCTCTCTGCTTTCTGGACAGGGGTGTGATGACCCGTAAGCCCTGGGCTGCCATGTGGGGGAGGACCCTGGGCCCCACCTTCAGCACCTGTCTGATGGAAGAGGCCAGGTCCAGGGTGCTCAGAGTCCTCTGGGCAGTCAGCTGGAACCTGGAAATGGGCCTGGCTTGATGGGGGAGAAGACAGAGCAATTTGGGCAGCTTTGGCCCCCAGGTGGGAGGGTGCGGGTGGAGTTTCGGAGGGTATGGGTTTGCCTGATGGGCTGGAGCACTAGGCAGGGCGGAGTGTTGAGCCCCACATGGTATGGATGGCAAGTGGTGAGGGCGAGGCGTGGGCAGGTGGTTGAAGAGCCACGAGCGTCCTCTCCCAGCCTCTTGCCTGTTGGCAGCTTAGCCCCATCCTCTGAGCCCCAGGTCTGGGACAGCTGCTCTGGCTGTGCCTGCCCCAGTGGGATCACCATGGGTCCCTGTCTCCTCCCTCCCTCCAGAACTATGCTGCCATGAAGCTGGTGAAGCCCTTCAGCTGAGGACTCTCCTGCCCTGTAGAAGGGGCCGTGGGGTCCCCTCCAGCATGGGACTGGCCTGCCTCCTCCGCCCAGCTCGGCGAGCTCCTCCAGACCTCCTAGGCCTGATTGTCCTGCCAGGGTGGGCAGACAGACAGATGGACCGGCCCACACTCCCAGAGTTGCTAACATGGAGCTCTGAGATCACCCCACTTCCATCATTTCCTTCTCCCCCAACCCAACGCTTTTTTGGATCAGCTCAGACATATTTCAGTATAAAACAGTTGGAACCACACAGCAGTGTCAGTGTGTGTATCTCTACAGTACCTGAACAGGGAGTGACTGTGAAGGGGGATATGCCTGGGTGGGCGGGGAGGGTGGACGGGGTATGGGTGCTGCTTCCAGCCCAGCCTTCTGGAGGGAGAGGCAGCTGAGAAGCAGTGGGTGGGGCCCGTGGAACTGCTTCTTCTTTCACAAGACTGGTTGGGGGTGGGGTGGGCTTGGGGCTTGGTGTCTGGTTTGCCTTAGCCCCGGCCTCCTCTGCCTCCTCTCCAATCCAGGACTTTCCCCTTTCCCCCTGCCTTCTCCTTACTCGGGCACCCCCCCCGTCTCCCAGGCTGCCCTTTGCCTAGGAGGGCAGCTACCTGTATCTTCTGGTTTCTTTGACCATGCTAGGGAAGAGGTTCCATTTTATAGAAAGGGAACTCCAGTGGGGAGGGTTCGGCCAGAAATCCCCTAGGCAGGGAGGCCACTGTACCTCTGGCTTTGGCCTATTCCCATAGAATCCTGGGATTTCTTGCGATTCTCTCTCTCTGCTTCCTCTCTCTGCTTTAAGAATCCGATCTGGACAAAGACACCTTTTTCTTGTGGTCTAAAGCTTAGTTGTAGCCATTGGTTTGACATTTCCTGCAGGAATCAGGCTTAATCTACAGAAGCAGCAGGAACATACTTGGAGAGAAAGCCAAGCGCTTGAAAACATCACGTTTCCAAGAGTCTCCTGCATCTCTCGCCTGAGGGGCTGAACTCTGTGAGCACAGAGCTGGCAGCCTCCACTCCCGTTACCCAGCGGGTGTCCCCGGTTTTCCACGGTGACCCTGCATCCTGGCCCAGTCCTCCTTGGCTCTTCACTGATTGGCAGGACTGGGGGTGGTTGGGACAGGGTTGATGTCTGGAACCTGCCTGGGTGAGGGAGCTACACCTTGAAAGCAGGGTGCTTCTTACTTCAGGAGAGCTTCAGGCTAGAGGTGGCTATGAGTCCTGAGACCCTGACACCTGAACCCTAGAGCCAGGGGCCACGCCGCACGTAGGACACAGCAGGGACTGGGGTCAGAGCTTTTCTGGGAAGGTCAGTCTGGTGCTGAGCCTTCACTGAGCACACTAAGCATGCCTGTGGGGAGGCAGTGAGAGGAGGCTGGCCTTTAGGGAGGGCTAGAGGGAGAGGAAGGAAGGGGTGGGGCCACCACTTCAGGAGGCCCCGAGCGAGATTTTTAGGAGAGGGAAAACCTGAGAATATTTGAAGGGAGGAAGGAGGAAGCCACTTGTTAGGGAAAGATCAAAGACACAAGAAAGAGTATGAGGTAATTCATGGAATCAGTTTCTGGAGAAGGAGAGGAGGGGGTTTGCTTTGGAAAGAAGGTCTGTTTTGTCTTCCAGGGCGGAAAGGCAAGAGGAAATGAATGAATACCATGCAACTATCAGCTGGATTAAAAGAGCTTTAGGGGTCATTGTGCTCATTTTTTCATTTCTTCCTTCACTTTATTCTTGATTCTCTGGGTTGCAGGTAATGGAAAACCCCACTCAAGCTACGAAAGGGAATTCAATGGCTTTACAGAAATGAAACACCCAGATGATTGGTTTCAGGTAAAGGCTGATCCAGCTCCTCAATGTGAGATCATTGAGAGTTTGTGTTCTCAAGGTTGGCTTCAGTTTAAAGCTGGCTCCATTCATCGTGCTGGGCTTGAAGCTGCTCTCTGAGACCACATAGACCACTAAGAAAAACTCAGAGGGGGATGAGGAATGGATGGCAAGGGGACACCATCCCCAGCAAACGCGCCTTGAGATGCTCTATGTGGCAGGCCTAGAGCAAGGTCTGAGGATGAGTTGCATGTGACTCTTTGCCTTCCATAGCTCCCAGCACGGTGGGGAAATTGTTCCCTTTTGGGAGTATCAAAGAAGGAGTGCCCACTGCCCTGGGGAAGGAAGGGGCAGGAGACTCTCTCAAGAAGGGATACCATTTGAGTGGAGCATCGGACTGGCCCGGCGGCTAAGAGAGGAAAGGTGTTCTCAGTGGCAGAAGTGGAGGCTGAGTGGTGGAGCTGTCGAAGAACTCAGCTGGTTCAGGGCATGGCTGGGGAGAGTGAGCCTGGAGGGAAGTGGCCCAACAGAGAAGGAAGAGAGGCCAGGTGGCAAGGCCAGGTGGGGAGGGCCTTGCGTGTGCGGCTGAGGAGTTTGAACTTCATTATGGAGACTTGAGGAAGACCAGAAGGACTCGAAGCTGAACAGACCTTGATCAGAATCATGTTTTTCTGAAAAACCATTCTAGCTTTGTTCTTGGGAGACAGGAGTCCCCTGGGGGTACATGGGTGAGCTTCAGGTATATAAACATTTTGTCAAACTGCCTTTGATGGGGTGAGGGCCCAGTGATCCCACTCGATTCTTAAAATGGTCCATGGTCACAAATGGCAAAGGACAATTTCTCAGGCTGCTGTGCGGCTGGTTGCAGAGGGCCATTCTAGAAGAGTGGTTCGCTAATCCAGGAGCCAAATGGGAAAGGTCTGAAAGGCAGGGCTCAGGGTGATTCATCCATTCATCCATCCATTCATTCGCGCATTAAAGAAATATATATATCATATATGCATTGGGGGGGCTATCTGTGTACCAGGCAGGGTGGTAGGCTCTAGAGATACAATCTTGAGTAAGATAAACATGGTTCCCACCCTCCTAGAGCTCACAGTTGAGTAGAAGAGGCAGATAAGTAGATGGGCAATTACAATACACTGGTGGATGATGAGCAGGAGCTGTGGAGTCAAGAGCAGGGATGGAAAAGACAATAGAGGGAGCAGTAGTTCAAAACCAGAAGCTGGTTCAAAGATCTCTAGGAGTTGCTACATGGGCATGGGGCCATGGTTTCCAGCCAGGGGCACTTTTGTCCTCCAGGGCACGTTTGGCAATGTCTGGAGATATTTTTGACTTCACAACTAGTGGGGGCAGGGGGTGGTGGTTATGAGAGGGACTGAGGCACCGTTAGAAAGGTTTTCTCCCCAGTAAAAAGGGGCACAAAAGGAGACACATCCTCATCTTCTGCCTCTTAATATTATGGAACAATGTAATGACTGGGGCTGTGGCTGCCATCTTGTGATCCTGAGGCGATCAGCCTGAGGAAGAAAGCCAGCACACAGAGGACGGCAGAGGAAGTGGGGAGGACCTGGTTCTTGGTGAAGCTATTGAGGAAGAACCAACCCTGAAGTCACCCTACCACCAGAGGAGACAGCTTGTGACTCAGGGCCATACATTCCTTGTAGCGTAAGCCATCTTTGGTTGGGTCCTGTGTTACCCACAGCTCCAAGCCTCCTTGCCGGCGAATTTCATTCTGCTCCTCTGAAACCGGTTTTCACTGCCATCTGCAATAACCACGGCTGCCGTGCACAGGCACCACATCTAAGACATCATACGTTTATTATTTATTATAGCAATTTTCCCACAGATGGCAGTAAAGTGTTTTGTTCTAATAAAATCAGTGTGTTACAGTAGTTTTCTGATAGAAGTAAATTACCTTGAGGAAGGGGCACCTTTTTCTAATTCACACAAGGGCACAATCTAGCCTTGGTGGTTAAATCTGTGGGCGCTCACCCTTCACGACTCAGCTGTGGCTGACAGCACGGACGTTCTCTGCTTCTTGATCAACCTTCTGTCTGTACCCAGCTTCTGTGATACCACAGTCGCCTGGTGGTCCTCCTCTCCCTGTGGCTTGGCGTCCCTCTCTGTTCGTCTGTGATGTTCCCCAGGTCTCTTTCCCTGGCGCTGTTCTCGTATTGTATGGCTCCTAGGCACCCTCACCTGCCCCACTTTCTCTGCCTTCTACAGGTGAATGAACCCGGAATCCCTCACTGTAGCCCAGTTTCTCCCCTCCGCTGCAGGCGCCTTAGTGTACTGCTTACGCACTGGCACTATGAACTCAAACCCTCCCACTCAAAGTCTCCATCCTCCACCCCATTATAAAACTCCTGCTCTATTTTTCCCTCCACCCATCTAGTCCCTGGAGCTGCACTTGTGGGAGGCATCCTTGAGGCCTATCGCCTCTTACTCCTCATATCCAACACATCACCAAATCCCACAAATTCTGCTTCTTGAATCTGAGTCAAGCTACTTCTTTTCCCATTACCACCATCTCCACTTATGATCAGGCCCCTAGCAGGCCAACGTCATTGAAACCCAAATGCTACTGCCTTTGGCCATTCCTCTCTCTCAGATCTTCCCTGCGTGGTTCTCCACTGCCCTCAGGAGGGAGGCCAGCCCTGCTCGCTCTCCCTGCTCACCTCTTGCCTTTCCTTCTGCCGTGCCCATCTCTTGGGTCTCAGCTTGGCCCTTTCCTCCGGGTGTTCCCCCTGTCCTGCCCTGGTGCCTGTCTGCCACACTCAGTCAACGCGGTCCCTCTTCGGTTACAGGGCTTGTTAACACTCCATTGAAACCGGCAGACTTGACTGTCCCACCCCCACCCCTGGAGTCTGCGCCTCCAGGGCTGAAATCACATCTCAATTCTTAATGAGATGTCTGCTTCCTTCACTGAAGGGACTTTACTAAGTGTTTCATTGCAAGTTTTCTTTAAATAGCCAGGCTCTCAGAGCCATTTCAAATAGGGTTTTATGTTCCTAAATTCAGTTAGTTCTCAACATTTGAGACCAATTCTTGCAGCAAGGTGGAGAATAACTCTCATCTGTGAAAGAAAAGCGGTTCAATAAAGCTTGATAAGCCTTTTGTATCCGGAATACTCAGTTCCCTGCCTTTATTTTGTCTGCTGGTGTTTTTGAGAGATTACACACACACACACACCATTTTCTGCTCCTTTTCCAGGGCTGTGTGGATAGTCCAGGATGGGGTGATGTCTGCTGGTGTTTTTGAGAGATTACACACACACACACACCATTTTCTGCTCCTTTTCCAGGGCTGTGTGGATAGTCCAGGATGGGGTGATGGGAGCGTGGACAGACAGAAAGGGCTCTGAGTGTAGCCCCTGCTGTCCAGCCCACAACCCCTCCCCAGTTTGCCTCCACCCCCAGGGAACTCAAACTTGTCTCAATCCTCTCTCCATGTGTTTCATAAATTTAGGATTATGGGATTTCCAGAGGAGCCAGGTGGGCATCCCCTGACTGGGACCCGGTGACAGCCCAGGAAACGTTTCCTGCTTTGGAAAGAGAACTGGGTGAGGGCAAGGGTTCACCCCGACACACGAGGTCCTCACACGGCTGCGAGCTATTGAAATGAGTGACGCCAACCTTCCCCTCTCCCCTTTCCCCATGTGCTTTTGTTCCTCCCTCCAGGGAAAAATAGCTACGGCTCCTATTCCCTGTGGCTTGGCCCAGCATGGCTTGCAGACTCTGTTTCTCTGCCTTTGTTTTGGTCTCGGTTTTTCATGGGGTCGGGGGTGTGTGTGCGACAGAGAGACAGCAGATGAGGCAGATGCAGAGAGAAACAGACTCATGGTGAGGGGCAGAGACAGAATGACAGTGGCAGCCGGGGACAGGAACAAGACCAAGAACCTCACGCAATCGCCGGAGCATTTCCTCCACGTGCTCCTCATCCAGGCAGCTCCGGAGCCACACCATTCTGCTGGCGCCCAGGCTTACCGCTTGCCCCTGCTGGCCGGTTCTCCCTGTTTCCACCACCCGCCTAGCCTGGAGCCTGCCTCTGCTTCATGCTCTTCGGACTCCCTCCTCAGACTCCCACCTCGCATTCCTGTGGGGGATCGGGGCCCCCCTGGGGGGACTTTGTGGAGCCCACTTGTGTCCTCATTGAGCTCAGGTCTAGGTAGGACACTCTTCCCTTTACGTCAACAGAGGTGTTCTGGGATCTTTTCTAAAGGAACTTGACCGAGAACCAAGGGCAAAACAAAAGAGCGAAATACACAAATCACTCACATGTATAAAGGGTAATACATTTTTAAAATACCTGCTGGTGTATTTTGCCTCTTTGTGATCTGTTTTTCCCTCTCCCTCCCCTGGAGCACTTTTACCATCCGGGCTTACTGCCTGTAGAAGAGGACGAGGTCAAAGATGCCTCAGGATACAGAAGACAGAAAGATACCCTGAAACCCCAGGAAAAGTGCCCCTCTCAGCTCTCATTGGAGCCACTGGCCTGGGAGCTCTCCCCCAACCTTGCAGATCCAGATGCAGCTAGGAGGCTCCGTGTGGCAGCAGCACATCAGGGCCAAAGCCTTCTTCAGTCTAAAAAGGGATTCCCAGCCTAACAGATGCCTGGACGGCAGAGATCTTCCTCCAGCCTGGTGGTTAAGGGCATGAAGTTTGGAATCAGTCACACAGTGGCCCAAGTCCTGCCCCTGCCACTGAGCGATGTGACCTCGGGCAAGTCGTGTGACCTCTAGGCCTCAGTTTTCTCATCTGAAACATGGGAATGATGATGGCTTTTCCCTCATCGGGTGTTGTGAGGACTACCTGAGATGATGCATAGCAGGTACTTAACATATGAGATCTGTAATCATTCACTTAAACAAGGAGCTCTGTCTGTCCTGCGTGCTGGGGAGGAGGCAAGGGTTAAAGAAGACGGAGCAGTGGGGAGATGGCTCCCCTTGTTGGGAGGCTCCTCCAGTGTGGGGCGATGTTGACTCATTTCTCCATCTAGAAAGGGCTGGGCTTTCTCCCTAGAAATGGGGAGGGACCGCAGAGAAACTGCAGCTGCCTTGATGTCCCGGCAGTGCCCTCCACCCAACCCTGTCTCGGCCATCATGTCTGGGCTTTCCTTTCACAGCTAGCTAGCAGTGTGACTTTGGTTATTCCACATGCGGCCTTCAGGTGTGCTGTCACCTCAGATGATCACAATGGGGGACCCTCCAGATATGTACACTGAAGACCCCTTGTATAGACCCACTCATGCAGCTGGTTATGCCCGGCCACACTCCAACTCACCCAGGACACACCCATACTCCCTCAGACCCATTCACAGCACAGGCATCAACACAGCAAGCACCCAAGTGTGCTCTCCGCACATACATTTCCTCTCCGTGTGTGTGTGCGTGTGTGCGTGCTTCACATTGTCGGCCAGAATATGCTCTGGAAACCCAAGCAGAAAGGAGCATGTGAATGTGGCCATCAGGGATAAATTAATCCCAGACATATAAAGGGTTTTTTTTTTTTTTTTTTCATTCTCGGCCCTACTGCAAATTCAATTATGACTCTCTGCCAGCTACTGAACTGAGGGGACAAGCAAGTACGTGGCTGAGCCTGGAAAATGGGACAGGGCAGGGGATCCTTCTGAATCCACACCCTCATTCCGCTTCCCTGCTGTCCAGGATCCGGGAGAGAGTTGCAGGGATTCCTGGATTCCCTACACCAGTCAGATCATGGGGCAGCAGCAAGGTGCCATCCAAGATGTGGAGCTAATGGAAGCAGAGCTGCCTTCTGGGAGCTGAACTAGGAAGGGACTGCGTGCGGGCTCAGAGCATAGACTGGCAAAGGCTTGCCGAGGAGGCCACTGGTCCCAGGTCCTGGCAACTCTTAATGGCCCATGCATTCACCCACCCAGGGAGAAAAACGTGAGTCTCAGACACCCACCTTGACAATGTCCAGGGAAGAGAGGCTTGGCTTGTGACTCCAGGGCAAGACTTTCTATCCCCCATGGCTATTGGGGTGTGGCCATGATATGTCCCTTGCCCTCCACATTCCCAGGCAGCCTTCTGATGGTGCTGTGGCTCCCGGTACAGGCCTGTTTGCAGGCGGTGCATGTGTAAATTATGCTGATGCAAGCTGTGTTTCCCACTGTGCATTCACATGGGGGCATTTTGGCTTCTATGCCCCTCTCTGAGCTCTGCTAAGGAGAGTCTGCCCCTTTGGGGACACACTCTGGACCCACCTTCCTCAGACCCACACAGTCAGGGGTCTTAGCCTGCAAGCATGCCTAGGCTAGGAGCCCTCCTAGGTCGAGAATGTCCCTGGAGAGGCCTGCCGGGGGAGACATGACCAGCCTCTCCTTGGAGACGCCCATCTCATGGGATCGGGGAGGTTGGGCATTCATGTCCACCCAGGCTAGGAATGAGGTGCATCTCCTGTCAGACCTAGGAGCAGTCCTCTGTGACATAGCTGCCTCCTCCTCTTCTTCCAGAGGGGAGGGCCGCGATGGGGAGTCAGTTACTTTAAGGGAATCCCTTACGGTCTTTGAATTGGGCTTGATTGCATAAGAATGCCCAGAGGAGGCCAGGTGGAAGCCAGTTTTGAAAGAGGAGAGACGAATTGGAGGAGATTCGATTTGCTGTTGTTTCTCAGGTGGTGGTGAGGTGGTGTGAGTGGTCAGTCGGGGTGTCTGAGGCTGGGAGGAAGGAGAGTGATGGAGAAATTTGGTCCTGGTAGGGGAGCCGAGGCCCCCAGGGGAAAGCCCCCACAGGAAGCGGTCCCTTGGAGAGAAGTCCAGGGCCTGGAGGAGCAGGCCTCAGACTGGAAGCGGGGGCTCTGCCGCTCCCTGGGGTCCTCTGGGGCCTCCTTAAGTAACCTAGGCCTGGCCAAGGAGAGCTGGGTTTTCACAGTAAGACTCAGGCTGCCAGAAGAATGAAAAGAATGGGCCTGAGGGAGCACCTCCGCCATGGATGGGAGGAGGGAGGAGGACAGGGAAGGAGCAGAGGCCCGTGTGTGTTGTGGGCAGCCGCACCAGCCCTGGGTCAGCATCCAGTCTGCCTTCCCTGGGGTCTCTGCATGGCAGAGGCTCCACACCCTGTATAGTCAGGCTGCTTCAGGTGCCTGGGACTCACATCCCACCAGGCCAGGCTCCCGGGCCCTCACCCAGGACGAGCCCTCCTCTCCACCCCTTTCCTTTTCCCTCCTATCTGCACCAGGTAAGGGAGCTTTGGAGAGGAGGGAGGAGCAGGAGCAGGGTGCTCCCCAGAAGCTAGCCCTTCCCCCACCCCCCAGAGATGGCTCATTCAGGGCTGAGGATGAAGTTTGAGACTGGCCCGCCTCCAGGCTGGTCAGAGAGGGAGCCCCAGCTACCGAGTGCCAACTATGTGTCAGGCACTGTGCTAGGCACGATGCCACCTTTAGTCCTCACCTGTGAGAGATAGCTATTATGAGCCCCATTTTAGAGATGAGAAAAGTGAGTCTCAGGGAGGTCACGCAGCTGTTAACGAAAGGCAACCCCAGCCACGTGGACTCAAAATGTTTGCTTTTCGTGCTACCCCACCTCCTGACTCTGCCCCCAGCACAGTCACCCCGCCCCAACCAATCTCACATCTGCTGACTTCCAGGCTGGATCCAGAACTCCCACCAGGTGGGTAGGGGTGGGATGCAGGAGGCAGGTGGGGGCCATTGTGTAGAGGTAGTGTTGGCACTGTGAAGCTTGCAGTTTTTTCATTCACTCAACAAATACTTACTGAACAACACCTGTGCCCAGGCTCTGTTCTAAGCACAAACTTCTTGCCCTTGTAAAAGCTCCTGGTCAGGGAGTCAGATGAGAAACAATTTCAAGCGGTGATAAGGGAGCATTAGGAGGAAAAATAAAGCCAGGTGAGGAGATAAATAAACAAATCACTACGATGGGAACTAAACGAATGAGCCTTTTTAGATGGGAGAGGGGAGAAGCCTTCTGGAAATGTGAAGCAGAAGCAGAAACCTGGCTGAAGGACAAAAGTGAGCCATGCAAAACCTGGGGGACAGCATCGCAGTGGGGGGCGCAGCAATTGCCAAGGGCCTGAGGCAGGACTGAGCTTGGCTTGACTGTGTTTGTACTGCCTGGAAGTGGGGCCTTCAGCCCTCTGTGGCTCATCGGAAACTTTGGGCCAGGGAAGGTGTTTCTGCTCATTCCTATCTGCTCCCTGCTTGGC
The DNA here is from genome assembly GCF_000001405.40 of Homo sapiens. NCBI lineage: Eukaryota > Metazoa > Chordata > Mammalia > Primates > Hominidae > Homo > Homo sapiens. The sequence continues at coordinate 71,696,508 of NC_000002.12, forward strand.
TCTTTCTAGGACCAAAGCGGGTGTCTTTAACCCCTCTAGGCTGAGCTGGCAAGACAAGTACAGAGCCCCCTTGGCCGTCTTTTTCCCGTGGTTGGCCACCTGGCCCCCGGCCTGGGCTTGGGAAATGCTTCCGGAGTTCACACTCCTCACTGCCCACTCTGAACCCCGCTGGCGATCAGGGCAGCACACTATTTCCAGATGGGCATGGGAGACTGTTTTATTTTTAAAAATAGCTTTTGTTGGTTTTTGTCTTATTACAAAAGTAATATTTGTTCATTATAGAAACTGGAGAAAACAGCTAGCAAAAGGAAGAGTATAAAACAGCCACTAATCCTATTACCCAGAGAGAACCACTGCTGGCACTTGGGTATCTCCAGAATTTTCCATGTGAGTATAAAGTATATGTTAGTATTTTTTTAAAAATGTGATCTCACTGTGCAGAGTGGTTTGTAACCACTGTACCATGAACACCCATCCGCGTCTACATATTCATCTATAACATGATTTTATGGCTGTATAATCATTGATCACTCGGAGGAACCATGGTGTATTTAGTCAGGGCTCCTATTGATGGATTTTAGGTAGTTTCCTTTTGCTTTCTTATTGAGCATCTTGTCTGCAGGGCTTTTCCATGGCCATCCTAGGTGGCTGTTTTGAAGTGGCTAAGCAGTCATTGAGATATAAGGGCAGGATAAGAAGCCTCAGAAGGCCAGAGGTCCTGACGGGTCTGGGGTGTGTAGGTGAGTCCCTGCTTCCTTGTCTAAGGCAGGGATCTTTTAAGTGTCTCAGACACCCCTAGGCAAAAGGTGAATCACTAGAAAGACTGAGGAGATAGGATTAAACCGGGAAAGTGGTGTCTTCCCTACAAGCAGTGCCGCCATAGAGGAAGGACACTCTGGCCTTCCGCCTGCCTCAGGGCACCTCCACGACCCCTGCCCATAGTAGGCTGGGGTGGGGGATAGTGGGAGGAATGAGGTCACCGGTCAGGAGGGGTGGGGTGGTGAGGATCACCTGCCTCCTCTGCAGAAGGCATTACGGGAAAGCTGGGGATGGGGATGCGGGTGGGGGATATGAGGTGAGGCCCCCAGGGATGTGTAGATGTAGCGTGGATGAGAGGGGCTGTCTGGGTGTCACCAAGGGTGAAAAACCTCCTTTGCCTTCTTCATGAGGCTGCCTCTGATTTCTCCATCAGGGCGGGCTTGGAGCTCCTGCTTTCATGGTTGTATCTCCTCAGGGCCTTTACCCCCTGCTGCTTACATTAACAGGAATAATTCGGGCCAGCCTGCACTTGACTCCAGCTCTCTGGCTTCTCTCCCCGCCATCTGTGAGGCCTGGGGCATTTCTGTCCCTGCTCCCCCTAGTCAAACGCGGTCAGGTCATCAGAGCTCCTTCAGTTCCTATGAGGTTCAGATGCCAGGAATGTGGAATGTGGCACCTGGTAGATGCTCAGCTTTAAAATCTTCTTTTACATTTTCTTATCCCACCTTTGACTAAATATTTAAGGGGATGTAAAGCATCTTCATCTCTGTGCCTCCCCAGGGATTGTCTCTAAACCTCTCCCTGGGAGGTGGACAACACTTCACTGGGGTATGGGAAGAAAACATTCACAAATCCAATCTGTTACTCTTTCTTAATATATGATGTTTGGCTAGACCTTGGACGCCACTTATGCCATGTGACTTATGGTCATGTATTCTATGCTAAGTGCATAGGAGTCCTAAGGGAAGGCAGTGGTAGCGCCACCCTTGTTTTTCAGCTTTTGGTGTATGGCTTTTTGTGTCTTAGCTTTTGGTGTGAACCTGGTTAGTTAAGGGGATTTAGAGATTACACATTGTGGATTTAACTAAAGTAACCCTCACAGAAATGGACACACAGCTTAAAATAATTCCTGCCATGGAACTACTCTGATTGAAATTAAGCTAAGCGTACAAACAGGTGACAATGGTGGATGGGAGATAAGCTAACCATGTGAAGTAGAAACGAGGGCACAGCTAACCCATGCATCCACCGCATGCAGGAGCTCCCCAGAGAAGCTGCATTAGGCAGTAAAAAACATGCCAGGTGCGGTGGCTCATGCCTGTAATCCCAGCACTTTGGGAGGCCGAGGTGGGCGGATCACCTGAGGTCAGGAGTTCAAGACCAGCCTGGCCAATATGGTGAAACCCCATCTCTACTAAAAATACAAAAATTAGCCAGGTGTGGTGGTGGACGCCTGTAATCCCAGCTACTCAGGAGGCTGAGGCAAGAGAATCACTTGAACCCGGGAGGCAGAGGTTGCAGTGAGCTGAGATCGCACCATTGCACTCCAGCTTGAAAAACAACAAGGACATAATCAGATCTGCCAAGAAGTCAGTGACACTGCTGATGACCCAGAGGCCTTGCATGGGTCACCTGCAGCAGTGGCCCTCATCCTAGACCTAGAACCTGCCTTGAAGTCCTCATTGTTGTCCATGGATAGACCGTGTGGGGAGATAAATCAGCATCTAGGGGAGTGCATGCTCAGACTTTTCACCAGTGGAGGTTTGCTATCAGTGCGTTCGGAGGTCACCGCTTCACAGCCTCCAGCCCCAGGCTGGGCACACAGCGGGGCTCAGGAAGCTTGCACGGGCTGATGTATGTCTTTGTGTGAGTGTGCGTCTGTAAGAGATTTTTATGACTAGGCGTTCCTCTCACCTCCCTCATTCAAAGCCCTCACCCCTCCTTCTCCTCCATCCCCCCCATCAATTTTTCTCTCATTTATTCCCTCCTGCCAGTGGGTGCCCCTGCCTGACCCTCATTAACTCAAAGTGTAAAAACCATTTGTCTGCAGCCCCCTTTCCTCCCTCCTCCCCCAGCTGGGGCTGGGGCATGGCCCTTCTTTCCTCCCATAGAAGCTCAGACCTCTGTGGTTTATGAGCGAGACCCTAATCTGGGAGGCCCCATAGAACAGGCAGGACTCGTTAGGGGATGGCCTCAGGGCTGCTCAGAAGACCTATAAAAAGTGAGTGATGCCCCTGGGGAGCCCAGATCCTCTGTTATTCCTCAGAAGTTGGCAGAGCACCGCACACCTCTAAGGGCCCCGTCTTGAAGGACAATGATGTAGGTGTCACCCTCCCAACCCAGGGCTGTGTTGGACACGACTTCACAGCCATATGTGGATGGACGGTTCTTGGCTCTCCATCCCTGCCCGATCCTCCAGGGTAGCTCCTGCCCCAAGGATCTCTGACCCCAACCTTCTCATCTGGGGAGGGCAATTGTTCATTCCTCAGCCCCAAAGGAAGGGGACTTGGACAGGGAGGAAGGAGGGCAAATTGGACCTGAGAGTACACTAGCTAATACATGCTTAGAACTGGATAGGAGTGTTTGTAGTATGTCAAGGAGGCGATGGATCAGGATGGGTGGCTGAGGAGTGGGCCCAGAAGACTTGGGTGGCAACACTGGAGATTATGAGGACTGCAGACTGTCCTTAAACGCGGAGAGAGCTTCCCAGAGTGGGGATGCTAAACTGCCACTCAAAGGCAGGTGGCTTCTCCAACAGATCTCCAGGTTGGAGGTGAACCCCAGGGCAGGGGACCCAGGTCCTCCTCTGCTTCAGTCTTAGCTGGCTGCCAGAGGGGCTGGTTGTCTGCCCACCAGAGCAGAGAGAGGTGAGTGGGCTGGGGACATTCCTGCCCTCCCCAACCCGCCCCATGCTACTCCCTCTGGCAGCAGACCAGAGGAATCCAGGAGCCAGAGGTGGACCCGGGGCTTGTGGCTAGGATCCCTGCCTGGCCCTGTGCAAGAAGGCATTGAGTTTTCATTCCTCAGGGGAGCTACAAATTTCCTGACGAGCGTGGTTGGGTTTATGTAACGTAAACACCTCAGCACACAGTGTTCCACCTGCAGGGGGGACAGGTGGGGGCCTCAAGTGCTGGCTGCTGGAGGTAAGAACTGAGGAAAAGCTGGCCTCACCCGGGAGCCAGGTAGGAGCCACCTAACCGGTGTGCCAGCCAGGCTGGTGCAGAGTCTGAAAGTCACCCATCAGTGTTCATTCACTGGCTTCAGCAACGACCTCTCCCGGATAAGGGTCACTGAGCAGATCTCCCCACCTCAGGGCAGGCGAGATGAGACCCTGTACGCCTCCCTCTGCTTTCTCCATTCTCAGACTCTGATGGCCCAGGGCATCCCCAGGAACCCCGGGGGAGGCGGTGGGGGGAGGCGGGGGAGGGGGAGGTGGGGCTTGACCAGGAATGGCTGGGGAAGGGCTTCAGGAATCTCCACTTCTGTTCTGAGCTGACATTGTTCACAAGGCAGGGACAGAAGTGAGTGTCAGGGGCAGAGCCGGGGAGAAATGTGACGGCCCTGGTGGGGCCCCTTCCGGGGATGCTCTGACTCGCTCCTTGGTCTGAGGCCCGCCTGACCTGGTGCTGCATGGGGGCTGCCTGGGTGGCCCTCCGCTGGTCTGGGCTGTCCCTAGGCTGGGACTAGGCCCTGGGTGGCTGCACTGGGATTCACTCAAAGCCACCGCTGACCTGTCTCCCGGTCTGCCAGGGTAAAAATAGATGTTTCCACTGCGGCCACCTCCGCAGCATCAACTTTCTCCTACTTGAGCCCCTGCCAGTGCTCGGCTCAGGGACTGGAGCATGAATTACAGGGCTGAGCTTGGCGTCGGGGCCTGGCGTCAGGGCCCTGCTGTGGAGCCAGGCTGCTCATGAATGCCCTATTGTTTGGGGAAGTGACCCTGTGTGTCCCTCCTCGGGGCCTGGGGCCTGCCCTGCTCACCTCCAGGCCTCTTCCCATTCCCTTTGGCTTTGTGCCCGCCTGGCCTCTGAGTTCCTCACCTGCCGCCTCATCTTACAGGGGAGGCACAGTCCCTTCCATACAGGGCCAGCTCTACGGGCATGTGACTTATGCAGTCACACAGGGCTCCACGCTCAGAAGGGCCCCACGCTTGGCTTAATGCCCTACTATCACCACCTTGACTTTCCCAATAATTTTGGAAAAAGGCACATTTGTATTTTGTACTTGGCCCTATGAATTACGTAGGTGGGCCTGCTCTATTAGGAACCACTAGTCTGATGAGGGAGCCACGGCCTCTGCCTCTGCAGAGCCCCAGGTCTGATGTGAGAGCATCTGCTGTCCTTCGGGGAGCCCTTAGATTGGAGAAAAAGGCATGGCTGCCCTTAGAATGCACACTGATGGGGCACACATTGCCTTTGCCCCTTGTGAGCCCCCAGGCCTATGTAGGAGACCCCATCTGTGCTCTCAGAGAGCCTCAGGTCTGATGGGGAGATACAGCCCCTGCACTTGGAGAGCTCAGATGTTGGTAGGGAAAGCATGGCCATTGCCATTGGCAAACGTGTATTCTGATGGGGAAGACAGAGCCTTTACCGAGCCCACAGTCAAATGGTGGAGATACTGGCCCTGCCCTTGGGGGCCCTTAGGACCCATGGCAAAGACCAGATAGACACACATGCACATGTGTATAGCAGGGTTAGTCCCTGCTGAGACTCGAGGCCATTCAGGGTATGGGGGAGTTTGACCAAGGGCAGAGCATAGGGCCCTGGGTAGACACAGACCGCTATGAGTGAGCTGCCAAGGAGGAAGAGCTGGGGCCAGGCCCTGGCAGGAGAGGAAGGCCGGCATCTGGGTCCTGTGGGGGTGCACGCTGGCTTGTGATGGGGTCCTGGGAGGATCAGAAGGACTTTTCAGAGGACCCAGGGAGCATGGTAGAGCTTGGATGCTCCTGAAGGTGTCAGCCCCAGAATAGCAGAGGCTGGTGTTTTCCTGGCAGAGCAGCATGTGGGCTGGGGCCCTGCCTGCCCGGGGCTGGGGTGCAGCTTGCAGTGGAGGCTGGGAGCGCAGCAGGCCCAGAGGACTAGGACCCTTGCGTGAACTCCTATGACCCACTGAACTCCCTGGGAGTGGGTGGGTATGAGGGGGCCTCACTAGGGTCCTGTGAAGGGGAAAGTGATTGGTGACTGGATGCAGGGCCAGCTGCCTCCCCAGCCACAGGGGGAGCAAGTGGCATGGCAGCAGCTCCTCTGGAAGCCTTGAGGGCCAAGGGACCCTGGATCACAGGGGGCAGTTCCCCATGAAGGGAGGCTTCCTGGAGGAGGTGGCAGGAGGGTCGGGGCTCTGAGAATGTCTCTGTCTGTCCATCAGCCTGCCTATTCTTCGGGGTGCACATTGTCCTCTCAAGGCTGCTAGTATGAAAGGACTCCCAAGAGGTGCCCACATTAGAGATGGTGAGGAGCGGTCTCTCTGGTAGGTGACGGGCTCCCCTGCCCTGTGAGGAGCTACAGTGCAAAGGTGAGTGGCAGGCAAGGCGGAGCCCTGGAGCCAGCTCCCCCTGCATGAGTGTGAGGATTCTGCCGTGGGGCCGACTCTTCCTTCATCCAGAGCCCGGCTGTGGCCGCTGACTTGCCTCTTATACCTCTCTTTGGCCTGGCAAGGGGGGCCGGGAGTTGGAACCCCAGGTCAGAGCAGCCAAGGCTTGCAGAAGCATCTCAGGGTCTTTCCCATGTAGAATCCTGGGCGGCATCTTGAGAGACCCCTGTGTGGTCTGTGAGAAGCAAATTAAATCATAGTCAGGGGCCACGGCCACTGTGCTGCTCTGCCCCTGGAAAGGGCTGGGGGCCACAGCCTACCCTGAGCTGGCCTCAGCCAGTCCACCAAACACCCGATCCCCAGTGAAGGCTGGGAGAGAGATGCCTGGGGAAGTGGTTGGACCTCATGCTTGGTAGTGGCCATGGGGCTTGTTTGATCTCGACTGTGAGGCTCAGAGTGTGCAGGGAACTCTCCATGGGGCGAAGGAAGAGTCCTTTCACCAGGAATTTGGAGACCAGGGGCTGTTGAGGAGGAGAGAAGGGAGGAGGGAGAGATGGTGGAGAGAATGCTCTTGGGGACCAGGGTGAGGGCTCGGTCTGGGGCTGGGAAAAGACTTTTTAACCTTTGCAGAATGACTGTATGCATCCAGGTGAGGTAGAACTGGGGACCTCTGCCATCGAGTCCACCCAGGCCTGCCTTCTCAGCAGACATTGTCCCTTAATCAGGCACCCCGGGCACCGTTCCTGCCTGGCTCAAGACCCAGCTCTGTTGGTGTTATGCTCACTGTGCATGATGTAGCAGAGTGAGCTCCAAGATGCCAAGCCCTTCCTCAGGATCCCTGCCATCGTGGCCACAGCAGCTGAGTTGGGGGATGTGTGGCAGAACAGGGGAGGATGGAGGACGGCAGCGGGGGCCTTGCTGCTACACTCCCTGTCCTTGCCTGCCCCTCGGAATGGCACCTCTGCAGGTCAGGCAGCAGAAGGGAAGGCAGTCAGACACCAAGGGGGACTTCTGGGTGGCCCCACTTGGTAATGCATCCTGCACCAGAAATCCAGGCATGTGTGGGGTTTCTCCTTCCTGGAAATTGAGGGCAAAGACACCCCCAGGTCCACATCTAGAGCTGGGTGGACCACGTGCCAACCTTCTCGGGGGAGGAGGAGCTCTTCCCTTTCTTCCCCCAACCTGGGTGCTGACTTCAGGGATCAGCTCAATCCCCCACAGCTGTGTTTGCCTTCTCTGTCCTGGAAGAGCAGTTTCTGCATACACCTTTCAGCCCTAGCCCTCAGATCCTTCCATATGGGGGAGATGGCAGGGCCCCCACCCAGTTGATCCAGTCCACCTGTGAGGCCAGAGGCGGTGGGAGCCTGCCTGGGCCCGCACAGCCACACGGCGGGGAGCAGAAGGCAGAGCTCCACTCTTTCTCTTGCCGCCCACTTGCATGAGTGTGATTACTTCATTCATTTATTCAATCAGCCAGTATGTGCTGAGTGTGTGCTGAGCCCAGAAGGCTATGCCAGGAGCTGATAAATAAGACTGCCCCTGCCCTTGGGGAGGCAGGAAGATCTGGGCAAGCACGTGTCCCTGTGCCCTGCGGGGTGACAGAGACTGTTTCTGGGACAGGGAGGATGATCTGTCCTGCTGGAGGGTGGGATGTCCCTAGGAAGACGCCTGCCCTGAGACCTGTGGGATGAGGAGGATGGGATCAGGCTGTCCTGGTGAGGCAGCTGAGGCTGAGGGCCGAGGAGCTGTGGGTTGGTTGCAGGGACCCTGGTATCTGGCTCTCTCCTAGGACCCTGCTTTCCCTCTAGGTCTGTGGATCTGACCTCTGCATGACCTCCCCTCCCACTCACCTCAAGACTGAGGCGCCTCTCAGTCACCCCCTTTTCTTTGCCTTCTCCTCCCCTCCCTGTCACCTCCACTCCAGAAAGCAGCTTTCATTTTCCCCACCTGCCTCTCTCCTCTCATCCCCCAGCATCTGTTGGGGAAATTGGGCCATTTGAAGAATAAAGGAGAAGGCAGGAGAGAGGAAACTCCCGTCTCAGGGCCCAGCCCACAGCTGGGGTGAAAACCTGTTCCTCGTTAACACCCTGAGTCAGGGACCAGAACTGGGGGCGTCGTGCTCCCCAGCCTCCCTCAGGGACCAGGAGGGGAAAGGCATGCTGGGAGACGTTAGCTGCAGTGATTGGGAGCAGATGGGAAGGGGTGGTGAGGGGCAGGGACACTGGGAGGAAGCCTGTGGGGGTGGGAGGGAGCATGTGTGGAGGAGCCTGGGAAGACCCTCACTGGACCTCTGGGGTCCTGAGCCCATTATCTGGAAACAGGTCTTCCACAGGGCATCTTTCCATCCAGACTGAAGGGAATTCCAGGTTTAGGGTATGCAGAGGTCTTCGGGAGGGTGGAACCAAGAGCCAGGTCTCTCTCGGGGCGTGTGTGCCAGTGGAAGCTCCTGTCTGTGGACACTGGGGGCCACACTGCCCTGGCCCACACCTGAGCCCTCGAGGGTCCGAAGATCCCTGTCCGGGACCCTGGCGGGGGTGAGGTGAGGATGGAGCATACGTTTGGATCTGGACTGTGTACGAGGAAGCCGGGGTCTGCTGGCCCAGAGCAGGAGGGGGACACGAAGCCTGCAGGGAGTGAGGTGGGAGTCCAACAGAGGGGACATTCTTTAGGGCACTGCTGGCTGGTGACCAGCATTAGAGGTGTGACGGTGGTGGTGACAGTGATGTGGAGGATTGAGGTGGCGGTGACAGTGCTGACAATGACCGTGTGACAGCGGGATGCGGTGATAGTGGTAGAGACATGTCCTTGCTTGGCCCACTTTCATGGGGTTCAGGGGGTATCAGGTTGGTGACCCTCCTCAGCTTCCTCTTCAGCACTCCCCGTCCACCCATCTCCAGCCCTCAGAAACACCATAGGGAAGTGGCCGCAGTTGGAGATCTTAATTTAGAAGCTGTGGAGTTCTGAGTCACAGCAAAGGCAGACCTGGCCCCTGTCCCCATGGGACTCGGTTGAGTGCAGCCCCCACCTAAGTGTCTGTCCTGGAAACAGGTGTGGGCTGAATTGGGCTAGGCCTGGAGAATTTCACTGGCCCAGGTCCTACTCTTCACCCCTGCCTCTCTCCTCAGCCCAGAGCCCATTGTCTCTGCAGAGATTAGTGACATGGTGTCAAAATCCCCAGCCATTTTAGAATCCATACGATTGAGGTCCTGAAGGAAGAGGCAGGGCTGGGAATGTAGGGTCAGGACCATATTTGTGTTCCCCCTTGGCCCCAGCTCCTCAGCCAAGCACTCCTCCTACCCCACCGAACCCAGGCTCAGGCAGGCCCCTGGTCTGCACTTCCTGCTCCACGTGGCTTGGACCCAGATTCCTCCTCCAATCTTTTAATTAGATCCTGCACTCATTAGCTGCCCGAATGCCTTCCAGACACTCACAGCTGCTCTGGCCCTCCCCACACCTGCCCATCCAGCTGGGCCTCCCCACACCTGGAAGACATCGAAGCCTCCAGCCAGGGCCCCCAAATAGCAGCCCCTCCCTGTGGCCTCTAACAGCAGGGGCCAGAAGAGACACAGAACCTTCCTCTGAGGGCGGTGGGGGCTGCAGGAGAGGTGCCTCCCCAGCCCTGGCCATGTTGGCCCTTGCAGGGAAGGCTGGGAAGTGAGTTGTGGCCACAGCACAGGAGACAAGAAGTCAGATGCCCCCTTTGACCATGGCCAGAAGAGCCAGTGTCTCCCTATGCCTAGGCCCTCCCTGCAGGACCTCACTTGAGAGAACCTGCTCAGGGCTTAGAGTGTTTGCCATCTGTGTGTGGGAAGAGGACAAGAAAGGTCTGTGAGGGAAATCAGAGAGCTCAAAAAGAGGGCTGGAAGAAGCTGTGGCTTTAATCTTAGTAGTCTTTCCCGATGAGGGGCAATTCCTAGAGGATTTGCCAGCCCAAATCATCATTCAGTGAGTGTCAGAGGGTTCACATCCAAGGTCTTGACCCAGTCTTGAACTCTCTTGTCTCTAGTGGCTGTCCTCTTTCCTGGTCCACTGAGTTGCACCAACTCCTGGGCACCAGTCACGTGGACTCAAGTGAATGAATTAATTGAACACTCACGTATGAGGAGTGCTTATGAGGAGACAGGAACTGTTATAAGTGGTTGCAAATATCGTCACTTAATCCTCACACTAACCCTATGAGATAGGTACTATTACTGTCCCCCTTCCACAGATGAGAAACAGAATAGTTGAATGGCTTGCACAAGTTCACGTGAGTTATAAGAGGCTGGCAGTGACAGGATCCCAATTCCTGTCATCTCTGCTCTCTGTCCTTGTGCCTGATTGCCTCGTTAGAATACACACTGTGCATGCTACTCCCTGGAGTGGGGCAATAGTGGCCCTGGGGCCTTTCCCTCCAGGAACCAATAGGTGCTGGAATTACTGTCACCCCTCCTGGGGGAGATGGGAGATCCTGGTTGCATGGCCAGGGCCAGGCAAGGCAGTTTATTTCTTGCATACTCAGTGTGTAGCGTAAAATGGGAAAACTGTGCTTGGAACTGAGCATTACATAGAGAATGACAGGGCCTCCATATTACAGTTCCAATCCCTGCCTGGAAGGATAGAAGTATCCACTGCAGCTCAGCACCTCTGCTCCCCCAAACCCTAGGATATTTTTTGAGTTTTAGATCTTTTTCACTAAGTGAAATGTCTGAGGACCCCAATTTATTAAAACAGGTAAAAGCAGACCTGAGCTGGGTTAGGTCTGGTTTGGATGGGAGTGATGGTGAGGAGGCTGATGCTGGGGTACCCGGCCCCTTTGGGCACCCCCAAATACCTTAAGCCTGGGGACTCCCCACACTGGGGAGTCATTGTCCTGAGGGGACCAACTAAGCATCTTTCAGGGGGCAGATGGTGGCCTGGTTGATGTCCCAGCTAGTCTCTCTTGAGCCTGACTTAGGCCACTCTCCTTTGTCTCATGTGATGACAATTCTGAGCTGAGTGAGTTGGCCTGGGGAGAACACATGGAGGTGACAGCATTGAGCTGGGGTTCACTCATATGCGGGGAGCAGAGGAGCAGAGCAGAGAGAGCCCCCCTAGCCATCCTAGACGTGTGTGTGTGTGTGTGTGTGTGTGTGTGTGTGTGTGTGTGTGTGTTACCTTAAAGAGTTTTTCCACCTGCCCTCCACCCCTCACTGTGTTTCCCCAGCAAGACTTTGGGAGGGGCTGGTTGCCAGGACCAACTCTAAATGTCAAGGCCTGGAAAATCCAACTTGGGGCCATACATTCCTACCCCAGGTGGCAAGATCATAGGGGCAGAGACTGGGGCAGGATGGTGAAGTTAGCCTCCTCACCCCCTCCGTGTTCTACCACTGCAGAATAACTCTGTGGCTAGTCTGGCCCCTAGGCATCCCAGATCCAAGCTCCTCCTTGGCCATCGCACACGTCTTGGCCAACTCAGGCCGTATCATGCCCCTGCCGCTCATGAACCTACAATAGCTCTCTATTCTCTAACTGTGCCAATATTAGGTCCTCAGCCTAGCACCTAAGTTCCTGCCATGAGCTGATCTCACCAGTTTCATGTAGTCACTTCTGTACCCCCTTCTAGAATCAACCTTCTCTGAGAAACCTTTGAGAACACTAGTGTTTCTTAATACATGGTCTTGTGCCTGGGAAGATGAGCTGTCTATTCATCATGAGTGGGTATATCATATCTGTACACAACTGGATTGAAACCTCTGGAGAGTTGAGGATGTTGTCTTCTGATTCAATTGGAGCTGAGTTTGGATTTTGTGTGCCCGGCTCTGCACAGTTGTGTAACTTTGGGTCACTTCTTGCTATCTATAATCTATGATTAGTAGACAAGCGTGTTAGTCTGTTCAGGCTAACATAACAGAATACCACAGGCTGGTTGGCTAAAACAACAGAAATTTATTTCTCATAGTTCTGGAGTCCAGAAATCCAAAATCGAGGTGCTGTCAGGGTTGGTTTTTGGTGGGTCTTTCTTCCTGGCTATTAGACAGCTGCCTTCTTGCCGTGTCTTCACATGGCCTTTCCTCGGTGTGTGCACTCAGAGAGAAAGAGAGCTCTGGTGTCTCCTTCTCTTACAAGGACATCAGTCCTATGGAATCAGGGCCCCACCCTGCCCTTCATTTAACCTTAATTACTGTCTTAAAGGCCCTATCTCCAAATAGTCACATTGGGTGTTAGAACTTCAGCATATAAATTCTGGTGGTGGAGGGCACAATTCAGTCTATAACAATGGTTTAAAAATGAAGGAAAAGAAAAGACTTCCATGGTTGAGTAAGTTTGGGAAAGGATGAATTCAAACAAATCGAACAGGATTCTTGACTGCAGGTCTTCTCAGAACCTTTCACTGTGAATGACTGGAGGAGATAAATAACATGCTGTGTGTTTCTCAAACACATTTTGCCTTGGAATTCACTTCTGGTTGATCATCTTGCAGAGCCAGTGTTTTCTGGAGCTCTGTTTGGGACCTGCTGCCCTAATCAATTCCTGCATAATTTTTTCTAACTTGAGTACCTTACAGACAGGGTCAACATTACTGTTCTCCCCAGAGAATGGGACAGTAACCAGAGAGCTCTTCTTTGTTAATACTAGACCTTGAATGAGTAATCTCAGTTTGTGATGTTATCAATCCTACTTGTTAGAGTGCTGAGTGAGGGCCCCAGACTTACAGGTTTCTGTTTTCTTTTTCTTTTGTTTTCTTTCTTCTTTCCTTTTTTTTTTTTTTTTTTTTTTTTTGATGGAGTCTCCCTCTGTCACCCAGGCTGGAGTGCAGTGGTGCAATCTCAGCTTACTGCAACCTCCACCTCCCGGGTTCAAGCAATTCTCTGCCTCAGCCTCCTGAGTAGCTGCAATTACAGGCACCCGCCACCACGCCTGGCTAATTTTTGTATTTTTAGTAGAGATAGGGTTTCGCCATCTTGGCCAGGCTGGTCTTGAACTCCTGACCTCGTGATCCACCCGCCTTGGCCTCCCAAAATGCCGGGATTACAGGTGTGAGCCACTGTGCTTGGCCACAAATTTCTTCTTTGTGTAAGGTTCCTAATGCTGACTGGCCACTGTACCCTCACTTGGCCCTAAGATCATAGTAGTTGATCTGGATCCCTGGAGGCAGCTCTTTGCCATCATATGGCACCATGTCTTTGCTGCATTTCAGTTGCAGCCTTGCCTGGAGGCTGAATGATGGACAGCCCTCAGTGGGATAACCCTCCATCTTCCCCTTTGACTTTTCATGCATGATCCCCAAAACACTTTGCTGAAATTGGTACTGCCCAGGAAATGTGGTCCAGGGCCTTGTTACTCCAGGGTCTGAGGACCAGCAGCATTGGTGTCACTTGGGGGCTTGTTAGATGTGCGGAGTCTCAGGTCTCATTCCAGTCCATTTGGGCCAGAATATGCATTTAACAAGCTCCCAGGTGATTTATTGGCAGGTACATTAAGGTTTGAGAAGTACCAGTCCGGAGTAGTGATTTTTCAGAACCACATGTCCTGACCTATACTGGGTTGTGAAAGCAATGTCGTGAGTTACAATCAGTGTTAAAAAAAAAAATAAAACAGTAGAATTAAAAATATAGGATCATCAACTTAATAAGGGCAAGTATTTTGGAGGAAAATTTTGTGTATCCTGGGTTGTGGCATATAATGTGTATCACTTTAAAAAAAGGTTTGAAGTCTAAGGCAAAAGTCTAAGGCACACTCAAGGGTGGGGAGACAGGGGACTGGCTGTGGTGACCTCTGCCTGGCCCTGCCCACCGCGTCACTTCCACCTGGCCTTTCCCCAGCTGTTCTGGATGTCTAAGGGTTTCCCATCACTGACCACACACACCTTGTCCCCACACCCTGTGGCCCAATGCCTGGGCTTTGGGGTGTGGTGGGGGAGAGCTGGAACCAAAAAGAATGACTTTTAAAATAGGTTCTCCAGGTTTATTTTTTCCCTGGCTCCTTCTCCTCCCTGCCTTTTCAGCTCTTTGCCCTGGGGATTCTTTCTTCTTCCTTTCCTGTTCCAATCTAGATGGCAAAGCCAAGTGCAGCTCATCGGAGACTCAGTCTCTTTCCCTCCACGTTGTAGATTTTTCTTTCCCAAGATCCCCTCACTCCGTATGGAGAAATCAAAATAACCCGACTGACCCCACGCCTGCAGGGCCCTTCCCACCTCTGGCAGTCTGCCATCAGCCCATGTCTGCCAGAAAATTTATCTGATCTTTGAACCTCGCACTCGCTTGGAGATAAACGTAGGCTACTGCTAAAGGCATCAGTGCTATTGTAGAGTTGGGGCAAGTGGAGGTGAACAGGGCAGGGAGAGGGCAGAAGGCTTTGGGACAGAGGGGCTGGGAGGCAGGCTGCCAACGCTGGGAAGGTGCAGGGAGTGTCTGCAGTCATTTCTCCCTCCCTTCATGTTCATCCCCTGGTTCCAGGCCAAATAGAAATGCCTGAACATCTACCAGGGACAGTCCTTTTCTGTCGTCGTCATCATCATCATCATCATCATCATCATCATCATCATCATCACTACTCTAGATGATGTAGGGTGATCATATGATCCATTTCCCTCCAACACTTGGAGGTGATACCTGTTCTCTGGGTATACTTAATACTACCCCCCTTTCACTCTCAAGAGTGCTCCAATTTGGATTTCAAATGATTTCATCCCTGTATATAAGAAAACAAAAGAGCCTGCCAAAGGTCACGAAGCTAACAAGCAGTTCAGCTGGCACCAGACCCAAACCACATACTCCTCCCAAGATGCTTCATGGCCTGCACAAGATGCTGCACAGTCTTCCCAGGATGTGTCACAACCCTCCCAGGATACCCCACGGCCCTCCCAGGATGTATCATGGCCCTTCCAGGATGCCCTACAGCCCTCCCAGGATGCCTCACAACCCTTCCAGGATGCCTCAAAACCCTCCCAGGATGCCACACAGCCTTCCCAGGATGCATCACAATCCTCCCAGGATGCCTCACAGCCTTCCCAGGATGCGTCACAACCCTCCCAGTATGCCTCACTGCCCTCCCAGCATGCCTCACAATTCTCCCACGATGCTCCACAACCGTCCAAGGATGCTTCACAGTTCTCCCAGGATGCCTCACAACCCTCCCAGGATGCCTCACGGCACTCCCAAGATGTCTCACTTTCTGCTTCTCCCTCCACCTGGCAGGAAGGATAGTGTAGATCAGTGTGTGAGCCTGTGTGCTGAGATCCTAGACTCCTTCCAGAACTTGAAAGCTAGCTAGAGGGAGTCAGTTCACCTTCTAAAAATCTCTCCTAGCCTTCAGGGTGGGGTAGGACCCTAAATAGTTTCTGAAGCCTCTGATTTTCCTTCACGGGTGGGCAGGGCTGAGAGGGAGGGATGCAGGATCTGTTCACTGGTGCTCTTTGGTTTTACCCCTCAGGCTTGCTCAGAATCCCAACTGTGGGAAGCCTTAACTTCCTGGGGGTAAAAGACACACAGGCTGTTTCTTTCTGTTCTCTGCAAGGGTGTGTGTGGAGGGTGGAGTGGGGCAGGTGGACCTTGGAGTTAGTGATGATGTTGGGGCGGAGTAGGGGCCGGAGCTAGTACTTTGCATACTGGCGGTCTTGGGGCCTGGGGGCAGGATTTTAGCTGCAGGTGGCATATACTGGCAGTAACTGCCCCTTGAACTTGGATTTGGCACTGGGGTAACAACTTTGAGGCACAAGCCCACCCCAAAGGCTTCTGATATTCCCATTTCTCCAGGCCACCCATGGTCACTGAACTGCTGACAGGCTTCTGGCTCTGTCAAGCCTACTGTCCACAGACAGGGGAGGCCTGGGATCTTGTCCCACTGAACCCAAGCCCTGAAGCTTTGCTGGGAATCCGCCACATCCGTCCGAGGAGTATGTAGGAAACACAGGTGAGGGCGCACTGGAGGGAGTCTCTCGCAAGGAGAACACTGCTGCTCAGGGATGGAAGAGCAACATCTAAAACACATACACACACACCCAGATGCACACATATAGACACACCTAGAAACATAACACATTCACAAATACCCACATACCTCATGTAGGTCTACATGCATACCAAACATTCACATACATACAGATGCCTTCTACATACTCTCCCATCCATGTTCATGGACAGGCATATCCATGCACCCATGGGAACATATAATCATGCACACACTCATATCCACATGCATGTACATCCACATGCATGGATACAATTATTCACACACTCTGCATAAGAGGTACTCATATATGCAAGGTCCCTTGGCCAGCCATGCAGGAATGGGGGATGGCCCCCTGACATGAAATAAGGGGGGTCCAGAGCTCTGAGAATAGGGACTGTGTATGGAGAGCATCCTGGTTCCCAGGAACCTGGAGGCTCTGGAATACGACAGCAGGAAGAACAAGTGGCGCTTGGAGCAGAGGCACAGCGGAGAGTGTGGGGGACAGCATGACCCAGGAACCCTCAACCAGGCTCCCACTTCATTGTCCATACCCGCTGTCCCAAGGGATGAGCCTCTCCTTGATCCTTTGGTCCCAAACCCATTTCTTCCTGCCTTATTTAGAGAGAGATAACAGATAACCTACAAAAGGAAATCCAAGTCAAATTGACACCAGATTTCTCCCGAGCAATGATATGTACAAGAAAACAGTGAAACTTTATTTTAGAAACTCCAGGCTGGTCTCCACTGAGTTTTGCTGGAGGAAGGAAGGGGCAGGTCCTGCATCCACTCTTGGATTGAAAGGTTGGAGAAAGACACTCTTCAGTAGCCCTCTTAGAAGACATTTCCTGCCCATTTCAAAGATCTTTGAAAAGCTATGTGGAGCGGTCAGCTTAGCTTCCTAGGGTGGGTGAGATTGCAGGTGGCAGGATTAGAGTAAGCAGAGAGGAGAAGGAAGCATGCCTGGCGGGGAACTGCCCTGCAAAGATCCACAGGCCAATAAGCTGGTATGCTGGACAACTGCGTGGCTTCTTTCTGGTGTTCTGGATGCTGCTTCAGAGCCCTCTTGCCTGGGAGCCTGATTGCTGTAGGTGACCCTAGGTTTGCACAGGACAGATCCTCCTTTTTCTGGCACATGTGGCTGTCACTCAAGTAGAGCCAGACTGTCACCTGTGGGCCCTGTGAGGCTTGTGATGGCATGGTACATACCACTAACCCTGTTCAGAGGTCAGGAGTCAGTCTCTGGTCCAAGTCAGCGTGAGTTTTGTAGCCAGGGTAGGGTTAGTCTTTGGACAAGGTCAGTTTTGTGGCCAGTATCAGAGGTTAGTCTTGGCCAGGACTGGAATCAGTCTGAGTCAGTTTCGGGATTGGTCTGTGGCCATGGTTGTGGTCAGTCTGAGGTCAAATTGATGTGACTAGAATCAGGGCTGAGTGTGGCTGGGAAGCAGTTGATCCTCAGTGTAGCTGGTGTGGATGAGACTTGCAGCGAGGCCTCAGCTGCTGAAAGGTCTCCCGCCCACTCCTCTGATGGATACTCTTGCCATATCCCGATGTTAGCATCTCTCACTTCCAAACTCCTTGGTGAAGCCTGGGGCAGTGGACAGCAGGGCTCCCGGGCCATGTGTCCCCATAACTGGATGACCTTAGCTTCTCACTGGCGGGCCTCCTGCATATGGCCTCAGTCTGAGGGGCCTTGGGAGGGCTATGGCGAATGGTTTTCCTGACTCTGGGCTTGACACCTGGAGGCCAGGCTTTGGAGTGGAATGTGGCCCATGGCTAGGGCTCTTCACATCTGAAGAGCTGACTATGGACTCTTTGTAAGCCTTTAGCAAGGCTGAATGACAACCTCATCCTCTAAAATAACCAGGGACCTCACTCAAGGTAATTTCTCTGCCCAAGGAAAGTGGCAATCAAGCAGTTTCTTTGTCTGAAGCTCATGTCTTTTAATATGCTGTCCCAGAAACTGCCTATTCCAGAAGGAGAAGCAGGGACAACAAGCGGCTTGGAAGGCTGCAAACAGTTTCAACTTGTTCTGTCTTCCTGGCCTGTGGCTTATGATTGTGTGTGTTTATTTATTTTACATTGCTCCCATGCCATTAGAGTGTAAACCCCAGGAGGAGGGACTTTGTTGTCTTGCTCACTACTGTATCCTCAGTGCCTAGCAAAAAACTTGATGTGCGTTAGACACTCATTGCATTGCTGCTGAATACATGAATGAATGTGTGTTTTACTTCTATCTCCCCTTCTGTCTTCCAAGTATTCACTGTGTCTTGTGGTTTCTGTTTCCTATTGATGTCTTGGGACTGCCTACCTCTCCCTACCTCCTACCTCCATCAGCTGAGTTCGGGCTGCTGCCATTGTTCCCCTGGATGTCCACAGTGCCTCTTAAGTGGCCTGCCCACATCCCATCCAAGCCCTCTCCGATCCACTCTCCATACTGTGGCTGGAAGGATCCTTGTAACATATAAATAGATCAGGCTACCCCCTGGTTAAAACCCTTCAGTGGCTTCCTATTGCCCTGAGAAGTTCCCTTAACACAGAGTCCAAGGCATGATTTGGCCCCTACACACTTCTCTAGCCTCCTCCTGTCTCTCTTGTCTTTTCTTGTCTCTCTCTGTCTCATTCTGAGCGCCAGCCAGGCTGCCCTTCTTTCACATCCTCAAACAGCCCCCTTTCTTGCAGTTGGAGCCCTTTTATACACAGGGGTCCTACCTGGAGTCCCTCACCCCTCTGGCCCCTGCCACCCAGAGGCTCTCCTGACCCTATCCCCTGGCTAGGCTTCCTGTACGTCCCTCATCTTCACGCTCTCCTTCTCAGCACACTTGATTCTGAGCATCTGCCAGAATAGCTCCTGGGTCTCATTCCCTCCGATACACACAGTGCTGCCTGGCATATTGTGGGCTCTTGGGGCATCTTTGTGGAATGAAGGGCCCAGTGTCTGACATTGGGACCCCAAAGTTGGCTGCACCGACCCTGCATGCCCTAGCCCCTTCCCCCACACAACTGCAGAAACCTTAACAGCCGCAGCTTGGGGAGGTTTAGCAGTTCCTCTCTGCAGGGTCCTTGCTGAACTGACATAGAGTACCTGGCCTGACTGTCAGGAACAGTGATGGGGAGGGCTTGGCACATCTTACTTTCTGAGTGGGGAGAGTGTGCCACTACTTCCCACAAGAGCACATACAAGGAGGATTCCCCCGGATTGGAAGGAGGCTGAAGGCAGGAATGGTGGAAGTATGATAAGTATGGATCATATCCTGCTTAGAGAGAAAGTGCTGGGCTTTGTGGGATTTGGAGGCGTAGGCAGTGAGGATAGTAATGAGGACAGGGATGTTCTCCTCAAATTCCCCATGGGACCCTGATGACTCCAGCCAAGGAAGGGCTGGCAGAAAAGTAGTACAGCTTGGTGACCTTGTGAGCTTGGGGACACACCTGGGTATGGATGGGGTCTCAGGGGACAATGGCAGCAAGGGCTGGGGTGAGCCTTCTTCAGGTGGCTTACAGGTGAGTAGACATGGATGAGGAGGAGGCTTGTTCTCAACTACAAGTGAGATGCTCCCTGGGACCTCCAGGGAGTGTAGGAGACACCACCATGCAGAGGGGCTGAGATCTGGAGCTGTCTGCCTTGTTTACCACTGTCATAACTCCTTAGGTGGGCACACGACGGATTCTCCAAGTCTCACAACTCAGAACCAAGCTCTGGCCCTGAAGGAGCAACTTGAGGGGCCCTGAGAGGAAACTGCTTGGTGCAGAGAAAGATTTGCAAGACTGTCAGCCCAAGCAGCCTGCATGGCCAGGATCCTTCAGGGGAAGGAGGGGGTATGGGTAGGGAGGTCCATGGCTGCCATCTCTGAGGCCCCCACCTAGGTCAGGACCCTGGCTTGCTTCAGAGACCCCTCTGGGCTCTGGACTTCAAAACTTTCCATTTCTCTCATTTCCATTTCTGACTTGAGACCTCTTGGAGAAAAGGCCTCAGTGTCAGTCCTCCGGGGATGGGAAGGTGTCTGGGTCTTGACCAGCTCATCTGGGGAAAGAGATAACCTCTGTTATCCACCTCAGGGCACAGCCACGCTTCCTCCATCAAAGTGGCACTTCCAGGAGACGCTGGCAGAGCATCGGTTTGTCTGCAGACTTCTCCTGAGCCTTGGGGTCCATCGTCACCGAGGCCCCTCAAGCCCCTCCCCTCCAGGCCTCTGGATATCACTTCCTTTGGGAACAGGAGATGCTAGCCGATTTGGGAAATGCTCACTGCAGAGGAGTCTGGCACTGTGTCCGGGTCGGCAAGGCTATATTTAACCAGCTATATTTGCTGTCCCACTCACTTGTCCCAACCCGGCCCCGCCCGCCACCCCTCCCCCTCAGCAGCCTGTCCTGTCCCACTGGGGCCGCGCCGTCCTTGCTCACCCTGCTCCAGCTGTGCAATTGTGGTCTGGGCCACAGGCTATTTTTTGCTTGGTGCCAAAGATTATTCAGTTATCAGGAATGTGTGTTTAAGTGGCCGTCTCCGGAACAAGGATTATAAATAGGAACTTGGGGTCAAGGCCTGGGCCCCAGTGTCCTCCTCTTTGTCCCAGTTCCTGTCCTGGCTCCAGGATTTTACTTGGGGTGAACACCATGAGGCCATGGTGAGGTTGTCTGGAGGAGAGGACCCCAGGGTGGGAGGCCAGAGGTCCAGGACTAAGAACACTTCTGACAGGCAAGTCACCTGATGTCTCTGGGACTTGCTTTCTCCATCTGGGCAATGGGGAGACTCAGGCTCATTCACTGAATGGCAAACAGGAAATAGATGGGCAAGAACTAGTCTTGGGAGTAAATGCGTAACAGTTCAATTTGCTTTTTGGGAGCTCCTGGTCTTTTGGTGGGACTGTGCCTAGGTTTGATCTCAGCATTAAGTGGCCTAAGCAGGATGAAGTGGGCATATTTGGTCACAGGCACCCAAGATGAGGCTAAATCTTTCTCCTACAAGATGAGGGCTGCTTCCCAAGGTGCCAGTTATCACGGAGAACAGGCCCAGGTCAGAGGCCTTGACCCAGGCTGTTTGGTTGGTGAGTGTGGGCAAGGGTGCCTGGTGAAAATGGTTGGGCTGCTTCCTGGTGACTAGTGGCCCTTCCTATCCTGGGGAGAGCCATCTTCTCATGCCCTGGCTTGGGAAACTTTGGCTCTTTTTCCCTCCATCAGGGGAGGGTAAGGAGGGATGTCAGGGTTCCACCCAAATGCTGGGGTGGGCCAGGCCCTGGGGGCGCCATACAGCTGCCCTAGGCTCCTCACCACACTCCTGCCTCTGAAGAGGGTGGTGCAGGGGAAGGACATGCTGCCATCCTTTCACCTCAGTTTCTCCACTGTCAAATGGCAGAAATAATGTACAGCCTCCCTCTCTGGAGCTGTTAGGTATGAGAGTGATCTAAAAGGATATTCAATCATTCATTATCACAATAAATGAGAATGACATTCTGAGCAGAAAGGCCTTGGTTGACCTGAGGGGTCGTAGCCTCCCGATGTCACCAAACTTGGCCAAACCCCAGCAGTCCTGTGGCTTCAATCCCCATACACTGTGTCTCCGTTTTCCCCTTGGGTGCAGACGCTTTCATTGCTCTCCTCGCCCAGTGGTCTTTGTCACCCTTCCCCTTCACTCTGGCAAATCTCAGGCCTGGATGACTGATTGATCTGGGATACAACTATGGAGACCTCTCCTCCACCCATTTGGAACTCTAAACTCAGCAGGAACTTAGCTCTTCCCCCTATTCAGGTAGGGCCAGTACCTGTCCCATACTCTGTCACCAGGACAGGACTGCATTGCCAGCTATGGCATTGCACCTGCAGCTCCACCCCTTGCTCTGGGGCCATTTATGTACAGAAGAGCCTCTTCTTTCTGATAATGTTGGTACATTAAATGTGTACTGTAATGAGATGAAATTGACTTTTATATCTTGGTAAGACTTTTCATTTAAATTTTCGAGTAAGATAAAAGATTCTTTGACAGACTACATTTTGGATTTTTTTAAAAAGTGGCCATAAATGGGGTAGTGGGGCATTCCCTAGTGGAGGTGAGAATTGGGCAGGGGTCTGTTCCCCAGGCTGGGAATGCAGAGGGCTCCACAGTGTTTGACCAAGCTAGCTGCCTGGCAGGGGAGAGTTGTGGAGATGGCAAGTCCATGGAGTGTCTCCATGACAGGCTCCAGGGGAGTCCTTGCTGGGTCGTTGCCAAGGGTGTCCTTTGTGTTTTCCTCTGGGGGCTGTTCTAGCTTGGTTTGACAATTCTGAAGGTCCTAGGGGACCTCCATCTATCTCCACAGGCAAGAGCAGGTGCCATCAGAGGGGATTTTCCCTTAGTATTGGAGAGTGGGGGTGGGTAATCAGTAGAGAAAGAGAGAGACAGAGAGAGGGCATGCTTAGCTTATTCCAGATCCCTACTTCCCAGCTGGCCCCAGGTCCTGGCTGCTCCTCAGCCAGCTCCTGGGGCAGTTTTGTAGAAGAGAATGTGGACTTGTGCTCAGCAACCACCAGGATTCAGTCATACATAGCACTGGATGGAGATGGAGGCTTGAACAGTTTTGAATAGTTTTCTCCGAGGGCTCAGCTGCCACCTCCTTTTCCTACAAGGTCAGCATGACCCCCAGACGAGAACCTTCCTCAGCCCCCTGCCCTGTAGTTCCCATAAAGAATAAGTGATTTCCTTTCTTTTTCCAGGGTGAATGCTTTCCTCATTCCTTGGCTCTTGGCTGTATCACTGCAATTCTGCTCTCATTGTCAGGCTGCCTTCTCCTATTTTCTCCTCTCTGTCTCCATCAGTCCAAGCTGGCAGTATTTCTGCTGGAATAACAGCCTCAAGCACCCTGCTTTGGTGACCCAGCCTGGGCCTTCCTCCCCTCCTGTCAGACCCGCAGCTTGGACTCACTGCCCTCGACTGCCTACTTTGGATAACAGGCCTTTACTTTGGCCTTGTGCTTCCCCCCTGGCCTGGCGGCCCCTCTTTTCAAATGAGGCTGAGCCATGTTCCCAAGGCTAGCACTAGGGACAAGGAGAAATGGTGCTAGCACAGGCCTGCCCCAGAGCCCCTGGAGGCAGGGCCAAGATTCTAGACCTGGGCCACACTGCCCATAGGCAAGTCGGCTCTTTGCAGGCAAAGGCAGGATCAGGAAACTGGACTATTAGTCTTTACAACAGCTCTATGGGGTGGGCATTGCCATCACTGGTTTATGGATGAGGAACCTGAGGCTCAGAGAGGAACAGAGGGTGACCTGAGGTCACATAGCCAATAACAGACAGAGCTTGGACTGAAAACCTGGTGTTGCTGCCTGCCCCTCAGCCTCCTTCACTGTAGAAGTATAAAGAGCCTTGTTGAGAGACTACTGCCTCCAGCCCCAGGACCACCCTAAGACCTGGGCAAGAAGGACCTCATGCCTTGTAGCACTCGCCTTGAAATCTTCTAGGTTTCTATCTGTAGCTGGAACTGACCAGGACTGGCAGTGCCATCTAGCTGGGGCATCCTCAGCTTGAACTGGCACCTGTGTGGGCCCCAGTCCCTGTTTCTCCTCCTTGGGGTACCCTCTGACACTCAAACCCATGTGTGAGGTTGACTAGATGTACCAAGGAGCAATGGGCCTCATGCCTGTGCAGTCATCTTGGGGCCACATAGCTGGACTTGGTTCCTGGCAGGCAGTCTGGTGAGTGGATTGCTCCCCTGGCTGGTGAAGAATTTTTTATGTGGGATCACATGAAATTGGGCTTTCAGAATGGTGCTGACATGCTGATTTTGAATGACTCAATTGTTTATATAGACAGGAGCCTGGCAAGAAAATATTTGCCCAGGGTCCCATTCACCCTAGGGAAGGCTCTGCCATCTCCCTGACATTAAGCCATCTTGCTGTATTGTTGCTTATTGTACTGAAATTGATTTTCCCTTTGTTGCTTTGAAACCTCTTTAGAAAGACCTACACCAAGGGAGATTTCCCAAATTCCCTTTATTACCCCCTCCCCACCATGTTTCACAATCCTTAGATTTTAAAATTGAATCCAGATCTGACTTCCAGGCCCTAGTTCTTCAGCTACAACAATATCCCTTTGTCCTGGCCTCAGTGGACAGTGCTTAGCCCCATTCGACCTTTAGCCTTCTTGCAAAAAAGCAGGAGGCCCACTTACACCCTGGGATTTCCAGGAGAACAAAGATGTGATAAAACCTGCCAGAGATCACATGGTTGCCCAAGGAGGTTTGGGATTTTCATCTACAGCTATTATTTCCACCTTGATATGGGGCACTCTGGGTTATCCGTGGAGGCTGTGGTCAAAGGGACCCCATGGGGCAAGCATCCTTTGCTCTTGGTAGCCACTCCTCTTCTCCTCTCTCTGTAGCCTGCTTGTCCAGTCCTGACCCCCTGGCTTCTTTCTAACACATGCCCTGGCCCATGCTCCCCAGTGAAGTTGGGATGAGGGCTTGGAATGGAACAGCCATTAAGGGCCCTACATCCAGGGAGTGGTTGTCCCCTGGTAGATAGAGGTGAACGGACCATCCTTCACCCCGGGGAGGTCAATGCTGTGAACCCATATTTCCTTCCCAGCAGCATCTGCCCTTGGGCCCCTCTCTGAGCCTCTTTGTCTCTCTCTTCTCAGTGGGGCTGTCAAAAGCTGAGCCTCACAGGTTGTGACTAATCACTAGCAGATTTTTTTTCCATCCAAGAAGAAGAAAAAGCTGAAGGAGATGAAGAAAAACCCCAACAGTGAATAACTCGGAAGAGTTTCCAACATGTGGGTGTTTTTCTGGGACCAAAGATCAGGAAGATTCCAAATGTAAACAATCCCAAAATAACTCAGCTCTCCCAACCCCAGGCATTCCCAGGACTGGATGTCCACACTCCTTCTCTTTCCCTCAGGGAACCCAAGGTCAGGGAGAGGTGGCAGGGCTTGTGTATTGGGAAGAGTTGCTGGGGACTTCAGGCAAAGTAAAGGGTCTGCCTTTACTTTGTAAAGGCAGGAATTTAGTCTTATTCATCAGATAACAGTGATTATCTCTTTGTTTGAGAGAGGGGCTTCTTCCTGTCTCATCAGACCAGATTGCCCTGGGATTAGAGACCATGACTATGACTTTTTTTTTTTTTTTTTGCTCAGAGTCATATCCCATCGTGCTTAAACCAAGCTCCTGAGATTTCTTGCCAGCATAATGTAATGGAAAGAACATGGACTTTGAAGTCACACAGGGTTGGAATCTTGGCTCCACTGCTTATTAACTGTGTGGCCTTGAGTACATTATTTAGCATCTGGGAATCTCAGTTACCTCCTTATAAAACCGGGGCAATGATTCTTACCCAAGAAGATCCTCTTTCTAACACACCTAGTATGATGCCTCTTGCCTAGAAAGGGCTCAACACATGTTCCCTGTCCCCTTCTCTCTACCCATGAATGTGACTTGAGCTGGAGAAATCAGTAACTTCTTTTCTACCACTTTCTTTTCTGAAAGAAGTAGAGTATGTGTGTTCAAATGTGGAAATCACTTCTTTATGTTACTGAAAATCACTATGGCAACTCATGAGAGAAGGATATATTCAATAAAGAACGTAAAACATCTTTCTAAAGGAGATAATGCTGGAGGATGGTTCAAGTCTTGGTGAAAATGATGGAGGTGATGACAGTGTAGTTGATGGTGAGATAATGATGGTGAAGAGAGTGGTGGTGGTGGCAGAAGTGACCGTAGTGATAAAAATCATGGAGGAGATGATGGAGAAGGTTCATAAAGTGATGGTAGAGGTAGTGGTAAAAGTGGTAATGGAGGCTATGATGCAGGTAATGGGGAAGTAAAGGTGAGGATAGTGGTGGTGATGGGGATAAAAGTGATTGATGGTGATGGTGGTGATGAAGGCTATGTTAGAGGTGACAATGTTTGCTTGTTTAGGATGATGGATAAGTTACACTTGATTTGGTGTCATGGTGAGACAGGGTGATTTGTGATCAGGACTACCTCAACCAGTCTTCCACTCCAGTAGATGAAGGCACAGAGAAGGCAGGCAAAGCAAGGTAGAAGAATGCTTTATGATTAACTGTTACTTTGGCCCTAAACTACAATAGGGGACATTAAACTTCTTAATTGTAGCTGATTGAACACACATGTTTATTTTGGCTACCTCCAGAAGCCCCACTAAAATGTCATTAATATAGTTTTTTTTAAAGGCATAAATCCACAAGGAAAAAGAGAATGGGAAAGGAAACATCAGCAAATAAGAGAAGCTAACAATTTGGAAATTAGAAAGTAGATGGATGAATGGTATCTGACTTAGCAGACCACAGAAAACTGAAACCCAAGACTGCAAGGGTGTGCGGGTAGATGGTAGAAACCAACAGGTAGCAAACTATTTCTAGCCACAGAATCCTACAGAGGACTGGGAGTTGGAGGCACCAGTTACTTCTGAAGGCACAGATTCAGAGTAAGGCTGAAAAATGGGAGGGTTGATTGCAAGTTTTTTAAAGAAGCAGTAAGAACCTCCCCATCCCAGATGTATTCCTTTACTCTGTTCATTCAGGTAATCGTCCCTTCCCAGGCTGGCAGAAAACAGAGAGTTTATGCTCTGAGATGTTAAACCAGAAAGGTTCTGGGCACAGGGGCACCAGACACAGTTGAGGGAGGAGAGAGGAGCCAATCTGAAAACAGGGATATTAAGGATAAATTTGTTTTCTGAAAGGTGAGGCTGTTAGCTCTCTTCTCATTCAAATCCCAGAATACTGGTAGCCAGGTTAATATTACATGAGCAAGACATTCGAAGAAACTTTCCTGGGAAAAGTTTTCTCAGAAAAACTTCTCTTGATTTTCCCAAGAGAAAAGACTTAAGAGTTGTTGACATTTGGTCTCCCAGGGAAACTGTGAGCCCACTCAGCCACTCGATGGTAAAGCCCACCTGTCGGTACCTTTCTCTCTTCTCCCACTGCTTTCAATCAAGATTTTAATGTCTCACACTTTGACATAAATGGGGACCTAATAATTACTTGACATTTAAGAAAGTCCTTCAACATGAAAGGCAGAGTTCAAAACAAAGAGGAAAAAGGAGGGTAAAGGAAACAATGAAGAAAAAAAACAGCACAGAAATTACAACTAACATTTTCAGAATGATGAAATGAGGTGAAATTACTTTTATTTTTAAATTTATTATTATTTTTTTGAGACGCTGTCACCCAGGTTGGAGTGCAGTAGCGTGATCTCAGCTCACTGCAAACTCCGCCTCCCGGGTTAAAGCGATTCTCCTGCCTCAGCCTCCTGAGTAGCTGGGATTACAGGCATGCACCACCACATTTGGCTAATTTTTTATATTTTTAGTAGGGACGAGTTTCACCATATTGGCCAGGCTGGTCTTGAACTCCTGACTTCATGATCTGCCAGCCTTGGCCTCCCAAAATGCTGGGATTACAGGTGTGAGCCACCGCACCCTGCCCATTTTAAAATTTTTTTTTAGAAGACAAGGTCTCACTCTGTTGCCCAGGCTGGAGGGCAGTAGTACAACTGTAGCTTACTATAGGCTTGAACTCCTGGGTGCAAGCGATCTTCTCACTTCAGCCTCTTGAGTAACTAGTACTACAGGTGTATGCTACCATGCCTGGCTAATTTTTAAATTTTTTGTAGAGATGGGGTCTCGCTTTGTTGCTCAGGCTGGTCTCAAACTCCTGGCCTCAAGTGATCTTCCTATCTTGGCTTCTCAAAGCACTGGGACTATAGGTGTAAGCCACTGTACTCAGCCAATGCCTCTCTTAAATGAGAATCAAATGTTATATTTTTTAAAGGAACATAAAAAAGAAATACAAATATAACATTCCTATTTGATTTAAAGATCAAATCAAAACAGAAGAAGGGTTGGAAGATAAGTAAAGACAAATTCCCAAAAGGTAGAACAAAAATACCAAAGAAATGGAAATTGACAGAAAAAGTTAGATTATCAGTCTAGGAGTGGCATTCACAACTGTAAGTCCTAGAGAGAAATAGAATAAAGGAAGGAGATGAAACTACCAAAAGAAAAATATAAGAAATTTCCTAGAACTATAAAACATGAATTTAGAGATGGAAAATTTTCTATGAGTACATGACAAGCTGAATTAAAAAATATCAACCAAACCAAGAAACAATTCAGCCAAAGGCACACTGCAGTGAAATCTCAAAACTCTGGAGACAAAAACTTTAACAATTCCAGAATGAGGAAAATAGTTTATTTACAAATTATTGGGAGCCAGAATTGCATAAGAGTTCTCAACAACTGCCATATAAGCTAGAAGAAAATAAACAATGCTTTTACATTCTGAGGGAAATGCTTTCCAAACCAGAGTTCTATACCCAGCCAAACTAACAATTGAGTGTGACAGTAAAAATAAAGATAATTTTAGACATGAATGATCTTTAAAAACTACTTTCTAAGCATCGTTTTTTAAGGAGGATATTGACAAATGTTATCCATTTTGAATTAGGAAGTAAACCAAGGAAGAGAAAGGAATTGAAGGATCCAACAATCAGGATAGAGTCAAAGGGAAGTCTGAGAATCATGGAAGGAAAGTTTCAGGATGACAGTCATCCAAATATGTAGAGAACAATCAGTCAGATGGGCCATAAGGATGGAGGACTCATCAGGAAAGAGATCCACAAGAATAAAATGGAACTGATTGTAATTTACAGTCAAAGGAAATTTTCAGTTCTGTTGGACAGTTTGGGAATGAATTGGTAAATGATACATGGAAAATTGAGCAAATGGCAAAACAAGGCAATTACTAACTCCTAGAGAACAAAAAAGTTGTATAAGAATGGAAAGTGGCTCAATTGTGAATGATAGTCATTGTCATATAGTAATAGTAATGCAAAGCCTGAATATGGCTGTGATCAGTATCAATATTCGTGTCTGTGTGTGTGTGTGTGTCAGAGGGTGATATGTGTGGGTAAGTGGTAGTGCAAGAGAACTTAATTCTCATCTTCCAGAAGCATCTAGATCAATACTTATTGATAGGTTAAAAGATGAAATCTAAACCTGAAAAATGCAAAAATATATTATCATGTCACTTAGAAATAAAACAATTCAAAATGCTTGCCTCAGGAGAAGAGGACTCAGAAGTGAGCAAGATTGGAGCAGAAGTCTGATGTTTTTTATTATAAACCTTGTAGAACATTTTACTTTCAAAAATATGTACATGAATTACTTTGATAAAAATAAAGATTTAAATAGAATATAAAAATGAGAACTCTAGTGAGCCATGCTAGATGATGTGGAGAACATATTGACCAAATAAGTCAGTCCAAATGGCTCAGAACCAAAATCAGCTAAAAGACCTGCTCCATCTACTGCCTCTAGGTCCAAACCCAAGTCTTGGATATGTCCACACTCACCAGAAAGCCACAAAAGGGAGCTTAAGAAACACAGAAACATCTTGCATTTGCTCCATTGCTCTGGCCTTTCCAGGACCATGTGGCTGCCACATGGGAGAGAGAGAAGTGGGGAGAAAAGGTTCAAGCCAAAAGCCTTCTCACTGGGGGAGCAGTCCCCAGCCCTCATACTTCATCCATGTGGGCTAGACATTTAGTCTGGCACACTGTCTCTTCAGTACAGTGCACCATAAGCTCTTCTCAGACCTGAGTAACTATTGCCATCCTCCTCCTTGAGGGTAGGACAAGGGGAAGGGAGAGCTGTGAATGACTCCTAGAATCCAACAGTGATGGTGGCAGTGAAGTTGAAGGTGATAGTGTGATGATGGAGTTGACAGAGGTGGAAAAAGTGGCAATGACAGTGGGGGTTTTTATAATGAGCATAAGAGAGGAAGTGACAGGAGAAGGTATAGGCAGTGATGGTGCCAGTGATAGTGAAAATGATATTGATGATGCTGTTGGAGATAATGGTGAAATAGGTACAGTGCTATGACAAAAGTGATTGTATTAGTGACGATAGAAGTGATAGTGGCAGCAAAGGCAGACATGACAGAGGAGGTGCTATTAGCAAAGATAGTGGAGGTGATACAGTGGCAGTAGTGGTGGTGGTTTGAGAGAGATGGTAATAATGGGACTGATGGCAGTAATGAGGGTGATGCAAGGGGAGGGGTTAGGAATAAGGATAGCATTGATAATTACGGCAATGAAAGTGGAAATAAGCGGTGGTACTTAGTGATGACAATGATGGGGATGGTGGGAGTGATAGCAGAATTGTTGTTGCAAGTGGTAGCGATGGGAATGTTGGCAAAGATGATTGAATCTCATAGTAGTGGGGATGGTGGAATTGGAAATGACGGCAATGATGGTAGCTGCAGCAATCGCAGACACTATTGTAAACAGGAGGATATTAAGATCAAAGACAGATATATATGTAGGGCATCTAAAGTCATTAGTTTAGTCAGGCTAGATTATGCTGCAGTAACAGCCAGCTCCCACATCTTAGGGAGTTTGCACAGCAAAAGTTAAATCCTCATACGAAATGTTTAAAATAGGTTAGAAGGGGGACCTGCTCTCATTGTCACCTATGGACCTGTGCTGACGAAGGATCCAATTTGGTGTGCTCTTAGGATCACCATGGCAGTAAGGAGAGAATGTAATGAGTTATGCACTGTTTCTGTGTTGGTCAGCTTGGGCTAGGTTATAGTGTGGTAATGAAAGACTCCAAAATTTCTATAGCCTTTACCAACAGAATTTCTCACTCACACTCTCTAGACACTGTGGGTTGGCCGTGGCTGTGCTCCTCATCATTTTCACTCTGGGATCAAGGCTGATGGTTCAGCCTCCATCTGTAACTTTGCCAGTCTTGTGGCAGAGGAAAAAGAGAATATGGTTAAACATGTGCTGGATTTTCAAGCTTCTGCTCAGAAGTGACACGTATCATTTCTGCCTACATTTTATTGGCTAAAGCAAAACTAATTTCAAAAGAGACAGGGAAATATAATCTTCTTAGGTGCCTGGAAAGAGGATAACTGGAATTTTTGTGAACTCTCTAATGACTATGATAGGCACTGTTTGCTCATGGAGTGTGGGAGGTAGAAAGAGCAATGGAGGAATTACGTAAGGCTGGTATGGTCATGGGGGAGGAACTTGGCCAATGTGGAGGGGCTTAGGGATGAGGGGAAAACAATTTAGAGGAAGGAAACACCAGGAGCAAGAGACAGGACAAGTCATGGCAAAGTCCACAAACCTGCTTGCCATTGGTCCTTGGTTTTTCTGGTATTTCTGGTTTCCCAGAAATCCAACAGATTCTGAGAATGTTTGTTTGGAGCACAACATTCACTGAGAGAAGCAGCAGATGATAAGGATGGAAAGATCGGTAGATCCAGAGCCTGAAGGGGATTCAAATGCCATGCTCAGATGTTTTGCAACATAAACCATAAATAAAATGCACCATAGTTAAATAAGGTTGGGGAATGCTGTATGCTTTGTCCCCCTTTTGTACATTGGTTCTCTTTACATCAGGAAGCTCTCTGGTGACAACACTGCAATCCTCAATATAGGGCTTCCAAAGTCACCCCGGGTGTCAACATCCTAGTCAATGGGAGGAAAAAGAACAAGGAATGGCCCATGGGAGGTTATTAATAGGCCAGGCCAGGAAGTGGTGCACATCACTTCTACTCAGATATCACTGGAGATAACTTAGTCACATAGATGCACCTAATGACAAGGGAGGCTGGGAAGTATAGTCTGAATGTTTGCCCAAATCCAGAGAGATGAGATTTTGGAGGACATGTAACAGTTGCTTCATGAGAACTCACTTCAAATCTTTGAAGGACTTGAATGTGAACAAGGGCCAAAACTTTCTGAGTATTGCTTCAGAAGAGAGAAACATACAAAGAGGCAGGCGTTGGCTCAATGAATGGAAGGAAGGACTTTCTTGACCGTTTTATCAGAATCGCAAATTATCAGGATTAGGAATGACCTGGGAGTTCAACCCACCTCTGAGGCTTGAACCCCGCTTCTAAGAACTCTGTTTAGAAACCTCCAGCAGTGGAGCACTCTCCATGTATGGAGCAACCTCTTCCATTTCCTAAAAGTTCTGATGGCCTAATTCACACGGAATTGCACGGCAGCCTTTACTTATGCTCCGGGGGGTGATGTTTTAGGGGTTAGATCCCTGCAAGTGCAGCTTAGGTGATAGCGTCAAGAGTGATCTCTAGACCTTACTGTTCTGAAAAGTATTTTAGTCTGCTGCTCATTCTCACTGGCTGTGTTTCTTTGCAGACCCGGCCCTGCTGCTGTACTGCCCAGCCCAGCCCCTCTCCCCAGGTCCCAGGCATCCTTTTTTGGTCCCTTGGATTCTCTCCAAAATCTGTCAACTTTTTGTTTTTCTATGCTGGGCAATTTATTTCACTTTGCCTTCCGTCTCTCTTCCGAGGCCGGCTTTGCCACCATGTGGTCCTCCGAGGTGCTTAGTTTAACACTAAGGTATCTACTTAAAAGAGGCATTATATCATAGGAAATGGAATTACTGCAGTTAGGGTGTTAAATGACTTTTGGCTCCCACCCCTCTCCCCATTCATCTAGTTTTTCATTTAGCACCTTATTTATTGAGCACTTACTGTATGCTGGGCAATAGTAGGTAAAATATTTAGCACACATCAAGGCTTCAGTGACTGGTAACTCATTTTTTTCCCTCTCTTCCCTTAGAAAATCCTCCCTGCTGGTGAAATGACACTTCCCACCTTGAAACCTCTAGTTCTGGGTGCTGAAAGAGAGCTGTCCAGCTGAAGGATTGGCTGCCCCTTGTCCCTCAGATTCCCACAATGGAGACTCTATAATGGGGAGGGGTCAGGCCCAAGTGTTCAAACTTCAGGGCCACTTTTGGCCTTTAACATTTCTGATTGACAATGGCAATAACCCTGACAATCTGGTATGCCCTGTAAGACAAGAAATCTAGTCTTTAAAACTGATAAACTCACAGGGTTCTGGGCAAAGTGATCCAGGGGTGTCTGGTTTAGCCCCCTAGGTGCCAGATCTGACAAGGTGTTCCTGTATCTTCCTTGTCTCTTGGCTTGGCTTTCGGAGATGCAATGGGGTGGCAATGGGCTGACTTCCTTCTGCAGCACCCTCTTGGGAAGCAGCATGAATTTGTTTAGACTAGAATGTCTTTAGCAGAACTGTTCTTCTACAAGGACCTGGCTCCCAGTTAGCCACCCAAATGGTCAGATGACTATAGCAGTCCCACTCCCCACCCAAGGACCCTTCTGCACAGTTATTTTCCCAGCCGTAGGATTGGGTCTTGTATTAGTCCATTCTCATGCTGCTATAAAGAACTGCCTGAGACTGGGTAATTCATAAATGAAAAAAGTGTAATTGACTTACAGTTCACAGGGCTGGAGAGGCCCCAGGAAACTTACAGTAATGGCAGAAGGGGAAGCAAACACGTGCTTCTTCACATGGTGGCAGGAAGGAGAAGTGCCGAGCAAAGGGGGAAAAGCCCCTTGTAAAACCATCAGATCTTGTGAGAACTCACTCACTATCACGAGAAGAGCATGGGGGTAACCATCCCCATGATTCAATTACCTTCCACCAGGTCCCTCTCACAACACATGGGGATTACGGGAACTACCATT
This sequence comes from Homo sapiens, assembly GCF_000001405.40. Lineage (NCBI taxonomy): Eukaryota > Metazoa > Chordata > Mammalia > Primates > Hominidae > Homo > Homo sapiens. Next base: position 71,730,213 of record NC_000002.12, read on the forward strand.
CAAGATGAGATTTGGGTGGGGACACAGCCAAACCATGTCAGGTCTGCAGGTCTGCAGCACTTCCTAGAGCACCCTTCACATTGCAGTTGTAAATGGGCTTGTGCTCCTAGGGGAGCCAGGCTTAAAGGCTACAATGTGAATGGTGCCAGGGGGCACCATTGTTTTTTATTTGCATTAATGTTATGTTCTCTTTGAGTGCAAAGAACTTTGAGGTCTCAAAGCTCACCTCTGTGCTTTCAATAGATCCTCACTTTAAGGTCAGGTGGCATTTCCATTTAATAGAAAGAAAACTGAGGCTCTGAGAAAGAAAGTGGCTTCTCCAGGGTCACAGAGCTAAGAAGTGGTGGAGGAGGAGCTAGGGCCGTATCTCTGACTCTTAGCACAGTGCTCTGTCTGTAGCATAATGTGAAAGTTCCTTGTCTCCGACCATGATGCTCCCAGCCCCACCAGGCTCCTGCCACTAACCTCCTGTCTCCTATTCCGTTTGAGTCCAGGCCTCTCATTTCCAGAGCAAATCTGTGATAATAGTTTGGGCTGATGGGAGAGGACAGAGGTGCATGCTCTCCTCCAGGAAACACAAGTGTCTTTTCTTAGGGGCCTGATCATGGAGGACTCCATTGGTACCCTAATGGGAAGTGAAGAGGGAAGGTAGCACGCCTGCCTCTGGCCCAGGATAAAGCAAGGGAGGCAGAAGCAGTGCTGGGGTGGGGGCGTATCTCTGGCCCCCCACATCCCACATTCCACCTTGAGTCCACATCCAGCCCCCTTCTTGTCCTCTTCACTGTCTGTCACATGCTCCTGACATCTAGAAATCTGAGATGCCTGGAAAAGAGGGGAAGAGGCAGCAAGCACGATGAGCTCATCTGTGCCGGCCGGCGCCGGGCGCCCCTGCGGGACCCTTTTTCCATGTCGGGGTCCAGGCTCCTCGGGTGACGATGACTTCAGGGCTGGAGATTCCCCACTGGCCTCCCTGAGGGATGACTGCTGGCTTGTGGTGCATTCCAGCCATGTTCTCCTCAGCCCTGGCGACGTGAGAACCAGAGCCCATGACCCTCTGTCTCCCGGCTACTCTCCAGGGGAGCCTGGGGCCCAGCGTGTGGCTGGCCATCCAGGCGGCACCTACTCCTGACCCAGACTCTTCCAGTCCCCACTCTTCCTGTTCCAGGGATGGAAAGCCCAGGACCAAGAGATGGTCCTTCTTCTTCCTTTTGGTCTATCTTCCCCTTCAGCCTTCCTCCCTCCTCCCTTTACCCCCAGCCTGCCCCGAGCCCTTGGCCTTGCCTGCCCCATAGACTCAGCTCAAACAGAGCCAGTATCCTCAATGGTGATGACGTCCACGAATGCTGTGACTTGAGAGGGGCAGCTGTGTGACAGACCTTTCTGGAAACTTATCCTTTTCTTCCCAAACCCTTCATGAAGCACCTTACTCCAGGCCTTATCTAGATTCCCCTTCTGTCCAGTCCAAAGCAGCCATTGCCTTGGCAATGCTCTCCTTTCTCCTGGCCCCTTTCATGACCTTAGGGTGTTTCATGGGTCCCTGTGGCCTGGGATGTCCCTACCTATTGGCAGCACCCCTCATTGCCCCCTTCTTGGCTAACCCAGCCACACTGCTTTAGTCGAGGGCTTAATGTTTTCCACATCATTCCTGAAAAGGTGACTCCTTACCCCCTCTCTCCTACCCACACCTCATCTCCTGGCTCTCCATGCCTCTTGAAGTTGCTGTCCACCCTCGCTTCTCCACTCAACCTGCCATCCACAGTGTGGCTGACTCCACTCAGACTCAGGCCCCTCCACTCTAGTGGACTATGCTCACTGCAGTCACTAGTGCCTCATTGCCAAGTCCTCCTTTGACCTCTGCAAAGCCAATTACACGGACCACATCTTCTCCTTGGCCTCTCTGTTACCCCTCTGAACTGATGGAACCTCAAATACAATTAACCAAGACACAAATTCCTTCCATTCTTGAGTACAAGGCTAGGTGCATGGCTGGTGCGGTGGTTTGATGGTGTCAGGATCTATTCCTTCTACTCGTGCTGCCATCTTCAATGTGCTTTCATTTCTTGGCCTGGAATGGATGCTCCAGACCCTGTCATTGGGGAAAAAGAAGAGGAAGGGGATGCCAGCAGCTTCTCTTGAAAGACAGGACTTGGAGGCTGCAATGTCACATCAACTCCCTTCCCCCTGGCCAGAACACAAGCGCCTGGCCATGTCTCACCGAGGACGATACTCTCCAGGCAGGTGGACATGTACCTGGCTAAAAATCCTATTGCCTGTAAGGAGGGGAGAACAGATGCAGGGGCGGGGGTAGGGGAGGGAGGGTGCCTGTCCCTGATGGTTCCTTGTCAGTGTGTTTCATGGGCTGTTTTCCTCTGTCTGCCCCGTCAAGTGCTGCTGCTCCCAGTGTTCCTGTTTCAGGCCTACTCTCTTCTCTCTCTATGTGTTCCAAGTGGCTAACTTTAGTACAGATGTACCTCCTGACACAACACCCACAGTTTCACCTCACAATTGAGAAATTTCTTTTGGTGGTCCCACTAGCACCTCAAAATTGATATTCCCCAAACCTAACTCATTATTTGCTTCCTGAATCTCCTTTTCCTCCTGGGGCCTTTGCTCTTGTGTCTGGCACCCTCCCCTGGTCTCTCTCCATCATTCCCATGTAATCCATTCCTCAAGCTCCCTCAAAGCCTTTGATTCTCTCCATCTCCACTGCCTTGGTCTATGTCCTGTTCATTTCTCACCTGGCCTCGTAGCTGCCTGCTGGTTGTCCCCTTGACTTCTGTTTGCATTCACCTTGGGAGATCTATGATGCAGCCATACTCTTTCAAAATGTGCTTTCAATCAAGCCGTTGCCTACTTATAGACCTCCTTGGCTCTCACTGCTCACAGTGGACCTCCCGCTGGCTGCTCCTTCCCGTCCAACCCCTGGGCTCTGCCTCTTCTTCGTCGTGCTCTGCTGTTCCAAACAGCTTGGTGAGCTCTGAAAACTGCACATCCTTGTTTTCTGCCTGGGTTTCTGCATCGTCTCATTCTCCTTCTCCTCAACCACATGGCAAACATCCTCTCAGCCCTCAAGACTTGGCCTAAGTGTCAACCCCTCTGGGAAGCCCCTTCACTCCCCTTTCCATGAATTTTGGGGGGCTGCGGTTTATCTCTGATCCTTGGCCTGCATAGCACAACCTCTGTCCCATACCAGAATTATGATGATCCATTTATGAATCTGTCTCTCACCTGCCCAGGAGCTCTATGAGGGCAAAATCACATGCTTTCCCTCTCCCAGTCCTCAGCACCTGGCACGATGCTGGATGATAACAAGCATCCTCAAGGTGTTTGTTGAATGCATGACCATGTAGCAAGGACCATCGATTGGTCCTGGATTACAGGCATGAGCCACTGAGCCCAGCCTGATATACATGTATTTTAAACAAAAACTGAGAAATAGAATGAGGTACTAATGGTAACCATGTAAACCTGGCTCAGGAAATATCCATAGCGTCTCCTTGACTATATCATAAAGTCCATGCTGTTTTCCAAGGCATTTCAGTTGGAGACTGTATTAGTCCATTCTCATGCTGCTAACAAAGACATACCTGAGACTGAGTAAATTATAAAGGAAAGAGGTTTAATTGACTCACGGTTTAGTATGGCTGGGGAGGCCTCAGAAAACTTACATTCATGGTGGAAGGGGAAGCAAACACATCCTTCTTCACATGGCAGCAGCAAGGAGAAATGCTGACCAAAAGGGGGAAAAGCCCCTTAAAAAACCATCAGATCTTGCAAGAACTCACTGTCACAAGAACAGCGTGGGGGTAACCCCTGTGATTCAATTACCTCCCAGCACATCCCTCCCACATGGGGATTATGGGAACTACAATTCAAGATGAGATTTGGGTGGGGACACAGCCAAACCATATCAGGAACCATCAGGTTTTTCAGTTTCAACTCCCTCTTCATCACCTGCACATGCCGTTTCTTGCATTACCACCCACTCTTGGGCTCCAGTGTTTGTCATTTGCTCCTCTCAGCCTGGAGTGCCTTTGCCTCCTCCTTCACCTGTTGAACACCTGCTCATCCTTTGGACTAACTTTCATGCCACCTCCTTCGATCCGCCCAACTCAGTCACATAGTGTTCCCTCTGCACCCTGCTGCTCACATTGCCATATAGTTCTTATTGTCTGTCATCAGTGCAGTGCCTCACTGAGGTAGTAACATCCAGCATTCCTTCTTTCATGTGGCGTCCTCTCCCTTCCCTGATGCCCCCACCACTCACCTGGCTGAAGAGAGGGGACTGCCCTGGTCTTTGACAACCCTACCTTTATGATCGCAATTGATGGACTTTCTCAAGCTAAGCCAGTCATAACTCCTCCCCTTCGGGTTCTAGCTCATTGCTTCCAGACCAGCCATGTGTCCTTCAGGCCAATCAGACTCCTTCTCTGATATATATATGTTGTGTGTGTGTGTGTGTGTGTGTGTGCATGTGTGTGTATATACACACACACATATATATTTATTCCCTGATATATACACACATACATACATGCAATATATATATTTAAATATATTTATATAAAAAGTATATTTGTATATTTAAATATTTTTAAAAAATATATTTACATAAAAATATACTTAAATATTTCTTTAAATATTTAATTTAAAAATAAATATCTAAATATATATATATATTTTTTTTAAAGAGATAGGCTCTCATTCTGTCACCCAGCCTGGAGTGCAGTGGCACAATTATGGCTCACTGCAGCCTCAAACTCTTGGTCTTGAGCAATCCTCCCACCTCAGCCTCCTGAATAGCTGGGATCATAGGCACATGCCGCCATACCTGACTATTTTTTGTATTTTTTTAAAGAGATAGGGTCTCTCTATGTTGCCCAGTCCGGTGTTGAACTCTTGGGCTCCAGCGATCCTCCTGTCTCTGCCTCCTGAAGTGCTGGAGGCAGTGGCTGCTTTAGGCTGGACAAGGGTTGGAGTAGGGTGCTCCATGAAGGGTCTGGGAAGAAAAGGATAAGTAAAGTTTTCAGAAATTTCCATCAAACAGCTGTCCCTCTCAAGTTGCAGGTTTCATCGATGTCATCAGTGTTGGGGATGCTGGCTCTGTCTGAGCTTAGCCTTTGGGGAAAGCAAGACTAAGGGCTTGGGGCAGGCTGGGGATCCAGGGAGGAGGGAGGAAGGATAAAGGGGAAGATAGACCAAAAGGAAGAAGAAGGAAGGACCATTTCTTGGTCCTGGATTACAGGCATACACCACTGATCCCAGCCCGATATATATATATATATATTTATTTATATATATATAAATATATATATAAATATATATATAAATATATATAAATATATATATAAATATATATATATAAATATAAATAAATAAATATATAAATATATATAAATATATAAATATATAAAAATATAAATATATATAAATATAAATATATATAAATATGTATACATAAATATATATTTTATATATATATATATATATATATATATAAATAAAACAGAAACTGAGAAATAGAATGAGATCGAAATGGTAGGATATATAGCCAGGAAGCTATTGGAGGCCTTTTTATGTGTGTATGGGAAGGGAGCCATTGCTCAGTAAGAGAAGGAAGCTAACACCAAGAGAGTCATGGGGTTGGGTGAGAGAAAGAGTGGGAGAGTGTTCTGGAGCATTTGAAGGTTTCCTGAAGCCCAGCTGCATCCTGCTCTTGCCATGACATGGTTGGATTCTTTGAGTGGATGATATCCATCTCTTTTCCTAATCTGGTTCAAGTTGCACTCAAGAGTGCTAACTAGTACTTAAACCTATTTGGTTCTACTTAGTAGTGTAGCTATCTGAGTACAAAAAAGACTCCTCCGTTATTTTTCTCCAAGTCTGTAGAGGACACAGCCACATTGAGTGCACCCCATTACGGCAGGGTCCAGGTCTCTTCTCACCCAAGCACATAGCCCAGACCAGGGCTGATCCACCTTTGCTAATTCAATGACTAAATGCTCACACACAGGAAGATTGGGCTGCTGCCTGACCATGGCTTTATTCCCATTTTAAGCTGTGTAAACCCATCAACAATCAGCAAATTAATAGTCTGTGAACTGAGGTCACTCATGGTTTGTTTACTACAGCCACTATTTCCGTGGGCCAGGGAACCCTTTCCACAGGTGGTTTTTTGAGCCTGGGTTTAATTTATTCCTTTTCCCTTACCCCCCTAACTTGGGATAATTATTGCTTTTGTTTACAGTTGAGTTAAGTAAACTGACCACCATCTTCCCCAGCAGAAACCTCCATGCCTGCACAGTCCATTAACGCTGCCGCCGTGTGGCTGGAGATCAGCCAGGTTGTAGGACACCAAACATCTGGACACTGGAGAGGCTTCAAGGGCTTCTGCCAGAAGGAAGTGTCAGGGCTTGGGGAAAGGGACGCTACAGGAGACTTTCACCGCCAGTGACCCGAGACTGCCCGGCACTCAAACCAAAGCGTCTGTGAAGTACAGTGGTGAGGTCAGCCTGGGTGGATGTTCTGAAGCACGGGCCAGGCCTGGGAGAGGAGCGAGATGTTCCTCTGGGAGGAAACCATGGAGCAGGTCCATAGAACAGGATGGCAAAATGGTCGTGGCTGAACAGAGGGGGCTTTGATGGAGGAGAGGAAGGCACCATTCTCTGCTCACTGGGAGCATTGGGAGCCACTAGGATGGGGAAGTCCCTGAGGGGCCCTTTCTAGTGAAGGCAAGAAGGTGGAGCTACCTCACTGAAATTGGAGCTGCAGGGACTGAGTCCAGCATTCTCCAAGGACCCATTCCATCCAGGGACCCACAAATACTTAGTTGTTCTTGGTGTACAAAGACCAGCCACAGGCTCATCAGCGGGGTGTACTCAGCTGGGAGGAACAGCCATACTCTTTCATTCTGGCTCCCATGTGGCTCCCAGCACATGGGGAACTGTCTGGGCGGGGGCTACCAACCAGAGCTTGGCTGCCCCCCAGCCCTTGCCCTAATCCCTGACATCACCACCCCAGACATCTGGCTGTCAGGTCTAATTGAGCTCATGCGTGGAGGGAGCTGGCAGGACAGGAAGCCTCACTCCATGCACTTCCGTGCCCACCCAGCCAGTATCACTGAGAGACACTGCATCCCTCCTTGGACAAATCACTTAACCATACTGAGTCTTGACATCATCATACATTAAACAGAGATAATAATAGCACCTACTGGAAGGGTTGTCATAAGGATGAACAAAGATTGTGTGCTGGATGTATCTTGCATGCAGGAACTGGCATACAGTAAACACTGAGCTAATGACAGCTACTGCTAGTATTATGTGACAGAATGCTCCTCTTACTCCATGACACTAACATGCTGCATGACCTTGGGTTAGCCATGCTCTCTGAGCCTCAGTTTCCTCATCTGTAAAATGAGAGCATTTCTATCAAGTTTTTTTTTCTAAACCAACGTTTCATTATCTGTAAGTGAGGATAATATTATTTTCTCAATTATCTTATGGGCAGAGGGAAAGGAAGAGGCTCCATTGATGTATGGTCAATGTGATAAAGTTTTAAATAGTATAAAAAACTGTTTTAATTCAATGGATAATGATGCTGAGCAATAATTATAGGTGCTAATTAATGCTCGTGGTCAGGGTGTCAATTAACAATGGGGATACGTTCTCAGAAATGCATTGTTAGGCCATTTCATTGTTGTGTGAACATCATAGGGTGTACTTCCCTAAACCTAAATGATAGAGCCTACTACCCACCTGGGCTGTATGACATAGTCCATTGCTTCTGGGCTACAAACCTGTACAGCATGTTGCTGTACATGGATACTGTAGGCAGTGGTAGTGCAATGGGAAATATTTGTGTATCTAAACAGAAAAGATGCAGTAAAAACATGGTATTATCATCTTATGGGACCATGTGGCATATGTGGTCCTTGTTAACGGAAATGTCACACTCCTCTTATGTTACGTCGTGCATGACTGTAGTTTTCTAACATGCTTCCATTCACTTGTTAAGGGTTGGAGGGGAGAATTTCCAGTGTATATGGCAAGGAGGAAGCTGGGCAGAGTGGTCCTGGGCAGAATGTAAATTATACAGGGATATGGCTGAACTGAAAACATTCAACCCACTTTGGGAGGTCTCCAAATCATTAGGTGTGTGGTTTGGACAAGCTCCCTGAGTAGTTCTGATGCTCTTGACTCGCGTCCCCTCCTTCTTCTTGGTTATTTCTTACTTTAGCTCAAGGCCTTTAGGCTTGTTATAAAGTCAACGCCCCAGAGATTCCATTAACAGCTGTTCTCAGATTCTCACACCTGTGTATGAAAGAGATTTCTGTAAGGGAAGAGTCTGGACTAAGGAAGGGTAGACTTGGAGTTGGATCAAAAGGGGACAGCTTCACAGAAGGGAGGACTGCAGGCAAATGCCAGTGGTCCTGGTGTGTCTTCTTTTTGTATTGGCTGGGATGGTTTCAGATTCCATGTTCTCAAGAACCAGTACAGGGTCTACATTAGGGTATCTCAGCCTCTTTAATCCTGTACATCTCTTTCTGCCATCCACTGATTTACCCTTTTCTTGAAAGGAATTATTGCTAGCTTTTGCACCTCTCAAGAGGAGAGTGGTAAGCTTTACGTTCTATACCTTGTATTGTCAGAACAATACACGCGTCATTTTCTTTTTTTTTTTCTTTCCAACTTTTATTTTAAGTTCAGGGACACATGTGCAGGATGTGCAGGTTTGTTACATAGGTAAACGTGTGCCATGGTTGTTTGCTGCACAGATCATTCCATCACCTAGGTATTAAGCCCAGCATCCATTAGCTATTCTTTCCGATGCTCTTCCTCTTCCCACTCCACCCCCACCCTCTGACAGGCCCCAGAGTGTTGTTCCCCTTGAAGTGTTCATGTGTTCTCATCACTCAGCTCCCACTTATAAGTAAGAACATCCAGTATTTGGTTTTCTGTTCCTATATTAGTTTGCTGAAGATAATGGCTTCCAGCTCCATCCATGTCCTTGCAAAGGACATGATCTTGTTCCTTTTTATGGCTGCATAATATTCCATGATACATATGTACCACATTTTCTCTATCCAATCTGCATTGATGGGCATTTAGGTTGATTCCATGTCTTTTCTATTTTGAGTAGTGCTGCAATGAACATAAGGGTGCATGTATCTTTATAATAGGATAATTTATATTCCTTTGAGTATATACCTGGTAATGGGATTCCTGGGTCAAATGGTATTTCTGCCTCTAGGTCTTTGAGGAATCGCCACACTGTCTTCCACAATGGTTGACCTAATTTACACTCCCAACAGTGTAAAAGCATTCTTTTTTTCTGTACAACCTTGCTAGCATCTGTTGGTTTTTGACTTTTTGATAATAGCCATTCTGACTAGTGTGAGATGGTATCTCATTGTGGTATTTAACTGCATTTCTCTAACGATCAGTGATGTTGAGCTTTTTTTCATATGTTCGTTGACCATATGAATGTCTTCTTTTGAGAAGTATTTGTTCATATCCTTTGCCCACTTTTTAATGGTTTTTTTTTTGTAAATTGTTTGATGTTAGACCTTTGTCAGATGGATAGATTGCAAAATTTTTATCCCATTCTGTAGGTTGTCTGTTCACTCTGATGATAGTTTCTTTTGCTATGAAGAAGCTCTTTAGTTAAATTCGATCCTATTTGTCAATTTTTGCTTTGTTGCAATTGCTTTTGGCATTTTCATCATGAAATCTTTCCTGTGCCTATGTCCTGAATGGTATTGCTTGGATTTTCTTCTAGGGTTTTGATTCATCACATAAACAGAACTAAAGACAAAAACCACATGATTATTTCAATAGATGCAAAAAAGGCCTTTGGTAAAATTCAACATCCCTTCATATTAAAAACTCCCAATAAACTAGGTATTGAAGGAACAGACCTCAAAATAATAAAAGCCATATATGACAAACCCACAGCCAATATCATACTGAATGGGCAAAAGCTGGAAGCATTCCCCTTGAAAATAGGCATAAGGCAAGGATGCCATCTGTCACCACTCCTATTCAACATAGTATTGGAAGTTCTGGCCAGGGCAACCAGGTGAGAAAGAAATAAATGGTATTCACACAGGAAGAAAGGAAATCAAACTATCTTTGTTTGTAGATTACATGATCCTATATTTAGAAAATCCCATTGTCTCAGCCCAAAAGTTTCTTAAGCTGATAAACAACTTCAGCAAAGTCTCAGGATACAAAATCAATGTGCAGAAATCACTGGCATTCCTATACACCAACAACATGCAAGCCGAGAGCCAAATCATGAATGAACTCCCATTCATAATTGCCACACACACACCTAAGCACACAGCTAACAAGGGAAATGAAGGACCTTTTCAAAGAGAACTACAAAGCACTGCTCAAGGAAATCAGAGATGACACAAACAAATGGAAAAACATTTCATGCTCATGGATAGGAAGAATCAATATAGTGAAAATGGCCATACTGCCTAAAGCAATTTATAGATTCAATGATATTCACATTAAATGACCATTGACATTCTTCACGGAATTAGAAAAAAAGTATTTAAAAATTCATATGGAAGCAAAAAAGAGCCTGAGTAGCCAAGACAATCCTAAGCAGAAAGAACAAAGATGGAGGCATCATACTACCTGACTTCAAACTATACGACAAAGGTACGGTAACCAAAACAGCATGCTATTGGTACAAAAACAGACATATAGACCAATGGAACAGAATAGAGATCTCAGAAATAAGACTTCACACCTACAACCATCTGATCTTCGACAAACCTGACAAAAACAAGTAATGGGGAGAGGATTCCCTATTTAATAAATGGTGCTGAAAACACTCGCTAGCCATATGCAGAAAATTGAACCTGTACCTCTTCCTTACACCATATACAAAAATCAACTCAATATGGATTAAAGACTGAAATGTAAAATCCATTTTCAAACATAGCGCATCATGATGCTAGTTAAGTATCTTAGGTGGGATCCCTAGAAATAGTCACTGAGACAAGGATTTAAATGCAAGCAGGAAAGTAACCCCCAAAGCACCGGGGGGAGGGAAGAAGAGAGACAAAGAAGAGAAGAAGCCGATAAAAGGAGTATTATCAAGTAGCTATCAATGTGGGCAACTGGGGCTCCATCTATGGGAAACTATGGAAGACAGAGTTTTCCAAGCCAGGAGGAAGGAAGCTGGGATATTTATCTTCCATCTTCCCATCTTTCTTTTTCTGAGGGCTACCTCTGGGAGCATTAATTCTCCAGTGTTCTGGCTTGTCCCATGCACAAGCAGAGTCACAGGTTTGTATAGCAGGCAGTCTTTGGTCTGTGGAGGAAGTATTGAGGGGCTTTGGACAGGGGACCAAGAGAGCTTGCTGCAATATGATTTTACAAATAAGGTACATCCTCCACCCTTGCCCTAAACCTCACCAAGAGTCTGATGTGCAATCCAGAGTTAGGAATCACTGTGCTGGTGTGCTATGACAAGGTTTTTGGATAATGCTGGAGATGGTCATTATGAGATGAATAAAAAAAATTAATGAAGTGCCCTGTGGGAGACAGTTTTCCATGGGTCTGTCATGTTTCTGCACATCTTGCCAGGAAAAGCACAGGCTCCTTTTATTCCTGACTACCTTTTCAAGGTTGTTTGCTTAGTTAATAGTTTGAGAAGATAAAGGTATCTCCCTCTGGAGCAAAGGACACCTTTGTTTACTATCCAATATAATAAAGACAAGGCCTTCCTCTGGATCAAAATTTAGGCATTATTATGCCTATTATAAAAGATTCAGGATGCCTAAGCTAGAGATCCCTTCTCTCCTGTAATGCAACCCACTGTGTGTGCAGGCATCACCTGGCCTTCTTTACATTACCCTGTAGGAATTAGGATTCACGGGACTGGTGCCAATGTTGATTCTCTGGTTACTGCTTATTTTTGTGAGTAATGAACTATCCTTTGTCTCTGACCCAGGAGTCTTGTGTCTTCTGCCAGCATCCATGAAACAGTGGCAGCTAGCTTGCTGGCTTGCAAGAAGGACAGAATCTGAGCTCCTTCACAGTTCTTGACACCTCTTCCCTAATCCCCCACCCCAAAGTCCGTGGTCATCATGTAGTTGATGAAAAGAGACATGAGATTTCCTGCTCGGGAGCTCATAATCTACTTGAGGAAATAAGACAAATGAGTAGGAAATAAGAAATTATCTACAACACTGCCTGATGAATAACAGCATAGTCCTTGAGTAGAGGCTCTGAGAGTGGATGGGAGGGAGGGAAGGGTATTTTAGGTGTGAAGAAGATCTGGAGCAAAGCAGGGAGTAAACACAGGGTGTCCAGGACAGTCCTGGGCTAGGTGAGGGTTGGCCCTAACACAGAGAGTCAGGAGTGCCCAGTTGGGGAATGCAGACTGGGCTCTGTGGGTCATGGGGAGTTCTAGAAGCCCCTATATCGTGTTGCCTTTTTTTCTCATGTTCCACCCTTTTTCTTCTCTAGGACTCACTGACCTGACCCCTCCATCTCCCCAACTCACTGTGCCCCAAGGTATCTTGGAAAAATCCCCAAAGAAGATATGGCAGTTTTGTTTGTGTGGCCTGTGAGCTGGGATGGGAGCTGAGTCCAGAGTCCATAAGAGCCCCCACCCACTCTCCTGGGCAGCAACGAAAGACCACCAGGAATGTCCAACAGGGAATAGATTTATGGCCAAGCTAGGAGGAGCATCCCTGTGAAGACACCTACGGAGTCGTTTCGACAGGAGAATTTACAAGCGCCCTCCTTCGCTTGCTACTGAGTGGAAAAATACACTGAGCCCAGAGCAGTGAACTCCTTGCCAAGGCCTGTGACTCATCTCCAAGTCATAAATAACGGGTCCCTCATGACAAAGCAGAGAAGGGAGCCGGGCCCAGGGCCACGTATTTATTAGAAAAGAGAGTGGAACCATTAGTCGGGGGCTTGGTTTCCAGGAAACTCAAACCACACCACAGTAGAGAAGGTCAGGAGGCCCTTCCACAGGAATTCAGACCTGACATTTTTTTCATATTCTCAAACTTTCATGTGGGGAGGAGACCCCTGCTACATCCACCAGAGGCATCCCCTGGCCACCCAGTTCCATGGGCCAGGAGGAGTCTTGCTGTTTCCCAGGCCCTGGGGGCCACTCCACCATCCCCTGCCCCTGATACTTTTGATGGCGACCAGGGGAGGCAGAACCGCCTGTCTCGGTGGCCCCACTGACATCAGGAAACGTTTAGTGCCTGAGAAGTGTGACCTCTGACGAGTTACGACTCCTCCTGAGGCCTCCATTTCACAAACCTTCCAGGACCGCTGTCAGAATGAGGTGGGGGAGTAGACTCAGGACCGTGCAAGCCCATGGGATGAGCTCACAGCCATGAGCGGCATGGTCTAAGGGAAGAAGGAAAGAGAAGAGAAGAGAAAAGTTGGCTCTGCTGGTCTCTCCCTCTGGGTTGTTCCCCTTGTCTCTGTGCTCTTCTCTGTCTCTGATTATAAAGGACTCAGAATCTAAAGGATAATAGATGCAGATGGATGGAACAATAAATCGTGTGGACTGTTGATAAAACCTTTGTGCTTGAAGAAAATACAACTGTGTGTGGTTCTGAGAAGGCTGAACTCATCATCTCCCCCTAAACCCACTCGTGTGTGGTCAACACCACCTCCCTAGTTGTTCAGGCCAGAAAAATGTGTGTCTAGGTTGATACCCCACATCACCCCTACTTCCTGCAGCAATGACCTTTGCTCTCCCCAACTTCTCTTCCTTGGTCCCCACCCCTCCCACCCCTGCCACCCCTCCCACCCCTGCCACCCCTGCCCTGGCTCAGGACACTGACATCCTTCACCCGATAGCATAGGTCTGAGCACATTGCACTCCCAACCCTTTGGTGGCCTCCCCTGATCTTCTGGCTCAAGTCCACTCTCTTCAGACCCCAAATGCAGGCCTGGTGGTGCTATTCCTTCTCTCTTGTTCACGGCTCAAGGCCAGGGGCTGGCGCCTCCTTCTGCATGCTCCTTCCTCAGAGTCCCTGCCCATGCAGACACTTCCCTTAGCCTCCCGAAGCCTTGGTGGCCCCTAACTGCTCGTACTCATCTGTGTCCCCACCCTGGCCATGCACTCCTTCAGGCAGGGGCCATCTTACTCATCTAATCCTTCCTGGCTGCACAGAACCTGGCCTGCAAATGACAGCTGGGGAGAGCTCAAGGAGTGAATGATATGAATGGCTGAAGAGATGAATGAAGTGATGAATCAATCCTGCCTGCATGACAGCTCTTGGCACAGACAGGAATGTGTGCTGCATCTGCTTCCCTGCTCTGAACTGTGCCCTATTTTCATTGCCTTCTTCTGGCCCTAACTAATGACTGGCCTTACACACAGAGGACTAATGGAAGCTCTGTGCGTGGGTCAGCTGTTTGATCTTTGCTACCTCAGCTGTTAGGGAAACTTCACTCTTCTACCCTGATCTATGCTGGGCATTTCAGACACTGCAGGAAGGTCAGGAACATTTATTGTGTTTCCAGGGTCCTGGTTCTGAGATATCGAGGCTGGAAATGCATCCCCCCAGGTGTGTTTCCATGTGCACTGCAATCACAGAGCATGAGCATTGAAGCAGAATGAAATCGCGACACTCAGACCTGAGAAGCGTCACAGGAGTGCTTTGGACCAACATCTTCACTGTACTGATGAGGTCCTTGGAGGCAAGGGCTCGACCTGCAGTCCCCCGTGTTGGTGAGAGGCAGCCCTAGAATCCCAGGTTCCTGACTCCCAGTCCATGCTCACTAGTGAGCCTTTCATGCTCGGCAGTTCCCTCAGCTGTCTCCTCTTGCCACTGCCCCTCCTCCTGATGTTCAGGAGCCCTGGGCTGCTCAAGCTCCCTCTCATTCAGCCAGTGTTGCCTACAAACTCTCTCTCCAGGTATTGCCAGCCTCACTGTTTTCCAGTTCTGTTTATTGTTTATTTTTGCAGATAGTTATCTGCCTCCCATCTAGTATGTGGGGCATAGAATCTATTGCAGGGACAAAGAGACCTCAGCCTTGGTGATAACAGGTTTGGGTCTCAGAATCCCAGGGCTTAGAATCACCTTCTTGGGACTTATTCAAGTCAGCAGGTCATCCAGGTGCATCGCTGATCCTGTTTCAACTTCTCGCAGGCTCAGAAAGGGCTGAGAAGGACCCAGAGTGGAATTACTACAGGCTCATCCATCTCAGTGGGGCTAAGGGTGCTCACTGATCAGGGAGGGAGAGCACACCCGGCTAAAGGCCATAAACAGAAGAGAGACAAGTTTGGATAAATATGAGGCAAACTCTGTGCTTGACTCTTGAGTCTTCACCACTTAAGTTTTCAGCATCAAGAGGATCCACTTTGGGAGGACTTCCTGGAGGAGATAAACTCTGGGAAAGTTCACTGGGAACCTGGGAGAAGGTGGACTGGGAGAAGAGGAGGGACAGAAGCTGGAAGAATGTCCCCCTAGTCCTGGGACCTCGATTAATGCTGGGGCTGAAGTGTCACCATATTTAGCTCAGGGAGTGGAAGGCCTCATCCTCTGTAGGGTGGGAGAGACCGGGAGGCTTAGATTCAACCTAGAGGGGTTATTCAGGCTGATGTCTTGGGCTGTAGCCCTTGGCATGGAATCTTCAGCCTTAGGTTCCAGAGGGACATTACCTCCCCACCATGACCCTCCTGAGCCAGGTCTCAGCCTAAGCTGCTGCCACTGCCCATTGCTTGAATGGGCTTGAATGTTTATTCCCCTCAAAACTCATGTTGGAATTCAGTTGCCATTGTAACAGTATTAAGAGGTGGGGCCTAATGGGAGTTGTTTAGGTCATGAGGGCATCACTCTTACCAATGGAGTCATGCTGCTATATGAAGTGCATGTGGGTTCACTTCTTCTGCCTTGTGCCATGTAAGGACACAGCAAGAAGGTCTTACCAAGATGCTGACACCTTGATCTCAGACTGTGCAGCCTTCAGAACTGTGAGAAATACATTTCTGTTCTTTATAAATGTTCCAGTCTCAGGTATTCTGTTTTAGCAGCACAAATGAGCTAAAATACCCATCAAACAGTTACTCTGGAGGGAGACACGCAGTCTCCCAGTGAGCAGATACAACCACCAGTCCATCTTTTCTCCTATCCTAGTAGGGGTCAATTGCATAAGTAGGGGAATGAGTGTTTGAGAAATACAGTTCTAGAGGTGGGATTTGAGGCAGCAGCCATGAGCTTGAGTATAAATAATGCTCGAGGAAGGAAGCAGGCTGGTCGCATTGCCTCTGCACACTGCACCTGAACAGCGAGGGCTCTCAGGGGGTTCTCCAGTTTGGAAAAAAGTCGGTACTACTGGTTTTTCCAGCCATGTTTTCTGCCTCGGCCCATCTTCACCCTGTTTTTTAGATATATCCAACTCTGGAAGGATCTACATATTCCCAGTTCTTGCCCAGGCTGTTTTCTCTGCCCTTTCTACCAACTTCCTACCCCCATTTCAGCCTTCATCCTCTGGGTAACTCCTACCTGGTCTTCCAGAGCACGCCCACGTAACAGGCACGCCGTAAGTGTTGAACCAAACACCAGACACTGCTCAGGGGCCATAGGAACTGAGAGAGCTGAGTTCAAGCTCTCTAAGTTCTCTTTGCAGAGAATCCCCTGCACCTAATTTGCTTGTGATCTTGGGCAAATCACTCCCATTCTGTGGCCTCAACTTCTTTATCTGTCAATGAGGCTGCTGAGCTGGCTGAGCTGTGAGCCTTCCAGCTCTGACACACACCCTGGGTGGCAGCGAGGCCAAGGTCCCGGCCCCAGGCTCTCTCCCTGGCCTGCCTCACTCTCCCCAGCCGGGAGGAACATCCTGAACAGCGTTAAGAATAATAAACACGGGCTGATAAACATCAATAGGCCCGCCTGGTGCCAAAAAGAAAAGAGGGAAGACTGCATTGCTGGCTGGAGCCTCCCTGGACCACGGAGCTGCTGCCAGTTCCTTAATCATCTGGAGACAGCCAGCCGGCTCCCCCAGCCCCGCCCTGGGCCCAGGGCAGGCAAAGGCCAGGCCAGGCCCCGGGGAAGCCAGCCACTAGGTCCTCAGCCACAGCTAGCCACAGATGCCCCACCCCCTCTATGCCAGGGCCTCTCTTTGTATGGGGATGTTATGTTACTGCCTTGCTCGAAACTGTCAGTGGCTTACCGTTGCCCACAAGGCAGAGCAGAGCCCACAGATCCCTGACTGGCACTGAGGGCTTCGACTCAGGCCTCAGCCTTCCTCTCCAGACTCATGGCTCACCTGTTTCTAGATTACAGCTGTGGAGAGTCTGCCACTTCCTACCAAGCTCTATCCCTCTGATATTTTTCACAGACTGCTGAAGGGCCTGGTGGCCCTGGCAACCCTATGTTGACACCCATTTCAGGCACCAGGGCCCTGCAGAGTTAGTATTTTTGGCTCAGGGTGCTCAGTATTCTAATTCTTTGATTCCTTGTCTGACTGTCTCGGGGATGAACTCTTGAGAGAGAGACCTGTTCCTGGAGAAGTAAGATATGCTGTGCTCAGAGCTTGAACTCGAACCAGATGATCTGGTTTCAAAACCTGTTCTGTCACTTTGCTATGTGGCCTTGGGCAAATTACCTAACCTTTCTGTACCTCAGTCTCCAGTAAAATAAAGATGATATGAATAATATAATAATACCTATCTTACACGGTAGCTGTCAGGCTTACAAGGGCTAACACATGTAGCGTGCTTAGAAGAGTGCCAGGGACCCAGCAATGCTCTCTGAATGGTAGCCATTATTATTTATCTTTGCACACCATATGCTACCAGTGCCTGGTGCAGAGTAGGCTTCAGCTGCATTTGTTGAATGACTAAATGATGGTCAGACTCATAGCTAGAGAAAGGACCATAGGCCTGGCTCCCCCATGGAGTCCTGGCTGCTGTGGTTATGTGATGAATATCTGTTGAGTGCCCAGCTGTGATGGCCAACAGTGTGGCCACAGGACAGGCCCCCACTGAGGGCAGGGCTGCATTTTCTCCAACAGGACAAGGGCATCATTTCACAGGTAGCCAGTGGGTATTAGTGAACTTGGGGACTTCTGGGTACCTAGGCCTTCCCAGGGTTGCTGATAAACTCACTGGTCAGTGGCTCTGGGTGCTGAGTCATGTAATGCTTGGAGTCAGCAGTGGCTGGGGAAGGGAGTGTGGCCAAAGCAGGAAATGGCCTGCTGTGGCCAGGGTTGGCTGCCCCTATGACCTCTGGGGCCTCAGAGGCTCTTCCCAGAGCAGGCAACCTGGCTCATTCATGAAACCGCACGTCCAAGGGAATCGCCATTCCCAGGGATGCTCGGCCCTCTGCTTTCCAGCCTTCCCGCCTCCCAGGGGAAGCTGTGTCTCTCTGCTTTGGTCCAATTTTCCATGTGGGTCATGTGATAGGAGACATGGTTCGGGAACTTCATGCATTTCTAGAATTCTTAACTCTATTTTCAGATGTCCGCTCCCCTGTGCATACCCCCCACCCGCATCCCAAACATACCCTTTTATTATGAGTAATATCATTCTTCCCAATGAAGAATAAGAATCATTAGTAGATTCCTGAATCAGATTTTAGTGGGTTGAGAATTATCTCTTAATCTGAGAAGGTCTTTCTGCTAGATTTTGGTTAAAACTTGCCTGAAGGGTCTTGGTAGGAAATGTACACCACTTGGAAGGCAAATATACTGGAGAGAATTTGAATACTCTGCTATTGGTTGGGGGTCATCTATTGTCTAGTTACTCACAGCAAGGGGCTGCCCTGACCTGCCTATCAGGGAATTCACGATGACCCTGCTGCAGGCTGTCTCAGGGAAAGTCATGTCCATGGCTCTGTGTGTCTGCAGACTGCAGCAATCTGCAGCAGCGTCAGCTCTGGGCATCCCATTTCTAGTAGTTTACAGGTGGTGGTGAGTCTGGGGCAAATGGCACTGAAAAATCCTGTTACATAGTCAGTGCCTAAAGATGATGGGGCATGGGGGGCAGGGCCTTAGCTTATAGGCCAGGAGAAGGAAAAGCAGCTGGGGAGACTGGGGTTCTAGAAGGAGGCAGGACCAGTGTCCTGAGGTAGGGAAGGTGGGGCAAGGAAGGAGGTGGGAATTTAGGTGTGCGCTCATCACTGCAACTGTGGACAAAGATCACACCTTTGTGGAAATCAGAAATAGATACCCCCTCTGGCTGGGTATAGCCCTGAGCTAGCACAAAGCTTGCTGGGTGCTATCTGGGCTACTGGGACCATCATGCAATGAATGCATGACCTGTACAGCCTCACACTGTGGCCCTGAGCTCTAGAGCAGATACTCACACATGGGTGTGTGCTGGGGCTTCCGGATCAAACGCTGTGTCTCCTCTATGTCCTCCCCTGCAGGGCCATGATGTGAGGACTGTGAGGCTTGAAGGGAGGGGTCAGCTGCTGTAGCGTTGGGCCTTATTAATGGGGTACTGGATGTGGCCAGGGTGCCCTCTTTCCCTCTGCTGAGGTGCCCTGGGGACAGCTGATTAAGGAGCCTGGCACAGTGTCAGTAGTGATTTATGGACTGCCGAGAAGCTTCTGCCTTGAGAGCTAGGCTGCTGCATTATTCATGGTGGTAAGTCATAAATCTGCTGCTGGAGCTAGCTGCTGGCTCGGCCATGGAGGATGAAGACTGAGGGAAGGGTGGTGGGGGAAGAGCAGCAGCTGCCAGGACAGGAGAGGTGTTTGGCAGGCAGGATGGGTTCTGAACAGGAATCTGACGCTTGCTCTTTAGGTCTGGTGTGTGGCCCCATGAATCATCTTGTCCACTCCCTTGCATTTCAGTGGTGAGATTCTAGGTCTTCCCTTGGTTACTCAGGTCCAGCAACCTTCCTCTTGTCTAACCTGGCTACCTTTAATCATGGCTGAAGGCCACGGTTCCTGCCAGAATGCCAGAGGAATTTCTTAACAGGACTTAAAAATATCAGATCACATTTCTTTAGAGCAAATTATCTGCCTAAAGTCCTGCCATCTGGCAATGAGGGCCCCTATGAGCTAGTCTTACTTTTTGCAGTGGTTACTTTACCTCACTCACTAATACCTGTGTGTGAGAAAAATGCACGGCAAGATATAGCCATGTGTGTGAGAAGAAACAGTGCAGTGGTCTTCAGACTTGAGCGTGCATCAGAATTGCCTGCAGGGCTTGTCTAAACACAGATTGCTGGGCCCCACCCCCAATGTTTCTGATTCAGCAGTTCTCAGGTGGAGTCTGAGAACTGGCATTTCTAACAAGTTTCCAGGTGATGCTGATGCTGCTGGTCCAGGAATCACACATTAAGAACCACTACCTTAGTGTAATTTAACCAAGCTTTGCTGTGCTAACATCACCTAAGGAGGGCAAGAACTATTAGTAAAATATACAAATCATTAAATTCATTCATTTGTTCAATAAGCATTTATTGGAACCTACTAAGTGGCCCTGCTGTGCTCTGAGCTGTGAACACAGATACGAAGAGTCAGGCACTGGCTTTCCCAGGCAGCTCACAGTTCAGCTGGGAAGAGGACACATGGGAAGGCATTTGCTGAGAGGTGAGTCAAGCAATTCAACAAATTCAGCCCCTGTTTGGGGGTCTTTAAATGCCCTCATTGCTCACTGTTATGATCTAAAGTAAATAGAAAGGCATAGTCTTGTGCTTTCTCTCCCAAAGCTGTCTGGAGAAACACCCAGAGATATGATGGGCTGTGGGTTAGACAAGTCTGAAGGTACTGCTGTCCTGAAAAGGAGATGACCCTGCAAGTTGGGAGGTTAAGATTTCGTGCTGGAGGTGAGACCTGAAAGATGGATTTGGGAAGGAGTATGAACCAGTAAACATGACTGTCCATACTAGATTAACAATCTTTTCAAAACTGAATAAATGTGGCTGTCCACTTTCCTCCCATGTGTTAGGCTGAAAAACCCTTCCCCTGATCTTATTGGTCCCAGATTCTTAGTTTTTTACAGTCCCTCATTTGCACTTTCTTCTGGGACTTGCAGACAACAGACATGCTTGTCTCAAAGGCTTAATCGTAAGTTCAAACAGACAGTAAAGTGTGTCTGGGCAATATCTGGGCCTGGAGTGGTGATGGGGGTAGTTAATGTGGAAAGGGATTTGTGACAGAGTGGAAATGGGTTGCAAGGAGCTATAATCGGGCATGGGGTGTCTGGCTGGGAAAGGGAAGTGGCTGTAGGATAAGGAGCAGGTTGTTTGGATGCTACAGCAAAGGGCCCTGTTAACTCCCCTCAAGACTGTACTTAACTATTCCTCTCCCAACATACTTCCCAGAAAGAAACATATTAAACTTTTTAAAGTGCTTCTTTTGGTATTTATAGCCATATTTGTAACCTAAATGGATACACTGCCTTCTTTTTGTCCACCAATTTCAGACATTATTGACTTTATATCATGATAGTTGAAAATTTAGGCTCATTTATAAATACTCTTCTGTATCTATTCTCCTAAGATCATTATATCTTAATTCTTAGTTTAAATCATTGTCAGAGTTTTCATTATTATGGCTATACATTTTGCTTAGCATTGACACAAATGGTATAGTCTGATTACACTTTCATTCTTGGACAACTTTTGGTTTTTCCTGGAGTTAATGATTGCTTCAGTTTTTCATTTGTTTACTTGCCTTTTAACATTGGATTAATTTCACAACCTTTCACAGCTTTGTAAAGTACCTTTTAATATAATTTTATGATTGGTTGACACAAATGGTATAGTCTGATTAAACCTACCAGATAGGTTAAACCTACCAGATAACTCATTACTTGCATTCTCTCCCCTCTGAAATCGTGTCTTCTTGTACTCTGTGATCTACTGCTCCAACTGGACTCACTGATCTATGGCTTCTGCACAGCCTCATCCTGACTCTTTCTTTCACTAACATCCTGGCATTCCCTTTGACCCTCTCTTATGTTTATTCCATGTTTCTTTGATCCCATGTATGTTTTCCTCTTTCTTGTTTTGCCCCTTGCTTTGGGGATGCATATCCTCCAATAGCTTCCTGAGAAATGGCACAACAGAGGGAAATGTCAGAAGACTCTGAATCCCTGAAAATGTCTTTATTCTACCCACAGTCTAGATGGAATATAGGTAGAGAATTTTTGGCTGAGAATAGTTAACAATTAGAGTTTCCAGCTTCCATTGTTGCTGTTGAAAACTCCAGTTTCATTCTTGTTCTCAGTTCTTTGTTTGGGCTATCTTTTCTCTCAAAAAGCTTTTAGAATGTTTTCTTTATGCCTGGTGTTCTAAAATGTCATGATGATGGATCCTCATGTGAGTTTTTTCTTCCTTTCCTTCTTTCTTTCAATAGTTACTTTTGTACCATTTTATTTATTTACTCTGGAACTTCCAGATGTTGAAAATGGAGTCTTCTGAATTTATTCTTTAATTTTTGAATCTTCTATTATATTGTCTACATCCTTGTCATTTTGCTCTACTTTATAACAAAAGTTACTTTCTTAACTTTATCCTCCAACTCTCCTATTAATTTTTTGTTCATATGTTTAATTTTCAAAGGCTCTTCATTGTTGTCTGGTTGTTCTGTATTTATAGGTATGCTTTATATTTCATTGATGCAATTTTCTCTTTTATCTCCTTAAAAATGTTAATTATATACATTTTTGAGGCATCCCATTTATTTTATTTGGATGCTATAGCATCCAAATTAATCAGATGAAACAAAGATAGTAAGAAAAGAAATTCTCTGTTTTTCATTGGAGGATTTCCCCCAGATATCTGGAAATATTTGATTATCCATTTATATTTAGAAGTGAGGATGACAAAGTGAATCAAAAGCTGGGAAAGAAGGTAGGGCTTGTGGACAGGTAGTCAGATAGCTCAGAGTCTTATTATGAACCTCCAACGCATCTATTCTTTAAGGTAATTTAATTTCCCTACCAAAAAACTTTAAAAAAATTTAAAGTATCCTCACTTATACCATATGGATGCTGCTAGTGTTCTGAAACTTTGTTGATTTGGTACATTAAAGATGGCCACTGAGCTTTTGGAATTCTCCTTTAAAATGGTGGAGTTATTTTCTCTCTTCTTCAAACTGGGTTGGCTTTGTGACTGCTTTACTAGTAGAATATGGTAGAAGTGATGGATAATTGTTCTGAGACTAAGCCTTAAGAAGACATGGTAGCATCTACTTTTGGAATCTAATCTTCTAAGCCTTAATTTAATTTAATGGAATTAATTTAATGGAAGCTCCTACTTTTGAAATCCTTTTAACACCATGTGAGAGGTCTAGCCACCTTCCTAAAGAAGCCAAGTAGAGAGGCCAAGCATAGAGGAAGTGGCCCTGAGATTATGTGGAGAAAGAGGCCCAGCCATCCCAGCACCCCAGTAGACTCTAGCCTTCAAGCAAGACCAACCAAAGCATCAGATATTTGAGTTGGCCATCTTAGATGTTCTAGCCCAGTTGATCCCTCAGATGATGATAGCGCCCAGCCAACATTGCATAATGTAGAAGAATTATAGTCATGCACACATTAATGACATTTTGGTCAATCACAGACTGCATATATGACAGTGGTCCCACAAGATTATAATGGAGCTGAAAAATTCCTAGCACCTAGTGACCTTGTAGCCATCATAACGTTGTAGCACAATGCATTACTCATGTGTTTGTGGTGACGTCTGTGTAAATTAACATATTGTGCTGCCAGTCATATAAAAGCCTAGCACATACAATTATGTATAGTACATAATAACTTGATAATTATAGTAAAAAACTATGTTACTGGTTTATGTATTTACTATACCATGCTTTGTATTGTTATTTTAGAGTTCACTCCTACTTACTTAAAAAAAAGTGATGGTGAAACAGCCTCAAGCAGGTTCTTCAGGAGGTGTTTCATAAGAAGGCGTTGTTATCATAGGAGATGACAGCTCCATGCCTGTTAGTGACCTTGAAGACCTTCTAGTGGGACAAGATGTGGAGGTGGAAGACAGTGATGTTGATAATCCTGACTCTGTGTAGGCCTAGGCTAATGTGTGTGTGTGTGTGTGTGTGTGTCTGCGACTTTATAAAAAAGTTTAAAAACTAAAAAAAAAAAAAAAAAATTTAAATAGAAAAAGCTTATAAGGTTATAAAGAAAAAATATTTTTGTACAGCTGTACAATGTGTTTTAAGCTGTGTTATTACAAAAGACTCAAAAAGTTAAAACAATTTAAAAAGTTTATAAAGTAAAAAAGTTACAGTAAGCTGACTAATTTATTATTAAAGGAAGAAAAATACTTTAAATAAATTTAGTGTAGCCTAAATGTACAGTGTTTATTAAGTCTACGGTAGCGTAATGTCCTAGGCCTTTATATTCTCTCAGCACTCACTCACTCACTTACCCAACCAAAACAACTTCCACTCTTGCAAGCTCCATTCATGGTAAGTACCCTATACAGATGACCATTTTTTATCTTTTATACTGTACCTTTTCTATGCTTAGATATGTTTAGATACACAAATATTTAACCATTGTGTTCTAATTGCCAAGTGTTCAGTACAATGACATGCTGTACAGTGTTGTAGCTAGGATCAATAGGCCATACCATACAGCCTAGGTGGCTGTATGGCAGCTCTACCATCTAGGTTTATATAAGGTTCACCCTATGGTTCTCACAACAAAATTGCCTGACACATTTTTCAGAGCTATCCCCATTGTTAAGTGGCATATGATTATATTTAGCTGGGTGCAGCCAATCTACAGAATTGTAAGCAATAAAACACTTGTTGTCTTAAGCTGTTGGATTTTGGGGTGGTTGTTATGCAGCCATAGATAACTAAAACAATGGAGGATGAGAGCCTGGGGCTGCATCATATGATATAATCTGCAGATTTTCACTCAATACCCTGATTTTAGAATGGCTTCTTACTTCTGCTGTATCTATACTTAGATTCAGGAGGGTCTGTGGTTTGAAAATTTATTGGCCCAAATTTAAGTACTGATAGACTTCAACATCCCAATTGTAGTGTTCAAGATCCCTACCTTGATATAGTTCAAGCCTAAAGTTTGGCACTGTGATGATCTATAATTTCCTGGTTCAGTATCTTGTCTCCAGCTAAGGAATCTTTTCCATCAAGCCTCTCCTTCACCTCGGACATTTTCCTTCCCAATTTTTTCTCCACAGGACTTTTGCACCTTTTGAGAAAGTGGAATTAAAATTCTTTCTGCACAATGTCTTCTTAGAATTATTGCTACTCATGCAATTTCTCTAGCAGAGCTAATACAGACCTCTATCAGATAGTTATTCTTGACTGCTAATGATTTTAATGAAGGCAGGGTTCCTAGTCCATTACAATTAATTAATTAAAATGAATCAATTTGAACTTTCAATTGGCTGTCTCTGATGTGGCCTCCAGGACCTTCTCTCTAAAAATCCGTGACAACTTAGGAAGACATGACAATGTTTAACATCATTGAAAAGCAAGGCTGATGTACAACGTATGGTCAGATTATAGGAGGAAGTTACTAAATGCAATACAGATAAAGCTGTATCACAAAACCAGAAACAAGTGACATACCGATGCTCCTCTTGAAAGAAAGCAGAATACCTCTTTACTCCTGCTCTAGTTGCCCTAAGCCATTCTGAGACCAAACTAATTTAAAAACTCGGAAGCTGACCCACTACTGTGTGGGTGCTGCTTATTCTGCCTTTCCACTAATGTTTCTACATTCATTTGGAGACTGCAACTGCTGGAAAACAACAGGGTAATATGGGGTGACCCCAAAGGGGTGTTTTGCATTTGAGGAAGTGTACGACCCTCATATGCAGCTCCACGCCTGTGGGTGAGGACACACAGACCTGGTAGCAATGCATGTGGGAAATCATAGGCACAATGTTTCAGGAAGTTTCAGGAGCAGGATAAGATTCCTTCATATGCTTACCTAGCTGGGATAGAAAGAAAAAAAAAAAGACTCCACCACAGTACAGCAGCACTGTATTAAAAGAAAGCCTAGAAACCAGTCCCTGGTAGTTGGGCTGAGACCTCTGTGGATACAGAGCCCGCAAAAGCCCTGTTGCTACAGATATAAGGAGACTCTACTGATTACACATGGGCAGTGGTGGAACCAAGGGAAATCTATATATTTTGTCCATCACTAAAACAGAGTCTTGATATATTTCCTTTATTTTGAAAATGAATACAAAAGGAAAACATTCAACTTGGTCTATTAAAAAAAGGCAAAGGGCAAAGCACGAGAAGGAAACCTCATCCTGATGACTCAGAAGTGCAGAGAGTAACTAGAAGACAATTTTAGAAAACTGTCTGGAACCCTCACTAACTTGCAAAAAAAAAAAAAAAAAGTGATCTCTATGACGAATAACTAAAGAAAACCGTAAGGAGGGAGAAGACCAAGATGTAGTAAGATGAGATAAAAAGATGACAAAGTGAGATGGAAAGGGAACTAGGAAAGATATAAAGGTGTGTCAAGTTACCTATTGTGATGTAATGAGTGGCCCTAAAATGTAGTGGCTTAAAACATACCATTTTGTTTGCTCACAATTCTGTGGGAAAGAATTAGGACAGGGTCATTTGCAATTCTGCTCCCCATGGCCTGCTCCAAGGGGTGGTAGCAGTTGAGAACTGGGCTGTGGCTGGAATGTCTCAGAAGGCTTCACGTGCACATCTGGCACCTGGTAGCTAGAGAATTTTGGGACCCCCTTTCTGTCATGTGACTTGAGTTTCTTTATATGGCAGCTGGATCCCCCAAGTGAGAAAGTAGAAAGTGCCAAATCCAGGATCAGAAGTCTTCTAAAACATTAGTTCCACTAATTCTATTGGTTAAATCAAGTCTCAAGATCAGCCAAGATGAAAGGGAAGGGAAATCATCTCCTCTCTTGGGAGGAGGTGCATATGCATACAGCTTCAGGAGGAGTTGTTGGCAGCCATCTTTGTGGTCAACCTACCTGGGAATTGTAGGTTCAAAAAAGGATGAGAAAGAAACTAAAAGACTTACTATCCACACCAAAGGGTGTGAGGAGCAGAATTAACACTGTGGAAAACTGGAATAATGATGTGGGAGACAAACATGAGTAGTTCTCCCATAAAGTATGAATGGATAGAGAGATAAAATAATGAATGAGAGGATGGAGGACAGGGAACCAAGGTCATAGTGGGACCCCCTTTCTGTGTTTATGGAATCCTCCATGTTAGGTGTCGTGGTGACAGAAACTGCCTTACACATAGAATCTGAAAAGGGCGGAATCACATTTTCTCAGGCTGCTTGCTGGGGTACCAGAACGTGAACTATGCCAGCCAATCAGGCACACCCATCCAGGACTCTGAAAAGGAAGCTTGTAGCACAGAGATGAAAGAAAAAGGAAGAATTCATTTTGAGGTTGACAGCATGACGTCCAGGGCAGCAAAAGCCGTGGAGCAAGCGGCAGTAATGCTGCAAGCCACGCCCCTAGCATTCAGTGGTATCATACCTTGAGTCCTCATTAAATGTGTTCTGTGTGTAACGTGGCTGTCACTCTGGCTGCTGCTGAGCCTCGTACTGTACTGCTCATTTTCTAAGCCTGGGTCTTGACCTTATTGATATTTTTGTAAGATTCCCAATATCCTTTTAATAAATTATTTCATGATGAAGACAGCCAGAGTTAATTTCTGCTGCTTGGAAGTAAGATCCCTGACTAGTGCAAGCACCTGAACAAAGAATGCAGTTGGCCTTTTGTTTCTGCAGGTTCAACCAACTGTGGATCAAAAATAGCTAAAAAAAATAATAAAAATAACAATAGAACAATAAAAACAACACAAGATAACAACTAATTTACATAGCATTTACATAGTATTATGTATTATAAATAATCTAGAGATGATTTAAAGTATACTGGAGGATATGCATAGGCTATATGCAAGTACTACACCATTATATATAAGAGACTTGAGCATCTGCCAATTTCAGTATCTGGGGGGAGTGTTCTGGAACCAATCCCTGCAGATACTGAGGATAACTCTAATAGGTATTGCTGTTGGGGGAAAAGCAGGTTAACTGGAACAAAGGCAGTGATCAGTCAAAACAATTCCTTTTTAATTTCTTAGAAGCCAAAAAGGAATCCAAGTATGTGTTCAGAAATGTTTTACTGTATTCTAGATGATTTAATAAAAGGAGATCTCGTCTAGACAAATTTTAAAAGTAATTCTATTAAATAGGATATTAACTCATAAAATTATATAATCATAAAATTCTAAAAAGGATATAATAATATTTACTGGGATAAAATATTCTATAGGAATTAAGAAGTGAAAAAATAGATTATCTACAAGTTAGGATGACTTCAGACTCCTGATCTGCAACACTAATTGCCAACAGAAAGTATAGTGATATTTACAGTTTTTAGTTTTGCAGGTAAGAGTTTGTGATCCACATTTTTTCTTTTAGAAAAGTACTGGAAGATGTTCAGCATGGAACTGAGTTAATGATTCTCACACAAGTCTTCTTTCTGAAGATTGTTTTAGTTATTCTAGGGCCTGTGCCTTCCATACAAACTTTAGAATAAGCTTGTCTTTGTCTACAAAAAAATCTTGCTGGATTTTGATAGGAACTGCATTAAATGTAGAAACCCATTTGGATAAAACTGCTATCTTTATTATGTTGAGTCATAACACGGGCATGAACATGCTATGTTTTTCCATTTATTTAGGTTTTCTTTGAGCAACATTTTATAATTTTTAGTATATAAATCCTTAATTACAGATTCATACTTTTTATCATACACATTTTGGTAAATGTTTGCCTATTTTTTTGACTGATTGTGAATGATACTATGATTTACATTTTAGTTTCTATATGTTCATTGTTATTTTATAGAAATGCAATTAATTTTTTTGTTGATACTATATCCTGTAACCTTCCTAAACTCATATATTATTATAGTTTTTTTGGAGATTCCATGTAATTTTCATATAGACAGTCATGTTATCTGCAAGTAGAGACGGTTTTATTTCTTAATCATAAGCCCTTTATTCCTTTTGCTTGCCTTATTGCAGGAGGTAGGACTTGCAGTACTGTGCTGAACACAAGTGGTGAGAGCACATTCTTGCCTTGGTCCCGATCCAAGAGAAGAAGCACTCGGTCGTTTACCATTAAGTGTTATGGCAGTACTGTGGTTAGCTGTAGGTTTTTCAATAGATGCTTTTTATCAACTTGCGGTAATTTATTTATGTTCCTAATTTGCTGAGAGTTTTATCGTGAATGGGTGTTTGATTTTGTCAAATGCTTTATCATGGACCTAAATGTAAAACATAAAAGCATAAAACTTTTAGAAAAAAATAGAAGACAATCTTGGAATCTGGGGCTAGGAAAAGAGTGCTTAAATTTGACACCAAATCACATCCCTACAGTAAATCAAATGATAAACTTGATCTTTTCAAAATTAAAAGCTTTTTCTCTGTAAGAATCCATGAGAAGAGAAGAAATCGACAAGCTACAGACTGGGAGAAAATATGAAAATATTTGCAAACTACGTATTTGACAATGACTAGTACCTAGAGTATGCAAAGAACTCTCAAAATTCAACAGTTAAAAAAAGACCCAATTAGAAGTGAGGAAAAGGCATTCACAGACATTTCACATGAAGAGAATATGCAGATGGCAAACAAGCACATGAAATAATATTCAGCATCATTAGTTGCTTTATTTTTTATTTATTTATTTTTTGAGACAGAGTCTCGCTCTGTCGCCCAGGCTGGAGTGCAGTGGTGCGATCTCGGCTCACTGCAAGCTCTGCCTCCCGGGTTCACGCCATTCTCCTGCCTCAGCCTCCCGAGTAGCTGGGATTACAGGCGCCCGCCACCACGCCTGGCTAATTTTTTTTTGTATTTTTAGTAGACATGAGGCTTCACCGTGTTAGCCAGGATGGTCTTGATCTCCTGACCTCGTGATCAGCCTGCCTCGGTCTCCCAAAGTGCTGGGATTACAGGCGTGAGCCACTGCGCCTGGCCAACATCATTAGTTGCTTTATTGATAATAGCCCCAAATTGGAAATAATCCCCATGTCCTCAACTGGTGAATGGTTAAACAAACTGTGGTACCTCCATACGTAGAATACCACTCAGCAATAAAAATGAACCAACTGCTGATACAACAACTTAGATGAATTGCCAGGGAAGTATGATGAGTGAAAAATGCCATTCCTAAAAGGTTACTACTGTATGATTTCTTGTATATAATTTTCTTGAAATGACAAAATTATAGAAATGGAGAACAGATTAGTGGCTGGCAGGGGTCAGGGACAGCGTAAATGGGGTTAAGGGGTGGGAGGTAGATATGGCTGTAGAAGAGCCACTTGAAGGGCCCTTGTGATGATGGACTTGTATCTTTACTGTGGTGGTGAATATAACAATCTATTTATGTGCTAAAATTCTGTAGAGTTAAATACACACACACACACAAATACAAGAACTGGGAAAATCTTAATAAGATGAGTCAATTAGATGAATGTTAATATCAAGGTTATTGATATTAACTACAGTTTTTTAAGATACAAGTTTGTGTGAAACTGGGTAAAGGGTACATGGGGTCTCTTTGTACATATTCTTACAACTGCATGTACATTTGCAGCTTTCTCAAAATAAAAAGGGTAATTAAAAATGAAACATTCGAACATTTACAAATATTAAAATCAAAAGCTAGACAAAGATGCCCACCGTAACCAGTATTAGTTGACATTGTTGTAGAGGTTTTAGCTAATGCAATTATTTAAGAAACAGAAAGAAGTAACTAAGAAACAGGAAATGAAATGATTATGATTTGTATATAATTTTTTTTTACCTAGAACATTCTAGGGAAGTTGCAGAAGAGAGTTTATAAGGGAATCAGTTATGAATTCAGTTAACAAAGTCAAGAGTTTTCTTATAAAATAGCAATAGCTAGTTAGGGGAAAAGATTTCCTTGGCATAAACTATTGAAAATTGTGCAAGACCCATAGGAAAAAAACTTTTATAGTTTTGCTGAAAGACGTAAAAGAGGACTTGAATGAATGGAGAAACATACTCCTCATTGGGAAGATTCAATAAGTGAAAGTGTCATTTCACGGCAAATTAATTGATACCTTTAATAAAATTCAGATAAATTTCCCCATAAGATATTTTCAGAATTTAAAGAAAATACAAAGTTTATTAGGAAAAACAAATCGGCAAAAAATGCTTCATTACCAAATAAAAAATTAAGCATTCAGCTCAAGAAACTTAAATAAGAACAAAATGTACAAAAGGAAATAAGGATGGGAAAAGTAATAGAATTGCTAAATATATTCAATAACTCTTCCTTTGAAAAAAGTAATAAAACAAATTATTCCTTATAATGTTCACCATAATAAATCATAGAAGAAATAAAGTGTAAGAAAAAATACATCTGTAATTTTATTCTTATGGTAGGAATGAGATATGTATACAATTTTTTTCCTATTAATTTGTGCAATTGAGACCTCTTTCTATACCAGGTGTTTTTAATTCTCTAGCTTTGTAATATGTTTAATTAGCATAGTAGTTAAACTTTAAGCTTGAAAATAATGAGTCCTGGGTTCAAATATAGACTCCTGATATTTAGTACTTCTGTAATATTGGAAAACTTTTTTAGCATTGCTAAACTGCAGGCTATTGTACTTTTTTGAGTTTTGGGGAGGAGTAAATAGAATCCACAATGCTTGTGAAAAACCACAGTGCTACATATAGCGTAAGAACTAAATTAAGTTTTTAGTATCTGGTAGGCAACATCTTCGAAAATTCCTTGCTTTCATTAATTTTTCCAACTCAACTTTAGAATTGTTTTATTGAATTTTAAAAACGGTCACATTGGAATTGCATTCAATTTACAGATTTATTTAAGGCAGATGATTATTTTTATAAATCTATCTTTTAATCCAGGAACAATCTATATCTCTTCCCTTACTCAAGTCACCTTTTCATCGCCCTAAGTAGTGTGTTCTACATTTCTTCCATAGATAAGACATTACTAGATTCAATCCTCCAGGTACCTAATGGTTTTTGTTGATGGTGTAGATGGGATTTTTTCCCCATTATTTTTTCAAGCTGGTTATTGTTGATTGGTGGGAAAGTTGTTGATTAGAATATTTATTCTGTAATAGATAGATATGAAAAACAGTTTTGCTTTTTCCTTTCCAACACTTATTCTATTCTTTTTTTTTTTTTTTTTTGACTTATTGATATCCATGTCTGCTTAATCTTGACTTGGATTATGTTACTTGCAACCAAAAAAGTCCTGACTTACACATCTGGAAAAGAGTCTGAATTAAAAAATAAATCCTCTTGATATTAACTGTTATATCCATATATCTCCTTCTACTTATAACTTTAAGTGAAGGTATTTCCTAAGATTGACCTAACCCTGCATTCCGGGAGTTAAATCTATTTGGTCATGCACTTATCTTGAAATATATTGCTGAATTCAGTTTACTATCGTTTATGTGTAGTTTTTGTTTCTTTAGTTGGTTTTGATACCAAAGTTTTGCTGGTTTTGTAAAATGATTTGAGATACTAATTCTTTCTCTGGGTCTTAGAACAGTTTAATAGCACAGGATTGATCTACTGCTTGAGAATCTGAAATACCTTTTGACGAGTAGGTCTCTAATTATTTTTCCATTTATTTCAAGCTTATTTCTTTATTGTCTTTCTATCTTTTTTGAAATCAATTTTGATATTCTATATTGCCTGCCTGTCAGCCTCCTTGCCTCTTTCTCTCTCCTTTCTTGAATTATTCTTCCAGAAGCCATTAGGTGGGACTGAACAAGATAGGGCTCCATACAGGCAAGGTGGTGACCACGGCTCTAAGTTGGGGTGTCAGGATCTGAGCAGGATGAAGAAGAAGACTGCATGGGGTGAGGTGTGACAGTGAGAGAAAAATGCTTATAAGTTGGGTCGGGGGAAGAGACTGATCCAATAAGTAAATATATTAATAATAATGACAGCCAAGTTTCACGTTTTCAGAGAAGGGAGTTACAACTATGGAAGGGGAAGAGAACTAGAATTAATCCTGTGGTGTTGAATTGGAATTGGGATTATGGGTGTGAACTCACTGTTTTTAATACACAGATATAGAAATAAATATATGTATTTCTGTGTATTTAGTTTTCTACTTCTGTATAATAAATTACCCCAAACCTTACTGGCTTAAAACAATAGGACATATTTATTATATCATAATTTCTGTATAGCAGGATTCTAGGTGTAGCATAGCCAGGGGCCCCAAGATCTCTCACAAGGCTGTCATCAAGGGTTGTAGTCTCATCTGAAGGCTCCGTTAGCAGGATCTGCTTCCACACTCATTCATGTGGTTGGCAGGATTCACTTCCTCACTAGCTGTTGGTTGTGAGCCTCTCCAGAAGACAGCTCACAATATGGCAGCTGGCTTCTCTTGAGTGAGAGAGAATGCCCAAGTTGGAAGTCAATCTTTTTGTAACCTAAACTTGAAAGTGACATCCCATCACTTTTATCATATTCTGTTTGTTAGAGGTGAGTCAGTAGGCCCAGGCTGCACTTAAGGGGAGGGGATTATATAAGAACTTGAATACTAGGAGGTGGAAATCACTGGTAGCTCCTATAATAGATAGATAGATAGATAGATAGATAGATAGATAGATAGATAGATAGATAGATGATAGATAGATGGATGATAGATAGATGGATAGATAGATAATAGCGATAGATGATAGAGATAAATGATACAGGTAGATAGATAGATGATATAGATAGACATACACAGATTTCTCAACTCTGTGTACTGAAATATCCTAATAGCACTGAACACACATAGTGCCCAAATCTTTGTTTTTAAGTACCTTTATAGATGATAGCTAGATGGATGATAGATAGATGGATAGATAGATAATAGCGATACATGATAGAGATAGATGATTTAGGTAGATAGATAGATGATATAGATAGACATACACAGATTTCTCAACTCTGTGTACTGAAATATCCTAATAGCACTGAACATAAATAGTGCCCAAATCTTTGTTTTTAAGTACCTTTATAGATGATAGCTAGATGGATGATAGATAGATGGATAGATAGATAATAGCGATACATGATAGAGATAGATGATATAGGTAGATAGATAGATGATATAGATAGACATACACAGATTTCTCAACTCTGTGTACTGAAATATCCTAATAGCACTGAACACACATAGTGCCCAAATCTTTGTTTTTAAGTACCTTTATAGATGATAGCTAGATGGATGATAGATAGATGGATAGATAGATAATAGCGATAGATGATAGAGGTAGATGATACAGGTAGATAGATAAATGATACAGATAGACATACACAGGTTTCTCAACTCTGTGTACTGAAACATCCTAATAGGACTGAGCACACATAGTGCCCAAATCTTTGTTTTTAAGTACCTTTATCCATTAAAAGGAACCAGGGCTTTTGAAGGAATGGTGGATTCCAGGACTGGGGCAGAAAAAGTACACAGTGAGCCTGGAACATCGTGGTGTGCCAGAAAGTAAAGAAGTGCTCAGAGAATGATGAGTCCAGATCAAACGGACATAGAAACCAGATTGAAGCCACTCTCACTAGCCAAATCTGGGATAACTTGACACGATACAAAAGAATAGTAACTGTTTTTGTTATTTTTTTACCATTGAATAAAATAGGAATCCCTGAGTCCATGCGGATATAGATAAATAAATGAATATATAAATGGGGAAAAGAGAGAAATCTGTCCTTGAGAGTAGAATGCCAACTCTACAGAAGGGATGATAGATTTAGAAAATCACCATTTGACAACACTCACAGTATTATGACTCAGCCAAGAAACATCAATGGATGCTAAAACTGTGGATGAGGAATGAGATAGTTACATAAATCTCAAAGCACGCCCCTACAAAGTACTTATTGATAACGAAGGGAAAGAGAGTCACTCGACAGTGGAAGGCAGTCCTTTAATTAAGTGATCAAGTTCAAATTGAAATTATGTGACCCCTGATAAGATGCACTGAGATGCATGTGATACAGAACCTGTATCTGATCATTAGGAGGCATCAGACAAGTCAAATCTTCAAAAGTGTAAGGTTAAGAGAGTCAAGAAAAGATTGAGGAATCATTCCAGATTGAATGAGGCTAAAGAGAAACGATAACAAAATGTAGCACATGATACTGGATTAGATCTGCTTGCTATGGATATTATTGAGACAATTGGCAAAACTTGAATGAAGTCAGCAGATCAGATGGTAGTAACATATTCATATTATTTTCTTGATTCTGATGGTCATATTGTGATTCTGTGGAAAGATGTCCTTGTTTTAAGAAACTACACGCTCAAATATTGGGGTGTATGGAGACATCCTATTGGCAAATTGCTCTGAAATGGTTAAGGAGGAAAAGTTATTTGTACTGTTCTTATAAACTTTCAGTTTGAAATTATTTCTACATAAAAAAAGATAAAGAAAGGATACAAAACTCAACGAGGTGTGTGATCCTATGTCAACAAAAACATGCAATAAAGAAAGATTAAGTGAAAGTTATCCTATTCATCAAATTGTGCGTAGTATTTTCTCCTAATTTTTAATTCTCCTCTATAGGGATGCATGCCTCTCTCCTTCACTGTGCTGTGTGTCTGTGGCTGCCATCTCCTCTTTGATTTGCCCTGCTAGAGGCAGTTTTGTAATGACCAACAGTATGGGTTCTGGTGGTGGACAGATCTGAGATAAAATATTTAACTTCCAAAGCCTCACTTTTCCCATCTGGGCAACAGGATTAACTGTACTTCCTACCTTATGAGGCAACTGTGAGAACCGAATGTGCCAGCGTTAAAGTGCTTATCATGTGTGACGGTTAATTTTATGAATTAACTTGACTGGGCCATGGGATGCCCAGATATTGATTAAACAGTATTTCTGGGTGTGCCTAATGTGGGTGTTTCCAAAAGAGATTAGCATTTGAATTGGTGGATTGAGCAAAGCAAATGACCCTCTCCAGTGTGAGTGGGCAGCATTTGATGTATTGAGGGTCTGAATAGAATAAAAGGTGGAAGAAGCGTCAACTCACTCTCTGCCCAACAAGTTGAGCTGAGACATTGACCTTCTCCGGCCCTTAGTGCCCCTGGTTCTCAGTCTGTCAGACAGACTGGAATCTACACCATTGGCTCTCTGGCTTTCAGGCCTTCAAACTACGCCACCAGCTTTCTTTGCCTCCAGCCTGCAGACAGCAAATCCTGTGACTTCTCAGCCTCCACAATTATGTGAGCCAATTCTTTTTTTTTTTTTTTTTTTTTTAATTCGGGGTCTCACTCTGTCACCCAGGCTGCAGTGGCCCAATCTCAGCTCACTGCAGCTTCGGACTCCTGGACTCAAGCAATCCTCCCACCTCAGTCTCCTGAGTAACTGGGACTACAGGCGCGTGCCGCTACATTCAGCTAATTAAATTTTTTTGTTTGTTTGTTTTTGGTCACAACAAAGTCTCATTATATTGCCAAGCTGGTCTTGAACTCCTGGGCTCAAGGGATCCCCCTGCCTTGGCCTCCCCAAGTGCTAGGGTTACAGGCATGAGCCACTGCATCCAGGGTGAGCCAGTTCTTTAAAATAAATCTCTCTCTCTCTCATCTCTGTTTCTCTGG
Organism: Homo sapiens; assembly: GCF_000001405.40. Classification (NCBI taxonomy): domain Eukaryota; kingdom Metazoa; phylum Chordata; class Mammalia; order Primates; family Hominidae; genus Homo; species Homo sapiens. The sequence continues at coordinate 71,766,806 of NC_000002.12, forward strand.
AGAATCCTGACTAATACCTCATAGTACCTGGCCATTAGCTGAATGCCTAATAAATGCTGTTATTATTATCCTAATTATAGTCTTTTCAAAGACCCAACTCTTAGATTTCTTGGATCTATAGTTTTTATTTTTATCATCATCTAATTTATTAGATGATGATAAAATGTTTCTTCTAACTTTTCATAGCTTTGTTGACTTTGCCCTTTTACTTGCTTTTTTGAGTTGAAAACTTAGTTCATTTAATTTCTTCTGTTTAATGAGAAAAACATAAAACTCTATATATTTTGCTCTTTAGAGCTTCATATGTTCTCTTTGCTGTGGCTCTCATTGTTTCCTAAATAATCATTCATTACTTGCAGTCTTGATTTCCTCTTTGACTTTAGGGCTATTAAAACTATTCTACACCCTTCTAGAGTGGCTTCAGTTTGTTTCTTTGTTTTTCTTTTTGTTTTTAAAGTGTAGTTTTGCTGCATTGTGGTTTGCGTTTGTGCATTGTACTATTTCCACTTTTTAGATTTTAATGAGATTTTCCTTGTGGCCTAAGATATGATCAAATTTTGTAACTGTTTCTTGGTCATTTGAAATAAATATGTATTGTCTGTTTCTAGGAACACATTTTGATATAGATCTGTGAAGCCAAAGTTTAATAGTAATTTTTAATCATTCTATCTTCTTATTGAAATGCCTGTCTACCTGATTTCTCAGAAATGGCGAGGCATGTTTGGTGTTCTTTTACAGCCATGGTTTTATTCAATTTCTCTTTAATACTTAACCTTTTTGTACTTGTACATTTGATGCTTTATTTGGCACACACAGATTAATGGATCTTATATCCTCATCTAGTTTACCTCACTTACCAATATCCCTTGCAATGCTTTTTTTTGTTGTGAATTGTACTGTCTAATATTAATATTGCTTTCTTTTTGTTTGCACTTGGGTAGAGGATACCCAGTAGATTGTTCACTCTTTCCCAGAAGGTGGTCTACTTTATAGGAAGCCTTGTAAAGCCCTGACCCAAGCTATGCTTGTTTGCTCCAGAGATGGGCATGTGACCATGCTGGACCAATCAGATACTCCCTGAGTTGGTGGGAATTGGGACCAATGGGTTACACTTCATTTTGCTGTTGTCTAGATTTGAGGGGATACACACTTGGGGATGCCTGTGCTATGGCCGTCTTCCTCCAGGAAAAGATGGAAAGCAGAGGACATGGCTTGGTGCAAATGTGGAAAATGAAGGAGATGCACAAGAAACCCAGGGATGAGAGATGGGAAAGACTCCTAACAGCCTGGAGTTCCCTGTGTCATTCTAGTTCTGAGCCTCTAGAGTCAGGGAATTTCATCATTCATCTCATGATAGTGCTCTCTCTTCTTCATTCTCCCTTTTACTCCCCCTACCGTGTTCCTATCTCCTCAGGTTTGCCTTGCAAGTTTCTTTATACAGTTATGCATCACTTAACGACGGGGATACATGCTGAGAAATACATCTCTACGCAATTTTGTCATTGTGTGAACATCATAGAGCATCCTTACACAAATCTAGATAGTATAGCCTACTACACACCTAGGCTATATGGTATGGCCTACTGCTCCTAGGGTACAAATCTGTACAGCATGTTATGTGCTGAATACTGTAGGCAGTTGTAGCACAGTGGTAAGTATCTGTGCATCTAAACATAGAAACGGTACAGTGAAAATATGGTATTAAAATCTTATGAGACCACCATTGCATATGCGGTCCTTCATTGGCTAAAATGTGGTGATGTGGCACATGACTGTATTTAGAAATTAGGAAATTACACTTTCTATTTTTAGTCAACTACTTCTTCCCTTACACATATACACACTACATATATATAAATATATGTATGTATATGTACATATGTGTGTATATATGTGTGTGCATATATATAATGTGTATATATAGGAAATTATAGTTTCTATTTTTAGTCTACTTCTTTCCTTAAACACACACACACTACATATATATGTGTATATATGAGCATATATACAAAAAGTGTATGTATACACACTTATATACACATATACACATATATGTATGTGGATATGTGTATATATACATATACATATATACATATACATATATACACATATCCACATATATGTGTATATATACACATATCCACATACGTGTGTATATGTGTATATATACACATATCCACATACGTGTGTATATGTGTATATATACACATATCCACATACGTGTGTATATGTGTATATATACACATCCACATACGTGTGTATATGTGTATATATACACATATCCACATACGTGTGTATATGTGTATATATACACATATCCACATACATATATGTGTATATATACACATATCCACATACATATGTGTATACATGTATATACACACGTATCCACAAACATATATGTGTATACATGTATATACACACGTATCCACAAACATATATGTGTATACATGTATATACACACGTATCCACAAACATATATGTGTATACATGTATATACACACGTATCCACAAACATATATGTGTATACATGTATATACACACGTATCCACAAACATATATGTGTATACATGTATATACACACGTATCCACAAACATATATGTGTATACATGTATATACACACGTATCCACAAACATATGTGTATACATGTATATACACACGTATCCACAAACATATATGTGTATACATGTATATACACACGTATCCACAAACATATATGTGTATACATGTATATACACACGTATCCACAAACATATATGTGTATACATGTATATACACACGTATCCACAAACATATGTGTATACATGTATATACACACGTATCCACAAACATATATGTGTATACATGTATATACACACGTATCCACAAACATATATGTGTATACATGTATATACACACGTATCCACAAACATATATGTGTATACATGTATATATACACGTATCCACAAGCATATATGCGTATATATACGCGTATCCACCTACATATATGCGTATGTATACGCGTATCCACCTACATATATGCGTATGTATACGCGTATCCACCTACATATATGCGTATGTATACGCGTATCCACCTACATATATGCGTATGTATACGCGTATCCACCTACATATATGCGTATGTATACGCGTATCCACCTACATATATGCGTATGTATACGCGTATCCACCTACATATATGCGTATGTATACGCGTATCCACCTACATATATGCGTATGTATACGCGTATCCACCTACATATATGCGTATGTATACGCGTATCCACCTACATATATGCGTATGTATACGCGTATCCACCTACATATATGCGTATGTATACGCGTATCCACCTACATATATGCGTATGTATACGCGTATCCACCTACATATATGCGTATGTATACGCATATCCACATTCATACATGCACACACATATGTATACATATATACACATATACATACACACATGTGTATATATGCATATATACACACATATGTATACGTATATATGCAGTGTATGTGTTTAAGGGAAGAAGTAGTATATGTGTATATATATGTATGTCTATATATATAGACACATACTATATATACTGTACATTGTTTCTTCATCAACCTCAAAAAGAACATGGTATGCATTTATTTCCCCTGTGTAGGATAATTTCATGCTTTTTAATTGCATCACTACTTCTACCTCCCATTTTTTCTTGATATAATGACATTTTAGATTAAGATGATTATTATGAATTTGTTTCTTACATTTATGTATCTTTTTTAGTAATTGCTTTAGACATTTCTATTACTTTTAAAATCATGTTACTATCAATTTTAATAAGTTCACTCTATTATGTATCTAATTTCTACTAATTTTTTCATTTTTTCTTGCTTAGCTGGAGCACTGCTTTGAACAAATTTTTCTGGTTGGTTGAGGGAGTGATATACATTCTAAATGCTTACATGCTTCAAAATGTCTTAACTGCCATCACAAATGAATTATAAGCTTCATGTTTCAGTTGCAGTCTTTTCTCCTTGGAACTTTGTAGATATTATATTTATCATATTTCTTTTTGTATGTAGGATTGTAGAGGAGAAGTCTGATTCCAGTTCAATTCTCTTCACCCTGACGTGTAACCCACCACCCTCCTCCCACCCCACAAATACATCAAGGATTTTAAAATTTATCCCTGACATCCTAAACTTTCACCAGGAGATATTTAAGCATGGCCCCTCTTTCATTAATAATGCTTGTTTTTTTCACAGGAACTTTTGTTTCTGTGGTTAAAGATATTGTCCATCTCTCATGTTTCCCCCTTGATCCATCTGCTCCTCTTTCTCCTTCTGGAATGGCAATGAAGTTGTTTTTAAATACGGGCTTTATTATTATTCAGGTGTGGCGAGGCCAACAGATCAGGACACAACCACCATTGAAAAGATGGTTTATTACTCACAGTCCCAAGAGGAGAAGGCATAATATGCCATGGGTGTGAGTGGGAGGGACACTGGGAAGCACCAGGGTCAGTCAGGAGGCAGAGGGAGTGGGGAACATGTGGGCAAGAGCCTTTACTGTAGTTTCTGTGGGAAGGAATGGGTGAAGCAGGGTAGGCATGCTTAGAATTAGCTAGTTTGAGTAATTTGAATAATGCTGAATAATTGAATAACTTCAGCAGCTCTGGGACATAGAGACTGTTCCTAGATGCCTGATACCTGGCTCTGGGGTGATTAGGGTGGATGGATAGTGACCAGAGTGTGAGAGACCTGTGAGAACCCTAAAAAGGAGATGGTTAGGGTCTGGGCTCTGGATTCATTAGTTTGCATTTGAAAGGCACGCTTCCAAGGAAGTTCTTTACTAGCTCTAGAAATTGACTAGGAAGAGATGTTTTCTCCAGGGTCAGCAAGGCCCCAGATTTTGAAGCCCCAGAAATACAGAAAATAAAAAGGCATGATGAATACAGAAGTAGTTACGAGAAGCCCCCTAAATAACTCTGCTGTATCTGTAGTTATATATACGCTTGATTGTTTCTAATGATAATATGTTAAAGAAAAGATTATTATTGTAACATATTATTTAGCTCTCCTTTTGCTTTCCATACTGCCAAAGGTTTGTATACAGTCATATACCTCATAACGACATTTCATTCAACAACTGACTGCATATATGACAGTGGTACCATAAGATTATGATGGAGTTGAAGAATTCCTATCACCTAGTGATAGTGTAGCCATCATAATGTCATAGTGTAACACATTACTAACAAACCTACTGTGCTGCCAGTCATATAAAATTATAGCATGTACAATTATGTTCAGTATATAACACTTGATAATGATAGTAAATGACTATGTCACTAGTATATGGATTTGCTATACCGTACTTTTTAATCATTATGTTAGAGTGTACTTTTTCTACTTATACGAAAAGGTTAACTGTAGAACAGCCTCAAGCAGGTCTTTCAGGAGGTATTCCAGAAGGAGGCATTGTTATCATAGGAGATGACAGCTGCATGCATGTTACTGCCCCTGTAGACCTTCCAGTGGGACAAGGTGTGGAGGTGGAAGACAGTGATATTGATGATCCTGACCCTGTGGAGGCCTAGGCTAATGTGTGTGTTTATGTCTTAGTTTTTAGCAAAAAGGTTTAAAAAGTAAAGAAAAAATTTTAAAATAGGAAAAAGCTTATAGAATAAGGAAATAAATAATTTTCGTAAAGCTGTACAATGTGTTTGTGTTTTAAGCTGAATGTGTAAAGTCAAAAAGTTAAAAAATTAAAAAGCTTATAAAGTAAAAACAATTACAGTAATTTAAAGTAATTTAAGGTAAATTTGATTGTAAGTTAAGTGTAGTCTAATTGTTTATGATGTCTACAGTAGTATACAGTAATGTCTTAGGCCTTCACATTCACCCACCACTTACTCACTGACTCACCCAGAGCAACTTCCAGTTCTGCAAGCTTCATTCATGGTAAGTGTCCTCTACAGGTGTACCATTTTTTATCTTTTATACTAAATTTTTACTGTACCTGTTCTATGTTTAGATAAACAAGTACATAACCATTGTGTTCCAACTGCATACAGTATTCAGTAGAGTAGCACGCTGTCCAGATTTGTAGCCTAGGAGCAATAGGCCATACCATACAGTCCAGTGTGTAGCAGGCTGTACCGTCTAGATTTGTGTACATACAAACTATAATGTTTGCACAATGACAAAATTGCCTAATAATGCATTTCTCAGAATGTATCGTCATCGTTAAATGATGCATAACTGTATTTCATTAGTTTTATGTATTTCCAAACAGCCACTTTAAAAAAATTTCAACTTTTATTTTAGATATGGGGATACATGTACAGATTTGTTACACAGGAATAGTGTGATGCTGAGGTTTAGAGTATGGATCCCATCACCCGGATAGTAAGCATATTACTTGATAGGTAGTTTTTAATCCACCCCACTCGCTCCACCCTCTAGTGGCCCACGTCTATTGTTCCCATATTTATGTCCATGTGTGCTCAATGCTTAGCTCCTACTTATAAGTGAGAACATGCAGTATTTGGTTTCCTGTGTTAATTTGCTTAGGATTATGGCCTCCAGCCCCATCCATGTTGCTGCAAAGGACATGATTTCATCCTTTTTTGTGGCTGCATAGTATTCCATAGTTATATGTACCACATCTTCTTTATCCAATCTACCACTCATGGGCACCTGGGTTGATTCCATGTCTTTGCTGTTGTGAGTAGTGCAGCAATGAACATACAAGTACATGCGTCTTTTTGGTAGAATGATTTATTTCTTTTGGGTATGGCCCCAGTAATGGGATTGCTGGGATGAATGGCAGCTCTGTTTTAAGTTCTTCAAAAACCACTTTTTATTTCATTATTCCTTTCTATTTTTTGTTTCTTTTCGTTTTATTATTTTTGGCTTTTATCTATATTATTTCCTTTTTTTTCTATTTCCTTTTGTTTTTTTCCATTATTCTATTTTCAACTTCTTGAGTTGAATCCCGAATCCATTTATTTTAAAACTTTCTCAATTTCTAATAAATATATTTAGGTCTAGACGCATCTCTCTAGTTATAGCTTGACAAATTTTGATGTGCCATGCTGTTCTGCTCTCATCTCTCATCATTGTTCAGTTCTAAAAGGTTCATAATTTTTATTGTGGTTTCTTCTTTAACCCATAAATTAGTTGGCAGTGGGATTGTTTTGCTTGTTTGCTTCCAAATATATGGGTCTTTTTTTAAAATTTTTTTTGGAATAGGGCCTCCGTTAATAGTTTGAGTTGTATTGTGTGGTGGTCAGAACACATGGTCTGTATCTGTATCATATTGATAAGACTTCTTTTGACAGACATTGCAAGTCAAATATTTTAAATGACCATATATACTTAGAAGGAGTATGTGCTTTCTATTGAGTGCAAAGTGCTATATGGCTCTATTATATCAAATCTCTTGTGATTTTATTACTTAAATATTTTTATGATGTTAGAAATTTTGACTGCATGTTCTGTTCATCTCTGAGAGAGCGACCTACTCTGATTGTGGATTTGTCAATTTCTTTTTTGATGCTATCAATTGCATACTTTAAGCGCATTGTTAGTTGAATATAAGGCATTATGGTTATGCCATTACATTTTAAAAAATTTATTTATTTTTATTTATTTATTTGTTTATTTATTTATTTATTTTAGAGACAGGGTCTCACTCTGTGGCCTGGGCTATAATGCAGGGTGCCATCATAGCTCACTGTAACAATGAACTTCCAGGCCTCAGCCTCCTGAGTAGCAGAGACTACAGGCAAGAGCCACAGTGCCTGGCTAACTTTCATTTTATTTTATTTTTTTGTAGAGACGGAGTCTTGCTATGTTGCCCAAGTTTGTCTTGAACTCCTGGCCTCAAGCAATCCTTCCATCTCAGCCTTCCAAAGCGCTAGGATTATAGGCATGAGCCACCCTGCCTGGCTGATTTTATTTTTTTATTTTTAAAGATGGAGGTCTTGCTATGTTGCCCAGGCTGGAGTGTGATGACTGTTTACAGATGCAATTATAGCTCACTGTAACTTCGAACTCCTGGGCTCAAGAGATTCTCCCGTCTCAGCCTCTTGAGTAACTGGGACTAAAGATGTGCACCACTGTGCTTGGCTGTTATACCATTTTAATGGATTATTCTTTTTAAGACTAGGAAATGTTCCTCTGCGTTTCTATAAAATTAATGTTTTCTTCTTCTCATTAACATTTCACCAGCCTCTATTTAGATAGCATTTTACATGTGTATGTTTTGCATAACTTTATTTCCATTCTTCCTCTCCCAATTTAGATTTTTTTCATAAACAGCATATAAGTGAATTAAAGAGGGTAAAGATCATTATGAAATTCTGTCTTTGAATAAAGATTTGACCCATTTATATCCATTTATTATGAGTATAAATATATTTTCACTTACTTTGGCAATACCATTTTTGTTCCTATTCACCATGGGTTTTCTTTGCTTATTCATTTCCCCTTCATTCTTGCCTTCTGTTGAATTGACTTCATTATTTTTTTCCTTTACATGTTTGTAAATTACACATCTGTTTCTATCCTATTTGTGGATAATCTCATTTGACGGTTCATTTTCTATGGAGGTATTTCCCTAAATGCCATTCTCTATAGGGTGGTTTTGCAGTTTCCTTAGCCCCAGCTCCCCAGGGCTTGGAGTTGTCAACCAGGTATCATGTGAACAGGTTTGTCTTGTGGTCTTGTCCATGTGGATGGAGTAGTTCTGAACTTCATATCGACACAGGGAGCAATTTCTTTCTTAGGCCACATCTCTATTTCTGGCCATGGATAAGCAGTACGTTTCCAGACACATGGGTAGGTGGGTGAGCAGAGTCAGCTGCCTCCCCTTGTGGGTGGGCTATGTGTTCATGGCTTCGCATAGGTGCCCAGTCTTGGCATAGCAGCCCTAATCCCAGTGACCTTTCTCTGTGCCAAGTTCTTAGCTGCACTCCAGCTCCTGCTTTGGTTTCCTCTGCCATTATTCACATGTGAAGATCTTCCTTTCTTTATTCTCTTTAACACAGTTACGCACATATATTCTAAATTAAATGACAAATCTGTCATTCCTGTATGCTGGGATGGAGGGGTAGGGTTTGGGTACATGCTCGCTCTGTTACCTTGGCCTGAAAGTCCCATATTATCGATTTGCATACACACTAGGCTGGAGTTAAATGACTGACACATGTTAGAATACTTTAGGATGAAATTCTTCATCCAGGCAGCTATCTTCCAGGAAGGAGGGGCCCTGTCTTCTTCAAGCAGCACTAAAGGTGGCATCTTCTTGGTTCATCTTGTGCCTTTCTGGGTCTCTCTGGGCTCCAGAACAGCACCTTGGGCTCCTCATGGCCTCTGCTCCTCATGCACGCTGGCTTGGATGGAGAAGCCTGACAGCTTCTGAAATACCCATGAGCAACTTGAAGGTCAAAAAAGGGAACATAACAATGCAACAGAAACAAAAGAGTGATGACAGAGATGGATGAGGTAAAACTAAGGAAGAGCTTTCCCAGGGCTGGGTTTTGAACTCTTACGGACATCGAACAAATAGGTTCAGATGTTCACCCGAGGTAGCACTGGGCAGGCTCCAGGGCTGCTGGCTGACAGGACTCCCAGCCCCCAGAGCCTCCTTCTTGCCTGCACTTTGTCACCAGTGTGCTGAGTACTTGGATGCTGCAGCTAACCAGGCTTTTAGGGTCCTTGCCAGGCCCCTTGCATGGTTTCCCCAATCCTGTTTTGTTCTCCTACCTCCTGTTTTGAATCAAGCAAATTTATTGACTGCTTGGGGAGGCTTGCAGGAGGCTTTCTGCTTCTTGCTCCCTTGAAACAGCACACTAATACTAAACATCATTTATTAAGCACTTCTATGTGCTATATGTCAGACAGACCCTATGCTAAGGGCTGTCTTGTTTCATCCTTTTTTCACCTTTAATTGGATGCTATCATGATGTGGAGACTGAGATCATCATTTTAGAGATGAGGAAGCTGAGGCCTACAGAATTTCAGCCCCATGCCCAAGTTTACACATCTGGCCCATGGTAGAGTTGGGAATCAAACCCAAGTTTGTCTGATCTCAAGGGCTGGGCTGTTTCTTCCATACTCTTCTGCTAACAGATACAAGAGTCAAATGTGATGCTAATGGTAGCTTCCAAGCTAACTCCCAAGTGGCTTCCCAGGTAGCTTTTTTTTTTTTTTTCTCTTGAGACAGAGTTTCACTCTGTCACCCACACTAGATTGCAGTGGTGCGATCTTGGCTCACTGCAACCTCTACCTCCCAGGTTCAAGCGATTCTCCTGCCTCAGACTTCTGAGTAGCTAGGATTACAGGCATCTGCCACCATGCCCAGCTAATTTTTTGTATCTTTAGTAGAAACGGGGTTTCACCATGTTACCCAGGCTGGGCCTGAACTCCTGACTTCAGGTGATCCACCTGCCTTGGCCTCCCAAAGTGCTGAGATTATAGACATGAGCCACCATGCCCAGCCCAAGGTAGCTTTCAAATCATTAATCCTGGCTGGGGAAAGGGCTAGAGGGGACTTCACAATTCACTGCTTCTCCAGGAAATGGCACAACACTTCTAAGATCTTCTGGGAGAAACTTATGCATTGTGTAGGAAGGATGATCAGATCTTTTATGCAGTTTTTGGGGAGTGGGCTGGTGCTGGGGAACTGGGAGGGGGAGATGGGCAGGGGAAGAATGGGCATAGACTAGCCCTGCCTGGAGGGAAAGGTGAAAGTGGTGGGAACATGTACTGGGGTCACGTCACCTGGAGGCATCCCCCTATCCACACCAATCAGACATCTGCCACTTAAGAGAAAAGTCTCTACTCCCCATCCTCTTCTAATAGGTGTCCCTTCTGAGAACCAGATTCCAGGATCTCTCCCAGTTCAAATCCAGCCTCAGACCACCTTGCCCAGAAAAGGTGGTTTTGTAGTCTAACCACTTTCCCTTTAGTTGTCTTAGAAATCCAGCATGGAGCTGCATAGAGGGCTCTGTTTATGCTGGAGCGGGGAGGAGATGATCCTGGAGAAGGATTAATGCCCACACTTCTCCACAGGGCTCAGACCCATTAACAGGAACTCCTTTCACGGTCCCACTGCCCAATGCCTGATGCTGCAATTTCTGTTCCTAGGGCTCATACCCACTGAGGATCCCGTACATTGTACACAATGTCTGCCTGGAGGAGGGAATCTGCACCTGGGAGTCTCAGCACCAGTGCCCTGGGCCTGTCTGCCAAGATGCCCATCTGCAGCTGAGAGGCCTGAGGGTGATCCAGCCCTTCCCGAGGCCAGGCTCTGACTCCTTTCGTGTGAGGCTTGGGCAGCTCCAGGCTCCAGGCTGGATCTGGACTGTGTGAGAGAGGACTTCCCTGGTCCAGCTCTCCCTGGCCTCAAATGGACCGCACCATCTTCCTGCAGTCTGAAAGCTCTCTCTGGCTCACAGCCCCTGGAATCCTTATCTTCCCTAGGCCCATTTCTCTCCACCCTGCTTGGCTTCTCTGAAACATGATGGCAACTGGTAAAAACTGGCTCCCTGTTCTTTCCCTTTGTTGAATGCTTCTGGGTACATCTAGAAGAACTCACCTGCTTCTGCCTTCCAGAAAGAGCAGAGAGTCAGTCAGGATAGGACAAGTTATACTGCAGCAACAAGCCTAACATCTCAATGGCTTAAAACAATGGAGATTTATTTCTCACTCATGCTTCCTGTCCACTGTGGACTGGCTGGAGCCTGTTCCATGTTATCCTTATATAGGAACCAGGCTGATAGAGCAGGCTCTTTGGAACCTATCTGGTGGCAGAGGGAAAGAGCTCTGGAGGGCTTTACACTGACAATGACAAGCTCCAGCCTGGAAGGGACACATACCACATGGACCAGGAAGTGTGTTCAGAGAGCAAAAGGCGGCAAAAGTCAACCACAAGACTTGCCATGTGGCTAAGCAAGGGCACATTTCTGGAAGGGTGAGGAGCTGGGTTTCATGTGGGTGGTCAGAGGTCAACAGACAGCTGGGGAGATGTATTCTCCTTCATTCAACACAATTGACTTTGGAGCTGGACTTCCCTGGTTTAAGTTTACATTCTACCACGAACTAGATGTGTGACTTCAGGCAAATTGCTTAGCTACTATAAGCCTCAACTTCCTCATCTATTAAATGGAAGCAATACCATCCAGAGTGCCACAGCCAGCAAGTGCTGCTGCCAAGATTTCCAGCTACCTGGATCTGGGTCCACGGCCCGTGTGTCTGCCAAAATCCTGTCTCCACTGGCAAAAAATCCTGGCTTAGTAACACCCACATGGCACAAGATGGCAGTGTAATCTCTCCCTTATCCCACTTGCCTATTCTTCCCCTTTTATTCCAAGCCCCAGATTTCTCCCTAATCATCCTGGGCCCTCTGGAGCTTCCCCTCAACTCCAGTTCCTGCCTGGCTGGATGGCACAAATCCTGCTCTCAGTGCCTCTGAAGTCATTTGCTGAGAACTGAGGGTAGATCACTTTAGACCATTCAGCCTAGGTTCTCACCAGCCCCTGCCTCGGGGGCTCAGACTCCTTCAGCCTCCAGAGTGGGCCAGGTTCCCAGATTCTCATTGCACTTGGGAGTGACCCCGCCACATGTGAGAGGCCCTGAACCCTGGGTGGTATCTTGAGCTCCAGGCTGTGACTGGGAGCATTCTGGGGAGCCCACTCTGTGGAAAGGAGAGAAAGGTTACAGAATCCCTCCAAACAAGGCAAAACAAAGCCATTTATCTTGGCGCATTAGTCACTGAGCTGCTGACGCAGGCAAACATGCTGTACTCTTGGCAATCATCATTTACATTAAAACAGGATGATTTGTGGAGTTGGAGGCCCGGGACCCTTCCAGACTTCCCCACCCACCTCAGTCTGTCCCTGCAAGCGCCAGAGGGCTGGGGCTGTGGGTTCTTCCTTGGCAAAGAGAAACTGGCCTTAGTCTGGGGGTACAGGTGCCCAGAGTCCCAGCCCTATTTTCTTCCAGGTGCATATCCTTCCAGGCTGTGGGACTGTAGGAGCTGCCTCAGCCTCCCAGAGCCATGCTCAATGGGGGCAGCCTCTCAGGCTGGGCTGGGTTCAGTGTCAGCATCACATTGTATGTGTGGTCTTTTTTTTCTTGGCTGTTTAGTGTTTGGAAGGAAGGGCTTTCAAGCCTCCAATTTTCCCATATTCCAGAGGAAGATGATGACAACAATGAACACTGTATATATACAGTGTCTTCCTCCCTTTCTCTCTCTCTCCCTTCTTTCCCCCCTCTCTCCATTCTCTCTCTCTCTCTCCACACACACACACACACACACACACACACACACACACACACAGACACCACTCTTACACAAATTGTCCCATATACGGATGAAATTGTACCTTTGAGAGCTAACACTCCCTCTCTCCAGGCTTAGGTGATATGGGATAGATAGCAGAGTCTTCCTTCTCAAGGTGACTTGTCATTTGGTCTGAAGCAAATCCCAGGTGACCGCCTCACCCACATCACACAGACAGTGCCCAGGCTGTCTGTTGCTCTTCGGCCCTGGGTCTGTCCTAAGTGCTCCTGGCCATGGTGCCCGCCGTGCCCCACTTTCAGCCTATATGCCCAAGGGTGCAGCACACAATCTTGTCTGTGCCAGTCAGGATCATATTCTCCAGGCCTCAGTGAGGGGTGTAGAGATGTATATTTGACTCAGTCAGAACCAATAAGCGTGAATAAAACATTGCTGAATTTCTGTGAAAGTGAACCTCCAGCGAGCGAGAGAGAATGAGTGTGTAATGAGCACAGAATTTCTTCTCTCTTGGTCAGTGTGCCAGAAAGTGGATCTGGCATGGCTGTCCAGAGGGGAGAGCTGAAGGGCCACCTTGCAGAGCTGAGAACAAAGCAAAGACCTAGAGAGAAACAGTCCCTGGTGACATCCTTTAGGTGACTGGGTTGAGCTTCTCTGGATCAACCTGTCAAGCTTTGAGAGTTAACCTATTCCCTTTGTTTAAGTCAGTCTGGGGTGAACTTTGTGTCACATATGGCCAGCAGAGCCTTAACCAGTACAGAAAGTAAGTGTGATCAGAGAGTGTGGGAGACCTTGAAGTTTAGCATCAGAGCTTTGCACAGGCTTCCCACAACTGAGAACACCATTGTCGCCTAGTGGATCTCCATTCCTCTTGCAGGGCACTCATTAAGGAAGGAAGACTCTGCTGTCTATCCTGTATCACCTAAGGCTGGAAAGAGCATCAGCTCTCAATGGTGCAATTTCATCCTTGTATGGGACAATTGCGTGTGTGTGTGTGTGTGTGTGTGTGAGAGAGAGAGAGAGAGAGGGAGAGGGAGAGAAGGAGAGAGAGGAGAGAAAGGTGGGGAGAGAGAGCGAGAGATCAGAAGGCACTGTACGTATCTTCCAAGAAGATGTGCTAAGCATCTCCTAGAAGTACGGATGAACATCCAACAAACGGAAAAGACAGGGAGCTCCTTTTTGTCAGTCATACCATTATGTTTTAGAGAAGCCAAGCAGAGTAGGGAGAAATCACTACCCACTCAGGTATTGCCTCTCTGTTTGGAAGTGTTCCGTATCTCTGGGACCTAGACTGTACCATGGGCATATTCTGGGCTGTATTTATTGGTTCACATCCATTCTTCACCCAAACACAGACCTGTCTTGCCTCTAGTTCCTGTGGGTTGGGGCACACAGTAGGTGGCGTGCATGCAATAAATAATTGTTCTTCTGAACAGCTGCACTGGTGGAGAGAGGGGGAGGGAAGACAGAAGACCTTGGAGGAAGAACTTTAGAGTTCAGAAAAGAATGTGTGAAGGCCTGAGGTAGGCAGTGGAAGAGAGGAGATTTGGGACAAGAAAAGAAATTGCTTTTAAAAATGAGAGGAGGAGACTTAGGAGGATCACTTGAGCCCAGATGTTCGATGTTCAAGGCTGCAGTGAACTATAATTGTGCCACTGCACTCCAGCTTGGGTGGCAGAGAAAGACCCCATCTTTAAAACAAAGAAATAAGTAAAACAAAAATGGAAAACTTTAAATGAGGAGAAAAAGTTCTGTAAGCTGAAACTGAGAGTGGTTCATGTTTCAGGTGGGAGGTGTGGTGGGTGGCATGGAAGTCGAAGGACAGAATAACAGGGAATAACTTCGAGTTGGAGTGGGTGGGGACAGGCAGATCTCCCATCCAATCAAGGAGTCTGTGCTACCCTGGCAGAACAGACAAACCAACAGGTGCTCCCTTAGCCCTGCCCTCAGCCGGTGCTGACCTGGGTCATCCAAAATGCTGGTGGTGAAGGGTGAGCACTCCTGGTTGGCGTTGGAAGGCATTGTTATACCTTAAATGACAGAGGGCTGCTTGATGTCCCAGATATGACTCCAAACTGATAATGGACATTGGGCTAGGTGTGGGGAGTTAGGGTGCCCTTCCACCTCAGAAATAACCCCACCGAGCTCTTCTTTAGGGCTAATGTCATTTTGAGGATGCTTGGAAATAGCCCAAGAGGCACCATCTTTTCTCTTTGGGGTATAAATGACCTGGCCTTCCATACTGATTGCCACCAAGGATGGGTAGACAGCAGCCAAGGTGGGGCTCTGGGGGGCCAGGGCAGGGGCTGGTATAGCAACCTGGAACAGAAAGCTGAGGCTTCCATCCCAGCAGAGAGCAGAAATGGAAGTAGGGAACCAGGGGCAGGGGCAGAGGACAGTGGGGTGGGGAGGGCTGCCTCCAGAGGTTCTTGGGGATACTTCAGCTCTGCCACACCAGCCTGCTAGACCAAGACCTGAAGCCTCTGGTTGCCAGCAGGGGAAGAGGCTCCCTGTGTCCCTCTAGGCCAATCTTCTGGCTCGGAGCCTGGGTGAGCTGAATCCGAGGCTCACAGGCTAATAATGCTGTCCATGACCAGTTCAGGGGCAGACGTTGGGATGGTGGGGTGCAGTCTGCGTGGGAAGGGAGTCAAACCCTAGCCTGGCCTCACCCAGCAGCAGCTCCCTGAAACTTTCAGCCTGGAAGCTGGTTTGCACCCATCCAGGGGGCAAATTCAGTTAGGTTGGTCTTTTGCCCACCTGGGACTGTACCTTAGAATGAGTCCTGGGGCCTATAATGAGCATCTCAGGTGCATGGGTTGGATCTTTGGGCACCTACATGGCTGCCAGGCTGCTAATTCCCATGACAGGGCCTCCAAACCTCTGTTCTCAGCCAGCCTCCATCCACTGTCTGCCCAATTATTTGCCATGCGACTCTTCTCTTGTGCCTGGGCCACTCCTACCTCTGCTTCTTCCTTAGCCCCCACCCCAGCCCTTGCCACCAGCAGGGGCCAGAGCTGGAGGCCTGGCCACAAGTGGGCCCTCTCTGAGCACTGTCCAGACTTTTCAGTGGCTTCCCCTTTCTCACAGATTAGCCCTCATGATGTTGGCATGGGACTCCCAAGAGCTTTTGACTTGGATTGAAGAGGAATGCAGCTAATTGAGGCAGCCTAGGGATGCTCCCATCTCTCCAGCACTGCCTTGCCTCTGCATTTCCCCCTCTTTCTTTCTGCCCACCCATCTCCAGATACAAATCTTTAGACATCTTATTTCACTTCTCTTGGTTATGTATGTAGGAGTGGGATGGCTGAGTCATGCAGTAGGTATATGTTTAACTTTTGAACAAACTCACAAATAGTTTTCCAAAGTAGCTGTCCCATTTTACATCCCTTCCAGCAATCTATGAGAGTACTAGTTGTTCCACCTATTTGCAATACTTGGTATTGTAAATCTTTTTAGATGAGGGCTGAGGTCATGTGGGTTATAACAGCAACATTAAAGGGACAGAGTTGGAGGTGACAATACAGTTAGAACAGGTAAATAAAGAAGAATGAGATTGAGATGGGGAATGGACAGTGTTGTTGGGATCTCACCTCCATCAATTATCAGCCATGTGACCTTGCACAAGTAACTGAACCTTGCCATGCCTTCATTTTCTCACCTGCAAACAGGGATGTAACATTTACCGCTGCTGAGATTAAATGAGGCAATGGACATAAACATATCTACAGAGTGCCTGGCATCAGGGCTTCCGTTAGTCTTTGCATGAATTAGGTGAAGGTGTCCCTTTTTTGGGGTTGATACAGCCCTGGACTAGGGTGCTGGGATTGGCCCAAACTGCATAGTTATTCACAGTGATTCTGTTTGGCCCACAAGTTGTCAACCGAAGCACCCTGAACAGACCGAGTTGAAAGGAAGAGGTGAGCGTATTCATCAGTGTGCCTGCTCTGCCCTCCCCACAGCCCTCCCCTTCTCTCTGGTGACTTCCCCTGTCCTCCACCTTCCCCTGTCCTGCTGCCTTGGGTCTGTGGAAATGTGGGTGCCAATCTCTAGGTCAAATCTACAGGCAGAAACTTCTTTGAAGTTTGGTATCTCTACTGAATCATAAGAAATCCTGCTTAAATAGTCTGGTTCTCAAAATAATTTAAGTGTCGCAGAGGCTGGGTGTGGTGGCTCATGCCTGTAATCCCAATACTTTGGGAGGCTGGGGCGGGAGGATTGCTTGAGGCCAGGAGTTGGAGACCAGCCTGGGAAAAAGGGAGATCCTATCTCTACAAAAAATTTAAAATTAGCCTGGTATGGTGGCACACACTTGTGATTTCAGCTACACGGGAGGCTGAGGCAGGAGGATTGCTTAAGTCCAGAAGTTTGAGGGTGCAGTGAGCTGTGACTGCACCACTGCACTCCAGCCTGAATGAGACACAGCAAGAGACCTGACCCTGTCTCAAAAAAAAAAAAAAAAAGAGTGTCACAGAGATGAGCTCAAGGCAGCAGCATTTATGGTGACTGGATTTGATCTTTATTTGAGGGGAGCCAGAGGGAGGCACAGAACTTTTGGGGGGCCCAGGAGATATTGCAGAGTTCACGGTTTACAGCAGGGAGGTGCTGAGGGCCTGGAGACAGGTTCTCAGTACCCTAAGGTGAAGCCTTTGATCAGGAAAACATCTCTTCCCAAGGCCAAAGTCCTTGGGCTGTCTATGGCACACACATGCGGAAGGCCAGGGCACATTTGCCTCAGCTCAAAACATACAACTCACTACATGAACAGCTCAACTGAACTAGGCCCTTTGATTTATGTGTTTACATTCCCAAAGGGAAACTTTCTTTACCTGAGGGACTCTTGGCTGGGTTCCTTTCATGATGAGAACAGGACATGAAACTTTGTTTATGGAGAGGTAGTACTCCAAGCCGGGGTGGAAGCCGGCCCTTAAAGTTTGGGGCTGGGCAGCCCTGATAACCACCAGGTGGGGAATTTTGTCTCTGAGCTTTCTGTCCCTGATGTCTCAGCCTGGGCACCCAGCAGGACTCCCTGGTGTCAGCAACATGAGTGACAGATGAATCATTCATTCCTGAGGCGCTCAGATGAGTCACTGGAGAAGCAGTGTCACCTTTCCAAAATTTAACTTTCCAGCAACTTCAGGAATTCAGCAGTCGTGTAGAGAGAGGGATGCCTGCAGTTCGATTTTTGTCCCTTCCCACCACCCTTTTCACCTGCTTGATGGTGCAGGGTGGGGAGGACGGGCAGGACACTGCAAACAGCTTTTAGCTGGGTGAAGATGAAGGAGAACTTTCTTGCTTATGGCCACCCAAAATAGATCCAAATGCAGTTCTTTCTCTCCCCAGCAGAAGGGAGTGAGGCTAGACTTTGGGGAGTACTGATCTGTAGAGGAAGAGCAGTGGAGCGGCTCCCCTCAGTCTTCCAGGCTGAACCTTGTCAGGGTTGAGAAGGTAGGTCAGATGCCGCTGGGGCCCCACTGGAGAAGGTGACAGCTGGTGGCAGAGGGCCGGGCTACCCAGGGCTGTGTCAGTGCTGGAAGGCCGCCTGGAAGAGGCAGCTGTGGCTTAGGGCTGGGCAGCGGTCCTGCTGGCACCCCACCCACCCCCGCCTTTCTTCTGCCCCTCCTGGGGTAGTGCCCCGGCTGCTCCGCCGGAGTAGTGATGGCTCTGAAGGTGAAAGTCACCTTCTGCCGCTCTCCCGACGGCCTGCTGCTGGGGTGGGGAAGCGGGGGACATAAATCCTTCCTCATCCCTGTCCCGTGGCGCTTGCCTGCGCGGCCGCGGGGAGGAGGCTTCTTGGCTGTAAATCAGGGCCGCCCCCAGCGCCTGCCGGCCCTTCATCACAGTGCTTTACGGTGCTGACACCGGCCAGGATTTAGTGGGTCCAGCCAGGCTGAGGCCGCCTCCTCCCCTTGAAATTAAGGCCACCCATAAATCCTGGAGATGCCCATTTGCATATCCATCTGCATACATTTGCCCCTTAAATTGCCTGCCTTGAAACACCGCATGGAAGTTGGAGCCACTGGGACTGAGAGTCTCCATTGTCTCAGCTCCTGTTGTAGAGGGGAAACTGAGGCTCAGGAGGGACAGGGACCTGTCCGTGGCACAGTGGAAGGCAGAGGCAGAGTAGGGTTGGACCCAGGAAGGATTTCAATAGATATAGCTGGGTTGATTTAGATAGAAGTAGAACAGAGAGTCAGAAGTTGAATGCCTGTGGTGAGCAGATTCCGGATTCTCTCCCTGGAAGGCCAGGGCAAGGAGAGAGGACAGTGGGAGCACCCTGGAGGAGGGCGGCAGTGGGGACGGCCACCGGGAGGCCTGAGGACACCTATCAGGAAGTTTCCACAGAGGGGGAGCATTGGAGGGGAGCCTGCAAAGGCAGTCCTTGAGGACAGGACTGGCTGACGTGGTCTCACCCAGGCCTCTGTAGGGAAAAGCGGGAAAGGAAAGGAAGATGCCAGAAGCAGGAACACACAAGCCAGGGTCCCCTTGGCTCCTTCTGCTTCCTGCTGGTGTCAGTCATGACCAGGACCCTACCTGGACACGAGTGATCTGTCAGAAAGGCCCAGACCTGGTGGGAGCTTGGCATGGCCAAAGCATTCTCCTCTGTTGAGCCCCCCACCTTACCATTCCGCCTCTGCTGTGCCAGACAGCCACAGTGCACCTGAGAGCAGTCCATTGCTTCAGGGAGAGCCTCCCTGGGGCCTTTTTTTGACAGACCCTCTCCAAGGGTGAGCACCCACAGAGGCCCTCCCTCATGTCCCCCTTCCACCCGGGCAGGACCTTAGAGCCAAAGCTCAGGTCTTTCTGGGCCCTAAGCGGGAGGGAGAGCCATGGCACACCCGGGAAGCTTTTGCCTCCCTCGACCCCAGGGGCCATTCCGTCTTCCAAGCAGAAGTCCTATGGGTGAGACCCCGTGCTCCCAACTGGGTCCAGGGCTGGCCGGTGACCAGGACAAGGAGCTGCTCTGCTCCAGGAGGTCACCCCTGGGTCTGCACGAATGCTCCCTCCTTCACCCGTGGGGTGCGTGCATCATGGGTTTCTGATGGACTCAAACATGCCCTCTCATCTGTGTTGCAATAGTCTGGGGAGAGAGGCTTTGGGGGAACCTGATGCTCTTTCTGAGACCCAGAGTTCTGGCAGGGTTTGGGGATGGGCTCTTCCCTGAACCAGGCCAACCCATTGTGGCAGCCAGGCCTGGGGACCCCCTTCTTCCGTCTCCCAGATGGGACCCAGAGGATCAGCAGTATACGGGTAGAGCTCCAGTCTGGCCCCAGGGGCAGAGGACCCCTCTCAAAGTCTCCTTTTCCTGCCCCCGCCCCCCTCCCCATTCCACCCCATCCCATCCCACAGCCTGAGGCTGGTGGGCAAATCCCAGCCAGGGCTGACAGGGGTAAGGGATCCTGGCAGGCTGAGCCCTGACAACAATGTCTCTGCTCTGGGCCTCCTCTGACCTCTCCAGGGCTCTGTCCTTGCAGCCTGGGTGAGACTAGGTGTCCCCAGGATAGGGCTGCATGTTCTGACCACTCCAGCTCAGGGAGTGGCTGCTGGTGGGGACAGGCCAGGAGAGAGGATGGGAGCCAGGATGGTAAGAAGGTTAAAAGGCAGCTAGGCGGCTGTCTCAGAGCATGGGCATCATGGAATGATGGGACAAGAGTGGGAGCCCACCCCACAGCAAGCCCTGGCTGGGTGCACAGGGAGATGTCTGCAGGAGGGGCTGGACCTGCCCCCAGCTGATCCCAGCCCTCCTCTCCTTTCCCCTGGGAAGCCTCAGTTGCTGCTTTCCCCTTGTTCCCTCCATCCCTAGCTCCCACCCCTCCCCTCCACAGAGGCCCCACAGTGGATATGTTTTCTCTTCTCTGGGAAAATGGTCTCTCCTGGTATTGGGAGAGGAAGGCCCTTCCCTCTATCTCCCTGCCTTCAGGGCAAAGCAGCCAGATGAAGCGGATAGAGGGGATGCCAAGACACTGAGAGCATCTCAGGGAGGAAAGAGGGTAGCAACAGTGACACCACATTCTCCGTCTGTGCACTCCCTGAATAACTACTATGATGACTACTAAAGGATGGGATATGGCCCCCTGTTAGCTTGGGGATAGTGGGGATCACAGAGGCAGGGGAATGGCCCAGAAGACCTCCCCAAGCCTCCCTGACTAGCGTTTGCTGGGATTCTTAGAAAGCATGCACAGACTTTGTGGCGGCGCAGCAGCGGGCCTGGGCAGAAGGGCCCCCCATCTGGAAGCCTTTAAAGTCTCCCTCCCCCTCTTCTCCAAATAGCTTGTTCCCAGAAAACAGGAGGAGAAGTTACCCAACAACATGCTGGAGCTTCCTGTGGGGCTGGCGGCCCCCTCCCTGGCCTCTGTTGTAGCACACCAGGCCCGCACCAGCAACTCAAGCACTAGCTCAGGAAGGCTCTGCCAGTTATATATTGCAGAGCTGACGTCCCTCCCCTCCTCCAGGATCTGGGATTACAGCTCACCTCCCCCAGGAAGCCCCCAGAATTGCCTCTCTGCTCTCTGGTACCTGCTGCCAGATCTTTTGAAAAGACACACCTTGCTTTTGTGGACTCCTTCCATCCTGTTCCACAAACGGTAGTCAGTCTGTTTGTCGTAATGAGCCCCCCTTCCTATTTTACGTCATGGGAAACTGAGGCCCGGGGCAGCCAAATGACTTGCCCAAAAATAAACAGAGCCAGACATAGACTCTGGCTCTCCTCCCCAGTCCAGGGGTCAGTCACACCATGTCCATTTGGCTGTGCCTATCTCCCCAGGTTGGCAGGCCTAAAGAGAGCACCCCAGTTCTGATTGCTGACATGACATTGGGTTTGGCAGAGCTGAGGTGCTGTTCAGGCATAGAAGCTGGCAGGGACTGAGGGGCAGAGACCTTGGTGAGATGGGTAGGATCCTGGCCAAGCAGGACTGAGGACCACCAATGCTGCGCCCTCCTCGGAAGACCTCGCTGCCTGGCCTGCATGCTGATTGTCTGGGCTCCTGCCCTGCCCTGCCCCCCTGGCATCCGAAGGCACTTGATTTGGACAGCTTGGCAAGAAAAATTTCCAAATTTCCAACCCCATGGGTAATAGCAAAAGAGGTTTTAAAACTTTTAGGTAACCAGAGAGTTTAGTTTTTGTTGTTGTTGTTGTTTGGGTTTTTTTTTTAGACGGAATTTTGCTCTTGTTGCCCAGGCTGGAGTGCAATGGTGCAATCTTGGTTCACCGCAACCTCCACCTCTCAGGTTCAAGTGATTCTCCTGCCTCAGCCTCCCAAGTAGCTGAGATTACAGGCATGTGCCACCATGCCCAGCCAATTTTGTATTTTTAGTAGAGACAGGGTTTCGCCACGTTGGTCAGTCTGGTCTCGAACTCCTGACCTCAGGTGATCCTCCCGCCTCGGCCTCCCAAAGTGCTGGGATTACAGGCATGAGCGCTGCACCCAGCCAAGAGTTCAGTTTTAGATGGCAGCCTGGCCCCTGCAAGAGCTGACGGTCAATGCAGTCACTGCGCTGTAGGTCTCAGTTTCCTTAGCTTTAAAATGGCGGTAAGAGAACAGAGGCTTCATGGGGAAGATGGAAATGGGCTTTGAAGGATGGGAAGGAAGAGGAAGGAGCACCTTCCAGAGCAAAGCAGAAGCAAAGATTCAGAGGGGAGAGTGGACGGCGACTGTTTTCAGGTATGAAGGAGGCTAGGCTCTGTCACTCTCCCCAGCAGCGCGACCTGGAACAACTTAACTTGTCTGTGCCTCAGTTTCTCATCTGCGTAGTGGGGATTGTAACAGCACTATGCCGCCCTGGTTAAGTGACATCATGTTTGTAAAATTCTAGGCAAATGCCTGACGCATAGTGAGTGCCTCATGACAGGTTTGTGTAGTATTTATTCACTTATTCATTTATTTAATAACAGCCTTTGGCTATTCATTTTAATTCCCTTGAGCAACACAAGATGGCGTTCGCTCAAGCATGCGACTCCCAGACGCTCATCCAGAGGTCTTCAGGGAGGGAGATCCCTGGGACTTGCAAACTCCAGCTCCTCACACAAGATGCTGTTGGTGTCTGCAAGGCTCCCCTGATACCTTGAATTCTTCTCAGGTGGTGGGGGAGGTTTTCTCTTCCTCTGGGGCAAAGAGGGATGCAGGCAGGGGTGGGAATTCAGCTCCAGGGCAGAGGGTGTCCATCTCTAAGTCCTGCCTCAGTCCCAGCTTCCTAGCCCCCTGTGTCCATGACCACAGCCTGGTAGAGAAGGGGTCCCATAGGAGGCCAATCTCTCTGGCCACCCCAGCCTGTCCCAGGGACCAGAGACCCCACAAGTCTTTGATGCTGGGGGCAGTCTGAGGAGAAAAGGGTGAGGTGGTGGAGAGGGGGCATGCGTGGCCAAGGATTGCAGCTCCAAGTGAGAAATAAGCAGGAGCAGATGGAGCCCAGAGCACAAAGTTCCTGTTTTCACGCAAATGTCTGGGACAATAAAAGTCAGGGGGGAAGACGGGGGTGGGGTTGGAGGGGAGCATAGAACCAGGGGTGGGGGTGCAGAAAGAAGATGCCATGTCAGCAGAATTAGCTCTTATTAAAATAGTTTCCGTCGAATTGGTTGGGGATGGGGGTGGACTTTCCAGCCCCCTGCCCAGAGCCCTTGGCTGGCCTGCTAGGGACTGGCCCAGCCTGAGAAGGACGGGGAGGGCTCTGGGCCTGTGCCTGCTGGGGACGACCAGACAGCGAGTGCTCCTCAGAGCTGATTGCATTTCCTGGCCTTTGATGCCCAAGATCAAAGCAGGGCCAGGCCATCCTGGCCTCCAGGCCTCCTGGCAGCCTCTCTGCCTGCAGGGTCCAGGCTGTGTGGTCATGGTGGCTGGAGAGGGCAAGGCAGCCTGGCATCCCTGGTAGGCCCAGAGCAAGAGCAAGCTAGAGGACCAGGATGTGGGCTGCGGGGGGCTGCAGCCGTGGATATAGCCCATATCTGCTGTCCACGCATGCCTGTGCTTATCATGCTGGTTCTGTGTCCTCAGATGAGATGTTAAACGTGGAGGTCACTAATGCCCAGGTCGTGGGAACTTGGGAGTTGGGTTCCATATGGCCCAGATCAACTGTTACATGAGCCATGCCTTGGATCCTGCAGCCTGTGGAGATGGCTGGGGGGTCCATCTTGCTATAGCAAGAAAGAGCTGTAACACTGCTGTGCAAGCTGGCCTTTCATGGGATCCTGGCTGGGAGGGCTTCAGGGGTGGTTTGGACAAGGGTCTCCATACACAGACCTTCCTCCCAAGGGTCCCCTAGCTCCCCTTGCTGGCCCAAAGGGCTCCATCCTGGGGCATTTCTAGTACCTTCCTTTTATTTGCACCAGCCTGGGCCCCCTTTGGGGAACTAGCCCTGGGGGTTGCTCAATGATGAGAGGACAGCTGCTTAGGGTCCTGCTCCTAGTGTACAGGGAGGCAGATAAGCCCCTCTTGATGCACTGCAGCGATCTGCAGGAGTTGGTCCCCAACTCCCGGGCAGGTTTCCTGGACGTCTTTGCCTGTTATGCCCTTGTGAGGGCTTCAGGTTCAGACGGCTGCCTCAGCTCAGGCCAGACTCCTTGCCTGGCTTCTTCCACCCAGGTGTCCATCGGGTGGTGCTGACTCAGTTTCCCTTTGATGTGAAGCATGCAAGGGGATACCAGGCAGAGGCTAGCCTGGGGTAGGAGTTGGGCAGTGTGGAGGCTGTGTAAAAAATGCTGGGGAGGCAGAGGCTTCTACAATCACATACCTGCAGGGCCTGGGGGCAGGGTCCTCCCCGTGCAGTGGCGTTGGTGTTCCTGCAGGCCTGCGTGTTGCAGCGGGGCCCTGGCGGCTCCAGTGCCCACCCATGTGGAGAGGATTAGGGCCTGGAAAGATACATTTTCCCCTCTTCCTTCTTGGAAAGAGGATCAAGGGGACCTGGTGACAGCCCAGAGATTCTGGGCGTGTGAACAGCCCCACTTCCGTCCATTTCCCAGGCAGCCTGAGAGATGCACACCATCTGCCCCAGTGCCGAGCCTGGAGCCCCCAGCCCACCCAGAAAAGGAGGCACCAGTCGCCTGCTCTTCCATCCTTGGAGGCCCTGCCCTAAAGGGGGAGCAGAGAAAGTGGACTGGGGGCTTCGTGGAAATAAGGCAGCCGCTGGTGATTGATACCTCCTGGGTTATCTGGAGTGGTTACTCTTAACTCACTGGTTGTTCTTGTATTCTCAGGATGTAATTACATTGTGACTTCCTGGGATAGGAGCCCTGATCGCACCCCTACAAGGTTTCTATAGTCTGGGCTTGGTCTTCAGCCAGCCCCTGCCACTGATTTCTTGGGACCTCTGTTGGGCCTTCCAGAGTTTGAGGCTGAGCACAGAAATAACTGTTTCAGTCTGAGCCATGCCCTTGTGAGCAGGAGTAGCAGTGAAGTGGGTGGGAGCATGGTTTAGGTGGCTAGGAAAGACCCAGGGCTCAGGCACCAAGCAGAATTAGGACTGGGGCAGGGATTTTTAACCTGGGAATACGTGCATGGCTAGCCCCTTCCCCACTGCCAGACCTTATTCTCCCTGCTCTGTGTGATGTGTGTGTGAGTTTGCTTGGGCACACACGCAAGAATGAAATGACACTGGTCATCTTCCCCTCCCCTTGCCTCTCTTCTCCTGTCATCTCCTTCTCCACTCCTGTCCTCTTAGCTCTCTCCTTCTCTCTCTCCCTTCCTTCTCTTCCTTCCTCTCTCTCTCGGATACCTCGGACTGGGTGGTGATATATCTCAATTGCCTATGCCATGCCTATGAATAAGGGGCTAGAAACTGCCGTGCTCGGTTCCCAAGCTTGAGGGAAGGTTGTTTCTTCTCCCTCTCTTCCGAGTCCTCAGCATAGCTGAGTGTGGTGGTACACGGGTCTTGTGGGAGGAGGGGATGTGTCATTGGCCAAGAGTGGGGATTGGAGAACAACTCTGAACTTGGTTTTCATGCTGTTCCTCCAACAGGAACCCTCTTTAGATGTGACTTAGTGTGACCAAAGCCATTCTGCTACCCACCCAACAGGATCCCATTCCTGAGCCATGTAAGCCAGGGCCTTGCCACAGGGTTGCTCAGAGGTAGAACGGGGTGGAGGGAAGTGGCTGAGACCTGACCCATGCTAAGACCTTGTGCCTGGCCCCTTCAGCTGACCCTTCCTGAGATTCCTTGTGTTTGAGTGTGTACACACTTGCATGTTTTCCTGTCTGCACACGAGTCAGCCTGCATGGGCAATTGTGTGTATGTATATACATCCATGCACATGAGTCAGTATAGGGAAAATGTGCTGTGCATACACATACGCACTGTACATGTATGCACGTGAGTCAGTGTGGGGATTACGTGCTTGCGTATGTGGGCTCACAAATGGAAGGCTTGGCTGGGAAACCCAAGTCTCCCTGTCCCAGGCCTCAACCCTTGCTCCCTGGGGCCCTGATGGAGGAGAACAGAGAGTCCCCAACTCTCGCTATCTGGGACAGCGGCTTCTGTTGGATTCCCCCCCACCCCTTTCTTTCTTGACACAAATAGCCTGTGGAACAAAGGGAACTGGGGATTTGGATTATTTACACAGTCAACATTAAGCAAGTTGTGGTCTATTTAAATTCTTCTTTATTAGGCTGGGAAATTCCATGGCAAACACTCAGACAGTAAGGAAACCTCCAACGCAGCAGCTCCCAGCTCCTGCCATTGCTGTGGTTCCCCATCTCCTCTCCCCTGCTCCCACCTCTCTGACCCCTGCTTCCTCCATTCAAGCTCCCTGATATCATGCCAACCCCCTCCACCTGACACAAGCCCTCCAGATTCCCCCTCCATGCCTCCCATCCATTGGCCCAAATTTCCTTTCTTCCATCTCCCTTCCCTCTGCCTCCATTTCTCAAACCTCCACCCCTGCCTCCCACCTTGCTTCTTCTTCCTAGACTTGGGAGGGACAGCTGGAAGCCCAGCCCCACACCCAGCATCCAGTCTACAGGCACAGTGTGCAGAGAGAGGGAAAAAAAGCAAGGCCCGTGAAAGCATGGGAGGAGGCAGGTGGTGGCCATCCCAGTGCAATTCATCAATGTGCCTGGGAGGCTGAGCCTCTCTGCAGCTGACTCTGTGAGACAGTTTGAGTGGGGAAAGAAAGGGTCCTATCTACAGGTAGAGCCACAGGGGTGCTCCATGTCTCCGGTAAATTCAACATAGTGACAGAGTGAGACAAGTTGAGGGATCTGATGCTTATGCTAAAGACAGGGGCCTCTGCTGTCACCCAGGCTGACACTCAGGAGCTCTGTGATCTGGGGCTACAGCAGATGATTTGTCTGGGCCAGAGTGAAGGAGACGCCAAGCATTAGGTTTCAGGGCAGTGAGAAGTCCTGGGTGGAGGTGAGGGGGAAGTTGGGCAGAAGAATGGGAGGCCCCTGAGGCTGCAGGGCCAGAGTGGGGAGGGGCAAGCCACTTGGGAAGGGGTCTGCTGGGTAACCTGGTCCTGAGGTAGCTGCAGCCATGTTAGCTGTGTTCTTCAAGACTTTTTCTATGAGGCCTTAGAACCCAGGCCTGGGACTCGAGTCTGGAGGATTCAAGGAGGCTGATGCTCCCCCGTATAGGGCAGGGAATCACTTCTGCTCCTTCAAAGCTGTCAAAAAGTGGCTTCTGGATGTCTCCAGAGGCAGAGGTTTGCACCACTGAAATGCCCCAGCAGAAGCTGGGCCTTCCCAGAGGGGCTCCTGGTGCGGGTGCAAGGGGCCCTTCAGATCCCTCCCCATGGAGCCAGGCAGGCCTGGGGCAGAGGAGGCGCTGAGCATGGGGAAGCTCAGAGGACTGCGAACTTCCTTCAGAGGGGACCCCCTCCGGACCAAGGGTCTACAGGGTTGGTCTCTTCTCCCTTGGGAAGGGCTCTCCATCATGTCCCTGGGGATGGGCCATACCCTTTCTTTAGCCCTGAGGGCTTTTCCAGAGGAAGACATCATCAGGGGCAGAAGGGAAGCTTGAAAAAAGATGAGAGAAGGGGGTGCTGGGAAGGTGGGGGGTGGGAGAGTATGGATTGAGAACCAACAGAGAGCATCCAGTGGACAGCCCAGCCTCCCATTCTTGAGCAGGGGCCCCTCTGCAAGCCCTCAGCTCCAGAGTGCTCTCCTGTCACTGTACTCACCTCTTTTGAAATAGCTCTTTTCTTGTTTTTCTCTGCAACTAGACTGTGAGCCTCCTGAGAGTAGAGAATACAAAGAATTTGCTTTGTAACCCAGTGCCCGGAGTGTGGGTAACAGCAGGAGCTTGTTCAGTGCTAAATGAGCTCAACAGAACTGCATTTTCAGGGGTGCTGGCTGAGCCCAACCCTCACCTTTCTCCCGTAAGCTCAGCTGTTACTTGCATGCCAGGCACTAGTCTTGGTTTTTCTGAAGCCACAGTTTGCATGACAGGGTGGACAGACCCTGGAAAGCCAGAAAGTGATGCTCTCTGCTTTGGGAGTCTGTCCTGAGCCCTTCCCTGGTCTCGGCCTGCTCTGCCCTTGTCTGGTGACCAGTGGCACATGTGCCAAGGTCTGGGCCTCTATCACCCACTCTGAAGGGGACACATTTGAGAAGCTGAACAGATTCTGCTTGGTGGGCAGTGACTAAGTCTTGAGCTGCCCCAGACAAGCTGGGGGACATCTGCCCCACCCCAGGAGAAAAACTCCTGAGGCTGTGCCCTCCAGGAGGAACCCCCTGGGTGTAAGGGTATTTGTGGCAGCCCAGGGGACTGGGGTGAGAAGCAGGTGGCAAGGCCAGGCAGCTGGTTCACACCTGTGGCAGGAAGTCACTGCCACACACCTTTCTCAGAGGGAGAGCCTGTGCCCATGTGCTGAAACCTTTAGGAGAGGGAGCCCACTGAGGGCTGGGAGGCTCATCTCAGAAATCTCCTGCTGGCAGGCTGTGCTGGGGGAAGGGAGACAGGCCCCAAGGGTTTTGGAAGCACAGTTACCTGAGAAGGGGACTCCACAGGTAAAGGTCACTACACCCTGTAGTCCCTTGCTTTAGCTATTGTTTAAACTGATGTTAGCATTATTGACGAACAGCGCACAAATCCCCCTCCAGGCAGGCAGGGCTCAGGAGAGAAACTGCCCTTCCAGATTGCAATGTGACAACCTCCTTCTCCAAACAGCAGCACAGCCTGCAGCGGAGAGGGCCTGAGAGCTGGCTGCCCATTATCACCTCGGTGCCGGCCCTGCCCTCTGGGCCTGTCCCTGCTGCCACCTCTGGGCCTGTGTTTCTGATTAGCGGCCCCAGCTGCGCAGCATTAGTTGCATTTTTCCAGGATGAATCTTGGTTGTGACTTCCTGCCACAGGTCTGAACCAGCTGCCTGCCTTTGCCGCCTGCTTCTCACCCCAGTCCCCTGGACTACCCTAAACGCCCTTACTCCCAGGGGGCTCGTCCTCGAGGGCCAGCATCAGGAATTTGCCTCCTGGGATAGGGCAGAAATCCCCTAGCTTGCCTGGGGCAGCTCAGGGCTCAGCCACTGCTCACCAAGCAGAATCTGTTCAGCTTCTTGGATGAGTCCCCTTCAGAGTGAGTGATAGGGACCCAGACCTTGGCACACGTGCCACTGGGCAAGGGCAGAGCAGGCCAAGGCCATGGAGAGGCTGCAGGTAGGCTCCCAAAGCAGACAGCATCACCTTCTGGCTTTCCAGGGTCTGTCCACCCCGTCATGGTCTTGGTTAGCATGAAGTCATGGTCTCCAGCTAAGGCTGCACAAACCCCGTTCTTTTCCAGAGCTCTTCTGGAAAGCTAAGTGAAGCTATCAATAGAGTCAGCATTCACCTGAGAGGTAGTGAGCTCCCCGTCCTGCAGGTCTGTGAATAAAATCTTTCACATTCATAGTGGCCTTTAAATCTTTTGTGATCCTTACTATGTCCCTGTAAGTGGGTACGGCAGGGGTGAGCTTGACAATTTTTGGAGGAGAAAACTAAGGCTGGAGTGAATGTGTGCTGGAGTCTAGGCTAGAACCCAGATGTGAAGCCTACTTAGTCCACTGTGAGTTTGATTCAATATCCCTTCTCTCTGAACCCAAGCAGATTCCAAGAGACTAAGACCCCAGACCCCAACCTGGCAGCTGGTGCATGCTCTTTCCTCTTTCCCTGCCTACCAGCTCCCTGGCCAGCACCCCCGAACAATCTGACAGCCTATCCCAGGCCGGCTTGATTCTGACTGTTTGTCACTTTCCTGCCTCAACATCCTGCCCTGGGCCTCAGCCTTTGGTCTATGCTAGGGTCTGTGATCTGGGATGGGCCTCTGAAAATCAAAGCCCTAAGAGGACTCACAAGACTGTGAGCAACCTGAGTATGGGGCCCATAGAGGGTAGCTGGCTTCTGTGTCCCCAGTGCCCAGGGCAGGCCTGGCATAGAAGAGAACTCAGGCAAGAGAGTGGGACCAGCGGCTGGAAGAAATCAAGCAGGGAGTGCCATGGAGAAGCGGCTGCAGTTGGCTTTGGGGACTCCATGTGGTCAGGGAGGCTCGCTTGCTCTGGAAAGTAGGTGGAGGCTGGAGGCCAGTACTCCCTGGGGAGAGGGTGCCTGTGTAACAGGAGCATCTGGCCCTTGAAAATGCTGAGCAGAGAAATGCTAGCAGTAGCGCCAGGTGCCAGCACTCAGGGTGGGATAGAGTTCTATTGTGGCCATAGAGTCCTGCCATGGGTAGAGCTTGCTGAGGGGGGACCAGATGCTGTTGGGACCCTGGGGCTGCCATCGACTGCCTTTAGCCTGTGCTGCTGCAGGGATGCAGTGTTTCTACCCCATAACCCATCTCAAAACCCCAGTCAGCAACCGGGCTCCTGAGAGGTGGGCACATCAGCTCTCTCAAGTGCCCCGGGAGAGTTTCCTGGCCTAAGATGGTGAGTGGCATGGGGCAGGGAACAGAGACTCTGCTGGGGAAGCCTCTGTCCCAGCGGGGAGATGCTGTCCCTGTCTTCAGAGAGGCCACTCTTTGGTTTATGATGTATTGACATATCATAACCCCTGGACTCCTTTGCCCAGGAATTAATGATTGTATTTCTATAATTCTTCAGTTATTTTAGGAAAATGTGAGCTGTTTCTTTAATTATCTACAAGGACTTGCCAACAGCTATTATACATTTGGCTAGATTGAGACTATGAATGAAACTTGTATTTGTCCCTAAAAGTCTCGGTTGGTTTTAGCCTTCACTGTCCCCTGGATGGCTGGTGGTGGAGTGCGACGTGTGCGGTCAGCTAATGGGGACACAGTGCTGATTTGCTTGGGCTGTGTCAACAGGATCTTGGAGCTGGGAGGACCCATGACAACTTTTTACATGATGAAGAAATTCCCCTGTTGGAAGACAACCCTTCCAGCCTCCATCGCATACCTGCTGTGATAGGGAGCTCACTGCCTGCTACTTGATCATAGGTTCTGTCACCTGCTCTAGGGCCACAGGTCAGGCCAGGGGTCACTGCAGGCTCTCTTCCAGAGGCAGCTCTCCCAGGGTCCCCCTGGTGGTCACTATGAAGCTGTGCGGCTCTCCTGGAGGGTTCCCTTGCAGCCCTCAAGTGGACAAAGGGCTCATCTTTCCTTGCCAGGGGCTCCCTTGTAAAGGCCCTTTGGCCAGCAAAGGCCCCTGGGTTAGAGTTTCCTTGTGCCGCCCACCAGGCAGAAGGTCAAAGGTCTTGGCCAAGGCCCACTGTCCTCTCCCTGCAGTGACCTTCTTTGAGCACCTCTTCCTGAACATTCTCACGCCACCCTGCCAAGTCCTGGCACATACAGGACCAGACAGTAGAGTTCAGGCTGTCCCTGAGACTGCTGAAATGCCCCTTCTCCTTCACCAAGGACCAGGGGAGAAAAAGGGACCATGGACTGGAGACAGACAGCGGGAAGGGCGGGGAGCCAGGCGATGTCATCAATGCCTGCTGTCAGGCTGGGGCCCTGCTGTCATCTAACCTGCCCGGGGCTGATGTGTCCTGGTCACTGTTAGTCCATGGGAGAAGGACCCTTATCATGGCTGGGAGACCAGGAGAAGGGGTGCAGCTCCCCTTGTGTCTTGGATTGGAACATGATTGCCAATAGGTGGCCCCAGTGGTGATGAGGGCTGTGAAGGAGGGTCCTCCATCTTTCCTGCCACCAGCCGCACCACCATGGCTACCTTCACCGCCTTTCCAGCCAAAGCCTTTCAAAGCCATGTCTTGGTGGGTAGAACTGGATGGGGCTCTAGGCTGTGACTTTAAATGAGAATCACTAAACTGTTGGAGATAATGGAAGGGAAGTGAGGGGCCAGTGGGGACAGGCCAGCCCTTGGGTCCATGAGACCAGTGCACTGTAGCCAAGAGTCTGAAGCCTGGCCCACATCCTCAGCCCTGGGAACATAGGAATGGCCTCAAGACCCCTGCTCAAGTCCTATGTTCTCTCCCACCAGGGACAACTGGCCATGTGGGCTTGTCTCATGGCCCCTGCATGTAATAGCTCCATTCAGTTTGGGCTTTTCATTCTTAAGTAGCACCACAGTGGGAAGTCTCTGGGCCTGTCCAGCTACTTTACACGGCCTCCCCCAGCTGGAGTTGAAACCTATGCCTCCAAGTCCTTCCTGCACCCCTTGGGGTTTCCTCTTCAGCCCTCTAGCAAATAACTATTCCAACAAAAACCTTCACAGCTCCCCAAGAACTTGCCATAATTTATAGGCACAAGGCAGTCCAAATCCATATGGAGAAAAGTAACATTCCTCCCCAAGAAGCAGCCCAGCCAGCCGAGAGTGGGAGAGAGAGAGAGAGACTGCTAAAAGATATACCTGTGTATTAAAAGAACTGGGGACTGAGGACTGGGGACAGACAATGGGAAGGCAGGAAGTGAGGCAATGTCACCTCACAGCTTTTAGTCCAAGGGTGACCAGCTGCCTTCAAAGGATGCCTTGGGACAAAATATGGCTGCCAGGTTTCATTTGTCCAAATGGTGGTTTTCCTAGAACAAAGGGACTTTTTTTTTTTTCTCAAAGGTAAATTAAAGCTACTTCTTTTAGGGAAGCCCAGAAAGATTTGAATTTTTAAGTGAGTTCGTCCAGCCTCTGCCCTGTTATGCAATTGAACTTGTACAGTAAACCCCAGGGAGGTGAGGTGTTACCATCCCCATTTTGTGAATGAAGAAACTGAGGCTTAGGGTGGTTAAGCTGCTTCTACTCTGATGTAACAAGAGGAGGCAGGATGCAGAGCCAGGTCTGCTGACCTGCAGAGCCCATACTGCAGGGGAGAGGGGGTCCCCAGAACTTAGAGGATATCAAGTCGAGAGGACAAGCACCGTCCAGTGGCTGAAAAGGCCAAGTCGAGCTGCACCGGAATGGGAGGGGTTAAGAGCCATACTGTGGAGGCAAAGTCATTCCAACACCACCCCCTCCCCCCTTTTCTCTTCCTTTTCCACTGAGTTGACCTTTAAATTATGGCATCAGCTGTCGTGCCAGACATGCTGCGATTTCCCCTCACTCCATCTGCCCAGCCTTCCCACTGGCGCAGTTTCTAGCTTGCTGCATTCTCCTCCCTCCTTCCCGTTCTCTCCTTCTCTCTCCTCTGCCCCCATCAGCTGCCTCCCTCTGAGTCCCATTCACAAAATCCCAGCCATGTCGCTGGCCCTGCTGCAGGTGGCATTCGGGCATTGCTGGTGTCCCCCCAGGGCCATGTCTCCCCACCTCCCAACTCTGCTCCGGGACACTGCAGCTGGGAAGTCACCTCTGCCCAGTCCTACTCCTGCCTCCCTCCAGGCTGGTCTGTAAGCCTGCACACCGGCCTCTCCCCACCCGTGCCCCATCCAGGCCCTTGCTGCTCCCATCTTCCTCCAGCCCCACCCCTCCCCAAAGCCTCCAGTGGGGATGCACCCTCTGCTTAATATTCATTTGCATTTGGCCCAGGGCCTAAACTATATATTTTGTTTTTTTGCCATGACTGTAGAATATAGCAGACATTAAATCTTATCGGTTTAATTTTCTTCCAGATAATAGTACAGGCTTTGAATTTTTTCTTAAACTATGGAAAAAGTGTCAAAGAAAAGTGGAACATTAATCAAGGGACTTTGATGAAAGGAATGAAAGTGTTTTCCTAAGAGCCCAACATGTGGTGCAGCTGCTGGTGGATATTTAAATGACATTTTTCATATGTTGCTATAAAAAAAAATCTCTTTGAGTTGATTCTGGAAATATATTACAATTTGCTACAATGCCAGTGGTCTTAAAATTATTTAGAAATAAAATGTGTTTATGATTTCTGCTCTACTTTGTATATTTGTCTGCTTCAGGACTCTTTCCTTTGAGGAGGGCCTAACCAGTCTACCCCAGAAGCAGTAAGTCTCTTCAGGACAGGCACCATCAGACAGGGGGTCCCCAAAGATGGGAGTCATATTTTCTTCTTCTGTGGCCTTTGGCCTAACATGTCACTCTTCTCCAGAGGTTTAAGCTGCAATGGGAGGGATTCAGGCGAGAAAGAAAGAGGTGATGGAGAACGTCATTATGTATTAGGAAGGTCTGGGGAAAGCTTTTTAAAAGGTGTGATTTCTCCTGTAAATGAGAAAGGAATGAATTCGTTCAACTCCTAGGTTTCCTTATAAGCCTGAACACCCAGGAGAGTGGAATCCAGAGGCCAGAAAACCCTGACCTCCAGCCTCCCTTGTGAGGCTCCTCACAGCATGGAAGGGACCCCTCCCTCCATTTGGGCTGGGAGAGACTGGAGCTTCAGTCTCATTTTTGGAGCCAGCTGGGCTGGGAAATCTTTGGGAGTCTGCCCTTCCCAGCCCCCTCACTGGGATGCCTTCCTCAGAAGATCATTTAGGGCTTCTAGGCTCCTGCCCTCTGAAGGACCCACTTCTCCCCTATGAACCCTGCATCCTTGTAACTTTGCCAATCCTAGTGCCAGGGGAAGGAAAGAGACTCCCGAGAGGTGCCCTTGGCATGTGGACACGGAGGCCGTCTGTCCTGGGCTCTCTGACGGACCGCAGAGGCAAGGCCAGGGTCTCAGCAGTAGGAGCGCCTAGGCTGATTCCAGAGCAGAAGAGGCCCCACAGTCCCTCCCAGGACCCAGAAGGCAGATGTCCTGGGCGCTTGCTGTTCTTCCCCCAGCCTGCGCAGCTCCTGGGGGAGATGAACGGAGGCCTGAAAGCCTTCCCAGTCTGGCCTCGGGCCCTGCATTGGCAGTCAGTTCTGTCCCCATTGACCAGTGGGGGGCACACTCTCCCAAGTTTTCCTGTCTCCACTGTAATTGTCATTTGGACCTGAAGGTAAATTCAAGGGTGCTGGTGCCTCCTTCCCTGCCAGGGGCTCCCTGGAGGAGGGGTGGACAGGAGAAGCTCTGCTTCTGCGCAGTCTGCAGGGCATCTCCAGCCTCTGGGCTGCTCTCTTCTCCTGTTCTGGCCTTTGGGTCCCCAGCTTCTCCTCCTGTCCACTTGCCCCACATGTCCTCCCGAGAGGAGACCTTTTATGAGGACTCTGGTTTGGGGAAGGGAAGAAACCTGCCCAAGCGCAACTAAGCTTTCCTTCCTCTCAGATCTGCCTCCACTTTCCTTCCTGATCTCATTGTCCCCTCTTTCTACCCAACCTACTCAGTTCTACACTGTCCCCCAAGTGTCCAACCTTGGGTCTGCCTCTGCTTCTTTTCTGCAATTAGATGCCTTCTTGTAGGCCCAGCCGAGGCTCCACTTTCTCCCTAGGGCCTTCCCTGTCTGACTCCAAAGAACACAGTGGCTGAAGCTTGGGAAGAGGAGTGAGTGAGGTGGGGTCTTGCCTTGCCAGTTGCCTTAGCTCTGCTACTTTTGTCTTACACCCCCTCGGACTATGAGCCCCTTGGGCAGGACGGTGCCAGGAGGGCAGCCTTTATTTTTCCATAACACTGTTTGGTGCAGGTGGAGCTCAGAGAAGACACCCCTGGAGGGATTTGGAACAGCCTCTTAGGCACCTTTGGGAGGTCCCTGAGTCTCAGCTGATTGAACTAATTTAGCTGATCACGATAATTCTCTTGCCTGTAACAATTTAGGAATGAAATATGAGAAGAGTCTGTTGGGGGCTTTGAGGAAATATTTTCTCACACCCAAGACAGAGATACAGTGACACAGGAAAACAAGTCCTTTGCTTTCCTCTGGTCGTATCCATGCCTAGATGAGATGGTAGAATGCCTGCAGCATCTGAGGATGAAGCCGTGACACAGATGAGGACAAGCCAAGAGCATCTCAGAAGCATGCAACAGGAGCCCTGATGAACCTTCTTAGAAAACAAGATCATCAGTTTCTCTCACCATGTTGTCTAGCTGAAGATGGAATGTCCTGCTACTTACAGCCATAAAACAGCCTACCTGCATGGGAAGAGGTGGATGGAGGCTGGAGAAACACTCATTGCTGAGCTGAACCGGGGCTGACTGATAACAAAGACCTTACCCTCTCTCCCTCCCTCTTCTTCCTTCCCAGAAAGAAAGAAGGGGTCTTTTTCCAAGGCCACCTCTGAGACTAAATAGGGATGGCTAGGACTGCATCACTGGGCCATTTTGAGGTCCTTCTAGGATAACACACATACTATAAAGGCTCATTAGGGGCTCCATTCCATCCATCCCCTTTCCCCTGCTGTTTTGCTTGCAAAGACAAAATGTTCGTAGGTCTTTGTTGCATGCTGAAGATAGCCATTAGTAAAGAAAAGGGAAACAAGGGCTCAAATGGAGGAATCCCAGTGTCTGCCCTTGATCCCAAACCAATCAGATCCTAGGGGCTTTCAACAGCGAAGGAGCATTGCAGAACCTCACTGTGTCTTGAATACTGCATTTTATGATTCAACACCATTGGGAGATGGACTGCATCTCATAATGGATCCAAGAACACAAGAGTTTCCGCTTCCAGGGATGCTGCATGACCATAGGGATGCAGCCCATGTCAGCAGCAGTTGCCTTAGAAAATACTGGAAACTGAGGGCCTGGTCACTCATGCCTGGTGAGAGCATTCCCAGCAGGGTAAAGTGAAGAACCCAGCCCTGCCTGCATAGTTCTCTGAGACCACTGCATGTAAAGTAGCACCCAGTGCTAACCAGATCTCCAAGGAGTTGGCTAAACTCTGTGCCCTGGTGTTGTAGATATTGCTGTGCCCCTGAAAGCCAGCGCCAATGAACATAGCATGGCACCAGGGCTCCAACATTCACTGTAAAAAGTCAGGTAGAAACAAGCTTGAACTACACCCATAAAGGTTTGAGTCAGCTGCAAGGAGACTTCCTGAAAGAGTGGTTGGGCCACAGCTAGAAATGGGCAGCCAGTAATATTTTCCCTGCCTCTGTTTTAGACTCAGATATCTTTAAAGGCAGGAGAGCTACTCAGGAGACAGGTTTGGTAGTTGGTGCTGTTCTCAGTTAGAGGCTAGGGCTAAGTGACCTGCCACTCCTCTCTAGGCCTGGAGAGGGACATGTGTACTACGTGTACTCAGGCTCAGTCCTGAAACACGAGGACTGAAGTGTTACATGGCCTGTTTCTGGTTTACTGGGAATTTCAGGAAACCCAAATACAAAGTGATTTGAGTGGGAGGGGCTTTAAATTTCTCCAAACGAAAACATTTTTACACTGTATAAATTCCTTTGTGGGATTACTTGCTAGCATTTTTCTGTCTCCCAACCATGTTGAAAATTCAGTCATCCAGTTTCATGGACACATACAGAGGGCCAAAAGGGGCTGCATTTCTATGCATATGACTTAATCTCTGGCAAGGAAGGCTGAGGGGAGGACAATGGCAAGCTCTTTGATGAGAGATGACCCTGGGAAGAAGGAGTGAGGAGAGGAAGACTAGGATACAGCTGGGGGAAGGACTCTCGTGCAAGTGGAGACCATCAGATGAGAGAGGAACATGTGTTCTCATGACTGCCCTCTACTATCCTGGCTGGATTTTAAGGGGACTCACATATTTTCCTTCCTTGACCTAGCCTCCCCTGATCAAGGAGTCAAAGTCCTAGTCAGCTGGAGCTGCCAGTCTGATGAGCAGATAACCTCTGGACTTGAGAAGTCTCAGGTCCATGTACTCAGACACATGGCAGAGACACAAGGCTGAGAAAGCAGTTCTAATATTTAGCACAGCTAAGACTCTTTGGACCTACATCTGAGCACCTGTGACAGGACAAAGGAAAAAAAATGAGATCCTTTTCCCAGGGAGCTAGAACAATAGGGGTATGAGTTCCTGGATCCTTATCCCTAAGCCCTGGCCTCCTAGAAATGGGCTACTAGCTTTTTCATGGGGAAGGGATGTCCTACCACCCCTACTCCCATTAACAACACAAACTATCTTTGTCAATTCTGAGTCTTCTCTTGCGAAAGGCACAGTTACTCAGTTGTGTGCTGTTCTCAGTTAGACACTAGGGCTAAGTGACCTAGGGCTAAGTGACTTGGGTGGAAGTCCTAGACTTCCTCCCAAGACATCTCTCGCTGTGAACTCCTTCAAGATGATATCTTTGGTTTCCCTAGAAAATAGAGACTGCAGCAGTGCTTAAGTGTGAATGCTTTATTTTGGAAGTGGAAACCCATGGAAGCAAAAGTGAAACAAGGTAGAAGTGAGGCAGTAAAGGGTAGGGAACAATGCAAGATGATATGTTATTGCACTGGCTGTTGCTTTCTGACAAGTTGCAAAGAGACACCGCTGTCCAAGATGTAGATGCATCCCATCAGCCAGGAAGGATATCTCTGGACAAGCTGTTCAGAAAACATTTGCCCTTGGAACCAACAATTAGAAGGGAAAAGGAGGGAGAATTTTATCTAAAGTTCTCTTCCATCTTTTCTCTTTTGAAATTACTCTTATAGGGCACTCACCTGAACTCCCTGATTGTATCACTTGGCCCCTTCAGCAGTGGCTTAGGAAGCTAGATCCCACACCATATATATTGTTCCTTCTTCCAAGTCTAAAATGCAGCAGGAGTCTGCGGTTCTGGCAGGGCAGCTGGTCAACCTCAGATGGCAGAACCGTGCAAGTATGAAAGGAGTCAGTTGACTGTGGAAGCAGCTGAGGAGAAGCAAGTGTCTGAGTGTTCAAGAGAATCTGAAGAGGTTCATAAGATGTGCCCAACAGAAATAGAGAGGATTCCTAGAGGATGCGGATGGAAAGAAGGGATCCCTTCAGAGAGGGAAGGTACTTAGAGATCGTTGAAAGTGAGGGAAGAAGGAACTCTAGGAGAGAAAACATGAAGGTGGGAAGTTGAGGGTGTCATGGAAGTCTAAGTAGGCAAAATAGAAAGACCCAGTGACTCTGGATAGAAAGCTACTCCAGTTCTGGAAGCTACTTCAAGGGCATCCTCTGGATAATAAAGCACATTAAATCAGAACCTTCTCAGACAGTGTATGCTCCTGGTTGTAAAGAACAGGTCTGTTTTGTCTTTGCCCACCTGTGTAGTAGATTGTAAAATGGCCATAAATTCTTCCCTTCCCTCAATCCATGCCCTTACAATGTGACTTTGTAGATCCTCCCATTATGAGATGAAGTTTATTTCCCCACCTTTTGAATCTGGGTTGACCATGTTATCTACTTTAGACAATGGGACATTAGCAAACATGACACAAGTAGAGGCTTGGAAAGCACCCTTGTGCATTGGGGCTTGCCCTTGGCTGAGCTTAGAACATGATACTGCTGTGATACCAGAAGCCTGAGGTAGCCTTCTGGAGGATGAGAGACCACATGAAAGAAAATTGAGGTGCCCGTCAGACGTGAGTGAGGCTATCTTTGTGAATCCAGTTGCTAGCTGACTGCAGACACACGAGGAAGCCCAGAACTGCCCAGCTGACCCAAAGATCATGCACTAAATAAAATGGTGGTTGTTTTAATATGCTAAGCATTGGGGTTGTTTGTTATGTAGTAAAAGCTACACTAATTCAACCTGAATAACCAATCGTGTGTTAAACTCATGGATTGTGTTTTGTGAAGATTTTCAGAACAGAGTTGAACTTCATAGACTCCACTAGTCAGAGAAAACAACTGAATAGAGTGGATAATTGACAATGCGGATGCTGATGAAGGGTGGTAGCAATGGGTGTTGATACTAGCAATGGTACTGA
The DNA here is from genome assembly GCF_000001405.40 of Homo sapiens. Taxonomy (NCBI): domain Eukaryota; kingdom Metazoa; phylum Chordata; class Mammalia; order Primates; family Hominidae; genus Homo; species Homo sapiens. Next base: position 71,807,048 of record NC_000002.12, read on the forward strand.
TGATAATAGTCATGATGATGGTGATGGCAATGTATAATGATGCTTGTGAAGGTGGTGGTGATGGTGATCCTAGTGATGATTGGTGATAACAATGGTGATGATGTTTGTGAAGGAGATGGTGACTATATGATGATTATGGTGTTGATATTACTAGTGGTGAGGGGGCAATGATAGAAGATGGTGATCATGGTGGCAATGATTGTGGTGATGTTAATACACTTGATCTTAGCCAACAGGCTGAGAAGCAATGTAGTTATCTTAATAGTAGTGATTATAAGTGGGGATGATTGTGGTGGTGGTGGTGATGACTCTCAATGATGGTGATGGTGATGGTGATCATGGTGGAGATAATGGAGATAGTGATAAAGATGGCAGTGATGATGAGAGTGATGATGCTTATTGAATGGTGGCAATGTTGGTAATGGTTGTGAAGACTATAGTTATGGTGGTAATGATGGTGGTGATGAAGATGATGGTTTTAATGGCAGTAAGTTGATGATGCTAGCTACAGATATGCCCAGATCTTTATGGCCAGCATGCCTCTTGGTTTGGATTTCTCCTTCCCATTAAAACCCAACCCCAAAATCTAGCTCCCAAGCAAAGAGGGATTTTCTGAGCAAATTGTTCTATGAGCTGAGAAGATTAGAACTCCTGGCACCAATTCCTTTCTTGAGAAGAATTGATGAACCAGAGCCAGGGTATAAGTGGAAGGATGAAGGGCTTGTGCTGTGAGCACTGATTTGGCTTCTTTGAAGACAGAATGAGAGAAAACACATGTAAGGACACACAGCAAGATTGGTCAGCTGTAGGATGAAGGAGGCAAAGTGCATACCCTCTCAAGCCAGAATCCACATCCACAGATCTGGGTCCCTGGATCCTTTTCCCTCTGTCCTGGAGAGAGCCCCACACCTAGGGAGAGAGACATGGACAGTGAGTAAGTCCATGGCCTCATATGGCCAGATGGGGCCACTATGGCAATGTGTCGGGGAAGACCTCCAGGGACCAAAGGCTCAGGCTTGATGGGGATTGGAGTGCTTATCACACCTGCCATCCAAGATGGGAGGAGCCCACCGTGGCTTGCTTGGACCCAGCCACTCTCAGGGTGTGAGCCACAGAATGCACTGTGTGCTGGAGGATGGGAGAGAGTGAAATGAGAGGCTGACGACAGGCTGCTGGCTTAGGGGGGCAGTGTGATCTACGGGGCCATGTGGAGGTCAGCCGTGGGGAGGACAGGGCGGGCCAGAGCTGTCCCAGCTGCAGTGCAGCTGTTCACTGACCGGTCATCCAGACATTGCTGAGAACTGGAAATGCTGCAGTGTTTTACCACCCAGCACAGGCCCTCCTTCTGGTCAGCTAGATGCAGCCCTTGCATCTCCGATCATCCCCAAGATCCTGCTCTGGAAGTACAACCCGTGTTTCTCCCTGGCTGAATGGGGAACCCCCCATAATTAAACACAGAGACACAACTGGGAGCCCAGTGAAGTATGTAGGGCTGGGATGTCTTGTCTGCATGGCAAAGGCCCCTCCTCAAACAAGATTCTGAGCAAGTCCCATGACAAGTGTCAGCAGAACTGGGGAGAGAGTAGGGGAGGGCGAATCCCTGATTTAAAATCCCTGATTTAAATCCCTGATTTAAAAAGAACCGAGGAACTAAGTGGCCAGGGCTTGTGGAAGGCCCTGAGATGTCTGCGGACTAGGAAATAAAACTCAGAAAGAGGCTCAAAGGCACTGTGGAGGAAAAGGGGACACAGCTTCTTGAGGCCCAACTGGGTCTTGAGAAAGCTGCAGAGTTTCTGAACATGGGTCAGTGCCTTTCATTGGCTTGAAAATGAGTTTATTTCTGTACCTGGGTCTTAATCAGGGCATACCCTGTAATAAGATGCTTGCACCAATGGGTGGCTGGGAACTGAAATGTACCAGGCCTGTGCTCTGCTGTGGGGCTGCATCCTCCCTGAAGAAGGGGCATCTTTTCTTAACCTCACAAAGGCACTGTACAGGCTAATGAAGCACTGCTCTAAATGTGCTTAGAGCGTCTTTTCCAACCCAGCTTGGCTTCATCCCAGTTACTCCAATATGGCCTACAGGCTTTAGCCAGGCCATTGGAAGGGATAAATGGGATAGTATTCTCCAAGCTCTTCCACCACGAAGGCCTGGGGTTAGTTGAGTCAGCCCAATATCTGCAGTGAACACAGACAGGGTCCTTCCTCTTGAGGTGCTTGTGATAGTCACGGGAAGGAAGCCATGGTTACTTAAATGATTACTTAGCATATGCTAAGGGCAATGATGAGAGCACATGAGCTGCACTCACTTTGCCTGAAGGTCAGGTAAGATGTCTCTTTCTGAAGAGGTAACTCTTCCATTGAAATGTGAATGAATGGTAGGAGTTAGCAAGAAGAGAGTGAGGATTGGGAAAGTGTGGTAGGCAGGGGAACAAAGGTAGTGAGGGAGGAGGGAACTTGGACGTGGAGGGTCCTGAAACCCATTGTGGCTGTAATAGGTGAGAAGATGCCCAACTCAAGATAACATGGGAGGGCATTCAGGGTACGGATTGTGCTGAAATTGGTATTCCATTAAGGATGCTGACCTTTACCCTAAAAGCCCTTGAAAGCGCTGGAAGGATTTTAAGCAGGACAATGACATTCTCAGATTTGTATTCTGAAAAATCTCCCTGGCTGCTGAGTGGGAACAACTTCAGAACAGAGAAGGGGGAGGTTGGTTGACAGCAGCTTCATTAGAAAGGCTGGAGCTGCAGAGAAGCAGGTGCTCCCTGGAATTCTGTCTAACTCAAAGGGGGCTCTTGGAATTTAGTCTCCATTCTGCGTACCAAGTTCTGTGTTCCACCCATACCTGGGCTGGACCAGCCTAACCCTTGGTCAGATTTCATCTTGGGCTGGAATCCTGATTGTACTTCATAATCCTTTTTTTTAAATGGAGGAAGAAGATAGAAAGAGCCCAGCACTTTGTATACTGCAGGGTCTTGATCAATACTTGGCAAACGAAGAAACAGTAGAGAAACAGAGAGGCAGTTGGTGAAAACCAACAGTAGAGATGCCCCATCTTTCTGCAATTTGATGAAGTTCTATTATGATCAGGAGAGTAGCGATACAAGGTCAGTATGGAGAAGGGAAAGAAAGAGGAGGAGGGGCAAAGGAGAAAGAGAAGGAAACCTTAGTCAAGAGCTAACTCTGGGCAAAATTTCCACAAAGGCTCTTGTCTTTGACCTGCCCTCATTCCTTTTCTGGAGCACCTCCTCTAGCCAGCCAGAGACAATCACCATGCTCCCAACCCCCATGGGCTCCCAGGGGTCCCTGCTCCTCTACCCACTATCTCTTCCAGACACCCATGTGCCCACAGGGTCCTGGTCTCAGTCGGAAGTGCAGGAACTCTAGAGTATGCATGAGGACAAGGCCTAGACTTTGCAGAGGGCCTTGCATTTAAAAAAAATACTATTCCTCAAACAAATTCACAGTAAGCACATTTTTAGGGAGTTGGGGAAAGGGAAGGAAAAAGTCAAGGTGGTAGAAAGGCAGCTGTTTGGGACTCTGGGCACCTGGGGGATGGCCTTCCCCTCTGAACCTGACCACAGGAGCATCAGGCTCCTCCCACTGTGCCCTTCGTGCCTCCAGATAAGCTCCAGGTCTTCCTCTCCAGAGTCCATGGTCACCATATGGACAAGAGGGGCAGCAGGGAGGGTGGGAGCAGAGGGTATCAGGACTGCGCAGGAAATTCTGGAGTCAACATCTGCTTGGGACTCCCTTTTCAACCCTTTGAGGCCCCACTTTGGAGCCATCTCACCAGAGACCCAAATACATGCAGACAGCCAGGCCGTGACTTAGCACATGGAGTGGAGTTTCAGGAGCCCACATGAATGGGATGAGAGAAGTATGAAATAAGTGACTTCCACATTTTGGAGAGATTCAGGGTGCTGGTGGAGATTCAGGTGAGAGTTAAGGGAGGGAGCTCAGAGATCCCTGGAGACCTCAGGAGAGCTGCACAGTAGTAGAGTCCTCAGAGAGGCCTAGGAGGGGACACAACTGTAGCCCTCTGGAAGGGATAGTGTTTGATTAAAGGGGATAAGGACATCGTAAACACTGCATCACCCTCCATAACATTGGCATTGATGAAGCTGCCATCTTATTTGGGGCTGCTGATGAGAATGACCTAGGTTCTAGTGGGGAAAGAAGTTTGATGAACCCCAGAGTATTGCCATGAGCTTCATACAAGCCAGGGGAAGTGGTGTCCCCTGAGGCCTCAGACATCTGGTCTCTCAGGTGTCTCACATCCCACACTTGAGAGTTGGCTGGATGAGCTTTTGGGGTCATTGTGAGGGGACAGCTGGGGTCAAATGAAGGTGAGAGTTAAGGGTCAATCATTGTGCAGGTCAGGGAGGTCTGAGCCAGGCTTAGGGGACAGCCTGAGGGATAGCTGGTCTTTGATTAGAGTATGGTCTCAGTTTGGGCCTGGTTTATGGGCCTGTCTCTGCTGGGGTGAAGCTAACAGTACAGAAATTATACCCTCAAATGGGGCCTATGCTTTGGGGCTCCAGCTTCATAAGAACTATTCTGAAAGGTCTAAACCAGCAGACTACTTTTCAGGGACAGGGAAAGGGAGTGACAGGACAGGAGGAGCCTCCTGGGTGAGGAGGTGGCAGTTCTTGGGACCTGACAGTGAGGAAGAGAATGAAATGGCCTTGAGGGGAGGTAGAAGGAGGGTTTGTGGAGATTCAGGCCAAGATTCCAGCAGGCAACTGAAAGCCAGAGGCTTGAGAGGTGGTGAGATATTAGAGTGAGATGGGAGAGGGGGCCTGGCTATTCCTGGGAGCCCAGACCATCTTGGAATGCTGTGGAGGAACAAAATGTTCCGGCCTTCCCTGGCGTCTGGAGTCCAAGGATGAGCGATATCTGCCTCCTCATGTTCTGGGTGGCGGCAGGCAGGAGGTGGCCTTGGATCTGGACCCCCTGGGAATCCAGCAAGTGGAAGGAGGTGCTGAGGAAGTAGAGAGGGAGCCAGCATGGAGGAGCAGGGGTGTATAGATGAGGGAGGCTAAAGAAACCCACTCCCTTGACAACATTCATCAGGGCTTTGGGAGCTGGGTCCAGCCAGGCCTCCCTTCCTCTTGACCACTTCCAGAATAGGGGTGAGCCCTGAGTACCCACACCCCAGGATGGCAAAAAAGGAGCCATCAGATGGAACCTTTGAGGTCCATATGGCTGGCGAGTCTGTATCCCACAGGATCGGGGACCATTCCCAAGGCTGTGGCGGACACTGGACACCCAGGAAGAGAGGCAGAGGCCAGAAAGTTCAACCAGGCACTAGGGAGCTATGGGTCCTGGGCAGGTGGGAGGAGTTTGTTCTCTGTATGATGGATTGGTTCGTTTTAGAGAGACCGATGAAGCTGCAATGCGTGGTGAGGGAAGAGAGGATGGACTGCAGGTGTCTGCCCCATGGTGTCTTTCGTTGTCTGTTTCCCATCCATTCTTGGGCTCCTTTTTCTCTCCCATCCTTTTATAGTGAGTTCAGGCCTTTGCACATTCATTCATTCATTCATCCATTCAATAAATATCAAGCATCTCTATTGTGCCAGCACTGCTTGAGAGACTTGGGACAAGAGAACATCTGTGAACAAGAGACACCAAGGTCCAGCCTGCATGGGGCTCGCCTTCCAGTGAGAGCCCAGGTCTGGAAGAGCTGTAGGTGGGAGGCAGTGGGGAGTTGTGGAACAGGGAGGGGGTTTTGGCCATTAATCTGGGAGCTGGGCAGAGCTTGGGCCTCTGGGAGGAGATTAAGAGCGAGGTCCAGGCCTGGGCTTCAGAGTGATGCTAAGAGGATCTCACAGCAGAGCTTCAGACTCAGGAACAAGTTTGGTTGGATACTGGCACAAGGTAGAACCCTTTGGCAGGCTGTGGGCCCAGGGTCCAGGCTGCCTGAGGATGGGCCCTACACTGCCCAGGCCCCTCCTCCCTCTGGCCCACCTGAGTGTCAGGAACAGAGGGGTGTGTGCTGGGGACTGTATGCAGAGTGGGTCCTGGCTCTGTTCAGAGCATGCGCTGGCTGTCTGATCTGGGGGGCTCTGTCTTCCCATCCTCTTAGGCTGGTGAAGGATTCAACATTTTCAGCAGAAGATCCTCCAAGGGAGGATTTCTTCTGGAATACTTCAAATTGCCTTTTTTGCTTCCTGGGTGCCTGAGAAGCTGTAGTTTCATGTTAGTCCCCACTATGTCGGTGGGGTGAGAGGTCAGGATTTGTCTCCCTCTTCTACAAATGGGCACACTGAGTTCCTGACCATTCAGGGTGAGCTCAATGCTACAAACACAGCTGGTGGTAGAATGAGGCCTGCATGCCTGCTCTGCAGAGTCCGGGCAGCTCCCCTCATTCTGGTGGGACCCAAAGCAGGGGCTGGAGGCAAGGAATGCCTTAGTCTCTCTCAAAGGGACAGAGGAACAAGAAGGAGCAGGTGGGGCCAGAGCTCTGTCGTGTGGTCATGGCTGTGATATAGGGAACCCTAAATGCAGTTCAGATGAGGAAGGAGAATATGTAAGGAAATCCTCCATTTTCCCCTCACCTCCTCTCCCCTGGTTCCTGGGGGCCATGCTGAGCTGAGAATGAAGCCAGAAGTCAGGGCTGCCGGCCCTGATATGGGGGGGATGCCCCACGGAGTCCAGCCTCTTGAAGCAATAGCAGAATGGTGCCTGTGCTGGCCTGTCAGAGACCTCTTGGTGTGCTGGAGCTGAGCTTGCTCAGCGCAACCTTGACCCTCTTCTGCTTGGTCTCTCTCTCCAGCTCTGCTTCTCAGCCTGAACCTGCTTTCCATCCCTGGTACTCTGTTTCCCTGGGACTCTCTTTGCTCTCCCTGTCTCTACTTCTGACCTTCTTTTGCTTCCTATGATTGATCTCCCCGCCAGTTGTGGCCAATCTGTGTCATCGCTACATGGATACCACAAAACTGGTCTCCAGGGAACATCTGCTGGATTCCTTTAGTAGACTATAAGTAGCTGCTCAGATGTGTGTCTTTCCGTGCTTAGGGGCCCTCTGAGCCTTGGGGTACAGCTCTTTCTGATGGCTCATTGATCTTCCTTGGGGGTGTGGGTGGCAGCCGATCCCCCCAGCTCTAGCCCCATCTCCTGGATCTGCATCTCCTGCTCTCAGCCCCAGGGCTGCCTGCACCCCTCCCTTTGCAGGCAGCCTCCTGGCTGACTTCACTCCCTGTCACATTCCTGGCTGTGAAAGGGACCTCTTTCAGGGCCCTGGGGAAATGACATGAGTTTGTTTGTTTTTCTCCTGTCTCTACTTCAAGGGCTCCACTGGCAAAAACAACACCCTGATGACTTCCAGCTCTTCTCCTCCTTTGCCCTGAACATGGGAAAGACAGCCTCCACTTTCAGATGTGTCAGCTGACAGAGGAGGAGCAAAGGGGGTAGTCTTTAGGATGGCCACCTGTCCCACTGCCCTTTTGTGGAGCAGGTACAGAGCCACCTGGTACCCACAAAGGCACCTCTATGTACCCACCCCAGTGACCTCCCAGGAGAGGCGGGAAGACTATTGTTTAAAACTAAGGGTTGGGTAAGGCATGCCTCAACTCAGAGAAATGGAGGTAAAGAGCAAATATTGAGACAGCTTGTAAGATCAGAAAGCTTTTCCAGCACCTCTCACACCACACTGTGCAAGATTAAGCCTTCTCAGAGTGATGGTGTGTGCTCCTGTACAGCTTAACTCTGTTGAACCTTCAGAATCACGATTAGGAGAGACTGCCCTCTCACTGGCAGAATCAGTAAGAAGGCATAGTAGGCACCTGGGGCACAGCAGGTGTCCACTCTCCAGGCTCCAAAGATGAGCTTCTGAAGACCAGACTCTCTTTTAAGGAACAAAGAAGGCAGCTGCAGTTGCCTTTAAGGGACAGTGCTTGGGTAAAAGAGGCCAGTGTTGAAAGTCCATGGATGAACAGGGTGAATAACTGAGGACATTGTACATATCATATCCGCCTCCACAACCTTGCCATCAGTGGGGCCACCATCTTGGGCCTTGGGTCTATGGCCTAGGTTCTAATAAGGGAAGAAGTTGAACTGACCCCAAGAGGAGAGCAGAGCTTTATTAACAGGAACGTTGTGTGTAAACTCCAGACAAGCCCAGCAGCCACAGAGAAGTGGCCCAGGGTCAGAGTAGGACTCCAAAGAACCCTTTTGATGGCAGAGGCATCTCTATGAAGCAGTGAATGCAGGGATAGCTCTAGGGATATTTAGGAACACTTAGGGAGCCAAACAAGAGCTGCATGACTATCCAGTCCATCTGCCATGGATTCTTAAAATGCAAGGGAAGCTGATGAGGCTCAAAGTGTCCACACAGAAGCTGATACAGGAAAACAGCAACAAGGAGGCCATGGAGGATGGGACATTCCGCTTCTTCAAAACCTCAGGGTTCAGGCCTCTGCTCCCCACTTAGGAGGAGCAGCCACTTGCCCTAAGAAAAACCATTGCATAAAATTCACTTGAGGTTGCAGAGGAGAAACAGTGTCATCTTAAGCTTTTTCAAATGTCTGCTTTGTGTCTGCCATGGTGGACAAGACTTTGGCTGATTTGATTCCATAAGGTTAGACCTATGGCCCTTCCCTTGTAAGCCTTTTGCCTTATGAGAAAACAGACACTAGCCTTTGGGGAACTTCTGTTTGTTCTGATCAGTAAAATACATTTTCTTCCCTGGTGAGCTAGGTCTCAGGGAACCTCACCCTTGTAGATCCACTGCTCAGCCTAAAGAATAAAGAGGACTCATGGACATGAGACATATGCACAGGAACACAGAATGAACAGTGATTGCAGCAGGCTCAAAACTATGCTGGGGGGGGTGTTGGGTAGACCATGGAGAGTGGAACCAGCTGAAGTTGACCAGGAGAGCCGTCTGAGGAGTCTTCAAAGACAATGAGAGGCATAGATTGGAAGAGAGGTGAAAAGAGGTGTCATGGAAGAGAGGCTGGTAGGAATGAAAAGCCCTGTGTGGCTGTGCACCAACAGAATGGTGCTGTTGGAGGCCACCAGCATCAGCATTCTAGCGTCTCAGGACAGATAAAGACCATCCGGCCCAAACTGAGTTGTTGTCTCTGCGTTTCCCTGACATCATATTTTCTCCTCGTCCCTGACTTTTGAACATGCTTCATGGAGCTGTCTGTATTCCTCTTGACATGTAGTATTCAGAACTTAATCTCTCTTCTACTCATTCAATCAACATATTTAGCATATTCTATTTTCTAGGTACCATGCTGAGGGCCAGGAGTACAAAGATGAATAAGAGCCAGTTTGGTCTTCAGGGAGTCATTAGTCTAATGCAGTTGTGTTCAATAGAACTTTCTGTGATGAAGAAAATGTTCTCAATCTGTATTGTCTAACATGGAAGCCTCTAGCTACATGTAGCTACTGTGTACTAAAATGTGGCTAGGGCAGTTGAATAATTGAGTTTTTAATGTTATTGAATTGTAATTAATTTAACTTTAAACATAACATTCCCCTGTGGCTAAGCGAAGCTATATTAGACAGCACAATCTAAAGGGAAAGAGACAAGTAACCAGGCTGTTACATGATCAGGACAGCATGGTCAGAGCTGTCACTGTGGTTGGGTCAAGGAAGTAGAGGAGAGAGAGTGAATGGATCTGCCTGGGAATTAAGAAGGCTTCCCAAAGAAGGGGGCATTTGAGATAAGTCTGGGATGATCAGCAAGATGTGCTTGATGATGGGGAGGGGGCGTGTGTGGGTAGAAGGCTCACACTAACAATTCTTGTGTGTTTTTTTTTTTTTATAGACTTCCCAGCTGGGCTCTCCCATAGGTTAACCAAAAGAGTTGGGCTTGAGCAAGAAGATGCAGATGTGCTCTGCCCACTGGCCTGGCTCTCTGCCCTCCTCAGTCCCCAGGGGGTGGGTGATGACAGATGGACTCATGACTCTCCCAAGTTTGAGGGATCCAAGGGGCTGAACTGACCCTGGGAATGATGATTGTACCCAAGGGGAGGGTGCGGGGGTATCTGGAGACCATCTGGAAATCTGGGAAGCATTTAGAGGAAAAGGATTGACGCAGCGGGAGTAGGTTTCTGGGAGCCAGTTCTCAAGAGGAGGCCAAGAGCTACTCCCAGGGTCAAACCAATCCTTCCGTCCAGATGGAACAATGGGGGAGCAGTGCTTGGGGCACTGTGGGGCAGTTGGAGAACAGCTATTGCGGGGCTTGGCCAAAGAGTAGGAGATAGGGTTTTCCAGGGCTCTTCTGTGCTCTAGAGTCCTTGGTGGTTGACGCCACCGCCACCAGACTAAGGTCCCCCGTGGATGAGGCCTAGTGTGTTGCCCTAGAGAAGAGGGAGTTCAAAAGGTAGATATTTAATTTCTGCATGCCTAAAGTAGAACTCCTGATTTATCCTTTGAAGACTCACCACACCCTCAAGCGTTTCCATCTCAAGATAGCGACACCACCCAACAAGCCACACCATTCAGAAGCCTGGGAGTAATTGTGGATTCTCCCCTCTTTCTTATTTCCCACAATGTCTACATCATTAGCAGGTTTTGCTGATTCTCCCTCCAAAATACATCTCTAGATCATTTACTTCTCTCCATTTCCACTGACACAATTTTGTCCAAGCTCCTCTAATTTTTCAACTGGGAATTTGCCTTTAACCAGTGTTCCTATTTCCTAAGCTTCCCTCTTCAATCTATTTTACACCTAGAGGTTTGAGCAATTTTTTAAAATTAGGTTTTTTATTCACCTGCCTAAAACATTTTCTATGGGTTTTCATTGTACTTGGAATAAAATCCATCCTCCTTAACAAGGTCAAAAAAGGGCCTGCATGACTCGGTCCTGATCCATCTTCAACATCCTCTCACAGAAGTAGCCCCCTGCGCAGGATGCTCCTGTACATGGTTGAGTCTTCCAGTTCTTCAGAGAAGCCAAACGCTCTCCTGCTGCCAAGAATTTGCCTATGTAGTGGCTGCTCTCCCTTTTCTCACCCTTGACACTTCCATGTGTGTATCCTCTCTCCTTCTCTCCCACAGCACATTCTTTCTTTACTTTCCTTCATAACAGAATTTAACATTTGTTTTCTCGTTGACTGTCTCTTTCACTAAACTCTAAAGTCTGTCAAAGCAGGCATGTGTTCTTCACTATATACTAAGCAGCTGGTGGGCTGCCTTGCACACAGAAGGGACTAAAGAAGTATGCATCAAAAAGATACATACTTATTTACATGAAAAAGAGTTGTTTTCCTTTTTTGCAGTCCTACAAAATCAACACTGTTCTCTGGTAGGAAGAGACGGCTAACCCAAGGGCTTCCCACATTGGCTTTCGCTGTTACTGAAGTTTGTCCTACATTTTCCCAATCTCTCTTCAGCAAATGTCAGATAAGTCAGACTTTTCAGGGATTACTAAAGTCCTGTGGATTTTCCAGCAACTCTGATTCATTTTTATGTCAATTCTAGTGTTTGTGAACACAGAGCTGGTAGTTGCATGAACATTGTGATGGGGCCAATCCTTTCCCAGTCGAGGACTGACTAGGATTTCCATAAAATTTTTATTTTCCTAACACCTCTCCATCTCTAGAAAAAAATGTGTGTGGTGTGAGAATAGGAGACCTCCATCCCTGAGAACCCTTTTAGACAGCAGGGGACCAAGTAGCCAATCCTGATGAAAAGGTCTCTGTGGACCAGAAGAAGCTTCAGGCCCAGGTAATGTCAGACGTAGGCGTGGGGAAGGAAACTGTTTCCTCTTTTCCTGAACTTTCATTTTCATATTTATGGTCTTTCTTCTGAGCATTATAGATCAGCCCTCAAGGCAATATGGTAGTGAGGCTGAGAGCTCAGGCTTTGCAGGCAGACTGCCTGGGCTCAAAACCTATGTGACTGGGGCAAGTCACAGGATGGCTGTCCCAGTGTCCTGATCTGTCTTCTGAGTGCCTCTCCCCCTCCATCAGACTTTAATCCTGTCTGTTACCTCCAAGACCATTCTAATAGAGGTCATATGGAAGGAGCAGTTGGTGGATTGGGCTATCCTGGGTGCCTGCTTCTAACATGGTTACCATCCTTGTGGCTCATGTCCTGGAAGGGCACAGACCTAAAGTCTGGGTCTGAAAACAGAGCCAGCTGCCATATCCTCAAACTTGGCTCACAAATGCCCTCCATAGATGCTCACCACATTTCTCTCCTTTAACCAGGAGCTCACCCATAATGGAAAAATGTCACAACTTGCTCATTGCTTTTTATTTAAAAAAAAGTCTGTTCACTCTGCCCCACATTATAAAAGCAATTCACAGAAATGCAGAAATGGTTCAATGTTAAGAAATGTATTCATGTAATGTATCACACAAATAAGACATCAAATGCATAATCATTTATTTTTAATTAAAAATTTTCAATCAGCTTGACGTAGAATGATATTTTCTTACTTAGTAAAGAGTATCAAAGTTTATCCAGATAACTTTGTCCAAAATGGTAAAATACCAATAAAGTCAGGGAATACTATTGCTACAGTTTTTCAGCTTAGTTCTGAACATCCTAGACAATGCAATAAGAAAAAAAATGAGTAGCACAAATATGGGAAATGAAGAGGCAACAACACCACTATTTTCATAATTTCATTTCATTTGATTGTCTCCAAATTGGATATCTATTGGCTCTCCAGCATCTGTTGCTTCTTCTTCCTCACCAATTTCACTTGAGGATCCATTCCTTCATACAGTCTTGCTCCATGTAATCTGGATGGAACTCCTCTTTCAGCAAAAGAGTGAAGTCTGTGACCCAGGCCTAGCCAATTAAAACACTCCATGCCCTTAGGTCATTTGGTGATGGCCATGACCAAGTGCATGTAGCCTGAGAATTAATCTTACAGATCCAAAGGCCAAGGAGAGATATGGAGAAAAACTACATTTTCCTAATGTCAGTCTTTCCTCTGGATTTTTCTTTCTGAGAGCAAATATGTTTGCTTTTTGTTTTTAAAAAATTAAAATTAAAAATTCCTAGTTAATACAGCTACTAAAAAATACAAAAGAATAAATGGAAAAGCGATGATAATTAATATGAGGATATCCTAAGTTAGCTAAATATAAGATAAACATAGCTTTTCTATATGTTGTCAATAATCATTAGAAAATAAAACTAAATTATTTCTCATTAGCAATAGTAAAAAAAAATCATAAACTTCACAATAAATATTCAACATCTGCAAGGAAACCATAGATGTCACTGAATGATGAAACACTTGTTTCAATGGAAAGACAGATTCATTATTGCAAAGATGGCAACACTCCCCCAAATCAACCAATAAATTCAATGGAATTCCATCAAGTCCCAATTTTCTTTTCTTTTTTGAAATTATGTGGTTTAGCATATTGGTTGTAAAGTTCATTTGAAAGAGTAAATGAAAGAAAATGGCATAGGTTATTTTGTTTGAGAAGAGTCCAGCCAGATACCAAAATATTCTATAAAGCAACACTAACCAAAACTATGCAATATTGATGCAAGCACAAATAGACAAGGAAATAGAGAATGGTGTCTAGCAACAGATTCATGTATATTTTTGAAAATTTAGTATATGTATTAGTCCATTCTCATGCTACTAATAAAGACATACCCGAGACCGGGTAATTTATAAAGGAAAGAGGTTTAATTGACTCGCAGTTCAGCACGGCTAGGGAGGCCTCGGGAAACTTACAATCATAGCAGAAGGGGAAGCAAACATGTCCTTCTTCACATGGTGGCAGCAAGGAGAAGGGTCAAGCAAAAGGGGAAAAAGCCCCTTACAAAACCATCAGATCTCCTGAGAATTCACTCATTATCATGAGAACAGCATGGAGGTAACCACCCCCATGATTCAGTTACCTCCTACCAGGTCCCTCCCACAACACATGGGGATTGTGAGAACTACAATTCAAGATGAGATTTGGGTGGAGACATAGCCAAATCATATCAGTATATAATAAACATTTCATTTCAAGGCAGTGCCAGATGAATAGTTTATGCAAAAAAGAAATGGAGTTGGGACTAATAACTATCCTTTAAAAAAATAAAATTCCTTTCTCACATCCTACACAAAATATTAATTCCATATAGTTTAAAGATTTATAGAGCAAACTGTATAAAATTAGAATAAAATATAAGCATTTAAAAATAGCTTTATTGAGATATAATTCACATACCATCCAAGTCACACATTTAAAGTGTACTATTCAATGGCTTTTAGTATATTCGCTGTTATACAACCACCACCACAATTGGTTTTAGAACATTTCCATCACTCCCCTGAAAAAATCATTTTCCCCCCACATTACTTCTCTAGCCCCAGGCAATCATTAGTCTACTTTCCTGCTCATAGATTTGCCTATTCTGGACATTTCATACAAATGAAAACATATATGTGGTATTTTTGTGATTGGCTTGTTTCATTTATCATAATGTTCTCTAGGTTCATCCATGTTGTAGCATATCTCAGTACTCCTGTTTATTGCCAAATTGTGTTTCATTATATGGATACACCACATTTTATTTATTTATTCATTAGTGTAAGGAATTTGAGGGTTGTGTCCATTTTTTTGGTTATTAAGAATATTGCTGTTATGAACATTTGTGTACAATATTTGTGTGTGTTCACGTGAAGATTTGGTTTTATTTCTCTTGGGGATTTATGTAGGAGTGGAATTGCTGGGTCCTATGGTAACTCTATGTTTATTCTTTTAAGAAATTGCTAGACTCTTCCCAAAATGGCTGTACTGTTTTGCAGCAGTGTATAAAGGTTCCAATTTCGCTACTTGTTATTATATAACCTATTTTTACAAGTAAAATTTATTTTTATTTTTTACAGGTTTTATTTTGTTTCTAATTAACACATAAGAGTTGTACATATTTATGTGGTACAGTGTGATATTTTGATACATACATTGTGTAGTGATCAAATCAGGGTAATTAGCATATCTAGCATCTCAAACATTTGTCATTTCTTTGTGGTGAGATCATTCAAAATCCTCTCTTCTAGCTATTTTGAAGTATACAGTACATTACTATTCACTATAGTCACCCTACTATGCAATAGAATACCAGAACTTATTTCTCCTATCTAATCACAACTTTAAACCTGTTGGCCAACCTCTCCCCATTATCTTCTCTCCACTACTCTCTCCTCAGCCTCTGGTAACCACTATTCTACTCTCTACTTCTGTAAGATCAGCTTTTTAAGATTTCACATATGAGGGAGATCATGCAGTATTTGGCCTTCTGTGCTTAGCCTATTTCCCTGAACATGATGTCGTTCAGGTCCATCCATGTGGTCCCAAATGACTGGATTTCATTCTTTTTATGGCTGAATAGTATCCCATTGTATATGGACATCGTGTTTTCTTTATCCATTCATCCATTGATGGACACTTAGGTTGATTCCATATCTTGGCTATTGTGAATAGTGCTGCAATGAATACAGGAGTGCAGATATCTCTTCAGCATACTTATTTCATTTCCCTTGAATATATACCCAGTAGTGGGATTGCTGGATCATATCATAGTTCCATTTTTAATTTTTTGAGGACTGTTATCCATAATGACTGTACTAACTTACATTTCCACAGACAGTGTACAAGGTTTTCCCTTTAACCACATCCTTGCCAACATCTATCATTCTGTCTTTTTGATAAAAGCCATTCTAACTGGGATAAGATGGTATCTCATGGTGGTTTTGATTCACATTTCTTTGGTGATTAGTAATGTTGAGTATTTTTCCATATACCTTCTAGGCATTTGTATATCTTCTTTTGAGAAATGTCTATTCAAATCACTTGCCCATTTTAAAATCATATTATTTGTTTTTTTTTTTTTTTGCTATTGCGTTCTTTGAGTTTCTTACATATTCTGGATATTAACTCCTTGTGAGATGCATAGTTTGCAAATATTTTTCCCATTATGTAGATTGTCTTTTCACTCTGTTGATAGTTTCTTTTGCTATGCAGCTTTTTAGTTTGATGCAATTCCATTTGTCTATTTTTGCTTTTGTTGCCTGTGCTTTAGAGATCTTAGTTTAAAAAGTCCTTGCCCAGACGAATGTCATGCGGTACTTTTCTTCTGTTTTCTTCTAGTAGCTTCAGTTACAGGTCTCACATTTAAGTCTTTAATCTGTTTTGAGTTGATTTTTGCAAGTGGTGAGAGATAAGGTTCTAGTTTCATTCTTCTGCATAAGGATATCCAGTTTTCCCAGCACCATTCATTGAAGATGCTGTTATCTGACCTTTTGATTATAGTCATCTTCATGGGTGTGTAGAGGTATTTCCTTGCTGTTTTGATTTACATTTCCCTGATGGATAATGATGTTGAGCATCTTTTCATATAAGTATTGGCCATTTGCATATTTGCTCTGGAGAAATATTTATTTTATCCTTTGACATTTTTTTTCTAATTATGGGGTGGGAAAGACCTTGCTAGGCAACACATGAAACTCAGATGTCTTAAAGGAAAAATATTGAAAGATTCAACCACATGAAAAGTGTAAACATCTTTATTTTCAAAGACAACATTAACACAATTAAATAAAAATCATTTTTCCATAGAGAAGAAAATATATGAAACACATATAGCAAGAGTCAATATTTGTAATATATAAAGAAGCCCTACAAATCAATAAGAAAAAAAATCAAACAACTCAAAGCAAACTGGGCAAAGGGTAAGAATGAGCATTTCACAGAAGGGCAAACATCCAGTACACATATGGAACAGTGCCCAACTATTCTTTAGACCTGGGACTACAAGTTATAGCAATAAGAAATTACACATTTTTCCACCACCAGCTTGGCAAACTTTTAATAAATCAATAATACATACAGTATTAGTAGTGGGTGTGAGGAAATAGGAATCTGAGACACCTGGCTGGCATGTACACAATTACAACCCTCTTGAAGGTTCTGACAGGATCTATTCACATTGAATTCATAGGAGAAATCTCACAGTAGTAAAATTGTAGATGGCTTTTGCTTTGTGTGTTTGTGTACTTTTAGAGCATTCTGTATTAAGTATGTTTCAGTTTTTTAGATGGGTTGTAGAATGTCATTTAAAAATCAAAAAGGAACCGGAGATAATCTGTTTCCTGGGAATGTCCAGATGAAAGGATTGTAGGAACATAGACATAGAAATGGTTAAGATGAGGGTATCTGGTTCCCACCTAGGTGCAAATAGTCACAGCACAATGGCTCCCTCTCCAAGAATCAGCCTCTATAAAGGGGAACCTATAAAGGAGAATGCAGAATCCAGGAAACAAAACCACAACCATCACCAGCACCACACACACGCGTGCACACACACACACACACACACACAAACACACACACGCCAGCAAAGAAAAAAAAATAGAAATATCCAGGGAAACTGAAAGGTACTTTGAACTGGTATTTTGGTAAAAACCTGAATGAAAGGTGATTGATAGTGACAATGAGAGGTTAAATGAGAGAAAAGTGGTTTAAGATCTGATCTTGCCTTTTCCCTACATTACATTAGGGCAAGCATTGTGTACCTCTTACGGCAGATTTTGGAGACAGTGGCCGTGCAGTTTGAGCAGGTATCTGTAGGGGTATTGTCTGGGCAATGCACCTACTCCTCTGGAGGAGGTAGTTGGGGAAGACAGGTTGGGACAAGCTCAGCTGCATATTCTATCTTCTTCCTCTCTCACCCTAGGCTAGTGGTTTCTATCCAGAGAGATTGTTCTTTCCACCAACCTTTGGCCTGAGGAGTTGCTTTGAAGTATGATGGTAAACAAGTGTCTCAATGTCTTGGCCCCATGACTACAGTGTGGCCTTCCCTTCTCTACTATGTATTTTAAGACAGTAACTGAGACCCTTGGAGAATACGTGCCCAAATAACCCTGAGGGAATGCCACCACCTCAAGAGTAAAACCGCATTACTTCTGAAGTAGGAATATTAGAAAACTGGATTGAAAATTTAAAATAAGCTAAACACATTTACAGAAATGGAGCACCATATATGTAATACTATGAAATGACAATTTTAAAAATTTTAAAAGTACCCGGTAGAATTATTACATAAGAGAAATATAATAGTTGAAATAAAGAACATGATACACAAATAAATAATAGTATGAATACAGCCGGAGAACAAATTAATGAATTGGAAGATCAGATTGAGGAAGCTTTCCAGAAGGTGATAGGAAAGGATAAAGGAATAGAACATACACAAAAAAAGTTAAAGAAGATAGAGTATGCAAGTGTTAACATCCAGATAATAAGAGTCCCAGAAGAAGATAAAAGCATAAGAATTAAGAAGATAAAAATATATAGAAAGTATTTGATAAAATAATAGAGAAATGTTTGCCAGAATTAAAAAATAAATAATATGAGATTAAATGGATCAATAAAGTGCAATAAAGTGCAAACAGGAGAAAGAAGGAAAATCTCACTCCTGAATACACTACAGTAAAATATAAGAATATGAAAGAAGAGAACATTTTAAAAGCTTCTTTAGAGAAAGGACTGAACAACTACAAAGGTGCAAGAGCTGTATTGACATCAGACTTCTGAATAGCAGCAGCAGAGTAAAAAAGACAATGGATTAATATTTTTTAAATATTGAAGGAAAACCTTTGAATTAAGACTTTTGTATATACCCAAATTGTCATTTGAATGACATAATAAAAATATTCCCAGTTATACATGGGCTCAGATGACCAGCTGCAAAAGACGCACACTGAAGATACTTTTTGAAGTATCTTTTAAGAAAAGAGCTAAATTCTAGAGCTACTGCAAGATATTTTAGATTCAAAGGTGGTGAAAAATCTTGTTAAACTTATATGTCTATTTGTAGTTATAAGAACAAGGAAAAGAAAAAAAGTATACATCCATGTACTACTTACATGGATGAATCCATACATTTTGGATGAAACATTATTTAGAATGAAAAAAAGAAACTTCAGAAGGTTCTGGCCCTCAGCTCTAATCCCACAAGTTTGAAAACAAATAAAACTAAAGAATTATGTTTTAAAATACATATATACATATATAAGTTTAAATGAGTTTTTTTTTAAAAAAGCAAGAGAATGATAAGGAGATGGGGCCAGGCAACAGGATTGGGGAGGAAAATAGGTAGTTGTAAATTGTCTGTAATGTTCTGTTTCTTGAGATGGGTGGTGGTCTGTGGGTGTTTATTTTCTTAAAAATAAACAAATACATATATAAGAAATAAAGGAAATCCACATGTGAACTAATGATGATGAATCATGGAGCAGACACTGTAACTCTGCACCTGAAGTCCATAAGAAGAAAAGGTAAAGGAAATGTAAGACAATCGCATTTATTTGTTTTCTTGAAGTTGCAAACTATTCATAACCAGTGTCAGGAGCTTCTGCATGAATTTCACCTGGAGCAGGAATGGGTCCAAAGGTTCACATGTGTCCCTGGCAGGGCACTTCACATTAGATGCCTTGAGTTACAAGGAGGGGTGTGGACACACAGTCAAAGAGAGGCAGGGTGGAGGGTGATCAATACATAAGTTTTAAGGTCAGAGAGCCTGGTTTCAACATCTAGCCCTGCCACTTTCCAGGGGAACAGCTGTGGATGAATTATTTAACCCGTCTGAGCATGATACAATGATATATGTACACAATGCCTTGCCTGATAAAACGATAAATGATCATGTTGCAAAATGCTTGGCACATAGCATGTGCTCAAAAGGATTAGCAAAACATAATGAGAATGAGGACTAGTATAATAAAATAAGAAAGAAGAAATAAGAAGCACTTCTAAAAAAAATCCCGAGAGATTTGAGTTGGGTTCTTTGACCGAAGATTGCTGTTAGATTCTACAATCCTGTAATAGTTCATCAACCTCCATCACTTGCCTTTGGTTTTGTTTTGTTTATTTCTTAGTTTCCTAGTAAACATTTTGAGAAAGTCCAATCTTATTTTAGCTAAGTGAAGGGGGAAAGGGACTTGGCTGGAAGAGCAAAGAGGAAGCTCTTACATTCCTGGGGAAGGCTGCCGCCCAGGCCTCCTAGGAGGAGATAAGCCAGGCGAAAGGAGTTAGGGATGCAGGACTGGGAAGGGAATCTCACGTTTGTTGTCTTTCCAGAGTCAAGTACCACATGTAGTGTTCTGGCAAAGGGCAGAGCAAGGTTGGGTAAGGTCGCATTCAGTCTTAAAACCTCAAGACTCTGCACCCTAGGTGAAGTCAAGGTCTTCTAGGTAGCAATGAGTGAAGAGAACTCAGGGAAGCCCCATGCTAGCAGTTTACAAGTCCACCTTCCACCATCTTGCTCAAGAGGGTTGCAAATGGCCATCCCTTTGCAGGTCTTCCCAGCAAGAGACTACTTTCCCAGCCTAGGCTCTGAATCCTCTAAGGTCTTCTGCCTTCTCTGGATCCCCTAGAGGTCTGATCTGGGCCACTTTCCCCACCAGGCCCCCAGGCCTCTGCTTTAGTTACCGGTAAGGACACAGAGGTACAGAGATGCATGTCATCAACTTCCCTGCCTTCTGGAAGCCAGTGACTCTGGGCCTTGAGGTCATGTAGGCCTCTGTGGATCCCCAGGCTCTCTCTGCAGTCTTTGCTGGGGTTTCTGGGAGTTTCCCGGATTGTCTCCAGTTTGCCTGTAATGCGCCCTCTTCCTCTCCATCCTGCTGCCCCTCCAGCTCCCTTCCGGCAAACCCTTGGGAAGGTGCCAGAGTTCCCTCTCCCAGCGTGCAAAAGCTCCTGTTGCTAAGGCACTGGTCCTGGCGGCAGCTGGCAGGACATATGGACAACCTCACAGTGTGATTGGTCATGGGATGGGTGGAGGCCCCAAAAGATGTCTTTTGATAGCTGATGGTCTTGGTCTCAAGTTGACTCCTTGGTGTCATCTGAATCTTCGTTTAGTTCAATGCTTCATCTTTTGTCTTCCTGCTTCCCTGAAATAAGGAATGACAAACAATCCTAGAACTGGAGCCACATGTCCCCAAATGCGTGTGGCTCAGCATTGGCCATGTTTTTCCAATTATTCCTTGCTCTGAATGCCACAGCTAATATGCGCGTGCACACTCACACACATACCCAGGGCAATTTTTAGCCAGAAATTCAGGCTCCTCTTTTCCCAGAACCCTTTGGCCCTTCAAGACCTTGCCCCACCCAGCCCCTCCATCCCTGCTCTACACCCTCTGCAGCCCCTGGCCCTTGGGCTCACCCCTGCCCTGGGAAAGTCACTCTCTCAAGACAAGATGTCCTGGTTTATGTGTTGCCCAGCACGCCTTCTCACCCGCCTGGGGATTTCTAAATCCTACCCATTCTTGAGATCCGGGGTGAGGCTGTCCACCATGACAGCTTCCCAAGGTCTGGCACCCACGCCCATCTCCCTGAAGGAGCAACTCCCAGCCTTATTGAATTAAGAATACCTACCATAAATCTTAACAAATATTTCAGGCTGATCACAAAAGGAAAGTATGTTCATTGGAAATACAGATAAACAAAATAAAGAAAATATAACCTGCCCCATTTCCTCTACTTAGGGTTAACCACCATTCACATCTTAGTGAAGGTCTAAAATGAAGGTTTTTTCCTGCACACACACACGCACACACCCTTGCTGTTTTAAAGAAAGCGAATTAGACTCATACTTACATATGGCTTTATAACTGTGTTTTTTCACTCAACAGTGTGTTGTGAGCAGCTTTCCACAAATAATCCCTTTTTTAATGTCAAAAGATTTCATGAATGACCACATAAGAAAGAGCATTTATACTTTTAAAGAAACATTTTATTATGGAAAATGTCAAACATACAAAAGTTGAGACAAGAGTATAATAATCCCCCAAATACTCATCATCCAGCTTCAATAATTATTAACATTCTCTCCTTCCAGTTTCATCCACCCCTGCCTTTTTTCCCTCGAGTATTTTAAATAAAAGGCCAGATATTGTTTTATGTCCCTGTAAACAACAATTGTCTTTATAAGGTCTGCTGCTTGAGAAAATGCATAGCAACCCAAAGGGAGTCTGCATTCAGGACCACTTTCAAATGAATCTGCATTTTATTTGTGACAGCAGCATTGATGATTTGAAAAATAGTCCCACATATACGTGCAAGTTGTATTATTTATTCAGCCTTCGGTCGATGCTTGTAGGGCATATGGATGTACAGATCTCTTGCAAGAGCTCCAGCCCACAAGCCAGGCACTGCTGGTCTGATCCACTAACTCAGGCATTCAATCAAACTCTCTCTTGCATTTTTCGCCAGTTGGTTCACACATGTGAGTTTCCTCTCCTAACTCCACCACTCCACCCTTAAATCCCAACGCCTGGGATCATGTCGGCTTCTCTCCTGCACACAAGGTTGTAAGTATCAAACTAAATTCTGGCCATAAAGTTGCTTCAAGTGAGGAGTCTCATTCTACATTGAGGAAACTGAGGCCGCAGAGGAGGAAGGATTTCTTTAGGAGCAGAGATGGAATTGTAGGTCTCCTATCTCTTAGCCTTTCCTTTCCACCTTAATCCACTGCCTTGTGGGCAGAATTTCACAGAATGTACAGGATATGGGGGGAGTGTGACCTTGAGAACGGCATATTCAGCATCTTCACTGAATTACTGCTGCCCTGGCTTCTTGTTGGGACTCCAGGGAGGTTTGGGGCCTGAATCTGGCTGCTCACCTCCCTTCCTTCCAGGTTTCCTGCCAAGGGAATCACAGCATAAGGATAAAATCCAAAAGGGAAACACAGTAGTAGCTCAATCTCTGATGAGTGCCCAGTATCTCCCTGAAGCAGGACTTCTCTGATAAGCTGGGCTGGCCCCAGAGACCCTTTCCTGGAAGCCCAAGGGATGTTTCCTGTCCCCAAGTCCCTAACATCCACGTCTCCACCTAGCTATAGGCTGGAAATGTCCCATCCACCTACCCACAGGCAAACAGAGAAAGACATGGCTGCTTTTGTGTCTGGGAGGTGTGACACAGCACAGTAAGCGAGAGTGGGCAGGAAGGTGGTCGTGCCTGCCTGGGAAGGCTGAGTCCCAGGAAGTGAGAGGGAAAGGAAGGTGGTATCTGAGTGAGCCCACTCTCAGAAAGCCTGGTCAAGGGAGCATTCTGCTCTGACTAGAGCAACGCGTTTCTCAAGGACCAGATAGGAGGAAGATGAGGAGGAGGTTCATGATCATTCCCCCTGCCATGCCCAAGGTTGGAGAGAAGCTAGGAGGACTTCCCTCCCTTTGTGAGTCAAGCTGAGCTGTAGAGGTAAGCATCCTGGCTCTTCTCCAGAATATTGAAAGATTTAATGTTTACTATTCTGACCATAATCTGTAGTTACTTTGTTAAAACTGAGATAGACTGATGTCTTTGTGAGCCACTGTACTGTTTGTATGTTATAATTACACACTAAATTGTGCTATAGAAAGTCTACATATTTATTCCTCATTTCCATTTTTCTGCCCGAAGTTTTAGATTTAAAAACTAATTTTCTTCTCTCACCCTCCCTCCATCTCTCCCTTCCTTCCTTCTATCGACCTGCAACTTTTAGAGACCTGCTAGGGGTCAGATTGTTTGCTTACGCCCAGGGCTTTTGTAGTTCAGAGGCTCCCACATTCAGAGTGAGACAGCTGGACTGAGGCAGTGAGAAGGAGAGGGCCCTGGGGGAAGAGCAAAGGTACAGTTGTATAGGAATGGTCAGCCATGAGACACACCCTTGACTCCACGTGTCCTCATTCCTGCCACTAAAGAATAAAAATCCCAGTCAGTTACAACGGCAGCAATCGAAATCCAGCTTCTGATGTGAGATCTCACCAGGGCCCCCAGAGGTTCAACCAAAGGGAGGAG
Organism: Homo sapiens; assembly: GCF_000001405.40. Taxonomy (NCBI): domain Eukaryota; kingdom Metazoa; phylum Chordata; class Mammalia; order Primates; family Hominidae; genus Homo; species Homo sapiens. The sequence continues at coordinate 71,830,809 of NC_000002.12, forward strand.
GCACAGGGCAAAGCCCAGGCAGAGATTCCTCACGCTCCTCCCCCGACTGCCATTAAGAAGATTCTTTTATAAGAAGATCAATCTAACCTTCAGAAATTGAGGGAAAGATAGACCATCCAGTGGCACATTGTGTGATTCAGGTTCTTAGTCAAAAGGAGCTTAGAAGCCTGGGAGCCTCCCCAGAAGAGGTCAGAGGTGATCTGTGAGATGAATATGAGTCCTGAACAAGCTGAGGATAAACCACGAGGAGAAGAGAGAGTGCTTCGGGGAGGGGAGAATGCAGACAAAGTTTGGGAGGTAGGAAGGAGCCCAGCCTGCTCTGGAGATGGAGAGGAGCCAGGCCTGGGTAGAAGGCAGGTGTGTAAGCCCCGAGGAGAGAGTGATGGATAGGCTGGTGAGGAAACAGCAGATTTCAGGGGCCTGCATCAGATGCATTTGTAGGACACTCTCTTGGAATTTTTCTGGAGAGGTAGGGAATCTGGGTCTGCGTGTATTTTTAGCCTGTCTTTTCTGCCCTCTTCTGAGCAATGATTCTAAGAGCTTTCAGCCTGAGGTCATCTGTTTTCCTAGTGCCTGTTCCAGGGAAGCAGATGCCAGCACCACTACCTCACACAGAGGCTGCTGCCGCCCCAGCGCTGACCCCAGGAGAGCGACGTGTCCACTGCACCACGGGAGCAGGCTGTAGGAGGCTGCCCCATGGGAGGCTCCACAGTCCCGAGCTCTGCCAGAATGTCACCCTTCTGTTCTGGCATGACCCTAGAGGAGAGTTTCTTTGAGGTCCATGGGAAGCCCCAGATGCCTGTCCCCATTTCCTTCAGGGCCAATATGGGCACCCCTCAGGCTGGAAGGCTGTGGAAGGACGCGGGTTGTGGGATCCAGCCCTCAGGATTGCAAATGTCTGCCTCAACCTTGTTTCCCGGGAATTCTGCCCTTCCTGTCTGTCTTGTTACCTTCCAGCTCCCTGCCTCTCCATCGCCATTTCCTACCTCTCTGCCAGCAAAGCAGGGGCAGGTTATTTTCTAAGACTCTGCTTTCTCCATTTAGGAATCTATAGTGCACACAACGGCTCCTAGAGGAGAGTTCATTTGCTCCCTCGCTACAACCCAGTCTAAAGCTTCTTTTCTGTGCTCTAGGTTCATGTTTTCAAGTCCTCAGTGGACATGACTACTGGAGAATCATGACCCAAAACAATTCACAGTCTTCCCTCCAGAATGTAACTCCTTTCGGCCATCTTGTTTATGTCAGGGATGCCTCCAGTCTCCTCCCAGGCTGAGCCCCTGGGACATGGCTCCTCTTCTTTACCTCCCACATCCAGTTAGGCAGCAAAATGGGTCCATCCTTTCTCAGCACCACTTTTCCATTTCTGCCACATCTACCATTTCAATCCCAGCTCTCCTTGTTGCTTGGCAGGATGACCCCCACAGCCCCCAAGTGGTACCTTCCCTGAAACCCCTTCTTACCCTGCCCCTCTGCAATGCCACTGCCACCCCTTCACAAGTCTTCTGTTACCTCTTTTCTTGTCTCATCAAATCTCAAGTCTTTGCTCTGGCTGCAAGGTCTTTACCTGGTTCCCCGCTTCTGCCCAGCTTTAGCTTCTCTTCCCCTCCTCCTCTCTTCCACTCCTGTCATTCTGAGTCGCTCACCATCCCTGAAACATATCTAGCTTATTCCCCTTAGGGGATCTCTGTCCTGTGGATCCCCCACCTTCCTCCCTTCTCTCCACTGTATGTCAGATCCCTAGCAAGGATTTAATTAGCCAAAGGCAAACTCAAATTTCCTTCTCAAAGTTTACAAACATTCCTGCCTGGAACTGTCCTCAGATACAGCTTCTAAGTCACAGAAGAAAATTCTTCTCATTGCTAAAATATTTTAGCCATTATTTTTATTTTTGCCAGAGTGGTATTACTCAGTTTGGTGACCCAGGCTTATTAATATGATTCTGCTGAAAAACATAGAACAAGACATGAGCAGACATGGAAGAGATTTGTTGGGGGAAATGGCTGTGAGGAATAAAAGAGAAGGAGCTAGAGAAGGGGAGCACAGCCTTCAGATGGCACTGCATGTTGGACTCCTATGGAGGAGAGAAGGAAGAAAGAAGGGCTGGGGAGGAAGAGTCTGAGACTGCAGTGCAGTTCTAAGAAAATTTCATCCATGATGTGGAGTCGGACGGGGAGTGCCTGAGCCAGTCACCTCGCTGTGGTTGGTCACTGGCCAGAGTAGCCCTTGGGAAGCAGGGCCTTGGCACAAGTGATATGGCAGATCTATAAGGACAGCAGCAGGAGCCACCTGTCCATCTGCTCATCACAGCAGGAGTTCCAACAGGGCATTCTCATGGCAGCCACACAACACTTGGTTTCTGCTGCTGAATGAAGATTTGAATGAGGACGCAAACTCCAAATCATTCCAAGGTTGAAGAATTAAATCCAAAAATATGTATTCCTAAAGAGAATTCCCTGAGAGAAGGCAATTTATCTTCATTATCACATCAAGGCTGTGTCACCATCATTACCGCCATCTCCACCATCATCATACTATAACCACCTTAACCATCATCATTACCATCATCATCACCGTATCATCGCCATTCCTCCCATAATCACCACTATCACCTAACCACATCATCACCACTACCATGACCACTATTATTGCCATCAACACTACCACCACCAGCAGGATCATCACCATCATCACCACCACCATTACCACCATCATCGCCATTACCATTGCCATTTCCACCACCATCACCACCAATATTATCATCACTATTTCCATCATCATCATCATCATCACCACCACCATCACCATCATGACCACTACCATTATCATCAGCCACCAGTACTATCACCATTATTACCACCATTATCATTATGAAGTCAGAGAGTATGGTATGGAGAAAAAGAATCTGATTGCAAGGCTTAACACCTGGGCTTTGATCCCATCTCTGCTGCTGATTTGCTGTGTGGCATTGGACAATTCTCTCCATCTCTGTGAATCTTCATTTTATTTTTCTGTTTAGCAAATAATTACAGTGCATCTGCTGAGCCAGGCTCTCCTATCTGGAGGAGTGAGTAGGCCTACTGTAAGTCTGACCAGCTGCCAACTCTGAGGCCAAACAATCAATGGCATTGCATGACATTGACCACACCTAAGGTTTTATGAAAACAGTGGTCATGGTAGCTGCACAACGGGATGTGACCTTGCCCTGTTTAGAATACCCAAGGGCAATAAAAGCAATTTTATATCTTTTCCAGTTCCTGTGGGGAGCAATAAATGCATCACTAAACTCAAAGACCTCAGGAATGAGGAGAAAATTCACTGGAGAACTTGGGCTCAAGCTTTAGCTCATACCTATTAAGGCCTAGGTAGGGTAAGGCCTCCCACACTGGTCGCATGACATATTGTGGCCGAGCTAGGCTGTTGATTCTCAGCCGCCAAGTGTTTCCTGGAGCTGCTGGAGGAGGATGGTGGCTGGGTGGGACCTGTCTGGGATGGGGACAGGAATGTTGCTAGAGTACAGCTCAAGGGTGAAATGAAGGCCATAGGCCCTGGGTGATGACAGAGGCAGCTGCCGCAAGCCAGAGTCCCAGCCACATCTGGGCTTCTGATTGCACAATCCAGCTGTTGGCTGGGCCTGCTGACTCCCCAGTGGGATGGGCTGGCTGGGAGACTGGAGGAGGGTGGGCTAGAGGCCTTGGGAAAATTCAGCACCTGCAGATGAGTCTGGTGAGTCCCTCTTCCTTTCGGAGAGTGCCCTGGCTGAGGATGAAAGTGGGTGGGTGGGGGTCGAAGGATCTTTTTCTGTTCTCAGTATCCCTTTATCCTGCTCTCTGTTACCCCATGTTCCTAAAAAGGGAATTTCCACAGTTCCCTTCCCACCATCCTGGGGATTGGGCAGGGGCGGAGGGTGAACTGAGGGGCAAAGGAGAGATGGAAATTCCCTTAAAGTTGGCAATAGTTGGGGGTGCCATGTGCAGGACTGAAACTACTAATCTGTGGCTTCAAGTTTGTTCCAGGAAGGATGCATTCTTAGCACCCCCCAACCTGAGATCCTTTGTACCCAAGGGTCCCCTGTTCCCTGGAACCTGAAAGAGGTTCTTGAGCTGTTTACTCTCTTGCGCTGTCTACTGTGCATAGGCTGTCTACTCTCTCATTAATCTGTGTCCCTCATCTGACCTCTCCCCATGCAGATGTTAAGGCTGGGACCCAGCAAGAGACAGAGTCCTGAGCCCTCCCTAAAGTCAAGAGCCATGTCTCGCTTTGGGAAAGGAGTTCCCCCATGCTTCCCCCACAAAGCTGGGGTTCCTGGGGGATTGGGTGCAGAGTGCCCCAGGAAGGGAGGAGTTGGGGAGGGGGATTCCTTATTCTCCATGATCAGCAGGAGTGAGGCTCTGTGAGGAATAGAACACCACAGCTAATTTTGGCACTCTATTTTTTTTTTTTTTGAGAACTGGCACAAAACAGAAAATACAATATTTCCTCAATTTTAAGACTTGACTGATTGTGAGAAGCCCTACTGATGTAATAACATGTTTTTATTTTGGTTTGTATTTTTCCTTTGGTGATGGGGTGGAGAGACTTGAGGTGAGAGTGGGCGTGAATTGCCTGACAAGAACTCAAGCCCCTCTTCCTGTATCAGCAAAATTTGGGGCTTTCCAAGATGAAGCCAGAATTCTAACTGTCCAGGTTTCTTCTTGTAATTGTGGCTTGAGTGGAGGTGAGATGGTTGGATGAGAAAGTAAAGTAATTCCCCTCCTTTCCACAACCCCATTCCTAACACACTTCCCATTCCCATTCAAGGGACACATTCTCTGAGGGCCAGAGGGACCTTAAAATACACCTCCAAGTTATGTTCAGATACATTTAGGGGAAGGGACCCCAGAATTCCTGCCCCCAAAGAAATAATCCCATCTCAGGGCCACCTCAGCAGTTAAAGATTTCTTCTTCATGTGGAACTAAAATAGACCTCTCGGTACTTCTGGGTTTGAGTTCTACCCTAGGGAGCACAAAGCATAAGTTATATATTTTTAATAAAATGGCAAGTATTCTTAGACCTTTTCTTCTTTTGATGAAATTTTCATGCCCCATTTCTTCTGTTTGAAACATGGATTTCAGATTCCTCCCCATCTCGCTGCCCCTTCTATTTGTCAATATCCTGTTTAAAGGATTGAAGCCACAACTTAGCGCCATGTATCAGAGATGGCGTGGTACCCATGGGGCCCTTCCTAAATGATGACATGGTGCATTTTTTCATTCCAAGACTGCAAGTATTTTTGTGTCTGTCTGTTTTCCACTGAGCTTATAGTCAATCAAAATTCTTAGGCCCTTTACAAACTGAAATAGTCTTCTATGTCCTGGCAATTTGTATTTGGTTATTTTCCTGGACCTTAATATAGGATTTTGTACTAAACCTACATTTTAAAATACTTAGTTTTGCTAGATGCACCTTATCATCTCAACCAGAGTATTAGTTTCCTATAGCCGCTGTAAAAAAATTACAACACACAACACAAATGTATTATCTTGTAGCCCTGCATATCAGAAGTCAAAAATGGATTTCACTGGGCTAAAATCTAGGCCTAGGCAGGGCTGCGTTCCTCTGGAGGCTCTAAGAGACAACCAATTTCCTTGTCTTCTTTAGTTTCTAGAGGTTGCTAGCATCCATTGGCTCAAGACCCTTTCCTCCATCTTTAAAGTCAGTAGCACAATATCTTCAAACCTCTCTCCTACTCTGCTTCTACCCTCACATCTCCTTCTGTAACTATTCAAAAGATTCTTTCTTTCTTTTTCTTTTTTTTTTTTCCATTGACCAGCCACAGCAGTATCAAAGGATTCTTGTGATTACATTGGGCCCACCCAGATAATCCAGGATCATTTTCCCTTCTCAAGATGCTTGACATAATCATACTTGCAAAGTCCCTTTTACCATGAAGGGTAACATATCCTTAGATTCCAGGGATTAGGACATGGACAATTTTGAGAGGGCCATTATTCTGCCTACCAACCAGTTAAGATATTTTGGCTCCTGATTGTAGAGTCTAATGTACTAATTATTTCTGTTAACAGTTACAGCATCTGTCAAATTGATTTGCGTCCAGCCATTATTCTCATGCAAACTACTGATGAAAATGTTGAGGAAGGCAGGAACCAGTATAGTCTTCAGGTTGACACTGGTTCATTAACAAACACTCTTGGATTATGATCATTCGTACAGTTAAGAGTCCACAGATAGACTACATTTCCCCCTGATTTCTTCCTTCTTTTTCTCCTACCTTCCTTCCCTTCTTTATTTTCTTTTCATAAATCCAATTTATATAAGCACTGCACCAAATTACAGAATATAGGAGGGGACAAACTAGAAACAGTCTCTTCCTCATTGGGTCTTATAGTATATTGGTGAAGAAATATTATTAAACAATTACTCTAGCTAAGGTTTGATTTGGCAGTGCCTACTGGAGATGCAACTTCAGTGCCTTAAAGAAAAAACTATTTCTCTTTGCCCATGAGAGAAGCCTAAGGTAGGCAGCCCACAGTTAGTAGAGCAGTGCATGAAGTCATAAGAAATCCACACTATTTGGATCTTTCTGCTTCACTACCCTGGCTTCCATTCTCAGGGACACCTCATATTCCAAGATCAATGCTGAAGCTCCAATCATTTCACCCTTTTCAAGTATCAGGACAGAACAGGAAGCAAAGATAAAGAAACGTCTCTGCCCCTTAAAAGGGTTTTCCTGGAAGTTTCCTACAATACTTCTACTTATATCTTACTGGCTAGAGCTTATTTAATTACTTGGACATATCTGGCTGCAAAGGGAAGCTGGAAAATATAACTTTTTGTTTGTTGCATTGCAGCTTCCACAAGGGTACCAATGCAATTCAATGGGAAAAGGAAAGTCTTTTCAACAAATAGTGCTGGAACAACTGGATAGCCATATGGAAAACAAAATTCAATGCTGACTCCTAACACAAAAATTTATTAGACCTGGATTAGATCAGAATGTAAAAGCTAAAACTATAAAGCTTCAAGAAGAAATCATGAGATAATATTTTTATGACTTCGGGGAAAAGATTTCCTAGGTTGGACAAAAAAAAGTACTAACCATAAAATTAAAAAAATTATAAACATAACTTTTGCTCATCAAAATAAAAAATATTTGCTTATCAAAAAATATTATTAGAAAAATTAAAAAGCAAGATACAAACTAGAAGAACTCTATCTATCTGATTCATATCCAGAATAAAGATACAAATCAATAATGAAAAGATAAACAATACAATAATAACAATTCTACTTATACTGATATCAATACAGTCAGCCCTCTGTGGGTTCCACATCCATGGACTTAACCAACCACAGATAAAAAAAATTATTAAAATACCCAGTAACAGATAATAATACAACAATAAAAATAATACAAATAAACAACCAATATCATATAACAATTGTTTGCGTGGCATTTACATTGGATTAGGCATTCTACGTTATCTACAGATGATTTAAAATACATGGAAGGATGTGCATGGGTTATATACAAATACTACACCATTTTATGTAAGGAACTTGAGTATTCATGGATTTTGGTAGGGGGATCCTGGAACAAATCTCCCATGGATACTGAGAGATGACTATTTTGAAGAACGGTTTGGCAGTTTTGTATAAAGTTAAACACATACCTAATGTATAACCAGCAATACCACTTCCAGGTATTTACCCAAGAGAAATAAAAACACAGATCCGCAAAAAGATGGTTCATGATTGGTCATAATTTGCAGAAGCTTATTCATAATTACCCCAAAGTAAAAGCAACCAAATGTTTATCAACAGATAGATTTTTAAAATTGTGGTCTAATCATACAGTGGAATACTACTCAGCAATACAAAGGAATGAACCACGACTGCAGCAGCGTGGATGACTCTCAAACACATCACTTTAAATCAAAGAAGTCAGGTGTAAAGAGTACATACTATATAATTCCATTTATAGAAAGTTCCAGAACAGATAATACTAACATGATAGAAAGCAGAACAGTGGCTTGCTTTGGGGGTGGAGGAGGGGAGGACCCCCCAGAAGGTGGCATAAAAGTGATGGGAATATTCTCTACCATGACTGAGGTGTGGTTTTCACCAGTGTGTATGTATGGGTCAAAACTTATCAGGCTGTAGTGTGCAATTAACTGTATGTAAAATATATCTCAATAAAAATTAGAAAGTCAAATTTGTAAGCACAGCATGGTGAAAACATGGCTCAGTAATAGTTCATATGATAAAGAAATATGGCCTCAAATTATCTATGACTGATTTGAACCACACGCATGAGGTGATTGTTAAGAAAAAAAACTTGACACTAATAAAGGTTGTACACCCAGGTCAAAGTAGAAAAAATATAGCTATACCAGTTTTCTTTTGGTAAATATTTGCCAAGTAGATATACTTTTTTATCTTTTGTTTTTAACTTTCCTGTGTTCTTACATTTACAATATATCTTCTAAAAGCACTTAGCTGTATTCTCAAGTAACCAATATAAAGTGATGAAAATCTTTCCCTTTAAACTGGAAAGTTTAATTAATTTACACTTACTGTGATTATTAATTCATTTGGGTTCATTTTATTATATTATTTTGGATTTTCTATTTTCTCCAATTTCTCTAGTTTTTTTTCTGTTTCTCTATTCTTTTGAATTATTGGAGGGCTTAATATTCCATTTGATCACTCTTATTTGGAAAATACATATTTGTTTATGTTCTATGGGAACTTACCTTGTCTACATTGCTGCTTAACAAAGTCCAAAGTTATTCAATATATCTATACTCTTTCTAAACAGTACGAGGACCAAGCATCTTCTAACTTTTGCATGCCAAAATATTTATTGTATTTAAAGTATTGTATTTCATTCCCATGCGCGTAATGCCCCCAAATTAATCATCATGATAATTCTTGTTTTATAGAATCAATACTTCTTTAGATTTGTCTATATGTTTACCAACTTTTTTGTTCACTATAGTTTCTCACATCCCACTACTAACCTCTGGGTTCAGTTCTTTTTTCCTGAAAAGCATCCATTAGTAGGCTTTTCAGTGAGGGCCTGCAAGTATGCGTCTGCTGTTCTTATGAAAATCTCATTATTTCATTCTCACTTTTGAATTATACTTTATCTGGGTGTGGAATTTTAGTTGGCAGTTGCTTTCTCTCAGTACTTTGAAGATGGTCCAGTTGTCATCTGACCTCTCTTATTGCTGATGAAAAGTCTGTACTTTTAAATATTTTTCCTTTGTGAGTAATCTGTCTTTTACTACTGGCTGCTTTTATTATCCGTTGGGTTCTGCAATTCCTTGACACTTAATAGACTATGAAGTGTCTAGATGTGGATTTCTTTTTATTTGTCCTGTTAGGAATTCTTATTTCTTGAATATGAGAAGTCATGATTTTCATCAAGAACATGGATAGTTCTTAACTGTTATCTCTTTAAATATTGCCTCTTCCTCATTCTTTATTCTTTCCATTCAGAAATTTATATTTGGTACTTTCTCTTTCTTCCTGAAACATTTATTAAACTCCCATTTATATTTCCATCTCTTTTTCTTTCTGTCCTGCAATTTGGGGAATATTCTCAAAATGGTCTTCCAGTTGACTAATTATCTCTGTGGCTGTGTTTAATATGCCCACCCACTGAGTTTTTAATTTTGGTGAGTCTACTTTTCTGTTCTAGAAGTTCCACTTGGCTCATTTAAAGGTTCACCTGGTCTTTTTAGAAGGCATTTTTGTTTTTTCATACATTTAATATTTTCTTTTGTCTTTAATAATTAAGACACATTTATTTTACAGTATTTATCGATAGTTCTATTATCAGAATTCTTAGGAGTTTACTGCAACTACTAGTTAATTACAGATTTTTTTTTCCTCCGAGTTTCATCTTCAGAGGGTCTTTATGGAAATCTAGTGCTATATGGATTAAGCACGTAATATTCAAGGATTTTGTGTTTGCTTCTGCCAGACATTTTAGGGATATCACTGGGATAAAACTGCTCTTCCTGAGGATCCTATGAGGAGCACAAACATGAAGCCCAAGCTTCCAAGAAGGCAGACAAATGGTTAAAAAATTTTAGAGGATTTTTTTCCCACATCTAAATCATAGACAGAGAAAGTAGGCAATTGAATATTATTCGATTTCATTTTTGCACTTAGATCATATCCCACGATACTGGAATTATGAAGGGAAATAAATTCCATGGACCATTGATATTTTTGGTGGGGAATATATTTCATCGCCCATGTCTGGTCTCTTGTTTCCACATGGGCACTGAGACTCAAGCTTCCTGATTTCTGAGTTTGAGAAACCCCTGTATACTATGAGACCATTTAAAACATAACTGCTTACATTCATGGGGGCTCAACCAACTTCTTTTACATCATGGAAAATTCAACAAAAAGAGAGAAACTTGATGTTTTTAAATGATAACTTAGGCATTCTGCTGAACTCTGTGTAAGCATCATCCCATTAATCCGCAGTGCAACCCTAAAGGTGGTATTACTATTCTCACTTTTACAGGTGAGGGAACAAAGCTTCAGAGAGGTTAAGTGATTTTTTTCCAAGATCACACAGCTAGTTACTAGCAGTGGCAGGCTTTAATCCTAAATTTGATAGATACCATAGTCCAGGTGTTCCCTCATTTTATGTATGTGTATATATATATACACCTCTGCTCTGGTCTTCAGTAGACCCTCTAACTGTTACATCTATGGCCCCTATCCACCTTGGCTTTGGCAGGATTTCCTCTTGTTCCTTGACTCCTTTGTTAGAAACTTCCTCTGTTGGCTTCCTGAGTTCTGTCCATTCTTCATCTATGTCTTTACTTTCCATCTCTTTCTCCTTTTCATATCTAAAGTGAAGGTATTTTTCCACTTCCCTCATCTTCCCCTAGACTCTTCTCTCCTTTTGCTCCTTTTCCTCCTGGTGGGCTCACCAGTCCCTTAGCTTTGACCTCCACCTCTAAGCAGGTGACTCTTGAATTTCCATTTCCAGCTCAGTCCTCCCACTCCAACTTCAGACCCCTGTGTACAATCACCTACCAGACATCTGTACATGGATGACTAACAGGGACCTCAAATTCAATGTACTCACATCCCTACTCATCATCTTTCTCCTGAAACCTGCCTGGATCTCATCACAGTGAGTACTCTACTTCCTACCCATGCGTAGAGCTCTGGTCTCCTCATACTTCCCACAGATTATACATCACCTCACAAAATATCTCTACCCACAGTTCATTCTAAGATCCCAGTGTTCATGTGGTCTCCTTCCATGGCCTTGATCTTGCTGTTTCTCTCTCCTTGAATGCCTCTCTTTGCTTTTCCCTACTCTTACTTCTGGTTTTCAAAACCTTGCCCAACCTACTTGGTCCACCTCAAATTTAACTCCTATATGAAGCCATTCCTTATCTCTGCCTCCTTTAAACAAATCCCTTGGTAAATTTTAACAGATGCTGTCTGTGCCCATATCCTCTTGCTCTTTCCATCTTAGTGCATTCTGGCTCAATTTCCAAGTACCAGCCCCCATATTTATTTTCCAGAGGGGTTTCTCTGGTCACTGGTAGCTTTGTCCTTCATACAGCGGGCTAGAAGTATGGGTATGTTAACATTCCCTACAAACAGCTTCAACCAATACATACCCAGCTCCTCATTCTTGGGTAAAATGACTGAGCAGGGGTCTTATGTTGGTCCCTGGATAGTCTCTAGTCAGATTCTAAACTGTAGTTGCCTACAGTGGTAACTGTCTTGTTAGGGCACCCACTGATGGCCCTCCCTTCCTTGTCTCAGGTCCCCACTTCTGGAAATACCTCTTAAATAGACAACTTCACTTACATCCTTGTCTCAGGGCCTGCTCTGGAAGGCTCTAGCTAGGATGCATGTGGCCTGTGGCCATCCCAGCACACTCACATTCAGCGTTGTTTTTTGATGCTGTTCATCCTTCTGTTTCCAGCCTTGGTGGAGCCCTGCCCATCAAGGATGATGAGGGAATGGTGGTTCAATGAAAAGGCCCTGGAGCCTACAGATATAAGTTAGGGACTGCTTGTGGTGTGTGCTGTATGTCAGAAGGCCACTCAGCACAGACTGTGTGTGTGTGCATGTATGTGTGTGTATATGTGTGCGTGTGTGTGCATGTGTGTATGTGTGCATGCATGTGTGCATGTGTGTACGTGCATGTGTGTGTATGCATGCATGTGCTTGTGCTATTGAAGCCATGCGAGCAAGAGAACACCCAGAAGAGAGAGGTAGGGGGAAGTGGAGTCCTCAGTGGTGGAGGCCCAGCATGGGGAGGCCTGATAGACAGTGGCAGAAAAATAGTTCCAGAAAGCTAAGCTGAGGCAGATGAGGCTGAAAGTCGAAGGTGAGAAGGAGGGTTTTACCTTTTAAAAAGTAAGCAATGAACTAGAACCTTGAAGAATACTATCCCAACCTGAGCATGCCAACTTCGTCTTCTGCCCCAGGGAGGCCCCACTTCACTTGCAAGGTTTCTTCAGGCCAGTAGCACCAGGATCCTTGGGTTCTGGGCCCCTTCCTGCCCATCAGCACTCATTCTTGGTGACCCAGTGCCCTTCCCAAGGGCCTAAGACCCACCCAGCAACCAGACAGGAGGGCCAGGCCTCCTCAACACCCTGATCTCTAGCTCAGGCACTTCACAAATGTCTGCTCTGCATCGCCCCTGTCTTCACCTCTGAGTCATTCTTGACTCACTCCAGTCCTTTCCCCTCTGTCCCTCCAGGACAGGCCTGGAAGCCAGTGGGACTGGGAATTGTTCTGAGTGGAGAGAGTGTTTCAGGCCCTCGTGCTGACCTCCACCCTCCTGCAGGCTGGAATTGTATGAACAGCACACTCCTTCCAGTGAATACACCATACTCACCCACATGTGCCTCAGCCAGCAGCCCTGGGCCTGGAGGATTGGGAGGCAACAGCATTTACCAAGGAGATGGGGCAAGGCCAGGATGCCCCAAAAGGCTGGACTGGGCGCCAGCATCTGTCTGGGATGACCTCTTACCTGCTTCTGAGGCAGGGACCTAAGGCTCTTTTTCGGCCAGCCCGGGGAGGAAATGGGACTTCTGCAGAAGATTCAAGCTCTATAAAGATAACCCATGCTAGAGAGAGGCAGATGGGAGCAGCATGGAAGAAAGGAAGTTCTTTGGCTTAGGAAGAATGGTCCCTGCAACTCTGCCCATTAAACTCAGAGATTTAAACAGGGTAGGAGCTGCCTGGATTTAGGCTAAGCATCAAGAAAGGACCTCATGAAAAAATCAATGAACGAGGCAATGTTGAACACCTGCTCTGAAACGCTGCGTTATTAGGCCACTTGTGACAGAAACAAGGGAAGAAGCCATCCTTACCCACAGGAAGGAGGCATCCTTACTTACAAGTGTCTTCTCCCATGCCCTAGGGACCTCCCCACAGACCCTTCCTCCACCCCTGCATCCCTGGGGTCAGAGGCAGGAGGCTTTTCTCCTGGCAAAGGCTGGTCTCTCCTTCCATGTCCTTCAGCCAGGACACTCTGGTTCCTTCCCATCCCTTTAGGTCACTGCTATGATGCCAATCTCCTCCCAGGAACGCTGGGTCTAAATCAGGCCCTCCTCAACACCACTGTGTCCCCTTATCACCCCCAAAGGAAATTATATTATGCATTGACTTATTCACTTATCAATTGTCTGCCCCCACTAAAATCTAATTCCCATGAAAGTAAAGATGTTGTCTTATTCCCTTTGGTATCCCTGACATTCAGACAGTGCCTGGAACAGAGGAAGAATTATTCCAGGAGGTACAAAGGGGTGGCCTCCATCCATGGAAGCTCACAGTCTTTAGAGGAGGGAGAACTCTACATCAATGAAAGAGCTAGAGAGCAGCTTAACACTAGGAAAGGGTGTCATGGGGCTTGTCTCGGCAGTTGAAGAAAGGCTTTCTGGAGTAGGTGAACCTTCCATGGGACCCAGAATGATAGGAATGAGTGAGGAGAGAAGGAGGGAGTGGCATGCCAAGTGGGGAGCCCTTCTACATAGGCCGATTGGCCATGATGAGTAGTGTGTGGGGTACAGGGGGGAGGCTTGGGAGGCTGGAGCAGTGAGAAGGTGTGGTGGCTTTGTAGAATGGCCTCTACCTGTGTTCTCTTCCCCAGTGCGCCACCATCCTTGGAAGCCAGTGTGTTGTTCATTGTAACAGCAATGGTGGCATAAATAATATGGTGGTAGTTTTGGGCAGGAGGGAAGACAGGGGACTCTCAGGAGAGCTGAGTTGTAGTCTTACTCTGGTCATTCATACACTGTGCGGGTCACCTGGCCAATCCAATCCTTTGTTTTCTCATCTGTAAGGCCAATGATTCATTTATTTACTCACCAAACATTTCTTGAGCACTGACTGTGTACCAAGTACTGTCCAAGACACTGGGAACAAAGTCAGGTCCTAGCCGGACATGGTCCCTTTCTGCTGGAGCTTGCAATCTGCTGGGAAAGCCACACGTCAAATAACCTACCTACAAATTCATCATTTCATATTTCAGCAGTGTTACGAAGGGAAGGTGCCAGGTGCTAGGTGGAGGAATAGCAAGAGAACTCATTTAGAATGTGGATCAGGAAGGGCCTTCTGAGGAGGGGATATTTTATCTGAGACCTGAGATGAGAAGACATCAACCAGGGGAAAAATGGAGGAAAAAGTCTTCCAGACAAGAGAACAACAGGGGCAAAGGCCTAGAGATAGGAGAAAGCTTGTCTTGTTCAAAAACATGACAAGTGGCTGACATGGCAGGAGTGAGACTAGAGGGAGCGGGTGGGACCAGACCATGCACAGCCTTGAGAACCATGGTCAGGAGTTTGAACTTTATCACGAAGCAGCTGAAAACCTACTGCAGGATTCTAAGCAAGGTGGTAGCATAACCCAGTCAATACCTTAAGAAGATGACCCTGTCTGCTCAGTGGAGGACAGGGTAGGGTTGCAGCATAGGCAGGAGATGATGGAGGCTTAGACAGGGGTAGTGGTGGTAGAGATGGAAAGAAGTGAGGTGAGTGAATCCTGGACACATCTGGGAGGTGGAATCCATAGGTTCTGGTAGTGGATGGATATGGCAGGTGAGGGAGGGGAACCAAGGGTCACTTGCAGGTTTCTGACATGGTTCAGAGAGGCCTGTGAAAGGGATAAGGAGCCTGGGGGAGGAAGAGATATAGGGGCAAGATGGAGAGCTCAGTTTTGGACATGCTAAGACACAAGTAGCTGTGGTGTTTCCAAGTAGAACATCTTGAAGACAGTCTGGAGCACAGAAGAATGTTCTGGGCATGAGGGCAAATTTAAGAATCAGGGCATATGGTATTCAGAGCCAAAAGGTGAGACTTCCATGGCCTGCATCCCAGTAAAAGTAAAAGGATCATGGATTCATGGATGGTAGAGGAGCTTTGCCACATTCCACAGCATCAGCAGGAGTGAGGGTGAAAAGGTGCAGGCAGCTGGCTAGAGTCATGGGATCTCAGCCTCCCTGTTTCATCTGAGGCATTAGGTTGACAGACTCGTAGTGAGTCTGTTGGTGTGAGTGGGAGTCTTAGTGCCTGAGGAGTGGCGGGGAGGAGCCATTGGGTATTTTGAGAGGAAGATGAGGGGTAGCAGAGAGGCTTGAGCAAGGAGGCAGGGCTGATGAGGATAGAATCAACGGACTGCTGGATCAAAGAGCCAGGCAGCTGACCCTTAAGGGGCTCTGGCAAATGCCATATCAAAAAAAAAGAAAAAAAAAAAAAAGAATTGTAACCAGTCTTGCTCTAATTGGAGAGCTCAATAATCTCCTTCTCCTCCCTCTCCCGTTCCCCTTTCTTCATCTTATTGTTTTTTAAACTAGAGATCAAATTGGCTCTCTGGCCCTGCCACTAGATTGCACCTGAGGAACCCAGACCAAGGGTTTGGCCAAGAAAGCCAAAGGGGAAGAGACTTCATGAGATGTGGGAATTGCAGGCAGGGGGTTATAGGGGAGGGAAGAGGTAGGGGCTGGGAAGGGCTGCAGCAGGGGTGAAGCTGTGGCAGCGGACTCAACTCAGCAGACCATCTCCTTCTAGTCACTCTTCCCTGGAGTGTCCCTTCGACAGGGACAAGGTTTGAATGAGAGGCCCTCAGAGGAAGATGCTCAGGCCCCAGGCCCAGGGACCTGAGCTGAAATCTGCTGCCTGAGGGAAGTTTGAAAAAGCTTGCCCTGATGGTAACTGTGAAGCTGTGATTACTCAGGGCTCCCGGCAGAGCTCCTGGCAAAAATCATAGGAAGTGACTGGTATGGTAATTAGTGTGACTGAGAAGTCCAAGTCCTGGTTGAGATCCAGGGTGGGGTTCTTTCCATTGTTCTGTTTCTCATCTCCTCAGCCACAGCTGGAACCTCTACCAGTCTCTGCAGGCTGAGTTTGACCCCAATTCCAGTGTGGCAGGGACCACTAACTGTTGCCCAATATCTGCTCTCCCCACCTTCTAGGTACATGGGAGGTGGCACTTCTCCATTCCTTAGGAATTAAGAGGGACCATGTGGCTTGCTTTGACTGAAGATATGTGAGCAGAAGTGTTGTGTGCCCCTCTGGTTAATCAAACTTGCCTGGCCATGCTCAGCTCTCCACCTCTGTCTTGTTGCAGCAGCTGTGTAGGCACCTGCTGATGTGGAGGGGCCATGTTAAGACATTGCACAGAAGAGCCTGCCAGGAGAGTCACCCAGACCTGCTATGTTAAGTCACTGATACTGAGGGCTATTTGTTACCATATCATCACTTTGCTTATGCTGACTGATACCAAACTGACTGCTATGTGGCTTCTGTGGGGCAGAGACGGAAAGTGGATAAAAGATAGAAGAGTTATCTTCCAGAAGTCTATAACACCCAGGGTTAATAATTTTTCTTTGGAGTTAATTCTGATCTGCAAGAACAAATTAACTAGAAAAGTGACAGTGGGAGGAATTCTGATGAATAGTGACCATTAGATAGCCAGTGAGATTTCCAAAAACTCTGAGAAAAATAGTCACTCATTAGTTCATGCATTCTGTTGGTTCTTCTACATTTATTCATAGGACAGTTGTGAGTGCCGGGCACTATGCTGCAACAGAGGAGATGGAGATTAGAATGGAAGGCCACTGCCTTTGAGAAGGCAAAGCCTAATAGAGGGCAGAGGCCCTTACAACCCCAGAATCTTGAGACAGATATGGTAAGGCTGAGGCAGGAAGATTGCTTGAGCCCAGGAGTTCGAGATCAGCCTGGGCAACAGAGTGAGACCTCGTCTTTACAAAAAATAAAAAAAATTAGCCAGGTGTGGTGGTGCATACCTGTAGTCCCAGCTACTCAGGAGGCTGAGACAGGAGGATCACTTGGGCCTGGAAGGTTGAGGCTGCAGTGAACCAAGCCATGGTTGTGCCACTGCACTCCAGCCTGGGTGAAAGAGCAAGACTCTGTCTCAGAAAAGAAACACAGAGAGAAGGGGGGTGGGGGCGGGGGGAGAGAGAGAGGCTTCCAGGGAAATCTTGAATGATTTTGATGAAGAAAGGAAAGAAAAAGCTTAAACTGAGATGTGAGAGGTGCAGAAACAAAAGGAAGAAAGAGAATCACAGCCCAGGTTGAGAAAACTCCAAGTGGCATTTCTGTGTCAGTCGCTCTTATGTTGCTATAAAGGAATACCTGAGGCTGAGTAACTTATAAAGAAAAGAGGTTTAATTGGCTCATGGTTCTGCAAGCTGCATAGGAAGCATGGTGCCAGCCACTGCTTCTAGTGAGGCCTCAGGAAACTTCCAATCATGATGGAAGGTGAAGGGAAGCCAGCATGTCCCATGGTGAGAGCGGGAGCAAGAGAGAGAGAAAGGGAGTGGTCTCCGACCCTTCTAAACAACTAGATCACATGAGAATTAATTGAGCAAGAACTCACCTATTACCAAGGCAATGATACTAAGCCAATCATGAGGGATCTGCCCATGACCCAATCACCTCCCCCCAGGCCCCACCTAGGAATCACATTTCAACAGGAAGTTTGGAGGGGACAAACATTGAAATCATATCAATCTCAGTCGCTAATTCCATGGACATTTACTGAGCATGTACTATGTGCCAGGCATGGTTCTAAATGTTAGGAGGATACAGCGTACACAAGGCAGGCCTGGAGATAATCAGTATTGGATATTGATATGAGAAATGTGTAATAAGGGTTATGAGAAAGGGGTTAATACAGAATGAGTGGCTCTGCCTGGGCATTCGGGAAAGGCCTTTATGTGTGCAGACTGCAAACGGGTTCACCGTTCACTCATTCATTCATTTAACCTCCTTTTAGGCCCTGTAAGCCTAGAAGGGGGCTGTCTGGGAGGGGCTGTGCCCTGACGCAAGGGCCCAGAGTCAGGCTGAACTGGGGCAGGCGTCTCCCCAGGGGGCAGGAGCACTGTAGCTGTGGGAATCTTGCATCCTGGTGACAAGGAGAAGCCACCAGCCTGAGCTGAGCCACACATTAAGGGACAAAGTGAGGGCTTTGGAAAGAAATGAGTCACATTGTCAGCATCTGAAAAGACAGGAGTCAGGTCGGAAAGGAGGGCGTAGGGGCCTGAAGAGCTGTTAGGAGCAGGCTCACCACGTCCAGAGCCTTGATGTGGCTGCATACAGGGGAGGGAGTTGCTGACCACAATTTTCTGGATCGATTTGGACTAAGAAAATTTTGTCAAATTTTAAAAATCACAAAAATAGACCTATTTTTGCTTAAAAAAAAAAAAAGAAAGAAAAGGAAAAACCACTGGAGAGAAGGGTCAGATACTTCTCTAAAATGGGCAGATGTTATTATGTGAGCTTTGGTGAGTACCAGGGAGCATCAACCCTCACCACCCTGTGCATGAGCAGTGCAAGGTCGTGTCTCAAGGCAGAAAGCAGGGATCCTGACCACTGAGTCTGGATGGTCACCGGGCAGCCGCCGAGAGCTGAGCTTCCCTGACTGGGGCCGTGAGACTGCCTGGCTCACACCTTGCGGAGGACTGAGACTCCCCACCCCCATGGCCTTCTGAAACTGCTGCAGACAAGGTTGCTTTCCACAGGCCCGGCTTCTGGGGGCCCTGGAACCCAGTGCCCAGACTTCTCTTCTCAGGCCAGGGCTATGGGGCTGTCACAGCACTTTTCACATGTGTGTGCGATTTCTTGGTTTATGTTGGTCTTTTTCTGTCTTTAATTAAATTCCTTTTGGAAAAAATCCATTTCCACAGCACCAAGGGATTAAAAGTTCTCAGTTTTGTTTTTGATTTTTGTTTTTACTCCATCTGTGCCATGGCTCGGGGCCCTTAGTGACTGACTTTCATGTTGGGGACAGCAGGCACCTGACTGAGCTGTGGGCGAGCAGGGGAATGGTGTTGAGTGAGGTGACAACTTGAGACCAGACAGGTGGCAAAGCTAATGAAAATTTTGCCCCCTTACTTCCATACACTGACCCTAAATGGCCACCCTCTTCAAAAAGGACCAGAGCCCCAAATACACACTGCTGTCAGCCCTGATCCCTCTTTAGTCCCTCCCTCCGAGACCCTCCCCTCTCGTCCTGTGTGGCCAAGTCCCAGCCTGGACACTCTGTCTTCAAAGGTAAAAAACAAAGCCGGCTTGTTGCTCCATATTTGTCTTGGGAGTGCTTGTTCCTAGGAGAGCCTCCTGGCCTCCCAGGCCAGGAATAGCACCAGTCTACAAGGCCAGCCTGGCTGCCCTGCCAGCCCTTCTGAATTGCTTGTTTTTATTAAAATTCTTCTGCACGCGCAATCCCTGATGGTGTGTGGATTTTGGATGAGGCGGTGTGGGGGACCCGGGGAGAGGAAGGCCCTAGGCTTATTGGGCCTGGTGTTTATTTGGCCTGCCTGTCCAGAGTGATAGAGAATGGAAGTCCATAAAAGTGACCCAGGATTTGTGCCCCAGAGCTCGGCAGGATGTGACACAAGGCCCATGGCAGGCTTGGACTGGGTCTGGGCTATCAGCCCCCAGATGATATGATACAGAATAGCTCTGGAGAGCTGCAGGAGTGGAAAATGACATGGCTCCGCACTGTTGCACAAATCATATGAGAACTGCTCCCTCTCGGCTTCTACCTGCAGGCTCGGGCTTGGCAGCTGTCCCCTGGCCAGATGCAGCATTTTGAAGCAGCCAGGGCCCACTGTGGCAGCCTCAGCAATATAGAAATGGCCAGGAGCAGAGTTGGGCACCTTGGCTTCCAATTTGTTCTGAGTCTGGTCTGGTCCCAGGCTCTAAACCCAATGCTTTTCGGGGCTGTGTGTCACCTTCCCAGGCCCACATATTTCTCAGCATTCCTCACCTGGTCTCGGAGGGGGACAGTGCCCCAACTCCAGGGTAGAATCTGTTCTGTATGGTTGGACTTACACACAGAAATTCTACTACCATCATTCAATTCAATTTACCTGGATATGGATTTCCCTCTTGCCCCACTGATCCCCACTCTCCTGGGCCTTTAAGTGAGTCATTCTCCTGGGAGGTCTGGGGTAAGACAGGCAGACAATGACAGACAGTGGCATGGGAGCTTCCAGCCGAAGAGTGCACCTTTCAACATCACAGCCAAAGGCCTAGATGCATGCTCTCCCTACAGCCTGGGCTCTGGGCCCCTGCTGAGGTGACCACCCCCACAAGACCTACGGGAACGTGGTGGAGGGTGTAGGGGTGGGGGAGCAGTTTTCAAGTCAGGAAATTGCAAAAGTTCCAGCGTCCGCAGCCAAAGGCTCAGTGTGGAAAATTTCAGGCTCCAAGCAGGGTTCCAGAGGAGGAGGAAAGGAGCAATGGGGCCAAGATACTTGTCCCCAGCTTCCCAGACCTGGGCCCTCCCCTCACACGCAGGAGGTGTGTCAAGAGCCCAGGGCAGAACTCTCTAGTAGAAACCTCTGTAGAGTCCAGGGGCTGGCTCACACACCTTCCCGACTGGTCAGAGAGAAAAATGCATACAAAACAATCCTAGCTTCCAGGGAATGCTACAAAGGAATCCCAGCCCTCAGTGTTCAGAGGGAAACTGAGGCACAATGAAAGGAATCTGCTGTAGATAAGACCAAAGTTTCATCGTAGGGGACTGTCTCACCCACATATCGGGCAAGCGTCACAGTTCCACATAGGAAGGGGTGTATGCTCATGGGGGAAGGTTCAGGGTAGGACTGGTGGTCTTGGAAGGTCTCCCCTCTCCTCAGATTCTTTCTGGGGACTTGCTCTAGGAAGAGCTGAGGCTCAGGGTAGCCAGAACAATGAAGTGGTGGAATGAATTGGGGAGTGGGTGCCAGGCATGGAGGCCAAGAGTGTCTGCAGCCCTGCCAGCCAAGACTTCCTCACTGCCCGTTCAGCCCCTACTGCCGTGTACCCCCGGTGGGTCCCTGCTCTGCGGCAGGCATGCTCCAAGTGGCAGGGCTCCCACCTGTCATCAGGAATCACCAGGGCCCCACAGGCAACCCGGTGACCCCGCGTCCTGGCCAGGACTGTTTGACCGGGCCTAGGGGGAGCCGCCTGCCCGCCGCCACCAGCATCTCCGCCGCCTACTTGGGCCTCCTCGGGGCTCCTGGAGCCGGGCCGAGAGCGTGCAGCCTGCCGGCTTGCGGCTGGGGATTTCACTCGGAGCCGCTACATTTGGAACCCATTATTTAATCATTAATTTCCTCCTCTCGTCGACCCCTTCCACCCCGCCTCAGCTCGGCGCCCCCGCCCCAGATTAGATCTCCACGTGGTGCTTTGCAGTGATCCTTGACAGGGCTTCTGTGCTGGGGACGGGAGGCGGGGAGGGGAGCGGCAGCTGGGGCTGGCCCAGGGCTGCTCGGTAGGTTGGCTGGGAGGGAAGAAAGGGCAGCCCGGAGCCTGGACCTGCGGGGCTGGAGGGAGAAAAGTATCCAGACCCTGACCCCAGGAACTAGTGGTGTGAGCTGTGCCTGGCTGAAGGTGTAAGAACAGGGACACTGCTCCCTCCCCTCAAAGCTCAGGGCAGTCCAGCTGACCCAGCCCCGGTGTTTTGAGGTCAAGGGCACCTGAAGCTCCTCTAAGCCTCTATGTCCTGCCGTGGAGCTCCTTGCCCCCATTCTACCTTGGGGGTGTGTGGGGTGGAGAGAAGGTGAGTGGGGGATGGAGGCCCATTCTGGGTAAGGCTGTAGTCTGTGCCCTCCACTGTCCTTCCACCCCCAGCCCTGTGCCCATCCAGGTAACGCGGCATGGCTCACCTCAGAGAGCTCCCAGTCAGACCCAGGAGGTTGTAGGGAGCACCTCCTGGCTGAGTGAGTGACCAGGAGCCTCTATCACACTTTGCAGGACACAAGGGGAGGTGAGGCTGAGGGTGCCCACACTTCCTGCACTCTCTGTCCTCCCACAGACCCTTCATTACATGCTCCAAGATCAGAGAGCTGAGGGATTCCTGGGTAGGGGCAGCGCTGAGGACACTGTGCACCTGGGTGGGAGGGACAGCACTGGAATCAGGGAATAGGGAAGGAAAACATGCACTGGTGCCCACTATGGACCCTGCCTGCATGCTGGGCACTTTTCTGACCTTGCTGTGTCGTTGCCAGAAGCAGCAGCCACACTGGCTATAAGATGTGCTTTTATGTGCCTGACCATGTCCTAAGCCTTTTATATCCCTTACCTCACTGTAACACTCCCAGCAGGCCCAGGGGAGGCACTACTATTATGCTTACTTTAAAGATGGGGATACTGAGGCTCAGAGATACATGAAGCAGCTCTCAAAATCAGAAGAATCAGGAACAAGATTGAAAGCCTGTGCTCTTCCCAACACTTAAGAAGCCTCTAGCTGCAAACCTCATGGTTAGCTGGGCTGGGGTATGAACCCAGGCCCCCTCTGTCATTCCTTACCCCCTATCCCTGGAGAGAGCTGGCCAGTCACTGGCATATCTCAGTAAGAGATGCTAAAGGGACAGAAATTTCTCTTGCTCACAACTCCACTCACAGCAAAATGCCCTCCCTCATCCCTCCATCCTGAAACACCATCTTCTTCCAAGGCCCATCTCAGCCAAGCCCTCCCTGACATCCCCAATCTCTTCCTTGAATTCTTAGCAGCACTTAAAGGCCGAGATGCATTTCTTGCCCTTGTTCTGATGTCTCCAGAAGTTTTCTATGGGTGAGACTTTTCTCTCACCAGCCTGGGAGCTCTTGAGAGAAATACCATCATAAAAGTGCCCCTGGGCCGGGTGAGGACCCAGAGGGCAGGATGCTCAGGTTCCAACTCTGTACCGCATTGCCTCACCGCTGCCCACAGCGGGTGCCACACGGGTATGCACAGGCCTGGAATCCAGAGGGCAGGCCTCCCTTTCCTTCATACACTCACTGACCACAGTAGCAGCTGATTGCTGGCTGAACCTGTTGAGAGGCTGTGGAGAGGCATAGGCTCAGCCACCTCCCACTCCCACTCCTGCTACAGATGCTGAAGCTGGATGCTAACTTCCCATGCGACTGGGATGGGGGCATCTGATCAGGGCTGGAGACTCCCTGCCTGGACTCTAAACCAAACCCAGGACAGGGAAGAATGATTCTGGTGGTCACTTCAGCATCAGCAGCCTTCAGTTTCGAGGGAGAGCAGCAGCAGCAGTGCCAGCTGTTGTGCCCAGTGTTCAGAGCTGGTGCATCTCAGAGCCCCTTCTGTGACGTGCTTTGGGCTATGCCCTGGCTTTTCAGCCTTCCACTACTCTCATCTGTTTTTTTGAGCCTGTCTTTCTACCCTTTTGTGCAATTCTGGGGGACATTGAATAACCTTTCTCTGCCTAAACTGGCCAGACTAAGTTTCTGTTGCTTATAAATGATGCGGTCTGGATTCTCAGAGTCTTTCTTTACCCACCTCCCACCCATAACTTAGAATCTACTTGGCCTGCAGTCTAGATATTCAGAGACAAGATACTAAGCTAATATTCCATTCAGTGTAGATTCCAAAGTCAGACACCTGCTTTTTCCCAGAAGATTCTGGGGAAAAAATTAGAGCACATGATATAATAGATGGAAATTGGCCTTGGATTGGCCAGAACCCGGATTGAGTCAAAGCCCTACCTTTCACAAGAGATGAAATATTTAACCTCTTTAAGCCATCACTTTCTTTAATCTGCAAAGTAAATAGAATAAAACCTGCTTCACGTCAGTTGTTGCAAAGGTTAAATGAGATAACTAATAAGCACAAAGCACCTAAAATGGTTCCTGGTACATAATGGTCACTCAGCATTTATTCATTCAGCCTGCATTTCCTAATTTCTGGCCGCAATTCTTCACTCCTCTCTACATCTGTGGTCTTTGCCATGTGAATTTTTCGTTCCTGCTATTAGAGGTGGAGTATACTTTGCTAACCCACAACTCCGTGGGCTCATCTATGTGACTTGCTTTGGCAAAAGGGATGCCAGCAGATGTGATGCAAGCAGGTACTTGAAATGTGCTTGCACTGTTAAGCTTGACCTCTCAGGATTCTACTCTCATTATGGGAAGAACACGCTCTGGGTAAATGCTAGTCCTAGGAGGATGAGAGACACATGGGGCAGACTCAGCCTGCAGCTTGGAGCCAACACCAGCTGATCCTCAGATGCAAGAGTGGGAATAAGTCATTGTTATTTTAAACCATTGACTTTGGGGATGATTTGTCCCGCAGCACTGTTGAGGCAATTGCTAACTGATACACTCACTACCAAGAAGTCCAAAGATAAGTAATCCAAGGATGGCATAGTTTGGCCTCCACAATGCTATTAGAGACCCATACTTTCTCTACCATTCTGCTTTGCTATCCTTAGGGTATGAAATATGTTATCATTATTGCAAGCTGGTTTCCATACCTCATGAACCTTGAACCTCGTGTCCATGTTCCAGGCACTAATATGGATGAAACGCAAAGTGTCCATGTTCCAGGCACTAATATGGATGAAAGGGGAAAAGGAACATGTCATTTGAGTTAGCCCCTTTAACAAGCTTGCCCAGGAGCTCCAGCCACCAGATATTTTATCTCGTTGTCCCACTTGTATTTTATTATCCAGAACACTGTCTTAATGCCATCCTAGCTGCAAGGGATTCTAGAAAGCTGACTATTTTTAAGGAATCTCATGGCTTCCCTGAACAGCTGTGAGGTTTTGTTAGTAAGGGAGAGGAAGAGGATAACTACCTCAGATATATTGAGAACTTCTAATGTGCCAGGGAGCATGCTAAGAGCTGGGGATGCAGCCGGCCCAAGGCTCCTGGCCTAGTATGAAAGCAATGCGAAAAATGGATGTGCTGTCTTTGCTGCTGTCCTGCAGGAAGGAATGCCTTGAGCAGGCTCTGTTCTGTTAGGTGTGAAATGGGTGTGGGGAACTTTTGTTTCCATAGCCTCCTGTGTCCCACTTCCCCTTCAGAGTCCCGCATGCGTGTGATATCACAGTGATGGTGGGGCTCCACCTTGGGTGAGTTGGGTGTGGAATGAGTAGACATGGAACATGGAGGGAGGCTTTTCCCTTTCTCTTCCTAGTCAGTCAGCAGCATTCTGGCTGCTGCCTACAGCATGTGCTGTTCAGATATCAGGGAGGACCTCCAAGGGGGCCCACTCAAGTGGAGATCAGGGAGTTTGGAGTTACACCTGTGGGTTCCCACGGGCTTCCTGGTGTTGGTAATGAATGGAGCAGACTGAGAAGGGGCCATGCCTTTCAGGATGCCAATTCCACCTCTGGATACACAGTTTCTCCGAGTGCAGTGTCTTCCTGTCCAGCCTCCACTCTTCTCCTCCCATCTTCCTTTCTCTCCCTTTATCCTAAGCTGGGGCATCCTGTCACTTCCTCCATCCACTCAGGGTAGGCTGTGAACTCTAAGAGGTCTATTGCTTTCTATTGAAACAGCCCTTTCCGGAGGCATTGATGCGTCACAGTCCAGCTTAGCTGGGAGAAAGCCATGGGCTGAAGATAAATACTGGGAGGGAAAAATACATCAATGAGGATGCAAAAATCCTATCACCTACATAAATGGTCAGTTTATTTCAATACAACATGAGCAATATTGAATGAGAAGCCCAATCTGGCCTGAGGGAAGGGAAGGAGGGCAGAGTCTGAAAGACTCACCAGTTCATCCTTGTTTGTGGGCATCTGCTCTGTGCCAGGCGCTGTCCTTGGTGCTGGGATGAGAGGTATTAACCAGGTGCGTGTCAGTGGGTACTATCCTGGCAGAGGGGGCAGGCGGTGTGAGGGCAGGGAGAGTGCAGAATGCTGGGGAAGTTATTAGTGGGGCAGAGTGGGTATGAGAGCACTGGCAAGGTGGGGGTATGGGATGCGGTGTTGCAGGGGTAGGGGGTGCTGATCAGGGACCTGGCAGAACCTTTGGGGCCATGCCTGATAACTTTTCCTGAGAGCTGAGAGGAACATCAGTGGGTCGTGCTGTGAGGCAAGGGTGGAATTTGAAGGTAGAACCATGACTCTGGCTGGGGTGTGAGAGAGGGTCTGAGGAGCCTGGAGCACACACAGCATATTGGTTAGGGGGCTTTCTTTGTCAGGGCTTCCACCCACGCCAGAAGCAGCGGGCATGGAGGGAGGGGAGGGCGAGAGTAACAGCTACCAGCAGCAAAGTAGTGAGTGTGTCTTCTCAGGAATAGTTCATGGACAGAGTCCTTCCTCCCTACTGCCCTATTTCCCTTCTTGGGGTGCAGCCCTAATGGCCCTCAGTGGGAGGCTCGGCCAGGCATGGGGACATGGGAGTCAGGGTGGAAGAAAAGAGGAGTGGAGCTGTGGGCCAACGTGAGCTCAAGGCTGGAAGGTGAAGAGCTGAGGGTACCAGGCTGGGGAATGGGTTCAAGCCCTGACTGACCTCCTCCTCCAACCAAACCAGCCCACCACCCCTCCCTCCTACCCCTCACCAAACTTGGAGACCTCTCTGCTCTCTGTGGGACCTTCAAGGAGACTTAGGGAGCTCTACCCTGATGGGACACCCATGCCCGTGTTCTGACTCCAACCTGGGCTGACCACCCTCCAGCAGCCCACTGTGGGGGACCCACCCCCGACTTGCTCTCCCCTGTCTGTCTGAGGCCAGACAGCCCCCCTTCCTCGGCCCCTCAGTCCAGGGCCTCCTGCAGATCCCTGCCCATGGCCTCCATCTGGCCTTCAAGGCATCGCTTCATTTTCCTTGGCTGTGGCTTTTTCCTCTTTCCACGTACCTGGTTGGCTTCCAGGATCAGCCGAGGCTCAGACTTGGCTACATGGAAATAGAGATAGACACAGTCCCTTTATTATTTAATTTAGTGAAAAAAGAAAGAGGAATTCTTGGCTGGGGTGGTACCTCCCAAATCAGAGCCAGAAGACCCTACGAAAGACCCTGGGAGCTGGGACAGGAAGTGGCCAATGAGAAGGTCTGTTCTAAGCTCCGGTGTCCTCCCCACTCCCACCTCAGGTCTCCTCTGGCAGCTCCAGGCCTCCCAGCTCTGCCCTCCACCTCCCACCTTCCAGGCGCTCCTTTGCTCCCACCCCCCAGGGCCACAGCCCCTGCCAAGCCCTGGCAGTGACACATTGCTCAGCCCCTGCCTGGGGCCTTCCCAGCTCCAGTGACCTCTGGATGCCCCCCCAGGCCCACCACACACTGTGTGCTGTTCCAGCCGAAATTCCCTTGCACCGTGGAAAGAGGAAATGAGAGCAGGGGTTGGGGCAAGGGATAGAGGAAAAAAATAAAGTGAGATGGAACTAAGACCTGGAAGAAAGAGACAAGTGAAGGAAGAAGGAGGTGAGGATTGGCTGGCTTGGCCAGGGCCAAGGGAACCCTGTCCATGCCTCCTGTGACAGCATCTGGAGGCAGATCCTGTCTTGGCCTGGGTTTGGGTGAGCCTTCTGCCCTGCCTCTTCTTGAGTGGAAATTGCTATCTATAAGGGCCAGCCAGACTACCTAGGGGCATCTGACCCCCTCCTCCCCAAAATGTCTGGCCTAGCAGGTCCCCCAGAATGGAGCTCACAGGAGGAGCTCCAGGATAGTGCCCCCCCCAACAATGTCCCAGCGAGCTTGCCATCCCCCAGCAATCTTCCTGGGCCCTTCCCCTCTCCCTGAACCCTGCATCAGGGCCTTTGTCACTCCACCGTCCCTTCTGTCCCCTGAAAAGGGCTCTACCTCCTCTAAAGTTTGCAGCACCCTGTCCCTTTGTACCTCTGTTAACCCCATATATGCTTTCTGATATGTTTTGTGGTTGTCGTGTAACTACTATATTCTCTCTATAAAACTTCGGCTCATTGGGAATGGGCTCCTAATGCCTATCTTGCTCCCAAGTGTGGCATTCCCTAGTGTAGCCTGTGGGAAGGGAGCAGGATGTCTACCTCTTCCCTGAGTTCAGGCAGAGCCCCTGGAGAATGATGTGGCCTTTTCAGTGCAGTGACCCGGCCACTGGCTGAGGGGCCCAGGGATCATCAGCGTCTCACCAGCCCCACCAATGGTAGAAAGAGTAGTACATATTTGCTTAATGAATGAAAGAAACTTATAAAAGCAGTGTATTAAATTAACCCATACTAAGGCAGCAATGACTAAGAACCTCCTTACTCTCCCAAAAGAAGGTCTTCCAATTTACAAGGAACATGCTCAGTAAACCAGGGAGGGATGGCAGCTTCCTCAACCAGAGAAACTGGATGGGGCGATGGAAATGCTCGAAAACCAGATTGTGGTGAGGATTGCACAACTCTGTGAATTTGCTGAGAATCATTGATGACATTGACATTATGAGGGTTGCCATGTAAATTATACCTCAATAAAACTATCCGGAAAACCCAAAAACATAATGCTTGTTAATCTCACTATGTCCTCCACTGGAGCAATTTCTGCCATTGCTGTGGAGACTCAGAGAGCAGATGAGGGAACTGCTGGTGAGACGCTGATGTCCCCTGATCCCTTAAGCTGGGGCTGGGTCACTGCACTAAAAAGGCCACATTTTTTTCCAGTGACTCTGCCTCAACTCAAGTAACAGGTGGACATCCAGCCTTGTTCCTGTCTCACGTACGCCAGGGAATAATGCATGGTGAAATTATTGGGCTTCTGACCCTGTGCCTTGATCCCTGTTTGACTCCCAATTGATTAGATACAGGGTATACATGTAAGAGTGCACGAGTGTGTGCATTTGCATGTGAGCATGTGAGTGCATGTATGTGAGTGTGTGTGCATGAGTAAATGTGGATGTATATAAATGTGTGAATATGTGTGAGTGTTTGTTCATATCTGTGATCCACCCAAGCCTCTAACAGTGGCTGTCCATCCTCAGGGGATAAGTCTGCAGCAGATGAAATGACTGACGAGGTGGACTGGATGGCAGGGAGGGATGACGAAGGTCTGATGGCAGCCTGAAGCCAGCTTGGGAGGAGAGTGTAGCCTGACGTTCCTCTTCATGCCCCATACACCCTGCCATTTGCACACACATAGATAGACACATATTCTGTTCTGGACATTGAGGCTACAGTCATCGAAAGAGCCAAGGGAGTGGATCGAGAATTGTCCCCTTGGCCACTGAAGGAGAGAAAGGGGACGGGGTAACAAGGACATGATCCTTAAATCTTTCCACTTTGATTACAGGATATACTTTTCACCTAGCATGAGGTGGAGAAAAAGGGGTGCGTACACCTCCTTGTGGGCCTTAGCCAGAAACACTTGCTCCCACCCTCATGTTGGAGTATAAATAGTAAAGCCCAGACCCTCTTTTAACCATTCCATCCACCCATTCACCCATGCATTCATCCATCTACCATCCACACATCCAACCATCCATCTGTCCATCTATCCACCCCCTCATATGTTCAATGAATATTGACTGGGCACCTGCCAGATGCTAGATTCCATGCCAGGCCCCAAGAACACGGTGACGGAGGAGCCTAGGTCACCTTCCTCAAGGAGTTCACAGTCTGAAAGGTGGGGTAGAGAATGAAGATAGACCTGCACAATCACAGAGGTTGAGTGTGTGAAGGTGTATGTGTGTAAATGTGTGTGCAGTGAGACAGGAGGGTAGCGTTCCATGGGATCACAGACCAGGGTCACCAAGTGAGCCTCAGAGAAGGGACACTGGTCAAGAAAAGATTCCCAGGACAGGCGATCCCTGTTGAATAGGAGTTTGCCAGGCAGACAAGGAGAAAGACTACATCAGTCAGAGGAAAAAGTTCATGAAAACCCTGCAGAGGAGGCAAACCTTGACTTGTCCTGGGGTCTGTAGGCAGGGGAGGAGGACAGATGGGATTCTGCAGCCTCCTTAGCATGCTGGAAGAGGAGGACAGGATTTGGGTTCAACGCTGAGACAATGCCATACCATCACCCCAGCCTCTCAGGAGTCCCAGCCAGACTCCCTGGATCTGTCCGTGGAGGCTGGGAGTCACTTGGATGTGTTTCAGTTTGTAGGTTTAGGAGGTAAGAAATATGGGGGAGGAAAAATTGTGCAGACCAGTGAGAATGTGCCCTGGCCCTATGCCTTCCTGTGGACTGGCGGCTGGGAAATGCTGGGCTAGAGGATCCCTAACATTCCATGAAGCTAATGTTCCAGCCTTCCTGGTCTGTGAGCCGCAATGCTGAGTCCTTTCCTCTAAAATGCCAGGGAGCTGTGGGTGAAACCATGCCAAAGAGCGTGGGAGAATACAGATCACCTACCCCTTCAGGGTCCCCAGACAGCAGAGACACAGGCCCTGCCCTTGGGACATGGCTGTCTGATGGGGAAGACAGGGGCCTGTCTCAGTTCCTCAAAAGGAGCCAAGAAGACATGAGGGGCAGGGGGTGGCCCACCTCTGAGTCCCTAAAGCACTGTGGATTGGGAAGGGTGGTGAGGATTCTGCAAAGAAGAGGAGAATGTGGGCATGTTAGAGACATCTCATTCTTAGCAAATGTCTTTGAGGAGGTAAGCTGAGACCCATTTGCTTGTGAGACAGCGGCTCTCCTCAGAAGCAAGAAAAGCCAAACATCTGCCCTTCCAGCCTGAGAGCACAGTGAGCTTCAGCCCTGCTCAGGGCCCCGCCCAGTCAGTGTTGCACTCGGCTCAGTCCTCAAGCCTTTGTTCATGTCACCCGTTCGGCAGGAGTGCCTTCTCCTCTTTGTACCAGCCTAGTCCTCAAAAGCTCTTGTCCCTGTTTCTTCCAACCCGCTGAGGCTCCAGTATGGCTCTTACCATAGTGTATCTTGTTTTATAAAGATATTGGGGCAGTGTGCCCGCTCCCTGCTAAGAGCTCTCTGCGGACAGCCGGTCACATGCCCTCTATAGCCCTGATGCCCACTTGTCCCATGTCCAGTGCTGACGCATACCAGTGGTGCCCAATACGTGTCTGTCTGATAGGATCAGATGAAGGTTTCACACCCCAGCCCATGCTGATTCACGTTCCCCTCCAGGTGGACTAGTCACTGAGGGCTTCCAGGTTGCAAAGCGTATCTTCCCAGCTAGAATAGAGGCGAATTGAGAGCTGTGTTGTCTCCTTTTTTGTTTCTTAGAGTCCCAGAAGGGCTGAGCTGGAAGGGTCCCTTAGAAACCACCTACCATCTCCCATTACTTGGAGAAAACGAGGGCCCCAGGAGGGGACTGTGGTAGAGGAAAGAGTACATCAGACCTGGTCTCAATCCTCACTCTAAATTCATTTAATATGTGATATTTTCCAAAGTGTACTCTGAGTTGCCATTTTTTCCTTCCCTCCCTCCCTCCCTCCCTCCTTCCCTCCCTCCCTTCCTTTCTTCTTTCTTGAGATAGGGTCTTGCTCTGTTACCCAGGCTGGAGTGCAGTGGCGTGATCATGGTTCATTGCAACCTTGATCTCCCAGACTCCGGCGATCCTCCCACCTTAGCCTCCCAGATATCTAGGACTGCAGGCTCATGCCACCACACCCAGCTAAGTTTTTGTAGAGGTGAGGTTTTGCCATGTTGCCCAGGCTGGTCTCCAACTTATGGGCTCAAGCAATCGCCCATTTCGGCCTCCCAAAGTGCTGCGATTATAGGCGTGAGCCACTGCACCGGGCTGATCATTTTTAATATATTATAAATACTTGAAAAAGAGGTGTATTCTGTTTGTAGGATGTGGGGCTTATAAGCATATTATTCCTGCTTTATTACCCAGATGCTGTATGCTCTTGCTTGTGTAGTTTGTCAAATGGTGAAATGGGCTTGCTGAATCTCCCATAATGCCATGCTCCTGTCAAGTTCTTCTTGCATTTTAGCAGATTTTTCCCTATAAAGTCCAGCAGTAGGCTAATAGGTGCATAAATGTTGGTGAGTACTGAAGCAGATGTATCCTTTAGCATTTATCAAGTGATCCTTTGTCCAATTATATTGTTTTGTTGGACATTACTGTGACTTCTGCTCTCTTTTTCCTCATTTGTTTGACATTCTTTTACTCATTCTTTGGCTGCTGTCCTCTGTGCCACGTTAGTATGGGTGTGTCTTTTGTAATTGGCATGTCCTAGATGGATATGCTAGACAGTCATCATCCATTCGTGTTGTGTACCCTTCCTTTTGAGGCTGTTTCATGTTCATTATAGCTCTTCTTTGCTATGTGCACTGTTTCCTTTCCTTTTTCCCAAGTTGGCTTCAAGTTGGTATGGAAAGAGAAGAGAGGCTCTCTGGCGAAGATGGCTCATACCCTGGGTACACTTTGGAGGCTTGCCCAAATTTTTTAAATCTAAGGGCAGTACCCAGATGCGGCACAAATTAAATCATCATCCTCAAACATCCGAGGAGTGCATTCTCACTACAAAAGCCAGACTCAGGGACACTTGGTTCCTGAAGGAGAGACTAGCCCCGCCTGAGCTGCCGAAGGCCCTCAGATCCACCTCGCAGTTGGAGGGAAGCCTGGGAAGCTCTTTGAGCCTGATTTACAACCTGTGGGGCGGCTCTATCCAATACTGGATGTCTCAGACAGAAAAACAAGGTCATGCAGGGTTATGTCAACTCACTAAAGTAAGTCTAAGAGATTCCCTGGTGAAAACAGCAGGCCTTGATAGATAAATGATTTCTTAAAAAGTTAAAATCTTTCCTGGAAGGGGAAGGGAGATCCCTGCCAGATTTCTTTCAGCTTCCACAACCCTGATTCACCTGACTTCCTGCCTCCCTGAACCTGGGGCTGTGTACTTCCAGGAATCTAGGGCCCCACTGTGACTTTCATGGACCCCAAGCACCGTTGCCTTTGTGAGCTTCTTCCTCCGTAAAAAAAAGTATGTATTTATAATTACATTTTACAACTGTGTTGGTAAAAGACTAATATAATTCAATTATTATATGTTACTTTATCTATACTTTTCTCCTGATTTTAATAGTAGATAAAACTAAAACTCTTTAGTGGGTCCTTAAAAGTCTCGTGAGCCCCAGGCACTGTGTCTCCTATGCCTCACAGACCAAGGCCGCTGCAGACCCTAGGGCCATGTGTCAGGATTGGCCAACGGCAGAGGCGATGGGGAGGACTTTGCAAGTGGTTTAAACTTAGGGGTGCTTGCTTCTGAGGCAGAGAGCCCAGGCTGAGAGAAAGCTTCATAGGTCAGCCAGAACAGACAGGAGGAGCGCAAATTGTCTCCAAGCCACAAATGCCTTTCCATCTGCGAAGGCACAGACCTGCCAACCCTCGAATGGGTATGTGGGGATGTGGGGAGGTGCCAAAATGCCCTTAAGGTTTCTGACCACAACCAACAAGAGGGAGAAAAGGCCTCCACACATATGCTGGGACAACAGAGATTTTGTTATGAGCCACACAGTCAGGTGCTGAGGGAGAGAGAGAGCAAAATGAGACCCACCTGGACCAAGTGGCTGCCCAAGAGAGTTCAGGGAAGACTTCCAACATGTTTGGGGTGCTTGTGTTTATCAGAGGTGACCCCCATTCTCTGAATCAGGCTTAATTCTGGTTCTTTTCAAACTGAGTCTCTGAACCTCAGCACTACTGACATTTGGGGCTGGATAATTCTGGGGTTGAGGAGGTGGGAAAGGGCTTTCCTGTGCATTCCAGAACATTGAACAGCATCCCTGGCCTCTACTCACTAGATGCCAGCAGCATCTACCTCCCCAGGTCATGACAGGCAAAAATGTCTTCAGACATTACTAAATCCCTCCCAGTTGAGAAACACTGTTTTAAGATAGCAGTAAAGGGAAATTTCAGGTCACGAAGGAGCCTAAAAATGAGTCATTGGATACCCCAAAAGTTAGACAATACTTAGATATTAGCATAGCCACCTGCTGACAAACTTGCCTCCTTTCCTCCCTCTTTCCTTTCTTCCTTTCTCCCTCCTTCCTTTCTTCCTTTCTCCCTCCCTTCCTTCCTTTCTTTCAAGTAAGGTCTAGGCAGGTCTACCCAACCCCCTAGTTTTTTTGTGGGACCAGATGGACACAGAAGGTTTTGCTCACAACTGGTCATTTCCTTCAAAGGGGAGAGATACCTAGACCCCTTTTATAACATCTTGGGGGACTAGAATTATTGGCCACGACGAATGTCAATCATAACTCTATGATCTCATTTGAGAATAATGAGTAAGTTTCTTTCTATGTTCTGCAATAACAACATTTACCAAACTGGTGCAATTTGGGGCAGAATAATTTGCACAAGAATGTTGTCATTCTTACACATTTCATTTGTCACTATTTGTAAAATTCATCTTTATGGAAAGGTGCACACACATTCTAGGGCCACTGACCTCTTTACAATAGAAATCTGTTAAAATTTGTTAATCTCATTATTCCTTGAGAGAAAATTAATTAATTAATTCTATGATAAGAATGAAGGGACTGTAGACCTATCCAGGGACTAGAAGAGCTTACAGCTCATGAGAATAAAGGTGCCCTCGAATTCCTGTGGTTCGCATCACTAATTCAGGAAAAGAAAAAGACAGTAAAGACATTGGCTGCCCTCAGGGTATACACGAAGTAGGAAGGTGGAGACGGGCAGTCCTGGGGGAGGTGGCTTCACACTGGTTCATGGGGAGCAGGAGTGGCTGCATTCCCATCCTCGGTCAGTAGACTTCCTGAAATGAGCCCAGGGTTCTGTGCAGACTATGCCCATGAGTTTGCCTCTCACGTTAGGGTGCCTGATTACACACAGGACAGCTGTGACAAACAAGAGGCTCATCCCCTACACACAAGCGGGTTCTAGGACATGTGGGATAGATTTAGGAAATGACGAGGGATTTCCAAGTTGCCTTGGGAGGCGGGAGTCATCCAGTCATTTCTGGCCATTGTAGCAAGAAATTTTCGGGCAAACCTTGGGGCAAGCTTGCCTTATGCAGGGAAATCCGATGCACAACTCCAGAAATTAAGTTTGGAAGTAAAGAATAGGCCAGCATTGATGAGCTCTGCCAACCAAGCAAGAAAAGAGGTCAGTGACAGTCTGCTCCCACTCTAGGTGCAGGCAGAGGCTGGGGGAAAAGGGATTGAGTCAGGCAGGAGGCAAAGCTACATCATAGGGTTGTGCACGTTACGGACTGCACAACTGCACCAAAGCTAAGGGGGCATTATTTAATCATAGTCATCAAAGGCCTGTATATGTATTAGCACAGTTTTTAAGAGATGGAAGCAAAGGATCTTGAGAAAGGAAACGACATTTTCCAACTCACATAAAGACATCTTGTGGACAAGTATTGGCCCTGAAAAGTCATCCATCTAATGGTAGTTCCTCCTGGTGGCGAGAGTTCCAATGCTGTTCATATAAGTGGGGTTTTTCTTTTTTTGGTACTTTCATTTTGTTTATTTATTTTTAATGGTGGTATAACCTACATGCAATAAAATGCATTAATCTTAAGTATACAGCTTAATGAATTTTTACATATGGATATGCTCATGTAACCACCTTTATATCAAGTTATCACCTGAATGGCTTAGCTCAATTCTTTTTTGTTTGTTTTTTGTTTTGAGATAGAGACTCTCTTCATTGCCCAGGCTGGAGTGCAGTGGCACAATCTCAGCTCACCACAACCTCCACATCCCAGGTACAAGTGATTTTTCTGCCTCAGCCTCCCAAGTAGCTGGGACTAAAGGTGCCCACCACCACATCTGGCTAATTTTTGTATTATTATTAGTAGTAGTAGAGATGGGGTTTCACCATCTTGGCCAGGCTGGTCTCGAACTCCTGACCTCAAGAGATCTGCCTGCCTTGGCCTCCCAAAGTGCTGGGAATACAGGCTTAAGACACCACACCTGGCCAGGTCAATTCTTTATGGTCAAAAAATTAATGAATCTAGAATGGAAGCTGTACATAGCAATGGCCATGTAGGCCCCAGATAGCTTCTCTCCAATTTTGGACAAGTGTAGTCATTTTTCTTTAAACCATAACCACAATTACTGAGATCCAAGTCTATGTTTTACAGTGCTCGCTGACAGTCCTATTCTATACCCTCCCCTCTCTTGAGTTCTTTATTGCTGGATTATGTCTTCAAGTACATATTTTTCTTCTAGGAAGGGAACTGGGTGCAGTATTCTTTGGACCCTTACATATCTGACAATAGCCTTCGCACATAGGTGGCAATTTGGCTGGTTTGTGTTTCCATTGTAGGACCGTACTGAATAATTTTGTTGCCGTAAAAATCCTCTGTGATTTGCCCATTCATCTCGCTCTCCCTCCTAACCTCTGGCAACCACTGATCTGTTTACTGTTTCCATAGTTTTGCCTTTTCCAGAATGTTATATAGTTGCAGTCATATAGCATGTAGCCTTTTCAGACTGGCTTCTTTCACTTAATAATATGCATTTAAGTTTTCCTCACATCTTTTCATGGCTTGATAGCTCATTTCTTTTTAGCAGTGAAAAAATATTCCATTGTCTGGATGTACCACGGTCGTTTATACATTCACCTGCTGAAGGACATCCTGTTGCTTCCAGGTTTGGGCTATTATTAATAAATCTGCTATAAACTTCTGTGTGCAGGTTTTGGTATGACCATGATTTCAATTATTTTGGGTAGATACCAAGGATTGCAACTGCTGGATCATCTGGTACATGGAGTGTGCTTAGTTTTCTAAGAAACTGCCAAACTGTCTTCCAAAGTGGCTATCCTATTTTGCATACCCATGAGCAATGAATGAGAGGGTTCCTACTGCTCCACATCCTCACCAGCTTTCGGTATTATCAGTGTTCTGGATTTTGGCCATTAAATAAGTGTGTAGTGGTGTTTCATTTTAATTTGCTTTTCTCTAATGACATATGTAGTGGAGCATCCTTTCATATGTTTATTTGCCATCTGTATATCTTCTTTGATGAGATGTCTGTTGAGGTCTTTTGACCGTTTTAAAATTAGGTTGTTTGTTTTCTTATTGTTGAATTTTAAGGCTTCTTTGTATATTTTGTACAAAACAGTCCTCTTGCAAATATTCTATCCCAGGCTGAGGCTTATCTTCTCATTTTATTGACAGTGTCTTTCATAGAGCAAAGGTTTGAATTTTAATGAAATCCACCTTATCAATTATTTCTCTCATGACTTGTGCCTTTGGTGTTGTATCCAAAAAGTCATTACCATACTCAAGGTTATTTAGATTTTCTCCTATGTTATTTTCTAGGAGTTTATAGTTTGCATTTTACATTTAGGTCTGGGATCCATTTTGAGTTCGTTTGTGAAGGGTGTAAGGTCCGTGTCCAGATTCACTTTTTTCTGCATGTGGATGTCCAGTTGTTCCAGCACCCTTCATTGAAAAGACTGCCTTTGTTCCATTGTATTGACTTTGCTCCTTTGTCAGAGATGTTGACGATGTTTATGAGGGTCTATTTCTGGGCCCTCTATTCTGTTCCATAGATCTGTTTGTTTATTCTTTCACCAATAACACGCTATTTTGATTATTTCAGCTTTATAGTAAGCCTGGAAGCCAAGTAGTGTTAGTCCTATGACTTTGTTCTTCTCTTTAAATACTGTGTTAACTATTCTGGGTTTTTTTTTTTTTCCTCTCCACATAACTTCAGAATCAGTTTGCTGATACTCAGAAAATAACTGTCTTGGATTTTGATTGGGATTGTATTAAACCCATAATAAGGCTGGGAAGAAGTGACATCTTGACAATATTGAGTCTTCCCATCCATGAACTCTTTTAATAATGATGTCTCCTCATTATCTTCCTTGGCATTCTGGGAAAACTTCTCAAGCATCCTTCACATCCTTGATCCTCTGCAATGTCAAATTCCCCTTTCCATTTCTAATGAAGATTAAATTCTGTGATGGCATTTCTAATTTCCTTACTCTCTTTATCCATCACCAAACTCCTCTTTTCTCTTAAATTCTTAGTCTTCTCCTTTTTCATTTCAGTCTGATATTTCATCATGTCCTCTTTTATCTCCTTTTTCATATAGTTCACATTTTTTGAATTATTTGAGAATATAAAACATTTACTTCCCAATATTTCTTCTGTTTCCTGTTCTTAATATTTGACAAAAGTGTAATTGTCATATGCATCTTAATTGTGGTGCTTTATTTTGCAGAATCTCTTTGATCCATGCTAGATTCTTAGGCTTCCTCCTGAGGACAAATCAATAAGACCTGGTGTCTACCCAACCAGGGCAACCAGTGAGTGGATTGTCTTTAATTCCCACCACATCTTGATTGCTCTACACATTCTGCTGCAAGATCTTCAGAGGTGACTGGTGATAATTTACGCAATCAGTTCAAAGTGGGAAGGGAGGCAGAGCGATGAGCATGCTAGCAGGGAAGTCGTGTGTCTGGGATACTGGCTTGGTGTTTGGGGAAGCTATTTTCTACTTCCATTTTCCCATTTGATCTGGCCTTCATACTAGGTATAAACCATAGCCTGCTAAGCCTCCTTCCATGGATCAGATCCTTGCCCTCTGCTATGGTTTGAATGTGTCCTCCACAAAATTCACGGTGAAATTTAATCTCCCTGGTGGTATTCTTTTTGGAAAGTGATGAAGTCACAATGGCTTCACCCTCATGAATGGACCAGAGGGAACTAACTTAACACCTTTTGCCTTTCTGCCATCCCACCATGTGAGAACACAGCCTTTGTCCCCTCTGGAGGACATAGCAAAAAGGCAGCATCTTAGAAGCAGAAAGACTGGGGCCTCATCAGACACTGAACCTGCCAGTGTTCTGATCATGGACTGCTCAGCCTCCAGAACTGTGAGGAAATAAATTTCTGTCCTTAATAAATTACTCAGTCTCAGGCATTTTGTTATAGCACCCCAAACCAACTAAGTTATCCACTCTACCAGGAGCAAACTCTACTTCCCTGGAGGCTTTCTGTGCACTATCGCTGCCACTCAAAACCTGGAGCCTCACAGAGCCTCTTACACATGCTGCTGCTCTGTGACAGGGAAGGAGTTCATGTGGTTTGTTCCTCATTTGCTCCAGCTCACCCTCCTCTCTCACCCTCATCCCTCGAGTTAGGGCACGGTGGTAGGGTCTGCAGGCTCTCCTCAACTCACTTCTCTTGAAGGGTGCTGCTCCTCGGAGGGACCACGACAGACCGGCTTTACCACTGTCCCTCAGTGTGTGATCTTGCAGAGTGCCCTTGATCTTCTGCATGTGAGTGGTCCTCTCCCATATTGTCAGTGATGCTGCACATTTCCTACTTACACATTTCTAATACTTTGGTCATTTCAATGAGAATCTTGGGGTGCGGCGAGTAGGAGGAAAGGAGGGAGAGACTCCTGTCCTCACATCGTTTTCTTACTCAGAACCCAGTCACTCTGTCCACCTGTCCATTCATCTAGTTAACTGTCCAGGAGGGTCAGATCTCGGTGAGTCTGGACCAAGTCTCAGCATCCTGTTTGCTTCTGACTCAGCTGACTTGGTCTCATCCTCCTTTTCGTATATCGGGAAACTGACCCCATAGTTCTGGATGTGTTTTTATGTGTCTGTGGATTATCTGATACTATATTTCTAGATCATTGGCCAGTCCAGAGGAACTCGATCAAATTCAGTTGAAATCAATAGGTATGGATGAACAAAAGACATTTCCTTAGAGAGGAGAAGGCACAGCCTGGCTGGGGTGGGGGACTGGTCAGGCTTCCAGCTCTATCATTAATAGGCTGGACTGTCCAGGGAAATAGCCTTCCTTTTGGGGGATATCAATTTTCCTCCTTTTTTATATGAAAGCATTGAATCTCTAAGGTCTTCCTCACTGCTATTTTTGGATTTTGCTGTGAGCCAGGCCCTGCTGTGGAAGAGACAAGAGAAAGGGGCTGGTCATGTTTCTGGTTAAAGAGGCAAGATGGATGCTTGCATCCGCTCGAGGAGCCCTGTACTGTCAGGCAAGAGTAAACTTGGTAACCAAGTATGGGATGCATAAGACTTTGCTGGGAAAACAAAGTGGAAGGGGCCAAAAGGAGAACACAGAGCAATTGGATAAGAAAGAAACGGTGGCAGTCAGGCGGGGTGGCTCACACTTGTAATCCCAACATTTTGGGAGGCCGAGGCGGGCGGATCTCTTGAGGTCAGGAGTTCGAGACCAGCCTGGCCAACACAGTGAAACCCCATCTCTACTAAAAAAATACAAAAATTAGCTGGGTGTGGTGGTAGGCGCCTGCAATCCCAGCTACTTGGGAGGCTGAGACAGGAGAATCGCTTGAACCCGGGAGGCAGAGGTTGCAGTGGGCTGAGATGTCGCCACTGCACTCCAGCCTGGGCGACAGAGTGAGACTCCGTCTCGAAAGAAAGAAAAGGAAGGAAGGAAGGAAGGAAGGAAGGAAGGAAGGAAGGAAGGAAGGAAGGGGAAAGAAAGAAAGGAAGGAAGAGAAGGAAGGAAAGAAAGAAAGAAAGAAAGAAAGAAAGAAAGAAAGAAAGAAAGAAAGAAAGAAAGAAAGGTGTGAAAAAAGAAAGACTAAAAATAAGAAAATAAGAGAGAGAAGGAGAATGAGCAGGAAAGAGGACAGGAGTGGTCAGATGCTGTGGAGTAACAGGGTGGGGAGGCCCAGGATTGGGCTGGGCTGGTGGGGGGTGGGGGGAGATGTACTGGGGAGGGTGTCATTCCTTCTGGATACTGTCTGAGGTGACAAACAAGCTCTAAAGGTCCCATATGTCCTAGTGGCTGCCTCCTTCTCACGTTACATTCACATTCCCAGCCCATCCCGAGCGCGGGAGAGGGAGAGGCAATGGTGCAGTGACGTCCCGGCCCACTAGGCGGCCGCGGGCTCCTCTGAATTCCAGGCTCAGCACAGAATTCAGCCCCTTGTAACCAGAGACCCATTTCCTATTTCCTCTGTTCCCTGGAGAAGATGGGATGGACTTGTGATGAAAGGGATTCTAAATAGAATAAAGGAAACACACACACACACACTTCATGGAAGCAGTTATTGTGTGTGAAAACTAGAACCACTGCAGAGGGGCTGAGGCCAGCCACCACCCATTCTTACCTGGTTTCCTCCTGTCTCTGAAAGCCAGCAGATAGGGGTGGGGGATGGGTTTGGGTCCAGGGTTAGGGTCTATCTTTGGTTAGGGTTAGAGTCAATTGATGGTCAGTATCAGGATCCATATGAGGCCAAGGTCAAGGCTCTGTCTGAGGTCAGGGTTGGAATTATACTGTATTTGGGAAGCAAAGTAACTATGGGATTGCATAAGAAATGAACCATGATGTTCTCTAAGGAAAAAAACCAGGGATGATTCCATGGAGGGGCTAAGCTTCTAGTAAGACCTTGAAAGAGAAACCTGGCAGTGGCAGAGGAAGACCTTGAGGGACTGAAAAGAATGGCTGGACACAATTGAAGGTAATATCAGTGCAAGTCCCCAAGAGATGCTGCCTCCTGATCAGAGTCCAGCTCATCAGCAGATGCTATGTGACCTCCCTCCTGAGTGAGAAGGAGAAGGAAGACACCTGAGCTCCCAGGCCACCCTCCCTGGCCCTGTGGGGGAAGAGGATTCTCCACTGGGTTTGGCCAAGGGCACCTTTCCACACATTCCTGGCCCTGAGTGCCCCTCGGCCCGGTGTTTGCACTTGGGCTGCCAGGGCAGGGGCTGGTGTCAGGCAGGGCGGACACAACCTGGAAATAGGGAGCGGCCGTGGAAACAATGTGGGTCTGGCAAAAGCTCGCTGGCCATGCCCAGGCTAGAGATGGGCTGGGCTGCCCCTGGGGAAGCTGGGGCCTGGGGACATGGAGCAGAAGGGGCCCACTCAGCCCAGAGCCACCTTCTCCAGGCCTCACCATCATGGCCACCGAATCTGATGGCTGCAGGAGGCCCAAGGGCCATCCACCATGTTCCCTGACGGTTTTTATTATGGTCTGCAGCATGCTTTTCAGCTCTGCTTTCTCAAATGATAGCCACTGGAAACACTGCCCTTCTCTCCAGGCCCTTCTGCAGGTATTCCCACACTTGCCGGCCGTCTCCCACCTCCATGAGCGTGGCCTTCGCCCATTAGTCAAAGGCTCCCTGAAGACAGTCCCCTTAGTCAGCAAGTGGTTCTCTGAAAGGCTTTCTTTCTCCTCAATATGAGGAAGGGGCTTCCTGAGGAAACGGTCCCCTCAGCAATCTGGAAAAAGCCCGAGGAAACACCGCACCTCCCCATCAGTCTGGAGACTCTCAGAAGGGATACTTCTCCTATCAGTCTAGGGGCTCCCTGACAGGGTTCCTCCCTCAGAGTCTCCATCATTGTGGTTAATCAAGGAAGGGTCTTCTCCATCAGTGTGGGGTCCTTGAGGGGATGCCTTCCCCTGCAGTGTGGGG
Source organism: Homo sapiens (assembly GCF_000001405.40). Taxonomy (NCBI): domain Eukaryota; kingdom Metazoa; phylum Chordata; class Mammalia; order Primates; family Hominidae; genus Homo; species Homo sapiens. Next base: position 71,873,311 of record NC_000002.12, read on the forward strand.
TTCCTAAGAAGATACCCCCAGCAGTGTGGGGCCCCTGAGGGGATGCCCTAAGTAGTGTGGGTCCCCTGAGGGCCACAGCTTCAGCAGATTGGGCAACTCTTGCCAATTCCTGGACAAGAGCAGTCAAAGTAAAGTGGAGGTGTCAACCAAGAATCTGAGTCACGCTCAAGTTGATGGTCAGGATAGGATGCCAGTCCACGCCCATGCAGGTTTTAAAAAGAAAATGATGGTGGGCATCATAATGCTTATGAAGCTGGTAATGAAGAGGGCAGTGATACCTGGTGGTGGTGCCAGTGATGGTATGGATGTGGTGAGAAGCTGGAGGCCTTGTGTTTGGTAGTGTCAGTGACGGTGGAAGAGGCAGTGCTGGATGTGGTGGGGAGAACTAGGGAGGTGGTATTGATGGTGGTTGCAACAGTGGGGGTGGCCACAATTATGGATGAGGTTGGCACTGGTGGTGGAAGTGGTGGGTACTGTAAACCAATCGCCACCTGCTGGAGACCTGCCCTAAAAGAAAAGGGTCCTGTGCCAAGGAGAGCAGAGAGTTGAGGGAAGAAGAGGGACATTTATCCAGAATAGCTGGGGGAGAAGCTAAACCATAGTGGAAAGGGGAAACCAAAGCTGTATTTGTATTCAAAAGTGGTTCAAGTTAGACCTGAAACAGGAGCACCAGTGACCAAATCTGAAGCTGTGGAAGTTATAAGCATCTCAAAGTGTGATCCCAGGACCAAGACTGGGAAGCTGAGAGGGGGGAAGCCTCGTTTTTATGGAGTCCCTTGCAAGATTGGGTCTGAGGGCTCTGAAGACCCACAGTGAGCTGTCATGCCTCCGGACTGGCCAGATGAGTCTGGCAAGTCCAGGGCTGCTCCTGACCAGATGGGGAAGGACTCATGGCCAGACCTGTGCCTTTCTTGTCCCTCACCCTCTTTGTCTTCCACTCAGAGGGAAGGTGGGGCTGTGGAGGGAGGTCAGAATCAGTTGGTGAATGTTAAAAATATAAACACACCTCTTCCCAACATGAACTGGGCAATCTGACTCAGTTTGTCCAGGGTGGGGTCTGAGCATAAGTATTTTTAATAAGCTCCCAAGGTGATTCTGATATAAACACACACAAACACACACACACAAACACACACACACACACACACACACACACACACACACTCACTCATCAAGATCCATGCCCAGATACGATATTTGGCAACCCCTATCTCTGCCACTGGGCCGGGGGTTATTTATAGTAGAAGGCAACAATATTTCCACATCATCACTTCTTCACCTGCTCCACCCATAAGGTCTTGGGAGCTGTAGGTGAATAGATGATTTGCCAGGTGAAGAGGTGGGGCCCAGGACTGCAGCAGGGGCCTGGGATGGTCATTTCTTGGTAACGATCTCATGTCAGGGGCCAAGGAAGAAAAGGGAAGTGTTGGCATCCAGCACTTTCTGCCAAGACCTGACTCCACACGGATCCCTGGATGCCCTTGAGAGGAGGCCTTTGGGAGCTTACAGGTTGAGGGAAGGAGCTGGGGAACGTTGAGTGGATCAGTGAAGAAAGAGAGAAGGCTGAGCTTAGGGTGAAGGTGCGAGGGTGCTGGGCAGGGGCTCTCAGTCCCCTTGAGGGGGCTATGCTTTCTGTGTGTAGGGCCCTCCACAGTGCTCTCCAGGTGCACCTGCCCGTTCTTCTAGACCAGCTCCCACTCAGCCTGTCCATGAAGCCTTTCCAGATAGCAGGGCCCTCTTCTTTTGCTAGGCTCACAGCTTGAGTTCTTTGTGTTGGGGATTACACAACCCAGTTCTGATAGTTTTTCTGTTGTGCCATCCCCACTGGATCCCCCTTTCCCCTACTGCCTTCACCGATTTGCAGCCTCCCTGAAGGCAACCGCAGTAGCTCGCATCTCCGCATCCCATTTGTCTTTCTCTGGGCCTTCATTATCAACATGCACATTCAGCATAGAAGAGCATTTGTTAAAATGTTTGGCCTTGATGTGAGAGCGGGATGAGCACCCAATGGGAAGTCAGAGCCCTCGGGTTCTAGCTCCAACTGGGGCCCCTTTCCTGGCTTCTAGGGACCCAATCCAACGGGAAAGACAGGAAAACAGCTTATTCTTGCTTCCTCTCCTTCTTCATCAGGCCCTGGAGATTCTGTGTCCCTGGTTCTAATGTAGCAGCCTTGAGCCCACCAGCAACAGAGAGATAGGTCCTCTTCCCTGGTGCCTACAGGTGAGACTGCAGGAAGAGAAGGGGACCTTGAGGTCACCTTTTTGATGCTGACAATCCCATTCTCTCTCCTTGAGGCTCTGCAAGGGGGCCGCCTCAGGACACAGGCCTCGGGGGAAAAAGGGCAAAGTTTGGCAAATCAGGTTGATTTGACTTGAGTTGATCAAAGGAAACTTCTTAAAGGGGGAGGAAAGCAAGAATGGCCTTGGGAATGGGCCCAAGGACAGCAATGGCTCACTTTGAAGATGGGGAGGCCCTGAAGTGAAGGAAGGGGGTAGCTCGTGGCTGGGCTAGCTGGAGGGAGAGGGGTTTGAATTGGGGTTTGTCCAGGTGGGGAAGAGTTCAGGGAGGCCCAATGTGGGAGGTTTAGGGGCACAAAGGATTTTTGGACCTCAGGTCCAGGGGAAGAGGGAGAGACTGAGGGATTAAAAGCAGCCAGGAAAGCGATGGGCTTTCTCGAGTTCCTCAGTATGTCAGCTGCCACTCGGTCACCTGAGGCTGGGCTGGGCAGCTGCTTCCAGGTGAGAGCAGGAATCTCAGGTCAACTCCACCTCCCAGCCAGAACCTGCAGGGAGTCTGAGGGACTTCTTACCTTCTAAGCCCTCAGCCCGGCAGCTCCTGTCCCTCTGCTGCAGAGGGTGTGTGTGTGTGTGTGTGTGTGTGTGTGTGTGTGTGTGTGCGCCCTTAGGAATGAAGGATGTCAATCTTGGGGAGGGAAGGCAGGGTCCCTGCCTTCTGCCCAGTGGGAATAGAATGGTGCTGGTGGATATTTCTCCATTCTAAATGGGGGACAAGTGAGGAAGCTTCTAAAACTTTGCTCCATAAGCAGCCACCTGTGGAGGCAGAGACCCTGGGGAGGACGAGTCAGGAGCCCCTAAGGGGTGTGTGGGGTGTGTGAAAGCTGGCACCTCCCAGGATGCCCCACCTCTCCCCCTGGGGGCCTGTACAAGGCCCCAGCCAGGCCTCAGCAAGGTGTTTCCCACCTTCCTCCTCTCCCACATCCCTCTCAGGATGTCCTCCCAACCAGGGTCCCTGCTCCCACATTGGAGGTGTCCATGCGGGGAGGCAGTGATGAGGGAAATGAGAGCATATGTCTATACAAAGTTGTGCAAAGACTCATACGCAGATGTTGAGCAACTTTATTTGTAATAGCCCCAAACTGGAAAAACCCCAAATATTCATCAACAGGTGCGTGGATAAACAAATTCTGGTATATCTATCCCATGGAACATTAGTCAGCAATTAAAAGGAATGAACTACTGATTCATGCAACAGCTTGGAAGAATCTCAAAATAATTATGCTAAGTGAAAGAAGCCAGGAAAAAGAGTACATGTTGTATGATTCCATTTATATAAAGCTCTGGAAAATGCAAACTAATCTATAGTGACAGAAAGCAAAGCAGTGGCTGCCAGGGACAAGGAGTGGAAGTTGGAGGGGAGGGAGGGAGGGATTACCAAGGAGCAGGAGGAAACTTTTGGAGATGATGAATATGTTCATTATCTTGATTGTGGTGATGGTTTCACAGATGTATGTATATGTCAGACATGATCAAACTGGGCACCTAAAATAGGTGCTGCTTATTATATGCTCAGTTATACCTCAATACAGCTGTACTAAAAGATGGGGTTGGTGACCGTCATGATGATGGTGATAAAGCTGAAGGAAAAGTTGCTGGCAGGTCAACCACAGGCATGAGTGAGGCCATCATTCTCTAACAGTAATTTAGATATTTGCCTTTCTCTGTGCTGTAGTTTGAATGTGTCTCCAAATTTCATGTATTGGAAACTGAATGCCCAAATGTATACGTTGATGGTATTTGGAAGTGGGACCTTTGGGAGGGAATTAGGATTAGATAAGGTCATCAGGGTGGGGCCTCCACAATAGGACTGATAGCTTTATAAAAACAGGAAGAGGCCTCCTGCGGCAGCTCATGCCTGTAATCCCAGCACTTTGGGAGGCTGAGGCAGGCGGATCACCTGAGGTCAGGAGTTCGAGATCGCCTGACGTCAGCAGTTCGAGATCAGCCTGGCTAACATGGTAAAACCCCGTCTATACTAAAAATACAGAAAAATTAGCTGGGCACAGTGGTAGGCGCCTGTAATCCCAGCTACTGGGGAGGCTGAGGCACAAGAATTGCTTCAACCTGGGAAGTGGAGGCTGCAGTGAGCTGAGACTGCACCACTGCACTCCAGCCTGGGTGACAGAATGAGAGTAAAGAAAGAGAGAAAGAAAGACAGAGAGAGAGAGAAAGAAAGGAAGGAAGGAAGGAAGGAAGAAGACCTGAGCAAGTGCGCCTGCTCTGTCTCACCACGTGATGCCTCCCGCTGTGTCATGGCGCAGCAGGTGGGCCCTCACCAGAAGCAGGTGCCAATGCTCTTGGACTTCCTAGCCTCCAGGAAAATGTGCTGAATAAATATCTATTCTTTATAAATTGTGCAGTCTGTGGTGTTCAGTTATAGCACTAACACACGGACAAGACATCCTAGAAACTGGGGATGGATGAGACTGTGCCTTCTTCATCTCTTCCCCAGCACTCTGTGCGGGGTTCACAGGGTAGCAGGCAGGCCATAGAGTTCATGTGGTCATCTCAGCAATGTCAACGGAGAGGAACAAATGCTACAGCATGAGATCCCCAGGGGGCTGTGGGAGCACAGAGGAACATGGGTGCCTGACACAAATTTTGTGAGGCGGGCAGTCCATGAAGGCTTCCTAGAAGAGTCATATCTGAACTGAGCCTGGACAGGTATGTAGCAGGTATCTAGGCAACGCAGGCTGGGGTGGAGAAGTGTCCCAAAAGCAGGGATGAGTTTGTTGTGTCTAGAAATCATAGGGATCCCCTACCATGAAGTGGGTACAGAGGTTGACATTGGAAGGTGACAGTGATGTCCCAGAGGTTTCCTTCTGATGTGAGAGAGGTCTCTGTCATCTCAATTATCTTGCTGTTCCACTATCCACGTGCCTGCCCTGTTACTAGCCCATCAAAAGTAGGGACAAGGATGCAGAAGATTGTAGAGGTACCCACAGACCCCACCTGCTGTTCCCCTCAATGGAAGAGAGACTGTGTGACTCTGGGAGGCGCCTGATGGATGGGCTTCCTCTCAGGCAGTGTTATGAGATCCCCCTTGAATTTCCACCCTGTGTCCTGTGATGCTCAGGTCTGGAGCCAAGGCGGTGGTGTAAACAAGGCCTGGCCAGTGAGGGTGGGTGTGTTGTTTGCTGATAGATGTCAGCTGGAACAACCTGAACTGGCCCCACTGGTCCCTAGGGGCAACAGGAACAAAGTGGGGAGGATGCGGGTCATGCCGGGCTCTTCCAGGCAGACCAGCTGTGCTCCCCACACACAGGGTGGCCTTGGGCAGCACAGCCAAACCTGCCTTGCAGGCTTGGGGTGAGCCAGAGAGGCAACCTCTTGCCCTGGCTTGAGCCCACCCTGTGTGTGGCCATAGCTTCCATGACCTGCCTGGAGCCCCAGCTCAGCTAAAGCTTTTGTAGGGTGCAGCCACCCACCATAGCAGAGCCTGCCACACACCCTGAGGATTCAGTGTCCTCAGCACTCAGTGACTAGGGGCTACAGGGACCACTCATTCATGGGCGAGGAGATCCCACTTGTGTGGATTTGTCTTGACATGTCATAGTACCTCCCCTTCCCTCTGGCTCCATCATGGTTTCCGAATCATCCTTTCTTCTATACAACAATCCCTCCTCACCGCTGACACTATCCATCTAAAGCCATCATCCGCCCACACCACTCCCTGCCCCTGGAGGGACACTGCTGTTTATTGCGCACCAGCTCACACGGCCACCAGCCCCACCCTGTGAGATCGGGACCCTGACCCAGCTGGAGCATCTGTTCACATCCTCTGTTGATTATTTAAGCGGCGTCTGTCTGCATAGAAGGGTTACAGTATTCTGAAGGGCTGCCGTCCAGCCTTTTCTCCAGGGCTAGCTGCTTTGTTTAACCAGCCTTTGGGCTCCTGGGCAGGTGGTCCCAGGGACTCTGCAGCTGCAGAGATGGCTCTGGGCTCCCACTACCCTTCTCCAGCTTGGCCTCATGCCAGGCAAGAGGCAGGAGCAGGTACCCTTCCTCCCTGCCGGGACCTACCCCACTGTGCCCTCCATCCCTTGTGTCCCTGGAGGCACAGCATGCCGGGAAGGCTGCTCCCTGCTGGCCCTGCTCACTGCCCCTGCTCACTGCCCCATGCTGGGGAGGGGGACGCGGCATCCTTTTCACATGGCAGCTCCACTGATGCCCACAGCAGCACATTCCAGGCCCCAGATCCTTCCAACCAGGACTGTTCCATTCACGAGTCACAGCTCCACAGCAGCCACGTCTCTGCCATGTTCTTGAAAAACAGAGAAGGAAAAAGAAATGTCACAATGACCACTGCACTCGCCATTCCAGGGCTTCTGAGGCCTTTGGTGAAAGCCAACTTGAATCCAAAGCTGGCAGGGGTGGCAGTGGGTGGGGCCAGAAAGGCGGCTGCTGATTGATTGTTGGCAGAAATCACGAGGTTTTACCGGAAGTCAGCCCCTCCCCTTCCTCCAGCTTCTTCCCTTCTGCCTTCTGGAGAGGTCAGGGATGCCTGGCGGACGGCCGTGGCTGCCCCTTCAAAGGTGCTTCCAGGATGCAGACCTGGAAAGGAGCTTAGGAATATGATGACTGTCTATCTGTAGCCCCAAGCCACGTCTGTGTGTGACAAGACCAAGGGTGGTTCAGGAGGCAAAGCATTTGAGAAGCAGATGGCTCTGGAAAATCTGGCCTGCAGGGCTGAGACACTTCCAGGCCATCAAGTCCAAACTCTTCTCTTATAGATGGTGAAAACTGAGTTCTGCCAGCACTGACCTGGGATTTCTGAACTCAGGGTGCTAGGAGCCCTATGGGTTATCCAGGCCTGCCCTTTAGTTTCCTTCCTCATGCTCCCTCTACATACATGTGTGCATACACACGTGCACACACGTGTACCCACACACACAGCTAATTCACTGACACCTCCCTGACTTTAAGATTGTGAGAGTGACATGAGACACATACATGGTGCATGCCTTACACTTACAGGGAGGCCATCACACCTGAATAGGTGCAGCGAACTCTGAGAGGTCTCAGCAGGGTGGAGACAGAACCTGACTGCACCAGGCCCCTCCTGACCTGGGGTTTTCTCGCTGAAGCAGAGAAGGTAGACTGCAGCCCTTTGGCTAGATATTGGGGAGACCAGGAATATGGATAAAATGAGAGAAGGTTTTGGGAACATCAGAGTGGCCCCAAAGAAGGGAATCCCTGAACCCAAACCAGCTGCCCAGCTACTGCTGGTAGCCCAGGTTCTGAGGCTGAGGAATGGGGAAGCCCCATCCCCACTCTTCAGCACCCAGTTGATTGGAAGAGGGAGGAAGCTGGCAGCTGGGGAAAGGTCTTGGGCCAAACATTTTTCCACTGGTGAATCAGAGGACAGCAGTAACAGGAGCCAGGCTGGCCTGACCCCAGCCACCTCTGTGAGTCATAGCTGAGGTCCCTGTGCTAATCTTAACCCCTCAGAGAGGACTTGTTGGGACTTGCCACCAAATCTTGACCACCAAAATAGTCTTGGAGCTGACGTGGCCCTGGAAAGCCCTGGCCCATCACAGAAGGGGTCAGAGAATGGAGCCAGGGTAGAGAGGGCTGGTCTGGGAGTTAGGCTGTGCCCCAGCTCTCCCGTGACCTTGAGCAACTCACAGTGAAGTGTTAGCAAGATGGGCTCCCAGGTCCCTTCCAGACATTCTCCCAGACCAGAGCCAAACTGGGTCTGAGAAGGAAGGAACCAGGACCTGAGGCAGCAGAAGGTTTTCAGGCCAGGTCTGGCCCTGCCCTCATCACAGTTGCTCACCAAGGTCCTCGCCTTTTACAGTGCACAGCTAGTGACAGCAACCTTGGTTCTGGGGCCAGCTGCATCCAAAATTTGTTCTGGGATTTTTGACAAGTTGCTTCACAAATCTCCTTTCTACAGGGAAGGCAGTACAGCTAGTGGTTTAAGGCACTGGACTTTGAAGTCAGACTAACCCAGGTGAGAATCACTTAGTCGCTGGGTGTCCTGGGGCAAGTCATTTAAATGTTCAGCAAATTTCAGCTGCTATCATTACCAGCTAGTATGTCTGGTCCTCAATTATGTCCTTCTATAAAAAAAAGAGGATAGCAAGAATGATTTCTAAGTCCCTTTCTCTAGCTGTCCTTTTCTCTAATCAGGTCCTTGACCCTGCACAATCAATTCAGGGACTGGGACCTTGTGGCAAATGAGAGAACAATGAGTTGAGGAAACATCTCTGGGACTACAGAAAAGGGATTTAAGATGCAACACAGGGACTGTGGTGAAACAGAGGTGAGCTCTGGAAAGGCTTGGTGCAGGAGCAGGAGCCAGGCCAAGTTCTGAAGCTCAGTGCAGGGGGCTGAGGCTCGGGTCTGGGAGACTGGAACCTGAGCCCTGATGGCTGGGAGGAAGCCTTCTCCCCAGCTCAGGCTGAGCCTCAGGTTTCCACTGCATTCTGAGCAGAAGAATCTTTCTTTTCACATCATTTCCCCAGATAATCTTTTCATCATGGTCTGAATGACCATTGTGTCAAATTATCTTAAAAGATTATTGAAAATGTTGCACCCCCTCCTTTTCTTCTAGTGTGCTGGTGTGCATGCATGTGTGTGTGTGTCTGTGTGTGTGAGAGAGAGAGAGAGACAGAGAGAGAGAATGGGGGGAAATTGAGCAAGAGAAAGAACAAGAGAGATGCAACTGTGAGTATCCATTGGTGTCCTGTTAGGGCCATATGAACAGACAGATAGGTACATCCTTACTGTCTCCCAGGGATGCTGAAGCCATGGCCGGATGCTAAGGTGAGAAGGTGGGGGCCTAGAAAGGTTGGACCTACAGCACCAAACTCTTGCACAGGCCAGAAAGAGGCCCTGCTTTCTTCATGCCCAACACTAGGACCTGTCTCCCAGAAGGTCCTAGAGCCCCAGAGACAACAGAAGCCTTCTTCTCCCGGTGGGAATGAGTGTGGGGACCTCACCCTCCAGGGAGCTTGGATGGGGCCAGGGTGAGGGCAGAAAGGATGGAGGTGACCCCTCTTGGGAAGGTAAGACCATATGTGAGCCTAAAAGGAAGATGGGTCCTGGGAGGGGTGTGGTGCTGAGTCTGGAGCACCTCACGCGGGTGGGCCTGTTAGACTTCCTCCTCCCAGTCAGGAGAGTCCAGGAGCACTCAGACGTCCTGGGTGCCTGGCAGGGGAGACAAGTCCAATGGATCTGGGATGCAGGGTGCTGGTGGCACAGTGAAGACACAATGGACATTGTTTATAGTGTTGCCAAAGGCTGGAGACTGCAGAGGCCGCTAAGGAGTGGAGAGTGGAGGAGAAAACTACAATTAAATGGCAACCCCAGCGCCGTCTCAATTCCTGCCCTGATAGGGAGGAGAGGGCAGAGCTAATATGGAAAGGGTAGGAAGGGACAGGGCAATCCCTTGACAGAGAGAGCTTTGACTCAGGGGTCAAGGGAACAGCTGTGGAAGCCTCGGGCACATCTGGCTGGGGCTGGGCTGGAAGAGGGTGAGCCTGTGGCTGGCAGGGAGCCAGGGATGTGGTAGAGACAGATAGGGCCTGTGTTTACTGTCCAGCTGAGGTGTTGCAACAGGAAGCTGGCTGGGGGTGGCAGGGAGGAGGCTGCTCAGGCGGAAACTATTTATCTGAAACAGAAGGAACAGCTGGGGAGGGAGGCCAGGCGCAGCAGCCAGCTTTCCAAGGCCACGCAGGATGCCCGTGCCATGGCAGCGAGCCACCCTATCTCCTGCCCAGCCTGCCTGCCTCGCTGCACATCCAGCCCTGCTGTCCTTGTCCAGAGCAGAGCCAGCTGACCAGTCGTCCCCATTCCTAGTCCCCAGCTGGGGCTGTGCTTCCCAGTGGGATGCCCCACCAGACTGCAGGTTTGGCCTGTGGCTGACTACGCTGTGAGGATCCACCATGTGCCAGGCATTGTGAGATAGGTGTGCGTGTTCTCCAGTTTCCAAAGGTGAAAACAGAGGGCATAAGGGATTTGTCCAGGACCACACAAGAAGTTAGCATTGTGGAAGAAACTGCAACCCAAGTCTGTCATATTTACAGAATCGCTCAGGTGTTCCTGCACACGTGGAGGTGGGCTGTGGGCCTGCCCTTGGCCCTGTGGGACTCACCTTCATCCAGCTCACAGCCCACCACCTGAGAAATCAGCAGACCCCACAAACACCCCCTCCCACCAGGAAATGATCCCTCTCCTAAGTCTCTGCACCCACAGCTGGGCACATGGGAACAACAGCAGCCTCTGAGCAAAGATTTCCTATCACAACCAGGTAAGAGGACCCAGTCTGGCAGAAATCTCCTGGAACTCTCCCTCACCTCTACGGAGGGATCTCCAGAATGATTTGGAAGCCTAGGAAAACCGTGAATGCTGACTTCCCTCCTGAAGGAGGCCCGGAGAAGGTGGGAGCATAAAGGAGCAAAGTGGCCCCCTCTTAGGAAGACCTCTGGATTTCCGTCCAGTTTTGAGACAGTGAAGAAGAGGCAGGGGGAGCCCTACCAAAGCAGGACAGGCTTCACCTCATCCCCACTTTAATACCCATCACGGAATGGAGGCTCCAGCCCCACATTCAGTTGATTCTCAGGGAATGTCATTTCCCACCTGGAGGGATGTTGCATTGCCCATCTCACTTTGTGCCCCAGCTGACACTGGGACCTACCTCCTCCAGGTCAGGGTCTTCGCCTCCTACCTCTCTGTATCCATTCATGGAAGGGGGATGAAATCAACAAGAATGGAACATCTAGTATGTGTCCCTTCATGGGCCAAGCACTGTCACTTTCAGTCCTTGCACACTCCTATGAAGCAAATGTGGCCACCTCCAGTTTTCAGATGAAGAAACTGAATCTCAGAGACAAAGGGACTGGCTCAAGTTCAAATAATGAGTCAGCAGCTGGCTTAATTTCAATGGTTGCGTACTGCACACATATTTCATGTCTGTGTGTTGGTAAAGATAAGTGAAGTTATGCCACATAACAAATAGTCCCTACATCTTAACAACAAAGGTTTATCTTCCTCTCACTGAAAATCTGCAGCAGTACTCTTCAGGGCAAGTATCTTTCAAACTTGTTTGGGGCTGGCTTAATCTGGGGCTTTGTCATCTCATCAGAAGACTTCTCATTCACTGGGGTGGGTGATGAGACTGTTCACTGATGAACTGGTCAGAACTAGCCACATGGCCCTGCTCTACCTGCAGGGGAGCAGGACAAATGGGGGAACAGACGGAATGCTGGTGGGCATGTGGAGTATCTGCCACGGCCATGGATGATGCCGGACACTGGGTCCAGTAGCTTGTGCTGGACCCTAAATGACTTCCCACACCCCCTGGGAAGTCCTATCACTATGAATGCCCTCAAGGGGCTCTGAGCTCTACAGTCGCTCTACCCAGGCCGAGCTACTTCAGCTAGTGTAAGCGTAGGGCCCAATCTCAGGTAAGCCTGGAAGGAAAAACCTCTGTGATAGAATTCAAATTAGACCAAGTCCATATTGAAGTCCTATCTTCTTAGTGGCTAACTTCCCTAGGTAACATTCAGTGGTGACCACCCACTGGGGTCACTTAGCTCTTTCCCTTTCCTGTGTCCTCTAATCCCTTCCCAAGAACAGCCTAGGCAGCAGCATTGCCCACCCCCCCCCCCACCTTCATTTGCAACTGGAATACAGAGAAAGAGCCCGGGGCCATCAGAAGTCCATCCCACTGACTCAACTCATCTTGTCCCCTGGCAAGAGGGGAACTCAGCTCTCACTCTTCTCCTCCTCCTTCCATCTTTCCTCCTCCTTTGCCCAGCACCATAGCTATTTCAATGATTCCAAAAATCCCTAGAGAAGTACAGTATTTTGTATCTGGGCTCCAGGTCCCCCTCATATGTCTAGGGCTGAGCGGTTCCCACAAGCACCCCAACCCTACCTCAGAGGATCTCCTTTTTCTGCCACCAGAATTTCACTAAATGAGGCTCTGCTTTCCCATGCCCAGGACACAGGCATAAGAGAGCAATTATTTGTACTTATCCATCCAGGTCAGATGGGGAGAGAGCCTAGAGGAGCACTGGGTTCCTCAGGGACCTTTTCTGTCCACTCCACAGAGGAACAAGAAGAACCCATATGGTTTCAAAGAAGCAGAGAGCTTCCAGTTGCCTGGACTCAAGTCCTCTAGACTATTAGAAGGATTAACAAGATAATTACATAAAATGTTTAGCACAGCCTTCAAAAGATATTGGAAAAGCATATATAACAACATTACCTTTAAACTCTCTGGCCTAGACTGCTCTCCTGGGTCTCAGACCTGCATATGTGACTCCCCGACATTCCTACCTGGATACTGCACAGGCCAACCTGGTTGATGCTCTCCCAACAGCCATTCATCCTTCACTGCCCTTTTTCTTTTTGTCAGAATCCACCTCCCACATGGAGGCTGTGAAGACCAGAGAGTTGTTCTCCCAGCCTCCTTTGCAGCTAGGACGTGAGCATATGACTTCATCCTGATCAACAGACCGAGGGGCTTCTGGGAAAGTTTTTCTATTAATATAGGCTCAGGAATGGAAGCTCTTCCCTTTGGCCGGAAGTTACTATTTAAAGGTGGTGCCAGGACCTCCAGCAGCCACTTTGTGACCATGAGGGAATAAACCTAAGGTGCCAAGGTTGGCAGACCAAAAGTATGAGAGAATATTGTCATTATGTGATTGAATCAGTGAATGAACCCTGGGATTGTGTGCTATATAAGATAACATGTGCCTTTATTCTAAGCCACTTCCAGTTAGGTATTCGTTTACACCTCTTAATCAGCAAATATAAAAACAAACCCATCAACTCCTTCCTGAGTCACTCTTCCTCCAGAATTCCTCTTCTCAACAAAAGAGTTTCTTCTGCCAGAAATTCTACATCATCACTGCTTTCTTGTTCCTCACTTTTTCCATCTAGACTGTCACCAACCACCTTGACTCTCCTTCCAAAATCACTTCTGTTTCTTGATCCTGCAGGACAACCTCCTACAGGGAGGTCACAGGAAACCCCCTATGACCACCTCCTGCTGGTTTTCCTTGATTCTGGTTTCTTGCCTTCCGCTCCATTCTCCACAGTCCACTGAGTGCCTCCCTGTCTTCTCTGGATGTGCCATGCTCAGTCACACCTCCAAGCTCTTGCATTTGCTGTTCCCTCTGCTAGAATGCCCTCCTCACTTCTTTTCACAGGACTCCTCCTTTTCACAAGGTGTTATTTTGTGAACCCTTTATTGACTCGCCCAATCAGAGCCCATTGAACTTGCTTTGGTGTTGTACTCATCGGCCCTTTTTAGCAATCAGCGGACTGTAATGCCTCATTACCCATATATCTCCCCTGTAAGACCACACCTTATTGAGGTGAGGGAGGGTGTCTCAGTCACCTTTGGACTTCCAAGATCCAACAATGCCAAGCAGCAGCTACTTAGAAATTCTTAGCACAGTGAATGAACAGCTATGTAGAATAAGCTGACTTCTTCTTGAATGTGGACACCTATCGTGGTTACCTATTGCTGTGTAACAAAACTTACTGGTTGAAAACAAAAGTGACATTTATTTTGCTCACAAATCAGATATTTTGGCTGAACTCAGTGGAGACAGGCAGTCTCTGCTCCACCCAGCATTAGCTGGGTTGGGTCAAGGGCTGGGGCTAGAAGCATCTGAAGGTCCGTCTATGAACATGTCTGAGAGTCATTGCCAGCTGTTGGCTGGACCTTAGCTGGTGCTATAAGCTAGAAAACTAATGTGCAGCCTCTTGTGTGCTGGGCTTCCTCACAATGTGTGGCGAGGTTCTGGGGTGAACATTCCAGCAGAGCCAGGCAGTGCTGCAGTGACTTTGATGACCCAGCCACAACGGTCACACGGCATCACTATCACATTCTACTCATCCAGACAGTCATACATGCCTGCCTAGGTTCATGGGGAGGGGAAATAGGTGCCACTTCTTGTTGGGGAATGACAGGTAATATGGTTTGGATTTCTGTCCCTGCCCACAACTCATGTTAAATTGTAATCCCCAGTGTTGGAGAAGAGGTCTGGTGGGAGGTGACTGGATCATGAGGGCAGACCTCCCCCTTGCTGTTCTCATGATAGTGAGTGAGTTCTCACGAGATCTGGTTGTTTAAAAGTGTGTAGCACAGCCCCCTTTGCACTTTTTCCTCCTGTCCCATCCATTTAGGACATGCCCGCTTCCCCTTTGCCTTCTGCCATGATTGTAAGTATCCTGAGGCCTCCCCAGCCATGCTTCCTGTGGAACTGTGAGCAAATTAAACCTATTTTCTTTATAAATTACCCAGTCTCAGGTAGTTTTTAATAGCAATGTGAGAACGGACTAAGACAACAAGGTTCAGGAAGAACATGTTGGACCAGAAATATTGTTGTAGCCATTTTTTTGTTTTTTGAAAATTCAATCTCCTGGCCCAGCACAGTGGCTCACGCCTGTAATCCCAGCACTTTGGGAGGCTGAGATGGATGGATCACAAGGTCAGGAGTTCAAGACCAGCCTGGCTAACATGGTGAAACCCCATCTCTACTAAAAATACAAAAGTTAGCCAGGCGTGGTGGCATGAGCCTGTAATCCCAGCTACTCGGGAGGCTGAGGCAGAAGAATCTCTTGAACCTGGGAGGCAGAGGTTGTAGTGAGCTGAGATCAACCCATTGCACTCCAGCCTGGGTGACAGAGTGAGACTCTATCTCAGGAAAAAAAATAAATAAAATAAAATGCAATCTCCTTTCGTGCCTTTTTAAAGTATTTTAAGTCAACTCTTTGTCTGCCATTCTCCCCAAACTGTCATTTGTCTTCCTTATGAGATGCATGCCCAGGCCTCCCTTGTCCCCTCCTCATAGTGCACTTCTCTGAACATGGCTTGTGGTTTGGTGGAGTGAGCTGGTAACAAGCTGTTAGGAGAGCTGGGTTTGTGATCCAGCTCTACCACATTCGGATTCTGTTAATTTGGATAGGTCACTGGAATTTCATGGGCCTCATTTATTTCCTTGGTAAATAGGAGCTGATGGTCCCTGTGCAGAGGGCTAAGTGAGGTCAGGGCTGAGAGGAGTGGTCGTGGACATCAGGGCAGGGTGTGAAGGCAGCATGTCTCAACCACGGTTCAGTTGCAGGAAACAGAAGACACTGAATCTCTGCTAAGCAGAAAGGGACTTAACACCAGTAATTAGGTGATTACAAAATCACTAGAGGGGCTGGAAGAGTGGGATTGAGGCTGACCTTCTGGGAAATACTTTCTGGATGTGGCCAAGGGAGCTTGTACGCCCATCAAAACCAGGACGGTGAGGAGTCAGGAGGCTTCTATGGGACTGGGGTCAGGAAGTCACCTCCACCACCCCACAAGTGGGTCTCAGTGTTCAGAAGCTGATGACTGGTGTCGTGGTCATCAGGGTTGTTCACCAAGTGTTTCTAGTTCTCCCACAGGCAGATGGTAGGATTAGCCTTCTCTGCCCCCCTGGAGTTAAGTGACCCTGTGACTCAATGAAATATGTGCCACTTCGTAGTGGAAGCTTTAAGTACTATTCTTTAATTTTCTGTATTCTCTCTTTCCTTTGTCACAGTGACCTCAATGCTCCAAGTGATGGTTTTTCCACCAGCCTGGGTTCCCAAGTGTGGTAAACAGAGGCCAGCAGCCCCAACCACCCATGTGATGTGGGGCTTGCTTATTTCTTAGCATAGTGTAGCCCATTCTGATGGGCACAACTGGACACTGGAACATTGCTTGCCTTAGTTATGCTTGCCCAAGGCAAGAGCCAAAGCAGTGGGAAGATAGCACTTGCTGCAATTCCACTTTCCAAATCCCACATCCAGGGGGCAAAACCTGATTTGCATCCAGAATCATAGCTTTAGAGAAGTCTGGGAAATGTAGCTTTTAGCTTCCCAGCTTCTGTGATACTAGGTGTCACTCCCAGTGGATTGATACCAAGGGCCCACCCTTGATATCACACCCACCACAGCATACCCACCACAGCAAACACACCCTGGGGTTCTAAGGGTGTTCCAGCTCAAAGCCAGGGAGAGAGGAGTCTGCAACCTGATAGTTGGGCTGGGTAAAGGGACTCGAGGTACAAAATCACATGAGATGGACTTGGAAGGGCAGGTGGAGGGGAGAGAGCCGGGTTAGCCTTCTACCTCAAATGAAGACCATGATAATACACAGAGAGGGAGAGAGAGACTATGTGTTCTATGTGATGCCTGAGAACATTTCAAGGACCCTAGGCCTAGCTGATTGAATATATTTTGCTTTATAAGTATTGCTTTGTAAATTATCAAATGCTGTGTGAAATACTTCCATTAGACTATGAGCTCTGTATGGGCAGGGAGCATGCCTCATTCATCTATGTACCCTTCACATCTAGTACAGTGTTGGGCACATAGTAGGTGCTCAATAAATGTTTTATGAAGGAAAGAATTTGCCAATGTTCCACTGAGAAATTATCTTGGAGAACTAGACCCAATGTTCCCAGTGTGGTCTGACTAATCAGAACCTGGTGGGAACGCCCCTCCCTGGGTCTCAATATTATACTTCTATTAACGTGGCCCAAGATTGCATGATTCTCCTTGGCAGCCACACTGCACAGATGATTCATATTGAGCTTGAGGTCAACTGGAGTCTCTGGGTCTGTTTCACATGAGCAGCTATTAAGTAAGGCAAGGCTTCCCCATCCTGTCCATATGCAGTTGATTTTTTGAACTGAATGCCTTATGTAACATTTCATCCTGCAGAGTTATAGTCCATCCTTCAACTTCTCAAGATCTATTTGCATCTTAAGTCTTTTCATTCAATAGGCTATTCATTTCTCTTAGAGTTGCGTCATCCACAATGGTGTCGCAGAGGAGTTCTCTATCTCTATGCACTTTCATGACAAAAATGCTGCACAAGTCAGGCCACCAGGGACCTCCCTGCATGTGGATGTCAACTTTTTAATCAGTGTAAATAGAGAATAATCACTTAGCCATCTCTGATTCTGTCCACAAAATGGACAGACTGTCCCAAACTGAAACAATGAAGTATACAGAACTCCCTTGATCTCTGGGACCTACACCAGAAGGGGGAATGAGTTCATTCGGGAGCATTTGCCTTTCACAAAGCCACACTGGCTCCTAGAGATCCTCACATTCTCTTATGGGCTGTCAAAGACATTTCTTGGTTTATCAATATGTATCAAGAATCAGGAAGATGTTCAAATTATCAGAACTACTAACCCACAGCAAAGTTAACAGCTGTTATCTAAGAGTCCGGAGGCAGGGAGATGGCTGAGTGGATTGTGAGATATCCTCTCCATGGAACAGCATGTGCACCATTACAACAATAATTCAAAACACTTAAAAACCCAAAAAACTATGTGGTGAACACAGACAACAAACTTAAATAAAATGTGAACTCAAAAAAGCAAGCTACATGTTTATGTGCACTCCACGAAGGAGGATTTGTAAAGTACTATGCATGCATGGGGAGGATTCAGATATTGTACAAATTGGGTGAGGGAGACCAGATGATGGGTGATTTCTCCTCTCTATTTTGCAAACTTTTTCTACAGAAAGCAGCTTCTGAGGCAGAGGTTGAGTGAAGGCATTTTCCTGGGGATAGTGGCCCAGACAGAAGGCTGGGAATGAAGTGGGGAGTAGGGAGGGAGCTGACCTCCAGGATAGATGGCTGGTTGCTAGGTCCCCTGGCATTGCCCAGGAAGGCACAGGAAATGCACCTCAGGGCTGCCTGCCTTGGGGGACAGTGGGGAGCATTTCTCAGCTTCTGCTTCACGTTGCTCTGAGGTAGGGGCCATAGAGCATTAACTCTCTGGCGATTCCGGGTTATGCATGTGAGGAGATTCCTGGGGAGCCCCTGCCGCAGCACCCGCAGAGAAGCCCTGGGGGTGGGAGGCACCCTCAAGTGTTGCTCACTGATGGTGCAGCAGAGCTGGGGTCAGAAGTCAGGCAGGGCTGAGAGAATCCAATGCACTGTACAGGATGGATCTGACCTAGCTCTGCTAATGATTTTATAAATACAAAAACCTGCCCTGTTCTATGGCTGGAGATAGGCTTCCCTGTCTCTAGCTTCCAAAATCTATCTTGAAAATCAAAAGTCTTTATCCATCTCTGGTTTCCACCTTTCTTCTCTTATCTAAGGGGTTTTGTAGGTCATTTCTCTTGGAGCCCAAAACCCAACTCATGGCAGTCTATTAGAGTGACTTCTGTGCTCTCCCAGACCAAGCCAAACTTCTCCTGGGTGTCAGGTGGCCGCCCCCACATGCACACTGTTCCGAGGGAGGCTTGCTCACTCTCCAAAGAAGACAGGAGCATTTTCAGGAGGCAAGGGTTCAGCCATCCCTCTCATCAAAAGCCCTCGTAAGTTTTGAGGCATTCTGCCCTGGGGTCTGCCTTCTTGACACATTTGTACCATCTGATCTGAGGACTTGGGTTTTTTTGGTGGGGGAGTTATTTTTGTTCTTGGCTGTATGCTGAATTTCCCTTCTCCCACCACCCTATTTCTTGTTTGGTGGCGGTGGTGGTTTTTGTTTTTTTGTCTTGGATTTTTCAAGGGGCCACATTGATCTTTTGAGTCATCTTCTTTGGGCCACTATATTCTCTCTACTTGAAAGCAATCTACTTTCTCAAGGTCCACCCTACACAACTGGTGTTGCCACCACTCCCTTCCTGTAACATTGTGAAGGATGATAAAGTCCTTTTCTTCCCACGCCCCTGTCATTTTACCACTGTGCCCCTCTTAGTTGATCAGAGTTCAGTGTATCCTGCCAGTTCCACTTGTTGCTTTTTGAGAGATTAAATTATCAGCCGGCAAGAATGTAGCAGTCATCCTGGCTTTAGCAGATGTCCTTGTAACTGCAGTCCCATCACTCTGGCCAGGAGCTGGCTTCCGACACTTCAGGGCCTTGATCTTGGACTTGGAGACATACTTCCCCTTCACCTTCCACAAGAGGGCCAGGAGCTCTCAGCCCCCAAGGAGGGGCCTGGGAGAGAAAAGTTGATTAAAAGGCTGTTTTCTCAGAGCAGGTCTTGCAATCTGTTGGAAGCAGAGAAGTGGAGAGTGCCAGGCTTCAAATCTCGGATGCACCACTCACTGGATGTGATTTGGGACAAGTTACTTAACCTCTCTGGGCTTCAGTTTCCACATCTGTAGTTGCTAGAGCTTTCTTGATCTTTCAAAAAAGTGTCAGGAACTGTGGTTTTCCACAAAGCCACCATGACTTCTGCCTGGCTGACAGCAGTTGCAAGATGCCATTGACTATGCCCTGATTTCAGAGAGGCTAAAGTGAAAAAAAAAATGTGCATCTTAGAACCAACGAAATAGTGTAGTATCTACCCATAGAGTTGCTGTGAGAATTACATAACTTAAAATATGCGTAGCGCCAAGAGCAGTGACTGGCACATAGCACCATCTGTGTGTTAGCTATTTGGCTACTGAAGAGAAGAATGGCATTGATGAAGATCTCTGAGGAATGGACGATGAAATGACTCACTCTCCATGGTTCCGCTCTGTAGAACAGGAAATCAACTGTCCAGGGAGGTGCAGTCCCAGCCCCTCTTTCATCCAGACGTATAATGTGCCATGTGACTAATTCTCACCAATGGTATATGGGGGTCTCTTCTGAGCTAAGGGATTATGAAAAATAGTGTGCCTTCTCCACATCCTGCCCATCCACTGGATAATGGAGAGGCCTCTGAGACCCTGTGGGACAAAGGAGCGGCAAGAGGGAAGAAACCAGGATCCCTGAGTCACCACGTGGAGGAAAGTCCTCGGTCAGCCAATAACTCCTACCTTGGATGGCCGTATAAGTGACAGACGAACTACAGTTGAATGAGGCACTGAAATTCAGGGGTTAATTTATGCCAGCACCTTAACTAAACACACACCAATGTGGGCAGCTGTGGGGAGGAAGGGCACCTGTGGTGGGAGCTTGGAGAAATGGAAGAGTGCAATGAACTACAAAGTCAAGGGCTCGCTCAGCATATGCCAGTGCCTCAGAAAACAGTTGACAACATCCAGCCCACCACTCGCCTCCCCAACGCAGTGCTGACTTTATATTGAAGTCTTCATCAACAGACCATTCATTCAACATGTAATACATCTCTACCATGTGTTAGCACGAAGTCCCAGCATGACGGGGCTCTGCTGGGTGTGGTCCCAGCACGGCCCCCCGTCCTGTGGTCAGGCCCCCTCCCCGCAGCCCATACATCATCCTGATGTGCAGAAGAGACCCCATTAATCACAACACCTCATTTGCCAATGTGACTTCCTCGGCTGTGTTCCGCCAGGGAGGGAGGCCCTGCCGTCCTGCGGTGGGTGGGTGGCTGTCCGGGACGGCAGCCTGCACCCTGCAGATGGACAGCATGGCTTCCAAGCCTCAGTTCTGGGCCCTAGAGACAGGCTTCCGGGGGCATCTGTCTGTGATGGGGTCACGGAGGCAAAGCTGAGAGGTTTCCTCAGGAAGCTGTCAGGAGACCAGGGGCTACTCCAGCTCCACCTGGAAGGTTGCAAAACCCCAGCAGCACTACCTGAAGTGAGCTCTGAGTTTTATTTCTTTTTTGTTTAAAAAAATAAAAAATCCAAACACAAAAGGGTTTGTCTGCATTTTCATTCAGTATGTGAATATCAAGATTAAATGGCCTGCGGCTGCTCCTCTGTTCACCTCTCAGATCATAAAACCTCCACAGTGACTGAAAGCAGGAGCCCATCAAGTGGCTTTCTGTTTCCCGCTCTGTCTCCCCAGGGCGAGTTACAAGGAGTCCAAGTTACAAAGTGCAGGCTCCAAGTGGCCTGGCCCCAGGTGGCCTCAGAAGTCCCTGGAATGAGGTTCTCAGAATCCCAGGGCCACAATTGAGTGTGACAGGTTGACCCACGTGGATCCACATTTTCCAAGGTGCCCCTTCTAGGCGCCCAGGCAGGGAGCTGCTGAGCAGCCCCTTTCCCCAACCCCAGCACTTGCCTGGTCCAGCGGGTGGGCTCTAGACAGGGAGCTGGAAGGACTGTCCAGAAGAGAGTGGCCCCGCCTGCTGGTGAGATGAGCCCCTCTCATGCGAGCTCCGTCTCCTCTCACCCCTCCCCAGGATGGCTCCACTGCAAGCCCTTCACAGTGATTCGCACCCATGAGCATTTTACCCAACAAAATGTTACAACCTGGGAAAGATGAATTTGCTCCAAAATACAAAAGAGAAAAATTGGAGATAATAAATATTTAATGAATGCATTCAAATTTTATTAATTGTTCAATTTCATCCTCATGAAAGTTTCTTTCCATTTGAAAACAATTTGTACCTTCGATTTTCTCGCCTTGTACGGATGTCTGGGTCTGATGATGGCTGGGAAGTCGGAGCCAATCGTAAACTAAGCGAGTAAACTTAAGCCAAATAATTTCAAAAGCAAAATTATAAAAATTCTTTCCAAGTATTTTATAGCAAAATAATTCCATTTAATGTGGGATGTGGGTGCATTTTAATTCTTTTATATACTCTGGGGTGGGACCTACAAAAGTTAGACTGTCTGGTTCCCAGGAAGGCCCCACTGCTTTCCCTCTTCCTTTCCTCTCTCCCTCCCTCTCTCCTCCTTTTCTCTTTGCTCCTCAAAATCCTTTCCCTCTGCAGTTTTAAGGAAGTATCAAAGAATCTCCTGCCAAAAATGTTAATTTTTATAAAGATTGATTTGTTACATTTCTGAGGTCTCTCCTGGAGAGAGTCACTGGTGCTGATAGGGATTGCTATTTTTTGTCTCTTCCAGTCCCTCAGCTATTCTTACGAACAACAGTCCACTGCAGTGGACACTTCCTCACAGCAGAAGAGCTGAGGAAACTGCCCCTGGCTCCTCTGTGGCTGGCTGGCCACCTCACTCCGGCTGTAGGGTACTGGGCTAACGCCGTAGGGCATGGAGTCAGTGAATTTGGAGATAAGCCTAAGGGCTCAGCCAGCAACCAATCCATATGCAACCTGCGGTTTGGCTGACAGGCCCTTTTTCAACCAGACAGGTTGGTCACCCAGCAGCCTAGCACCTTTTTGCCAAAATGCTCGGCACCCCCAGGGCTCACGGATGGCCTCCTGTCTCCCAGGAAAACTTGCCTTGAGCACCTGAGTGACTCATGGGGCGGACTCATGAGATGCGGCCCATAGACCCCTCAGCAGGCCTGGCCATTCACAGAACCTAGGGTGCGGCTGAGAGAGCTCCTGGCTCAGGAGAGAGGACCCAAGGATACTCTCTGGAGGCCCACCTGGGACCTTCTCTAACAACCCTGGGGAGGGCCAGTTGTCTCAGCCTGGGGGAGCAAGTTCCAGATTATTTTCCAAGGGCCTCCTAGGAACTTAGCTACACCTAACTCTGCAGTTCCCCTTGCCAGGCCCCTCACCCCCTGTACCCCAAATGGCAACTCTTGAACAGCCCTGCTCTGCTGCCTCAGCCCAGAGTCTCTGTTCCAGCAGCCTCCTCCTGCACTGCTCAGGGCCCCAGCCCCACACCTGGCTAACTCTCCTGTCTTCTTCAACACTGAGCTAAGTTGCCACCTCTTCCCAGCTCCTTCTAAGGTACCAGGAAGGCTTCCCCAATCAACTCTCCTCTCCCCCAGGCCAGACTGATATATAGATAGATGATGATGATGATAGATAGATAGATAGATAGATAGATAGATAGATAGATAGACAGACAGATAGATAGATAGATAGATAGATAGACAGACAGATAGATACATATATACATACATAGATTTAATTGTCACCTCCATCAGACTGTTAGGACACATAGGGAGCATTATCTGTCACTGTGCTGCCCCCATTCCCAGCACAGAGTTGGGCACACAGTAATGATGGATGGGTGGATGGATGGATGGTTGGAGGAGGGCAAGTCTTGGGTCGAGCAGGAAGCTGGCAGATGTCCAGGGGTCTAGAATTAATTGCCAGCAGCTGCTGTCTTCAAACCTCCCCTGGATAGTGTGGGCTTTTGTGAGGCCCAGCGACGAGGCTTGGGGGCCAGATGATTTCCAGTTTTGCTCTGCCCCTCTTCTATCATCTTTTGGGTGACAAGTGTGAGTGTGTTCTCATCTAACCAGGAATATGAGGCCCCAGACCATCTGTCAGCCAGCACGAGCTCTGCCCTTCCTCCCCAGCAGCAGGGACAGGATGGAGAGGGTATGCTGTGATGATTAAGGAGCAGCCTCCAGTGCCAGGCCACCTGAGCGCCAGCCCTGCTCCACCACCTGCTCACTGTGTAATTTGGGGTACATTATTTTACTTTACTGTGCCTCGGGTGAGAGTAGGACTTGCTTTGCTGAGTTGCTGTGTGGATTTAGATAAGTTGATATGCACAAAGTGCTCACACTAGTTCCTGGCACATAGTAAGGAATGTGTGGTTCTAGTGCCCGTAATGCTAAGCCAGGCCCCCAGTCACCAGCCTGAAGCAGGGTTGTGGTCAATGTGAGGTCGGTTAGCATCAGTCTGAATTCAGGGTCAAGATGTGGCTATAGTTCCACCATATGTGGTTTGGGGTCTCCCGAGACATGCTTAGCAAGTTCCTCATTAAGCCATGAACACCCCCTTCAGGAGGTAGGCAGATGTTCTGGCTGCAGGGTGTGCTGGGGACAGAGGTGGTCTCCCCGCTTGCCAGCCCAGCATCCTCCGTGCCAGCCCATCCCAGGGAGGGGCCCAGAACCCTCCTCACAGCCAGCTCCACGTGGCCGTGAGCACCAGGCACTGCCAAGGGCAGGCCCAGGCCCTGGCCATGCAGCACGTGGGAAACACTGGGCCTGTTGCCATGGTCCCTGCCCAGGAACAAGCTAAGTACCTACTATCCGCCTGCCAGGAGGAAGGAAGCCATATTCTGTTCTGGAAATGTCAAGTTGCTCCCCTACCCCTCAGCTCTGCACCATGCAGTGCCTGCCCCAGATAAGCCAGGCAGCTCTGCCCTAGGCCTCCACCTCCACAGCCCTAAAACCAGGCCTGGGGACTAATCAGAAGCAAAACCTACTCCAATTTCCCTTCCACCCAAAAACTGTCGGGACTTCTGTGTGATAAGAAAAGTCTGTGGGAATAAGGATATAGTGACACAGTATAGAGTGGCTTTTCTAAGGCTTGCTTTCTAGGAACCTGACAAACAACAAAATATGAGCAGTTCTATCCGCACATCAAACCTGGCTAGAACCTCAAGACCCAGTTTGGTCTTCTCCAGAAAGCCTTCCCTGATTGCACCAACCCACTATGCCTTCCTTTTCTCAATTCTGTCTGCAACTGTTCTAAATTAGCCCCTAAATAAGCACATTTGACTAGGCCAGAGGCCAAGCTGAGGGCAGCAGGAGGGGTGGGAGCAGACGCCCTCCCTGCACTAATGCTGTTCTCAGGTGGTTCCCACACCTGGGCCTCCCCATTGCCTCTCAGCTTGCCTGCAGCAGGCAAAAAGCAGCTGGCTGCTTATCCCCACCGGAGCACACATTCAGAACCATTTGTCAGCCTCGGAGTCTTCCCAAACCCAGCACTTGGGGGCAGGGGCAGGGGCGTAGGAAACCCAGCTGATCTGCAAACATACACAGAGCCTGCAGCCGGTCTTTCCTCTGCTCGCCCAGGTAGGAACCCTAGAGCCTTTGTGCTTGGAGGACTTGGAGAGGCTCCCTCCTCAGCTCCGTGTGTCCTGTGAGCAAAACTGCAATCCATGCAGGACCAATGGAAGCTGGTCCATCTCTTCTTGAAGCTGGCCCAGCTCTCTTTGTCCATTACTTATTTTACATCCAGAAAACGTTCCCTTATATCTGATTCTACTTCTTCAGGTCCCATTCCCCAGAGAGGTGGAGAACACTGTCTCCATCCTCACAAATCTGGCCCCGACTCAGTCTCTTTTGTTCACTCTCTCTCCTGAACCCCTCTCCCCCAGGTAACTAACTCCCCCTTGTCGGTAGCCTTCCCTGGTCAGCTAGGGGCTGCCCAAAGGACTCCACTGGGGCCTGAAAGCTTTTCCTCACCTCCAGGGCAGAAGCGAAGGGCTGCCCATAAAGTGGGGAGGCATCCAGCCCCCACCTCCAGGCTTCCCGCAGCCTCACTGAGCGTCCACCCCGCTGAAACCCCTGTACGCCCCTGGCCTCAGGCGCATTTCTGAGGGGCAGCTTTTATCTTCCTCCCTTTATCTCTTTGCTCTTTTGGTGGCCTTCCTGAGTCCCTCCTCGTCACCCCACTCAGGACACCAAGGAATAAAGGTTCTATCAAACCATCTGGCTCAAGATGCATGCGGTAAGTAAGGAGTGGGGTACATTGCAGTGGTTCTAAACCCTAACGGGGCTCAGCCATTACCCGAGGGGCTGGTGTCAGACTGGATTCTCTGGCCCCATGTCCCATGATTCTGAGTGGGTAGATCTCGAGTAGGACCTGCACCCTCACCCAAGGTCACATCTCTTGTCTTCGAGCCCTGTGTTCAGCTGCACGGTAAGGGAACGGAGGGAAGAGATGAGGCCGTGCTCTTTAGGAAGTTCACCTGCTCTGCGGCTGCGCACACATGAAACCACTTAGCATAGTCAGCACTGATTAAACCGCCCGGCACTACACGGGGCAGTGAGTTGACTGCCTGCTCAGGGGAGGTGAGGGGAGCATTCAAAGGTGGCTTCATCGATGAGGCAGGACTTGGGCTGGATCTGGGGGCCTGGCAGAACCTGACTTGATGAAGGGAGAAGCAGATACATCCAGGCACGGGGACCGGGGCTCCACGGCTCTGGGGGAAAAAGTGCCAACGGCGGTGTTTCAGACACCGTGGCAGGCTGATGGATGGACCATTGGAGGGATTAACAAATGACGAGGACACAGAGAAGGAAAGGACGGAGAAGAAGAAAGAGCGCTGATATGGTTTGGCTCTGTGTCTCCGCCCAAATCTCATCTCAAACTGTCATCCCCACACGTCAAGGGAGGAACCTGGTGGGAGGTGATTGGATCATAGGAGCAGTTTCCCCCATGCTGTTCTCGTGATGGTGAGTGAATTCTCACGAGATCCGAGGGTTTTAAAAGTGGCAGTTTTTCCTGTGCTCACACTTCTCTTCCTTCTTGCCGCCATGTAAGATTTGTGTGCTTCCCCTTCCGCCGTGATTGTATGTTTCCTGAGGCCTCCCCAACCATGTGGAACTGTGAGTCAATTAAACCTCCTCCTTTTATAAATTAGCCAGTCTCGGATATGTATTTACAGTAGTATGAGAATGGACTAAGACAAGTGGACTCCCCGAAAGGCTGGGATGAAATGTTTCAAATATCTAGGTCAACCCTAAATTCTGAGTTCTGATACCATTTTTCTCTTTCAATCATTAGGGTTAGAGTGAAAACGTGCTCTTTAGGAAGTTCACCTGCTCTGCGGCTGCACACACATGAAACTACTTCCCAGGTTTGGGAGAGGAGCATGGCCAAGAGTGGTCCTGGGCACTGGGACCTAGGCAGGGTATCCTGCAGCCCCAGATCACCCTTTGCTTGGCACCAGCTCCCAGTGTCAGCCTTTCCTACCAGGGCAGCTGACCTCCAACCACCTAAGTACTGTGCAGACCCACTTCTTATTTTTCTACTGAAGTGTTTCATCTTTTCTTATTGATTGATGTAAGTCCTCTCGCATTTGCATTCTCTCTCTCTCTCTCTTTCTCTCCACCCCCACAACTGCTTTCACTATTGTTGCCTGTTTCACTGTCTTGTCCTTTATGCAAGATTCTCATTCTTGCTGCTCAGGTATAATTCCCTAGCAGTAAATACATTTAGGAGATTATATTGCACAGTGGTTAAGAGACTATGCTCTGCAGCTACTCAGTTTGGGTTCAAAATCTATCTCCACTATTCATTAGCTATGTAACTTTGGGTGAGTTACTTAACCTCTCTGTGCCTCAGTTTCCTCACATTTGAAATGGGGATAATAATAGTACTTTCTTCATGCAGTTGTTGAGAGGATTAAGTGAGAAAATTGTTGTAATGTTTAGCATAATGTTGAACACATAATCAATGTTCAAGTGAGAATTATTACTCTAAAATGGAATATATTGATCCTTTGTTTGTCATTTGTTACAAATGTACTAAGAATCAACTGCCCTCTGGGGTCGGTGGCGACTGTTAACTGCAGGCTCTAAGTTTTGCTGAGCTTCAAAGATTGGGGTAGTTTTGCTTATGAGACAAAGCAGGGAAGAGCTGTACTGCTCTGCATAATAGAAAGGGAAGAATTTGGAAGTGGAGGACTCCTGGAAGGCAGAGTGAGGAGGAGAGATGGAAATGAGAGAGGAAGAGGTAAGAGTGAAAGAAAAACATGAGCAAGTTCCAGAATATGATGCTTCCCCAGGACCCTCAAACCTTCAGAGAAGCCCACTGGAGGCTTGGTGCAAATGTGATTCTTTTGGTCTGATTTCTGCACCCCAGATGACATGAAGTGACATCAAGCCATGAAGCTGGGGGACATCAGAGCCAGTTATCCTTGGGTTTCCCTTGCTCCCTTAACTGATAAACCCAAACCATCAAGATGCCTAGGAGAACCAGGAGTTGATATTTGGATTATGCAAATAATTTTGAACCCAGTTTACCGTTAGGCTATGCATTTTCTCTGTGGTTGTGGTGGACACTGTGATACGCCTCCCAGATCTCCTTCTGGGACTGCAGAGCTTGCTCACCCAGTTGCAGAGAGCGCTGCTCACAAAAAGTTCTCAGTGGTTAGCCAACTTGCTCAAGATCACACGTGTAATAGCCATCCAATGTAACAAATTATTCCCAAGCAGAAGCCTAAAACATTTGTTGTCTTGAAGTCTGTGGGTTGGGAACATGGGAACAGCTTAGCTGGGTGGTTCTGGTCTCTCATGAGGTAATAGTCAAGAGTTAGCCAGGGCTGCTGTCATCTAAAGGTTTGACTAGGGCTGGAGGATTGGCTTTTAAAGGTGCTCACTCAAATAGCTATAGGCACAAGGTCTTGGTTTCTCACCCAAGGGGCTCTATGGAGGGCTACCTGTGTGTCCCCACAACATGGCAGCCTTTCTTCCTTCAAAAGGGAAGTCCAGGAAGAAGCTGCTATGTCTTTTATGACCTAGCCTTGGAAGTCACATGCCATCATTTCTGCCACATGCTATTTGATAGAGGTGACTCATAAAGACGTCCAGTCCTCCTGCAAAGGGAGAGGAATTAGAGCTTCCCAATTTGTGGACATATTTTTAAACCACCACAACCCTGCATTCCTGGAGGAACCCACATATCCAATTTATGGTCACCCAAGAATGTAAAGGCCAGGGCCCTTCCCCCAATTCAGGACTACTCTGAAGAGCCATACCAGCTTCAGAGCTCCCTGTGGGGTCAGCTGAAGCCTTCATTGAGATACAACACAGCTCAACTTCCCACTGCCCAATCCTTCCTTTCCTTTCATTTCCTTCCTTCCTCCTTTCTTTTCCTTTCCTTTCCTTTCCTTTCCTTCCTTCTTCCCTCCCTCCCTCCCTCCTTCCTTCCTTCCTTCCTTCCTTCCTCCTTCCCTCCCTCCCTCCCTTCCTTCACTCTTCCTTCCTTTTCACATGTGATGTTCCCAAGAGCACCCTCTGATCAACCTGCTACCCTCTGATTTCCACCTCAGAGTCAGCTTCCTAGATAACACACCTGTAAAAATGGTGGTTGGGTTAATGTGCTAACGTATTTTTCTAGTGTTAAATCTAGCAATCTCTTTCTTTTTGGATTCTGCCCTGTGGGAGTGTTCAGAAAGGCCTTCCAATCCTGAGATGAGATAAATACCTAAATTTTGTTCTAGGTAATTTATGATTTCAAATATAATTGGAGGTTTTAGAACATGTCTTGTGAGATTGGGATCTAATTTCACTTTTTTTTCAGTGTTTCATCAATTGTCCTAGCACCAGTTTTTTAAAATAAGTTTTCTACTGACTTTAAATAACACCTTTACATATGTACTAAATTCCACCATATAATTGAGTTTCTGAGTTTTTTATTCTACTCTAGACTCCAGCCAATTTTTTGATTGTTATATTTTTGAGGTAGATTCTAATATCTAAAAGTACAAGCCATTTTTCTTCTCTTTCAATATTGTCATGAGTTTATGCTTTTAGGATAATTATAGAGTCAATTTGACAAGTGCTCCACCTCCCAAAACTGCACTGAGATTTTGATTGGAATGTATTAAATTTATTGATGTCAGTTCTTCCAAAATATCTTTATAATATTAAAACTAACTTCCCATCAAAGGACATATGTCTACTTATTAAAGTTTTGTTTGAAATGTTTTTTAAAGTTCTTTCTGGTATGGTTGTGTGTATGGAAGGGTATGCATGGGGAAGCATGTATGTGATCCTGTATGAGGGGTTATGTGTGTGTAGGATGTGTGCACGTGTGTTTACATGGATCTCATTGTGCTTATTAAGCTTATTGCTAGATATGTTATGGCTTTTATTGCTATTGGTGATACATTTTTTTTCTTCACTATGCCTCCTAGTTTGTTATTTTTAGTGTATAGGAAAGATTTGAGATCTATGTATCTATTTTTGTTAATAAGCCACTGTCCCTTCTGTTTCTAATATTTTTCTAATTGCTTTGCTTTGGTTTTCTTAGGTAAACAATATTATAATCTGCAAATAGTGACATTTTTCTCTTCCACTTCAATATTTAGACCAACAAAGAGGAAAGCATGACCCTCAAGAGGAAGAACACATATTTGCCTTGTGCTAGTTTTGTCTCCTTTTTGCACACAAGTACTATATGTACATAGTTCAAAATTTTTTTAATTAAACTGACTTGAAATGCAACCATCTATCTTAACATTTGTATTTTCTTTTTCGATTATTTTCTATGCAAATTTATATGTGTATATATTTTAAAATATGAATTTATAGATATAAAAGTAGACGTTATTTGTAACGTGGATTTTAAACTTTCTATATTATGAAAGCATTTTCAGGAACATAAATATATCTATACCATACTTTCATATTGCTGTTATGTCTTTGAATTGTAATTTATTCAATTAAGCTTCTATTTTAGGACATTGAAATTGTCTCCAATTTTTAGTATTCTAAATAGACTTACAATATACTTCCTTTTTAGAATAGTCTAATTACTGTGTCCTTGCCCTGTCCCAGTTAGGATAAATTCCTAGAAATGAAATTGGTGAGTCAAATGATATACATATTCTAAAAAATATTTGATTTACGCCATATTGTCCTACCAACAGTTATAAGGGGATTTATAATTTTGTTCGTTTTGTTGGAGCTTGCCTCATCTTCGCTCTCACTAACTGATTTTATCATTCTTTTTCATCTTTGCCCATCTGAAAAAAAAAGAGGCATCTTATTTCAATGTGAGTTTCTTTGATTACTAGGCAGATTGAATACAGTTGGAAATTGTATCCTTCTTTTGAGACAAACTTACATAGTTGTCTAGATTTAGATTTTAAGAGGGGTGATTATGTAATTTTGTTATTAAATTTTCAGCATTCCATGCATATAAACAATATTAACCCCTTTTTGTTAGACATGTGGCAAATATTTTTCACAGTTTACATTATGACATAATAGCCATATAAAATCACATAGTAAATATCTGTGTATTCTGTCACATGGTCTTATGAAATATCAAGAACTCGTCAATTCATCTCAGAAAAAAACTTTTAAAAAAAGCAGCAAAACACTTCCATTATAGTTGATGTACTCCCTGTTCTTCCTCATGATTGTATTTCCATTACTCCCTTCCAAATCTAATCACTATCCTAATATTTTTGTCTATCATTCCCATGCATGTTTTAATAGCAGTAAAATATATATGTGTATCCATAATTGATGTATATGATAACTGTTTTTTGTGTTTCATGTTTTGAAACATTACATAAATGGAATCATACTGTAATCTGTGTCCTTCCGTAATTTGTTTTGTTCAACATTATGTTTTAGAAATGTATTCATATTGAAATATCAGCTTTAATTCATTCATTTTAATGGAGGCATTATACTCTATTTTATAAGCGTACCACAATTTATCCCTTTTCCTGTATTAGGCACATAGGGTTTTTTCTAAATTATTATTAGAAGAACAACATTGCAATGAACATTATTGTACATGACTCTTTATGCAAGAGTTTCTCCAGGCATATGCCAATACGTGAACTGTCTGCATAACTATGTACACATTTTCAGAGTCCCTAGATAGTGCCAAATAGTTTCCACAAGCAGTGGTACCATTTTACTCTCTTACGAATACTGTCTTTTTCACCCCAATTTCTAGTATTATCAGACTTTACATTTTGACAATGTTATGGGTGAAAAGTGGTATCTCATTGTTTTATTTTTACATCTCCCTCATTGCAAGTGACTTTGGTTCTCTTTTCATGCACTCATTGGCCATCAGGGTTCCCTCTAAGGCAAATCCTTACATGGTTTGCCAATTCTATTTTTCCTTCCCATTGAATTGCAGTATTCCTTTATAACTATACATGTTGCAGATTGTTCTACTGTCTCTGGTTGGCTTAATAAATTTGCATGGTGTCTTTGTCTCAAACCTTAATGTAATCTCACTTATCAGTCTTCTTCTTCAGAGTTTGGGCTGTGTGTGTTTGTTTTAAATACGTCTTTCCTTACCCAAAGATCACAAAGATAGTCTATACTTCCTTTTAAAAATTAAAAACTTTTGCTTTTCATATTTAGATCATTAATATACTTAGAATTTATCTTTTATATGGTGTGACATAGGGATTTAATTTTATTCTTTCCAGATGGATAGCCTGCTCTCCCAGAACCATTTATGAAATAGTTCATCCTTTGCCACTGGTAAGTTACTGCCTTTTCTGGCATATCAACTTTCTGTATCTGAGTGATTCTGTTTCTGTGATCTCTGTCCTGCCCGACTGCTCTCCTTGCCAGTTCCTCCGATACCACATTATATGAATCAGAGCTTTATGGTGTCTTGATGCATGATCAAAAAATTTCCTGTGCAGGTTTTTTTTTCCGAAGTTGTTTTTTTAAAATGTAGTCAAATATAACATTTTCCCACTTATATTTAGTTTTGTGTTTGGAAAGGTATGCCCCACCCAAGATGGCATAAATGTCAGAGGGACAATATATAAATAGTTGATAGCTTTTTCCATCCTTCTCTGTGCCAAAGACTATTCCGTATCTGTTTACTTAGATTCCTGTTTCTTTATCATGTTTACAAAGAATTGGTAGAAAGAGCTGCAGAATCAGAAGGAGCTAGAAAAGAGGTAGGGAGACTTTAAATAGAAAGAGAAATAATTCTAGTAAAAGAAAAAAGTCTATCTACAGGAGAGGGAAGAAGAAGACAGACTTGAGCCATGAATTCTCAGTTTCAGAAGTTTTTGTTGGAAGTTTAAGGGTGGAATAAGGACAGAATTTTGTAGCTACCAGTTGCTATGCATGTGGAGGACACAGAGAATCGCAGAGATGTGGGGAAAGTTTTTTAAATGTTTTGTGGTTCATCAAGAATGTTATTCTCTTATGCATGTGTATACTATCACTACAGCGCATTGGTGTTTACTAGAGAGAGAAAAGATTTAAAGGTCTTTCAACTGTTTTTCTGTATGACGGTTTGACTGTTATTCTGTATAGACTGACTCTTATTCAATGTTGAGACTGAACTGTAAGCTGCCCAGGTTTTATTTCAATAAGTAAAATTCACCCATTTGTTTTTCAATCTTTCATAATTCAATTTACGATTTATTTTAATATGTAACAAATGTACATAGTAGAAAAGAGATGTCCCTCTCATGCCTGCTCTCCAGTCTCCAATTTATCTTCTTCAGAGGCAAATTGGATGACCAGTTTCTTAGGTAATTTTCAGATTTTTTTTCCACATAGAATGATGCACTATATAAAGTGTTTTATATGTTTTTGTCTCCACTGAACACTTTATTTGGAGATCATTCCTCATCAGTGATGCATAAAGGTCTTCCTTCATATTTTGAAGAACAGCATCATATTTTATTATATGGACACAGCAGTGGATTTATTCAGTCCTTTGTAGTGGGCCTTTAAGTTTGTCCGGTGCTTTACTGCTGTAACTGGTATGTTGAACAAGCATGACTCATGACATCATCAAAAGACAACTTTTTCTTCTATCATTGCTTTACAAGTATTTCTTTAGGATAATACTTCCTGCCTTTGTTTGAAAATATTGGCTTTTCTCATGATTTTTCCCTTTTAGTCAAAAACACAGCATCAATTCAGAAGTTAGATCTATTCCTATGTAATAAAACACTGAACTTGACCTACTGTTACATCTTTCCCCCTCTGGCAGGAAACCTGCAGTGGGGAAAGGGCCTTGTCTACCTGCCTCTCTTCCCTGCATCATCCCCCCACTAGTTGCTGTTCCATTACCCAGTGAGGGTCAAGGTGGGGCTGTTGGGGAGTGAGAAAGGAAAGGTGAAGGGAAGAAATCGTTGTTGTCATTTGGCTGAATGATTCTGAATTCTCTGCTTCTGATGGATGGCTCATGCTGCCTCCTTCTCTTATGGAGCTTTTTGGGAGTTTTGGAGGCAGCTCTTCCCTACAGTTCTTCTGATCTGTTCCTGATGGTCTTTTGGGACTCCTTGGCATGGGCATGTGGAGCTATCTCCTTCTTCTGACCTGTTCCTGGTGGTCTTTTGGGACTCCTTGGCATGGGCATGTGGAGGTATCTCCAACCTTGCTCCACCAAATTCTTCTTGGTCTTATTGAACCAGACCCAGGGAAACCTCGGGCTGGTCCTACCTTGGGCACATGGCCCATATCTGGTCTTGGAAACACTCATCTGTCCCTTGACCGAGGTGTCCCTGGTCCCAACACAGCAGTGATTGCAGGGCTCTGCCACTAAAAGTACAAGGCAGCCCTTCTTTGTCTTCTGGATTTCATAGAAGAGTCAATCCCTGGCCCCAGGCCAGTTTAGCACCCTCAAGTCCAGCGTGGGCATTGGTCTTCTGTGTCTCTCACTGCTGGAAGTTCCTCTTGAATTTATCCAAGAGATTCTATGCAACCCCCCTTCCTAGTTGTCATGGTAGGCTCCCACGCTGCTCCCCTAAAGGTACAGTGAGGACCCCATAAAAACAATAGCTCTAAAGAATTCCTTCTCCAAGTCTCCCACCCTGGCGGTCTCTGACCTTGTTTTCATCCTTGATCTGGCTGAGTAACCCAAGAATCATTGCACAGATTCTAGGCCAAATTCCTTTGTCCATCTACAGTAACAGAGGGATCCTATGACACATTCACTGTGGTGTCCTGAGCCAAGAAGATTTCCATGCTAGTATCTTGTTATAATATCATAAATAACACTGCCATTAATATTCTTGTCCAAAGATATTTATTTATGCACATGGACCGGTATATCTACATGAATTGCCAGATGAATTAACAGAAAAGAAATGGTAGGGCCAAAGCGTATGAGCATCCTTTTATTTTACTAGATATTGCCAAATAGCCATCCAAAGAGTTGCACAAATTTTCTCTTCACAAAAAATGTATGAGTACCTGTTTCCCACCCCCTTGATTAGCTTCATATTTACATCTACCTGGATTTATTCTGATATAAATCATATTTTAACTCCTCGCATATACTCCAGTCCCACATATATTAAACAGTAAATTCAAGTGTATTTACTGAATAAATGTATCTTTTCCCCACTGAAATGCCACTTTGATCTTGCAATACATTCTTGAATATTTCTGGACTTTTTCTGGGCTTTGTGTTTTGTTCCAACTGATGTGTTTTGTCTATTCCTGTCCTAGTTCCATATGATTGTGATTATTGCAACTTTATTATACATTTTAATATTTGGTAGGAAAACTCCCATTTCATTACTCTCCTTTTTCAAAAATTCCCTAAATCTTCTCAAAATTTATTCTTTCAGTGACTTGTAGAATCAATTTGCCTAGCTCTAAAAAAAATCCATATGGATTTCTATGAAGATCACAAAAAATTTATAATTTGTGAGAAATTGGAAACTTCCCAGTATTAAATGTTCCCAAATGAGAACGTAATAGTCTCATTAGTTATTTTTTAAAATTTTATCATTCAAATGAGCTTTGTAATTTTATTCATACAATCTATTCCTGTCTATTTCTATAAACCTAAATATGTATGACATTACATATTTGTTACTATTGTATTAAATCATTTTCCCATTAATTTTTAGTTACTATTGACATACAAAAATCTTATTTTTGAACAATCTTTCTAGTCATTTTTAGCTTGTTTTCTTGGGCTTTCTAAATAGGTAATCGTATTATCTGTAAGTAATGATAACATTACTAACTCCATTCTAACATCTATACTACTTATTTGAATTTTGTTTAATTCCCAAGGTTTTCATGGCTACCACAAAATTAAATTTGTAAAATTCACATCTATTAATGTCTCCAAATCTTGACAAAAGTTGTGAGGATACATGCCAAAATGTTAACCGTAGTTATTTTGTCATAACTTCTGTATTTTGGTAATATTTACAGTAAATATCAGCAAAGTCAGCAAAACTAATTTCTGCAATTAATTTGAATCTATATTTTTGTAGTTATCCAAGTCAAGAATGAAAAGAGTATCTACTCTTCTACTTCTAGTGATGATGAATTAACAGAGATAGGATTTGCCCTCCAACCTAAACAATTAGAAGTTGAAATAAATGAAATGACTATTTTTAGATATTGGACAATAGGCAGCTGAGCATTATGGTTCCTGAAGAAAGAAAAACAAATGACGAGATCCCTATGATTGCACTGGGCCTGTAAGCTCTCCAGACCATCGAACAGGGAAGGGATTCCAAGATGTGAATGGCAGTCTCACAAATTTGAGGAAATAATTACCAGGTGTAGTAAGCCATGTAGCAAAAGAGCTTGAAAGATATACATAAAGGTCCCCTTTGGTCTTTGATGAAATACTAAGGTGGTTATAGAATGAAGCTTCATGAGACTGGGAAAAGAATAATCAGGGAGCCACAAGCTGAACAATTCTAAGAGATCAGGGATGGGAGATTCCTTATTGAACATGCAAAGCATTCAGTAGAGATCCTAAAAGAATCACATCTTAGTAGTAGGACTAAGTTAGCCCTAAAGGCCCAGCAGAAAAATGCTTAAAAATAGTCTGTGAAAAGATAAAACTGAACCACTAGTACCTTAACTACCCACTATAACAAAGCTCAATGCTATTTAAAGGAAGACAACAAAATCCAGACTCTCAACAATGTATCAGCATTGATACATTGCCCAGCCTCCAATTAAAAATTTTTAGACATGAAAAGAAGCAGAAAATGTAATCCATAACCAGAAAAAAAATCACTCACTGGTGACATAGGTTTAAAGATACAGAAGGTATCAATGATGGAATTGTCAAAGGTTGCTTAAGCAGCTATTATGAATATATTCAAAAAATTAAACAAGAGATATGAAAATAGTGAGTGGAGACAATGGAAGATATATATATACACATATACATACATACATACACAAACATACACATACCTGAAATGAAAATTACACTGGGTGGAATCAATAGAATATTAGAAACAGCAGAAGAAAATTAGTGAGCTTGAAGGCATAACAATGGAAACTATACAAATGAAGCACAGAGAGAAAACTGGGAAAAAATGAGCAGAGTCTCAGTGATGTGTGAGACAATATCAAGGGATCAAGGGTATAATGCGTACCCATTTGTTATTGGAGTGTCAGAAGGAAACAGGAGAGGTGCATAAAAGTACTCGAAGAAACTGACCGAAAAAAATTTAAATTTGATGAAAATTATAAACCCACAGACCCAGAAAGGTCAACAAACCCCAAGAAGGAGTAACACAAAGAGAACCACACCATTACAAAAATTTCCAAAAAGAGCTTTCATGGGTTTTCAGATTTCTTAATGACTTTTTAAAGAGAAAATCTTAAAGGCAGCCAGTGGAAAAAGAAACATAATATACAGATAAATATAAGCTTATCACAGACTTCTCATCAAAGACTATGCAAGCCAGAAAACAATGGAATGAAATCTTTAAAGCACTGAAACAATGGCTGAGCACCGTGGCTCAAGTCTGTAGTCTCAGCATTTTGGGAGGCCAAGGTAGGTGGATTGCTTCAGTGCAGGAGTTCAAGCCCAGCCTGGGCAACATGGCAAAAAATATAACAACAACAACAACAACAAAATAGCTGGAGGCTGAGGTGGGAGGATCCTTTGAGCCTGGGAGGCAGAGGTTGCAGTGAACTGAGATGGTGCCACTACACTCCAGCCTATGCAACAGAGTGAGACACTGTCTCAACAAAACAAACCAAGACAAAAACAACAAAAAATAAAGCACTGCAGCAAGGTGTCAACCTAGAATTTTAAATCCAGTTAATATTTATTTTTTAAATGTAAGTACAGTTAAGTCATTTTCAGAGAAAAACTGAGATAATTCATCATCTATAGGCTTTCACTACAGGAAATATTAGAGGAAGTAGTTCAAGTGGAAGAAAAATTATATCAGATGGAAAATTGGGATCACATCAAGGAATGCAGAACACTGGAAAGGGTAAATACATGGATAAATATAAAATGCGTTTTCTCATTTTAAAAATTTCTTTAAAATACAATTGTTTAAGCAAAAAAAAGTAGCAATGCATTACAGGATTTAAATCTATGAGGAGGTAAAAATATATGACAACAAAAGCACAAGAGATGAGGAACTAGAAGTACATCATAAGGTTTTACATAATACATGAAAAAGTATCATACCATTTCAAGATAGACTGTGATTAGTTTAAGAGACACATAATAAACACTAGTGCAATCTCTAAAAATGAAACAAAGAAGCATGGCTAATAAGGCAATAATGGAGATGAAGTAAAATTATTAAAATGATTAACTCAAAAGAGATAAAAAGAAAATGTGTAAATGAGACAGACAACAAAGAGTATGATGACAGCCTTCTGTACAACCATATTTATATCACATTTAATGTAAACGGTATAAACCAGAGTTTGGCAAACTTCTTCTGCAAAGGCCCAGATAGTAAATATTTTAGGCTTTGTGGTCCATACAGTCTGTGTTGAAGCTACTCAACTCTGATATTGTGGAGTAAAAGCAGCCATAGACAATACATAAATGAATAATGTGGCCATGTTTAGTCCACAGGGTGTAGTTTGCTGACTCTTGATCTAAATGCTTCAAATAGAAGGTGGAGTTGTCAGTCTATGGAGAAAAGCAAACCCCAACTACATGCTGTAAACTATATTAAATATAAATTCACAGATAGTTGAAAAGTAAAAAGATGGAGAAAGATAAGCAATGTAAACATTAATCATAAGAAAGCTGGAGAGGCTATTTTAATATCAAGATTAACTCAAGAACAAATTATATGTGAGATAAAAATATTTCATAATGATGAAAGAGTAAGTTCATGAAAAAAATATAACAATCATAAATGTGCCTGCACCCAATAAAACAGCTTTGAAATAGATGAAACAAAGGCCAACAGACTGAAAGAAAAATTTGACAAATCCATAAGTATAATTAGAATTTTTAACACTTCTTTCCCAGTAATTGAAAGAATAAGTAGAGAGAAAATCAGCAAGTCTATTGAAAACCCAAATAACACTATTAAGCAACACGATTGTTATGAACTGAATGTTTATGTCACCCTACCCCAAATGTTATGATGTTTGGAGGTGGGGCCTTTGGGGTAATTAGGTTTAGATGAGGTCTTGAGAGTAGATGATGGGATTAAGTTTCCTGTAAGAAGAGGGAGAGACCAGAGACTTTCTGTCCACCATGTGAAGGCACAGCAAGAAGGTGGCTGTCTGAAAGCCAGTAAATGGCCCCTTACCAGGCACTGAGTCCGCTGGCACCTTGATCTTGAACTTCCCAGCCTCGAGAACTGTGAAGAATGTGTCTGTTGTTTAAGCCACTGAGTCTATGGTATTTTGTCATAGCAGCTCAAGGTGACTAAGACAATGACCTAATTGAAATTTATAGAAAGTCTATACATCAACAAAATATATATCTTTTCAAAGGCATATGACACAGTCAGCAGACAGATCATATGCTCAGCCACTTATTCAAAAATCTCAATAAACTAGAAAAGGATTGAACTTTATAGAGTATGTTATCTGGAAACAATTGAACTAAACTAGAAATCAATAAAAGAAAGATATTTGGAAAACACCCAAGTGCTTGGAAATTAAACAAGTCATTTATAAATAACCAATGGGCCAAAGAAGAAATTACATATACAATCACAAAATAGTTTGAAGAGAATGAAAATGAAAAAGGTCTATCAGATTCATGGTCTCTAGTTAAGGCAGTGCTTAGAGGTAAATTTATATCGCAAACCGTTTATATTAAAAAAGAAGAAAGGGGATCACACGTCATCAGGATCTCCTGAGGCTGTGCCATGGGAAAAGAAAAATAAAAAAGAAGAAAGGTCCAAAATTAATAACATAACTAATCAGTCTAAGAATTTACAAAAAGAGGAAAAAAATTAAGCCTAAGGAAGTAGAAAACAGTGATATTAGTAAGAGCAGTAATCAAAGAAATAGGAAACAGAAAAACATGAGAGAAACTCAAAGCAAAAGTTGGTTCTTTGAAAAGAATTTTTCGAATTAGAAATCTCTAGCTAAATTTATCAAATTAAAGGAAGACACAAATGACCAACAGCAGGAATAAAAGAGGGGAAGTTAATTCAGATCTTATATACATTAAAGAGTCATAAAGGAATTTGGCTATGACAATAAATTTGACAACTTACAGGAAATACATAATTTTTATAAGTAAGCAATCTGTTAAAAGTAGATTTAAAATTAAAAACAGTCACACAAAACACTAGGCTCAACTAGCTCACTCATGAATTCTATCAAATATTTAAGAAATAATATTTCCAATATAACTAATCAAGATATAAACTATTTCATAAAATAGAGGAAGAGGCCAGCATTACCGTAATACCAAACTAGATGCAGACATTGCAAAAAGAGAAAATAACAGGACAATATCCCTCACAACATAGACACGAAAATCCTCAACAAAACACTAGCAAATTGAATCCAGCAATATGTATAATGTTGAGCAAAGGAGGTTTATTTTTCCCAGGAATGTAAGGTTGGCTTAACTTTCAATAATCAATCAATGTGTTTCACCAAGGTAAAAAATAATACAATAAAAATTTCAATCAATCAAGAAAAGCACTTGACATAATGCAACTTCCTTTCATGATAACAATTTTCTTTATTTTTATTTTTATTTTTATTTATTTACTATTATTATACTTTAAGTTTTAGGGTACATGTGCACATTGTGCAGGTTAGTTACATATGTATACATGTGCCATGCTGGTGCGCTGCACCCACTAACTCGTCATCTAGCATTAGGTATATCTCCCAATGCTATCCCTCCCCCCTCCCCCCACCCCACAACAGTCCCCAGAGTGTGATATTCCCCTTCCTGTGTCCATGTGATCTCATTGTTCAATTCCCACCTATGAGTGAGAATATGCGGTGTTTGGTTTTTTGTTCTTGCGTTGGTTTACTGAGAATGATGATTTCCAATTTCATCCATGTCCCTACAAAGGACATGAACTCATCATTTTTTATGGCTGCATAGTATTCCATGGTGTATATGTGCCACATTTTCTTAATCCAGTCTATCATTGTTGGACATTTGGGTTGGTTCCAAGTCTTTGCTATCGTGAATAATGCCGCAATAAACATATGTGTGCATGTGTCTTTATAGCAGCATGATTTATAGTCCTTTGGATATATACCCAGTAATGGGATGGCTGGGTCAAATGGTATTTCCAGTTCTAGATCCCTGAGGAATCGCCACACTGACTTCCACAATGGTTGAACTAGTTTACAGTCCCACCAACAGTGTAAAGTGTTCCTATTTCTCCACATCCTCTCCAGCACCTGTTGTTTCCTGACTTTTTAATGATCGCCATTCTAACTGGTGT
Source organism: Homo sapiens (assembly GCF_000001405.40). Taxonomy (NCBI): domain Eukaryota; kingdom Metazoa; phylum Chordata; class Mammalia; order Primates; family Hominidae; genus Homo; species Homo sapiens. The sequence goes on from NC_000002.12 coordinate 71,914,435, forward strand.
GAGATGGTATCTCATTGTGGTTTTGATTTGCATTTCTCTGATGGCCAGTGATGGTGAGCATTTTTTCATGTGTTTTTTGGCTGCATAAATGTCTTCTTTTGAGAAGTGTCTGTTCATGTCCTTTGCCCACTTTTTGATGGAGTTGTTTGTTTTTTTCTTGTAAATTTGTTGGAGTTCATTGTAGATTCTGGATATTAGCCCTTTGTCAGATGAGTAGGTTGTGAAAATTTTCTCCCATTTTGTAGGTTGCCTGTTCACTCTGATGGTAGTTTCTTTTGCTGTGCAGAAGCTCTTTAGTTTAATTAGATCCCATTTGTCAATTTTGTCTTTTGTTGCCATTGCTTTTGGTGTTTTAGACATGAAGTCCTTGCCCATGCCTATGTCCTGAATGGTAATGCCTACGTTTTCTTCTAGGGTTTTTATGGTGTTAGGTCTAACGTTTAAGTCTTTAATCCATCTTGAATTGATTTTTGTGTAAGGTGTAAGGAAGGGATCCAGTTTCAGCTTTCTACATATGGCTAGCCAGTTTTCCCAGCACCATTTATTAAATAGGGAATCCTTTCCCCAATGCTTGTTTTTCTCAGGTTTGTCAAAGATCAGATAGTTGTAGATATGCTGCATTATTTCTGAGGGCTCTGTTCTGTTCCATTGATCTATATCTCTGTTTTGGTACCAGTACCATGCTGTTTTGGTTACTGTAGCCTTGTAGTATAGTTTGAAGTCAGGTAGTGTGATGCCTCCAGCTTTGTTCTTTTGGCTTAGGATTGACTTGGCAATGTGGGCTCTTTTTTGGTTCCATATGAACTTTAAAATAGTTTTTTCCAATTCTGTGAAGAAAGGCATTGGTAGCTTGATGGGGATGGCATTGAATCTGTAAATTACCTTGGGCAGTATGGCCATTTTCACGACATTGATTCTTCCTACCCATGAGCATGGATAACAATTTTCAATGAGCTAGGAACAAAAGGTAACTATATCAACCAGTTTTTTAAAAAATCTATGAAAAACCTATACCTCAAATAATACTTAATGATGACACACAATGCTTTCCTCCTAAAGTGGAAAGCAAGACAAAGATGTCCACTCTGACCTCTTCTATTCAGTGTTTTACTGGAGATCCTACCAAGTACAATAAGGCAAGAAAATGAAACAAAGGAATAAATTTGGATAAATATTAGTAAACTCTATTTAGAGATGACATGATCAGGTACACAAATCATAGGGAATCAATCTACCAAAAAAATTCCTACTAGAACAATTCTGTAACTAGAGTTACAGAATAAAATGTCAATAAACAAATATACATTGTACTTTTATATAGTAGCAATGGAACTTCACTGGAAATTAAACATTAAAAAAGCACCATTTGCAATAGCATCAAAAACATGGTATGTTTAGGAGTAAAATTAAAATATATATTTGTATGATCTATACCATGCAACTTACAAAACACTGCTGAGAAAAAGTAAGAAAATTTAAATAAGTAGAGAGAGAGATCATGTTCTTGGGTTGGGAGATTCAAAATCATTAAGATGCATATTCTGCCCAATGAATCGATAGATTCAACTACAAACTCAATCAGCATCCCCGCAAGCTTTGTAATAGAAGTTGACAAGTTGATTCTACAATTTATATGGGAAAGCAAAGTAACCAGAATAGTCAAAATAATTTTGGAAAGAAGAACCAAGTTTGGAGGACTTACAATACTTGATTTCAAAGCTTACTATATTTTACTGAACAAAAGAAGACAGGCACAAAAGAGCATTACTATATGATTCCATTTATATTAAACTCTTGAAAAATTAATCTAGAGAAATAGAAAACAGAGTAATGGTTTCCTGGGGCCAGGGGTGGAGGTAGAAGGTAGAGATTAATTGGGAAGGACCACAAGTGAAGCTTCTAGGGCAATTAAAATGTTCTGTATCTCGACTGTAGTAGTGGTTACATGGTTATATACATTGTCAAAATTTATCCTTCATATGCTTTCAGTGTGTGCATTTTATTGTAGTAAATTTTACCCCAGTGAAGTTTATCTTTTAAAAGAGTACCTATCAAGCTATCCCCATAAAACATAAAGCTCTGGTACATGTTTATGTTTTGTTATGTAATCCCACATTCCTCCTCTCAATTTTTGTCAAGTAATTAGATATTTTTACTTCAGTAGTGTCATTATTGTTTTTATACATTTGTCTTTTAAAAATAGAACTTAAAAAGCCATCTGCTTCAAAACAATATTAAGGACAATTGTTTAGACTTAGTTCTGTGTTTTACGTTACTTCAGTAATCACCACCATTTCTTTTATACCATGACCTCCCCACTTGTGAATTCACTATATTTTTAAGTAAGTCTTTTCAGAAAATGTAGACTTGTGGTATTTTCCCTGAATATGTATATAATTGTATTGCCTTAATACACAAATGACACCTTATCTTGCACATAGAATTCTTGGATCACAACTTTTCCTTTCAAAATTCTACAGATAGATATCTAGTTTATTCCACTATCTAAAGTTGCAAAGAAATATGAGCCCAGCTTGATTGCTTTCAATCTTGAAAAATCTTTCTCCCCTTAGTTTCTGCGCTTGCACGGCCTCCTGATTTCCTCCTATTTCTTAGGACGCTGCTCAACTGCTTTGCAACACTTCTTCCTCTGCTCTTGAACACTAGTGTTCCTTGGGGTCCTGTCCAGGCTCCTTCTTCTTCTCATGTCATGCCAAGCCTTAGATTCAGTCAAGTCTGTACATTAAAGCACTCAATAAAACACATTGTTTTCTTGAAAAATACGAATTGCCACATGAATTCAAGAAGCATAAAGCCTTTAAAAAACAATAAGAAATAAATTGAAAAGATTGATGCAGAATTACCTTCAAAAATAGTACAATAATCTGACTGTTTTGTTACTCAAATGCTCATGAAATTGAGGATTTTCATGCTACACAAACTGTTACAGAGAGTAAAAAAAGATGTAATAGATTACAGTCAGTTTTTTAAACCTAGGTTAATTATGATACAAAAACCCAATAAATACACGAATAGCATAAAATAAACTACTTAACTACTTACCAATGCTAGAAAATCAAATCCAACACTACAGTAAAAGAATAATATAACATGAGGCAATAGACATTATTAAAAATAATGTAAACATGGTTTAATAGGAGATCTATTAAAGTAGTTCACTGCATTTTTAGGTCAAAGGAGAAACTCTATAATCATCTAGATAGGTATGAAAAGGCAAGACAAAATCTGCTTTCTCTTAGGATGCAGAAAATCACAAGGAAATGTTACTTCCCCTCCATAAACAATGTTTGTAAGAAGCCAGAAAATCTACAAAACTGACTTTTCCTGAGCCCATTAGAGCGCTGTTGTCACAAGGCTATAAGATGAACTGGATTTCAAAGAGTGAAAAGCCCATTTGAGGAGAGATGGAACATGCAAACTGGTTTCCTTTGGCAGAACACAGAAGAAAGAGGTGGCAGCAGCCCACTGCTGGAAGACTTTGCAAGCTCTGATATGGTAAAGATAACTGTAGCAATAACAAAACTGAAACTTAGTTCAACTATTGACTAGATTAACTTAACACTTTCCTTACCTCCCCTTCCCCCTGCCACACACTAATGGCCTCACATTAAAAAAAAAAAAAAAAAAAAAAAAAAAAGAGGCATCCCTATCTCAGGGTGTGAGTACTATTTTTTCCTTTTCCTTTTTTAAATTAGAAATGGGGCCTTTCTGTATTTCCCAGGCTGATCTTGAACTCCTGGGCTCAAGCTATCCTCCTGCCTCAGCCTCCTGAGTGGCTGGGATTACAGGCACATGCCACTGCACCAACCCCAAGGTGTAAGTACTATTTATCTCCATCTCTGCTATTTTTCTATACACCATGTCTAATATTCAAAAAGAAATTATAAGACACAAAGAAGCAATTTAAAAATTATCAAGAGATAGGGTGATCAACAGAAATAGACCCACAGATGACTCAGATGTTGCAATGATAAAATAGGCACCTTAAAATAATGGTGATTAATATATTCAGGGATCTAGTGAAAAAGGTGAGCAAAATACTTAAACAGATGAAAAATTTCACCATAGAGTTTGAGACTATAAAAATGTCAAATGGAGAAAATATGACATCAGAGACAGAGAAGAATTTGTTTGACAAGCCTATCAGCAGACAACGCAGAAGAGAAAAGAACCATTGAACTTGAAGATAGGTCCATAGACATTTTCTAAACTCAAGCACAAAGGAAAAAAAGGTTTTAAGTCAGATCCAAAAGCTGTAGGACAACGTGAAATTGGAGTCCCAGAACAAGAGACAAAGAACTTGGAAGAAGAAATATATGAAGAGGTAGTGGGTGACAACGTTTCCAGAATTACTGAAGGAAAACAAACTATAGATCCAAGAAGCTCAGAGAAAAAAAATACAAAAAAGAAATAAAATCTGACATATTACATATAGTCAAACTGCCAAAAACCCCAAACTTTCCCCATATTGATCTATAGTTTCAATGAAATCCCAATAAAAATTCAGTGGGTTTTTTGGTAGAAATTGACATGCTAACCCTAACATTTATATGGAAAAGCAAGAGAACTAGAATAGTCAAAATAATTTTGAAAAACAAAGCTGAAAGACTCAGACTACCTGATTTTAAGACTGTGGTACTGGTAAAATGATAGGTACTAAGATCAATAGGACACACTAGAATCTAGAAATGGACCCTCACATATATGGCTTATTGATTTTTGACAAAGGATAAAAAACAATTCACTAGAAAAAGCATACTCTTTTCAACAAATGGTGCTAAAGTAATTGGACATCACAGGAAAAAAAAATTTCAGTCTATACCTTACTCTATACAAAAATTAACTACAAATGTACCATATACATTAAGGTAAATTCTAAAACTATAAAACCTGTAGAAAAATACTTTGGAAGAAATCTTTTTGACTTGGGGTTTGGCAAAGCTATGACCTAAAAATCATAATTCATTCAAGAAAAAAAATTGATAAATTGGGCTTCCTTGAAATAAAAACTTCTGCTTTTCAAAAAACACAATTTTAAAAAACAAAAAGACACAACACATTTGGGAGAAAATATTTTAAAACACAGATGTAATAAAGAATTTGCATGCAAAATATAAAAGTAACTCTTAGAACTTAATAGGAAGACAATTAGCCCAATTTAAAAATGTACAAATGATTTAAACACTTAACCAAAGAGGATACATGGATAGCAAATAAGCACATGAAAGGATGCTCAACACCATTAATCATTAGGAAAAATATAAATTAAAACCACAATGTGATACCACTACACCCCTAAAATGGCTAATGTTAAAAAAGTTGACAATACCAAATGCTACTGAGGGATGTGAGTAATTGGAACTTTCAAACATTGCCAGTGGAAATGCAAAATAGTACAGCCTCTTATGAAAACAGTTTGGCAGTTTCTTATAAAGTTAAACATACTCTTACTATATACACATGACTCAGTAATTCTACTCCTAGGAATTTACCCAAGAAAAATAAAAACATATGTTCACCCAAATGAGTGGTATGTAAATTTTCATGAGTTTTATTCATAATAGTCCCAAACTGGAAGTAACCCAAAAGTTTATCAACTAGTGAATGGATATACAAATTATATCTATACAATGGAATACTACACAGCAATAAAAAGGAATGCAATATAGTTGTCCCTTCTTAATCATGGTTCTGCATCTGTGGATTCAATCAACTATGGACTGAAAATATTTGGAAAGAAAAATAGATGGTTGCATCTGTACTGAACATTTACAGACTTTTTTCTTATCATTATTCCCTAAATGATACAATATATTACATAGCATTTACATTGTATTTGGTATAAGTAATTTAGAGATGATTTAGAGTATATGGGAGAATGTGCATAGCTTAAATGCAAATACTACCTCATTTTATATCAGGGACTTGAGCATCCATGGATTTTGATACCCATGGGGGATCCTGAAGCAATCTTCTAGGGATGCCAAGGGATGATTGTATTGATACATGCAACAACATGAATGAATCTCAAAAGCATTATATACAAAGCGAGAGAAGCCACACATGAAAAGCTACATGCTATCTGATTCCACTTATTTGATGATATGGTTCGCATTTGTGTCCCCACCCAAATCTCATGTCAAATTCTAATCCCCAGTGTTGGAGAAGGGACCTGGTAGGAGGTGATTGGATCATGAGGGCAGACCTCCCCCTTGCTGTTCTCGTGCTAGTGTGTGAGTTCTCACGAGATCTGGTTGTTTAAAAGTGTGATACCTAGGCCAGGCATGGTGGCTCACGCCTGTAATCCCAGCCCTTTGGGAGGCTGAGGTGGGTGGATCACCTGAGGTCAGGAGTTCGAGACCCACCTGGCCAACATGGCGAAACCCCATCTCTACTAAAAATACAAAAAATTAGCTGGGCGTGGTGGTGAGTGCCTTTAATTCCAGCTACTTGGAAGGCTGAGGCAGGAGAATTGCTTGAACCTGGGAGGCAGAGGTTGCAGTGAGCAGAGATTGCGCCATAGCACTCTAGCCTGAGCAGCAAGAGCAAGACACCGTCAAAAAAAAAAAAAAAAAAAAGTGTGGTACCTCCCCCTGCTCTCTCTTCCTCCTTCTCCAGCCACATAGGATGTGCTTGCTTCCCCTTTGCCTTCTGCCATTAATATAAGTGTCCTGAGGCCTCCCCAGCCACGTTTCCTGTACAGACTGCAGAACCATGAGTCAATTAAACCTCTTTTATTTATAAATTCCCCAGTCTCAGGTAGTTCTTTACAGCAATGTGAGAATGGGCTAATACATTTGACATTCTGGAAAAGGCAAAGCTATAGGAATAGAAATCATCTAGTTCTCCCCAAGTTCACAAGCATAAATATTCTCCATGTTAATTCCTTCCATGCAAATAAACTCACACAAAAACAAATTTGTGTGGGAAAAACTCAGATTCAAGCTTTCCCATCTTAACATTCAGAGGGATGTTTATTACCCATGTTATTTATAATAGACATTTAAAATAAAAGTTCGGCAGACAAGAAGGCAGGCATCCAATTATGTTATAGAAAATGTTAATGACCCAGGGAGATGTTTATGTCAGAATAGGAAAAATAGAAACACTAATAGCTCACAACTATGGACTGGCCACTGCACAATAGGCAGCCCTCTAGATACTTTCTATGTGTTACACCGTTTCATCCTGGCAACTACTATATCATTATTGCTGTTATTGTTTTGTCAATTTCAGATGAGGGACCGGAGGTTTAGGAAGTTGATGAAACATGCCAGCAAGTAAGTGGTGGGGCTGAGATTTGAACTCACGTAGTCTACTAGACTCAAAACTCTAACCATTACACTTTACTGTTTTCTATTCTGCATGGCTTTAAATCTGTACTTACACACACACACACACACACACACACAACATAGGCCTAGAAGCAATTGTACCAAAATGTTAACAAGTTACCTCTGAGTGGGAGTTATAGGTAGCTTTTCTTTTATTTTGCTTCTCTATGCTTTTAGATTTGTACAAAAGACAAAGAGTATGATGTTTATAATGAAGAAATCATATATGTGGTTTAAATAGCTGAAGACACAGTCTTGTCTCAAAAGTTGCATACTCAAGAGACATTACATTCCAAGACCAGAGCTTAGTCCCTGTAAAACAAGTATGTCACCCTAAGGAGGACTTGCACCCCCCCAGCTCTACCCTCTTCTCTCCAGTCCCCCCACCTCAGGAGTCTAGGATGAGCAGAAGCACTGTCTCCAGAGAAAAGCCTTCCAGTGCCTCTGCCAGGCATGCTGGATGGCAGCCGGAGAGAGTCTAGGAAAGTCTAGCTCCCCCTGAGTCTGATGCCACTAGGGCTGGCCCTGGGTCCTCAGCTGGGCACAGGCAGCAAAGACCCAGGTCTCCCACTCCTGAGGATGGGGTGGCCAGATGATAAAGGACATGGAGTCATGAGGCAGTGGTGGCAACAGTTAATAGAAATAAGAAAAGACCTGTTTGATTAAGCCACGTCTTTCCTTCCCAGACCCCCTTTTCTCTCCCTGGGCTGTATTCAAACCCCATTGCATTTGGAGGGAAATCCAACCCATGTGTTTCTGATTCATTTACACTTAACTCATCAAAATCCTGTTTTGAAAGAGGCCATTGGATGGTCTACAAAGTCTGAGCAAAGCTCCCTGCCGCCGCGGGCTGGTTGTGGACTCACCAAATACCCCTTCTAATCCACCAGGCCTGTGGGCAGGCTCTGCACCACAGTGAAGGCTGTCTGAGTGTCTGCTCCCCAGCCTCGGCCCCCTTGGAGCCCTCCCTCACCGCCTTCTGCCTCTTTGAGAACTCCCAGGCTGCCTGCGAGGGTCTGGAAAACTCACACATCCCTGAGGGACAGGCACAAAACATGCCACCCTTCCTGGGCCAAAGCTATGTTTAAAATGAACTTGTAAAGCAAATGCTGAACCCAAAAGAGGGAGGCTCATGGTGAGATCACAGGCATGGGTGGTGCATTTCAGGGGCCTGCAGAGGCCTCCATCACAGTAGGATGCTGTGCTCATCTTAGAGATAAGTGATGGGAGAGATGAGCAGTTGCCTTGTTGCCCAGGACTGTCTCCCACCCAGAGTCAGAACCTAAGTTATTTCTCAGCCTCGGACCTTCTTGGATTGGATTTGAAAGAGAAGTCAGTCTTCCCTCAAGAGCAGGACACCTAGTTCCCATCTTTGGGGCTTGGCAAATTTTCATGGGTCTGTGTGGGGTGGTGTCAGCTACTGGTGCAAAGGCAAGTTCTCCCAGGCAGACATTTGGAAGTCATTAAGCCAAAATATGGTTGACTCAGATACAAAGCATGCCAGAGCTAGAAAAGACCTTGGAGAACTTTGTGGTCCAGCCCCCATGCTTACAGATCAGTCCCCATGAGATCCCCCTCCAGAAGGAGTTGGAGTAAGCCAAGCTCCTCCAACTTGCTGTGTTGGGAGAGCATGGGGTGTGGTCAGGAGAGACAGGAAGTTTGGGTCCCCTCCAAGCAAGGCCTAAGATGAAACACATGGGAACCAAGAATGGAACTAAAAGAGTGAGGACCTAGGTCCTTCCATGTGACCATTACAATGGGCTTTGACTTCGGGGCAACCCCTTCCTTGCGTTGTTCCCTTTGCCCCGTGGTTACTGGAGGGACAAATCTTCAGAACTTGCTAAGAGGGTGTATGCAGTTGGGAACCAGAAGGCAAGCAGTGCTCTGTGGGAAGCTGAGGGGGACACCAGAGGCTGACTGAAACAAGAGGGTAGATGGATGAATAATAACAGAACTGTTTACTGGGGGTCCTTCAACCGTGGAGCTCAGAGAGGTTCAGTAATTTTTCCCATATCACACAGCTACTAAGTGTTGGCACCAGAGTCCAAATCTACATCATCCTGGCTCTAAAAGTCATGCAACCAAATAAATAGTCAGGGGATGGGAGCACAGAGGGGGAAAGAAAGCTAGACATGGCTCTGTGCTCACTGTTGTGCAGGGTTGATACTCAAGGAAGCTCCCAGAAGGAGGTGCTGTGTGCAGGGTCTGGAAGGAGAGGAGCAGCAAGGCTTATGGTGGAGGGGAGGAGGATGGTCCAAATGGAGGGATCAGGTGGGAGCCAGTTGAGGCGCAGCTGCTCTGGGCACTAATGGCATGTGGTGGTTGCACCTGGAACCTACCAGCAGGTGGCAGTATTTCAGAACAAGAAGAGCGTCAAGTCGGTTAGGATAGTGATAGAAAGTAGAGATGCTGAGCTCTTAGCGTGTATTCCAGGCATTGTCGTAAACATATTATACAGAGCATTTCATTGAAGCTGCACGACAACTCTTTGAGATAGGTACTATTATTAGCCTCATTTTCCACATGAGAAGGGTTTAGTAAGGGTTTAGTAAGAGAAGGGTTTAGTACGTTGCTCAAGGCCTCAGAGGCAGGAAATACTGGAACCAAGATTCTTACCAGGCAGTCTAAACCCAGGCCTAAGTCTCTGTAGTTGTAACATCATAACTCAACTGATAGGCAGATACTGCATTTCTACCATGCATTTAGCATTGCACTGGGCTAGGGACTCAAAAGAGATCTAGACAATATCCTTGCTCCTGGGGCCCAGCCAGCTGATTTGGGTTTTACAAATCAATGATTCTAAGCCTCATAATGATTGACAATAGGTACATGCAGGGCAGCAGGTGGTGGGGCTGAGCAATGACCAGAGTCCTCAGACCCGGACTCAAAGCCTGGCTCCTCCACTTGCTGGCTGGGTGGCCTTGGGTATGTTCATTGATGTCAGAGGGCCTCAGTTTTTTCATCCATCTATAATTGGGTATAATATTGACCTCATGAGGATGAAATGTGAGAACACATGTAGAGAATTAGGCATGGAGTAGATCATGTGTTTTACCAAAATGACAGCAAATATCAAATACAAAAGGCAATGGGAGCCTAGAGGAGCAGTCTTGAAGTGAGTTTCCAAGACTGAGCAGTTTGGCTGACAGAGGAGGGTGAGGAGTGCAGCCTAGGAGGGAAACACTGACAAGCCATGGAGATTAACAGGCCATGATGCCTGAAAAAACACGAGCAGGGAGGAAAGGAGCTCAGTGAGCACCCTGGAATTCCATGGAACCAGGCACTGCCATGGGCTCAAGGACTGGGAAACATCACCTTCAGAGGGTTTCAAAACGAGCTGGATTTAAACAAGCAAGCAGATGGCACCAAGCACTCCATCAGCACACGGTCATTCAACCAGCATCTCATGGGCCCACTAAGTGCCAACCACGCTTCTTGAGTTGGTCCAGCCTGGGCTTTTCTTCCTGCACTGTAGGGGTGTCTCTGCAGTTGCTCAGAGCACTGTCTTCCCCTCAACTGGACCCAACATGCTCCGGCCCCTGCTCTGCCCAGAACGTCTGTGAGCAACCTGGTTCTTGTCAGAAGTTCCTGACAAGCTCTGCAAAATCCAGCCCTCTTGTGACTCCACCAGACATACCCCCAGGGGAAGAAAGGGTACCCCACCAGGGCAGGAGGTGGCAAGACAGTCTCTGCCCCCCGGGAGGGGTGAGTCATTCAGGGAGGATGCCTGCCTCAGGCACTGTGGGAGATGAGGAGGAGCCCCGTGTATCTGCAAGCACAGGGTCACCTGAGGGCGTGCAGAGCTGGAAGAAGCTGAGGCATTCAGGCAGCAGGGCCTGTGCCTCCTCTCCGCCTCCATTTCTGACTTCCAAGTCTTCAGAAGCGACAGCTAGGACATCCTCTGGCTCCCCTCCAGCCACACTGTGCCTCCCGCACACACACCTCCCTCTGATTCTAGCCCTCCTTCTCGAGATATGGCAGGAACTAAGGCCAGTGGCTCTTCAGGGTGGATGGGGGTTGACACGAGGGTGCATCTGGCTCTGGTGCTATCTGCACAGAGGTGCGTTCCTTCCCTAGGCCCCCCACTCACACCCAGAAACATGATCATTCATTCCATCATACACCCAGCTGGGGCTGGGGGAGGCCATGACAGGTGGGCCAGCAGGGGTGGTGGGGATGGGGCGCCGCGATCTTCTCCCAACCCCCTCAAAAGACAGATATGTCCCCTCTGAACATGCTGGGGGAGATTATTTTAACAAGCACTTTTGTACCAGGAAATCAGTGTGTTTAACCTAACAAGCAAAGAACAGCCCAGCGGGGCCCATAAATCTAGTTCCCACCTATTAATTTTACGGCCTACATAAAGCAGTGTTGAAGTCCAAAGTATATGTGACCTAAAAAGGCATTGCTCATTCTGACACATATACGACGTGGCCAGGACTCGAACCCTGACCCTGACCCTCACTCCAGGAAGCCAGCTCCCAAGCCTTACAGAGTGCAGAGGCTCATGCTGCAGAAACCCACCCAGGCTCCTTGTGAAAGAACAGGACAGCTGGAGGCAACAACTGTGGAGAGGGCTGGAGGACGTGGGCACCGCTGAGGCTGGGTTAGTGAGGACACCCTGCTAGAGACCCCAACCGCTCCCAGGGCTGACGTGTACAGTAGTGCAGGTTGGTCACTGCCCAAAGGCACCCAGATGAGAGGACAAGTGGAGGCTGAAATCTAACCTGCACCTGATGTACCATGCCTATCCCACAGGGACAGGGCTGCTTCTGTCCAGAGAGGGGCCTTTTAAAAAATCCATGCAAAGGTACTATACAGATTGTCAGCTCCCTTGGATAAATCTCGATCCCCATTCTAACTGTTTCAAATATTGACCCCTAACCAGTGACTCACTGTACTCCCAAACCAATTACATGCCCTCCCACCAGGGAAATCCATGACCACTGTCGACGCCTAACATCAGTTCCATGGGATAATCCCCAACCCCAAGCATGATTTAATAGGGTCACCCACCATGCAGTGACCACAACTGGGCTACTCTGGCCGCCCATAGCAACGGCACATTGATCCCCACAAAGTCATTAGGACAAGAACAACCTCAAAGCTAAGCCAGCTCAATTCCATGCTGATACTACAATAGAAGAAACAAGCTGAGGAACCTGAATGCCAGCGACCCACTTACTACACCCCTGGCCACATGCCGATTTCCCAACCCCGAGTGCACAGCAGTGCTCAGTACCTGCTGTTTTGCCCCTTTAGACTTATGCCCCACCCTCCTCCACCCTGTCTGTACCCAGGAGGCTGACCTCCAGGAGGTACCCCGCACCTCCCCTGCCCTCTAGCTCAGCTGGGGTTCCCAAATGGAAGCCCCTACTAGTGAGCTAAGGCAGGGAGCCCCCACTTCAGAGGCTCGTGCTCTCTGTCAGGGCTTTTGCTTTATCTCCAGGAGTCATGTGGAATTCATGCTCCACAGTCTGTCTTTGTTAGCTTTACCACTGAAGTGTCTTTCTGAGGTTAGGTTCCCGGGAGGAAGCCTGAGACAAGGGTGTGAGAGCAAGTCCTTGTACTTGGGGCTGTGATCCCAGGAAACAACACAAGGCAGTGGCGCTGTGAGCTGGGGAAGGAAGGAAGCCCACCCCAGGTAGATAAATGAGCAAGAGACGATTGCAGGCAAGGCACTCAGGCAGGCTAAGGCCCTGCAGCCGGGGTATTTATCTACCAATTCCTGCCTGTCTTCGTGTTGGCCTATCGCTGGGCATTGGCATCAGGCCGTTCCGGCTTGCTCAGTGCGGACTGAGCCTGCTCCCCCAGCCAACACCCTCAGACAGAGTCACAGGTGCTGCGGCACAAAGCTGTCAGCATATTAAGGATGGTGAGGACCAAGGGTGTGTGGGCAGTAGCATTTGCTGCACTGTTTTTGCCCAAATATTCAAGTAAGTTCGATCATTGGGTCCCCTGGTTTCTGCATTCCCTAAGAAGCCCCATTTAAGAAGGTCCGTTCCCAGGACTTCCCACTCGAAACCAAGTACTGACTCCATAAACTCCCTTTCCACCAATTCCTACAGCCCATTCTCACCCTTGTGTCACAGCGACAGTGACCTCCAACCCCTCTGCATGTGGAACCCTGGCCCAGGTTGTTGGCTCATTCTGACTCAGCCTCCAAGTGTCTGTTTATGAGACTTCCTTCCTCTAGGAGTCATCCTTGAGAGACTCCTCATGCACCCTTTCCCCAACTTCATCCATACCCTAACCCCTCCAACTGAACCTCAAACACTCACTACCTAATCCCCAAACACACACTGCCTACCCCAAATCTGGCTGTACCCTGACCCTCAAACCTATGAACACAATAAGCAAACACCCTCACACTGCAAGCACAGCTGCACCTCGAATCCTCAATCACAAGTGACCCCAAATCATGCTGATCCCCCAATTCCAACTACACACTGATGCCTCAGTTTCATCCCTAACCACACACTGGCCCAAGACACAACCACATTGGAACATTTAGCCACGTGTTTCTCTCTGAACTCAGTCACACATGGCGATGCCCCAACCCCTAATACACACCGGCTCCCTGTCCCAGACAACACACACGCAAACCCTCTCAATTCTAGAAGACACTGATCCACCAAGCCCCAGCTGTTTGCCAGCTGCCCAACCACAGGCCGACCCCAATCTCAATCATGGCCTGTCACTCCCATCTCCAGCCTCCCATGGATCCTAACCCCCCTAATTAGAGCCCCTGGCACAGACACCCCAAGCTAAACACTCACTGACTCCATGAACCTTAACCAAACAATGACCTCAATCCCAGCCAACCCAAGACCTTAAAACAAGGCCACACCCTTAACTCTAGAACTTCACCTCATACGAAGACTTACCAAGCCTTACCAAAGCTGATTCACCAAACTTCACCTCAGACCAACCCTCAGTGTCTCAAGCTTACACTGATCTTCAAACCCCATCCATGCCCTAACCTCCAGCCCAAGTCTACCTAACAAAGACATGTCAACCCTGAAGCCAAATGTCACACTAATGCTCAACCTGGCTACAAGCAGAACACCCCGTGCCAAACCTCACTGCCCCTCCACTTAAAGAGAGGGCACTCTGATGGCAGCCCTAAGCTTGCCCACGGTTCACCGATCCCCTAGCCACATTGAACCCCCAGCTACACTGGGCCTTCAAGTCCTGTACACACACCAACCCACCACAAAACATGCCCAGCCCAACCTTATTCAGTGCCCTTCAATCTCACCCACACCTCAAGGAACCTTTGATTCCATTCTCACAGAGACTACCCAAGTTGAACTGCACCCTTCTTCTCTAGCACAGCTTCACCCCAGGGACCCCGTGACCCCACACAAGCCCCCACCACCACCACAGGGATCATGTTCAAAGGGGGACATCTGCAGCCTCAGTGGTCAGCAGCACCACTCCTGGCTCCTGAAACCCTCCTTCGTGTTCATCTCCGCAACTCAGGGAAGGCACCGGAAGCTGTTGTCTAGCAGCACTGGGACAGCCCAACAATGCTCCTCCTTTTGTCTGTACCTCTCTCGACTACCAAGTTCCTCTCCAAAACACTGGCCTCTTCCACGCGGTGCAATTCCCTTGTTCCTAGTTCAGGTCCCTAGGACCCACCTTGGTAGGCTATACTGAGCTGGTCGTGCTTGTCTGTGCAGCCTGCAGGGCAGAGGGGTCCAGAGCCTGGGCAGTTGTCCTGCTCAGTTGCCCACAGGTTTTATGATCTTGGCTGGTCACTTCTCCTCTCTGGGACTTGTTTGATCCTGTGCATCAGAGGTCAGCACACTACTGCCTGCCAATCAAAACCCACCCTGCCCACTCAGTGACCTATTATCCAAGGCTGCCTTTGCACTGCAGTGGCAGAGAACAGTAGTTTCAAAAAAACTATGCGGGGCTCAAAGCCGAAAATATTGACTATCTGACCCTTACAGAAAAAGCTTGCAGCCCCCCTGTTTTGCATCCCCCTACCTTCCTTTTAGAGGATGTAATCATACTGGAGAGTTCTCCGTGTGAAGGCTTGAAAACAGGATACCCCTCTTCCTTCTCTGGGCTTCTCCAGGAAGATGCTCTTTAATAACGTGTTGATTATTCATTATGCTGATAATAAAACCTGTGATTTCCTGCCCCTCTCCCTGTGGAGGAGGGGCTAAAGGAAGACCACAGGGTCAGAGACAAGGCCTCAGGGGTTTGATAGCAATATTGGGATGCCCCAGTCTTTGTTTATTGTGGAGGTTCTTCCGACATTATTGCTTTTGTTTATTGAAACCCAACCCCCATGGTACTTAGCACCCTTGGCAGTGGGCCCAGACCTGCCCAGGCCCCAGCCTGCCACTCCTGGCCAAGAAGGGAGCCGGGTAGGGAGAGCACTGGCCAGGCCCAATTCTGGAGTCCTGTTTGCTTACAGCCTAAGGCGCGCCCGCTGGCCCCCCTTCTTAACATCTTGCTTACAAGACAAGCATTTGGAGACAATTTCTCATCAGACCTTCTTGTAAACATCCTCCTGGATGCAGCCGGCCTGAGGAGCCCTTATTAGAAACACCTGTGCCCGATGCAGGCCTGGTGAGTGACAGCTTGCAGAGCCACCACTGCCCCCCTGCCAGGCCTGGGGCTGGTGAAATGGGTGGGATGGGAGATGGGGATGAGGGTTCGGGTGATGAACCTCGGGAGGATGAGCCTCCTCCCCACATGGGCTTACTCCCGCAGGGCCAGTGTTGCTGAGGCAGTGCCCCTCCCCTTTCAGCATGGGAGACTCGGTGGAGTCAGGCAGGCCTAGTGCACAGAAATCTCTCATCAGTTCATTCTTGTGGTGCCCCAATTTCCCTACATTAGTCACTCCTTCGAGTTACACATGGTCCTCTTCAGGTTCTCTAAATAAAATGCCAGCTACCCTTCTTCCTCATGCCTGCATCCCTGGGAGCGTTGACACATTGAGTTTCTCACCACTTTAAATGAATGAGAATATTCAAGACTTTCAGCACTGTCCAAGCTTGAGGAGTGATACCTGGGGAGAGGCAGATCTGAGGCTCCCTACATGGACTTTTCAGGCTGGAAGGAACATCGCCATGCTGGTAGTTACGGAAAAAAAGCACAGCCCGAGCCCACTGGCCACGTCTTCCTCCCCAGGGCAGTTGCAAGCCTTCCTCCCTGTACCAACCAAACGTTGTAGCTGGTGTTGATCCAAATCTCCATTGTGCTAAGAGAAGGCAGGAGGAGAAAGGAAGGAGTGGGAGGAAGAGGACCTACCTAAACAGGGCCCTGCACTCCTACATCAATCCTTGGCCACTTATGTCCTGCCACTGGTCTTTTTGTTTTTGTTTTTGTTTTTTGAGACAGAGTTTCACTCTTGTCACCCAGGCTGGAGGAGTGCAATGGCACATTGTGGCTCACTGCAAACTCCGCCTCCTGGGTTCAAGGGACTCTCCTGCCTCAGCCTCCTGAGCAGCTGGGATTACAAGTGTGCACCACCACAGCTGGCTAATTTTTGTATTTTTAGTGGAGACAGGGTTTCACCACGTTGGCCAGGCTGGCCTTAAACTCCTGACCTCTTATGATCCGCCACCCTTGGCCTCCCAAAGTGCTGGGATTACAGGTGTGAGCCACCGCGCCTGGCCTGCCACTGGTCTTTGATGGGACCTTTGGGCACTCCCTTCAGCCTTCCCATGGCCACCTCACTTGGAACTCCTAGCCAAACACCTGAAGCGCTTGCTGCAATCGTGTTTGCTGAATTCCCCTGCCACTTGCCTGCTGCCCTGTCCTAGGACCCGCTGAGGCCAGGTCCTGCATTGGGCCATCTCTCAGCCTCATGGGGGCCTTCTTCTGCTTCTGGGGCTGGACATCTTGATGTGGCCTCCCTGCCTAAGGACTGGATTGCTCTAGATGGAGTAGAGGCTCGAGGGTCTCTCAGGGCCCAACTGAGACAGCCCACACTCCACCCAGCCTCACCTCTGACCTCCCAGGGGACCACATTGCCCTGAGTGGGAAAGAAGAGAGCTGGAAGGAAACCTGTCTCTAATGAGGTGGGCAAAAAGAGGAAGCACACGCTCCGTGAAATAAATTAGTGGAATCTCAATTCCGATAAATCCAGTTTCTTAAAAAAAAAAAAAAAAAAAAAAAGCAACTGGTAGGAAAAGAAAATGTAATTTATGCTCATTGAAAGGAGGCCAGGTTTAAATTGATGAAGTCTCCTGTTTATGTAATAAATCCATTTCCATTCATGTCACCAATATATTTATCCATACATCCTGGTCCAAGTCAAATCTTCATTATTTTATTATTCAACGGGGGGCAGAGGGAAGGGCAGGGGAACAGAGTTCTGTGTCGAATTAATAAAGTCTCACTCTCTCCCCCAGATCCCCCCTCACACAGGGACAATTTATTCCTAAGAAGGAGGCAGAAGAACTGGATGCAATTTATGTGCTTTGAAAGAGACCCAAACGTAATTAGGCAAAGTCTCAAGTTCACCGAGAAATAAATCCCAGAGAAAGTAGCCGGGGGTAAAATTTACGTTCCCTGAAAGTCTGAAAGCTTGTCTCCCACTGGTTCCGCCCCTCCCCCAGGCCACCGTGCTTGGTTCCCCAAGCCTGCCAGGCCCCAGGATTCTCTTCAGTGCCCCCACTTCCATGGGGCCATGTGCCAATAGGCCCCCCAGGGGGAGTCGCCCTGCCTCTGCCTCTCTCCCCACCCGCCGTGGTCCTCAGGAGATCTGAGGGGCTAGTTATGGCAGCTGATGGGACTCAGACTTCTCACCCTGCCCAGTGCATTCACCCCAGAGAAAGGAAGAGCTACCAGGAGTCTCTGCCACCACAGCCAGACAGACGGTTTTTGGGAACAAGGCAGTTTCCTTGTGATACGCCAGCCCCTCCTCAGGGTCCAGCAAGTCTTGCTTTATTCCACTCCTGCAGCTCCACTTTGTTCACACTGGGCAGAGGGTCAGGAGAGGGAGTGCCTTGTTCCCAGGAAGTCAGGAGAGCGTGGCTGGGATAAGGTCTACCTCAAGGAGGGCTGTGCTGCTGAGGTGGACCCTTGGGTGGGGTGGACAGAGCAGAGCTTCCCTACGCCGGAAGCACACAGACTACCAGGAGCTCTGTGTGGGGAGCGCCCACCTGCTCCAGGTTCTCAGTTTGGAAACCTCCATTTTCCTCCTCCAGCCACCAGACAGGTGCCTTGGAACGTAGCTTAGTGTGGCCCTGGGAGTGCAGATGACCTTGGGGCTGGTCTGCCCTTGGCGAAAGGCTTCTGAGCACAGCACACAGGGCTGGGAGTCTGCCCTGCTGGGGGTCATGTTGCTCCTGGCACCGCGAAGAGACCACTTCAACCCACTGTGCCCCAGGGCCTCCTGGTAGAGGGACAGGACCATGTCCATCACCATCCTGGCCCTGCTCCCTGCAACTAGCAGGCATCCTGCCCCTGGCAATGAAGGCAATTGCCCTCGTAAAGGGGACTGGACATTGATGATGAGGACTGACCGAGCCCAGGCTGGGCCAACAGAGAGGGCAGACGTGGCAAGTGACCCACAAGGACTCCTGCTGGGGGCAGGACTGGAAGGGAAGGAGTTAGGGGCAGCTCCCAGGTCTCTGGCTTGAGCAACAGAGTGACTCGGGCAGCTGTTTGCTGCGATAGGGAGTGCTGGGGGCAGAGTTGGGTGGGCACCAAAGATGAGTTTACCTGAGGAGGAGCAGGTTTGGGGGAAGGGCAGGAGGGATAAGCTGAGTTCAGTTTTCTGCAAGAGAGATGGCCAAGACTGCTGTACTTGTGGGGAGGTGTCCAGCTGGGACACAACAAGGCCTTCAGAAGGGAGCACCTGAGAGTTGTTGCCACAGAGATGGTCACTGATTCCAGGCGCAGCCACACTCGTCCAGGGTGTGTGGAGT
Organism: Homo sapiens; assembly: GCF_000001405.40. Classification (NCBI taxonomy): domain Eukaryota; kingdom Metazoa; phylum Chordata; class Mammalia; order Primates; family Hominidae; genus Homo; species Homo sapiens. The sequence goes on from NC_000002.12 coordinate 71,933,687, forward strand.
GAGCCTGGCCAAGACCACAGGACAGAGGGCCTGCAAAGGACCACAGAAGGCACAGCCAGTGGAAGCAGGGGGCATCACGAAGGGGGACGGGTCCAACAGTGTCCAATGCTGAGGGAGGACAGTGCACTGAAGACCAAGATACTTGCATCACTGTTGGTAGTGGAGGATCCAGATGGTCTCGGCAAGAGCCCTTTGGAGGAGAAATGGGGCAGAGCAGAGGCCAGATCTTGGAGCAGGGAAGGAGAAAGCTGGCTGCAGTGAAGCCGAGGAGCAAGCAGAGCTTTGGGGATGAGGTTAGATGCTGGAGCATATTTGCAGCCTGAACAATCACTGACACAGGATGGCAACATGCAGTGCTGGGACCAGGGCTTGCAGAAGGCACCAGGGGGCAGGCTCCCAGGATAGAAGACGACTGGAAGCTTGGAGAGCATGTGAGGCCCTTTTCACCTGAGATGGGAAGGAAGGCAGCTCCGGGCATGAGATGGAGTCATGTGCCCAGCTTGGGGGAGGGACAGGGAAGTGGCATGTTAAAAGCACTCTCTCAGAATGTTGGGGGCACTGCATATTGAGACCCAGGTCCTGCCTTTTCTTTCCAAGCTGATGTTCTTTGTAAGGATGAATCTTGGATTTTCAGCTTTTGCCGGCCACTGGCTGACAAGGTGACCTGTTGAAGGCTGGCCACTGGGCCAGGGCTGGGGAATGTCCAGACTCTAGATAGCACCTGGAAGTACTAGATTCAGGGTCTACTCTCCTTTGCTGTGGTTCAGGGAAGGCTCCTCAGGTGCAGGGTCCCAGCTACAGAGCCTTTTGAGCTTCCTGTATCGAGCAAGCACCAATTACCCATACAAATTAGCAGTGAACTGGATGCCAGGAATGCTGATGCCTTTCTCAAAAAGCCCCAGCCTGGGCACCAACCATGGGCATACTGCCTCCAGAAGACTGCTTCCCATGAGCCACACCTCTGGGGAACAGTCACTGGAACAGCAGGGGGCCAACTGATCCAACGTCCATGTTATTGCTCAACAGCAGCCCGCGGCATATGGTGACGGGAAATGGGCTCACAGTTCAGCCAAAGGGCTGCTGTCTTTGATGATGCAACAACTGCCTTATCTGTGACATGGCAATCTAGAGGGTTCAGAAGGGGAGCTCTTCCACCCTCAGCAACCTCTGTTGCTCAAGCCAGAAATCTGGGAGCTGCCCCTAACTCCTTCCCCCCAAGTCCTGCCCCCAGCAGGAGTCCTGTGGGTCACTTGCCATGTCTGCCTCTCTCTGTGGGCCCAGCCTGGGCTTGGTCAGTCCTCATCATCATGCCCAACCCCCTTTAGGAGGGCATTTGCCTTCATTGCCAGGGGCAGGAGGCCTGCTAGTTGGGGGGAGGAGGGGCAGGTTGGGGATGGCCATGGGCCTGTCCCCCTACCAGGAGGCCCTCAGGTTGACTGTAGGTGACCTGGGCAGGTGTGGCCAGGTGGTTGTAAAGACACTGGAGGGGGTGAGGACCATCTTATGGCCTGGGGGTGGAAAGACTGTGGCTGCTGCTGCCTCTCTGGGGATGATCTCCACATAGTCACATAGCACTAATGGGGACCATTCAGTCTCAGACTGACTTCCCTGATCTGGGCAGCAGAGACTCTGGCTATAAAATTCCTGTTTTATGAGGTTCTCTGGGAAGCCAAAACTCCCCTGGCAGGCCTACCAGGGCAGCCCCAGAGGAGCTCTGCAGAGGAAGCCTCGCTGCCAGGACACATTGCATCTTAGTCACGCTACGAACAACTCAGTTCTCAAAAGCCCAAACACCCAGCCGGCTGTCACAGATCTCAGAGGAGGTCTCTGGCTTCATTATGAAGGGCTGACCATGAATAATGACCCCAAGATCCGGCTCCCGTTGACCCAGGCACAGTAAGAGAAACAGGGTGCAGGGGAAAGTCAGTGCAAGTCCAAGTCTCCGCCTCCATTCTTCGTCAGTCCCCTAAAAGTCCCCCTAGTAGACCTGAGAGAGGGCAGTGCACTGACTCTCCCAGGGAAGAGGATTCATGTGCAAGTGACTCATTGAGGAAATGTTCCCAGGAGAGACCCGCGAAAAGAGAGGGGAAGCAGGGAGGGACAGGGAAGAAGCTAAGTCAGGGTGTGATTTCAGTTGAAGCCCCAGCCTCTGCCTGACCCCGCAGGAGCTCCAGAGCATAGAGTAACGTGCGTCTGTCATCCTAGAGATAAAGAACCTGAGCTTTCACGTTCCTACACGAATTGGGACTTAACTTCAATCTGTCCCAGGTGCATAGAAACTCTTGGCACTTCTAGATCTCCTACAGTCCGGGTGAGGCAGCTCCAGTGACCCGAAAGTAGCTTTCAAAGGTGCACACTCTTAGAAGCAAAGCTTTCAGGAGCTGGGGATGGACACACAGGACTGGCAAAGGGTATGTGGGTAGAGCCCAGTGGCATCCTTTACACCTGGTGATGTCATTGGTTAGAGGTTGCCTCCCAGAGCTGAGAAAATGTATTAAAAGGCCTCTTTGCTCCCAGAGCTCTGAAACATTTGCCTAGGTGGTAGGCCCAAATTTTTGCAAACTGCCTATTCCGTTTCCTGGGTGGGTGCCCACAGGCCGGACCTAAAGCCAAGTCTCTCGTTCCCACCAAAAGGACAAATCCTCTGTTCTGTCAGGATTAGACATACCAGCCTGTTGCTTTCAATCTTAGCAAGAGGTAGCCACTTCTTGTTCTGTAAACTTCAAATGTGGGATCACAGTGACTACCCCCACTGATCCCTGTCACAACATTCCACCCAACAGAGGCCCCAGTTGAAAACCATCCACCCTCTTCCCAGAGTGGATCACACTGGCCTGGCCTTCGGCTCCCAGGCAGGAACCTCTGGGCTGTGTGGTTTTAGTGTTGAACAGATGTGTCCTGAGAACCTTGATGCCCACCTCACAACTCTGGAATCACATAGGAAAAGAAAAAATCCCGTTTTTAAGTGGGATAAGGGAGAACTGGTCCCTAGGCCCCTCCTTTCTCTCTGGGACTTGGAGCATTAGGTTCAGCTGTGTAGCTTTTGTATGATCAGCACAAAGACTAGACTAAGGGACATGACAAGCACCCACTCCTGCAAGGGCTCCAAGCCATCAAGGCTGTGCACTTGGGCCATGACCTGGGCCTTTCAGAACTAAAGTCAATAAACTCTGAACCTGAACCTGAGCTCTTGCAGAGAAGCAATGGAAGATAGACTCTGTGGTCATGGTTCACTTTTCTTTTGGTTACAAAGAAGCTGCCATCAAAATGTTATTAGGAACCAACCATAGTTTGCATTTTTTAATATAATTTTTCCCTTACTTTCCTTTTACTCTCTCCACACCCTGCCAGGTTAGGGGGCTATCTACCCAGACATTTCCTTTTGAGGATTCCTTAATTTTCATGGAAAGTAGCAATCTTCTTGCCTTCTTGCTCAGCAGAGCTCATGGCCATGTCTTAAATCAACAACAGAGGATATTTTCACTCTGGTTGTTTGCCTGAAATTTTAACCTGAATTCTGCTACTCAGTTCTATTCAAAAGCTTGGTTTATAGAAATGGTCATCATGAGGGTAGGAGGGTGATTCGTGGTAATATTGAAAATCTCATTCCCAAATCAAGCCCCGCCATCCTGTCATGACAGAGCTCCTACCTGGGCCACATGGCTTTGAACTCCCCTATAATTGCTGTTATTTAATTGTCTTTTGGGCCTCAGCTTGCATTTCATTTCTATAATCAGTACTAAGTTTTGTATAACTGTATATATGGTTTGAAACTTTGTAAAGTTATCTGAAATGTACTATTTATTATGAGGAATTGCATAAACCTCATCTGTCACAGTACCTATTGCTCCCAGGAGCAATTCATAGGAGAAAAATCTCTCTGATCTCATGGCCAAGAAGCCACAGCCACTGGTCTGCTTTTGAGAATCCTATAAATCATCATCTGTTTCTCTTTGCTTCAGCTGTTAGGAAGCTCCAAGCCAAATTAGCATCCTATCTCTATTAGCACATGTGTGAGAGTTTCTATAGACTAGCTGGGTGGGGGGACGCACATCTTCAACTTTACTGGGTATTATCAATTTATTGTCCATGGAGGCTGCAGCAATTTACACTCCCATCAAGTGAGCCACAGGGTTCCTGCTTCCCCCTGTCATCATGTCATGATGCTTGCTTTTTGCCAAGCTGAGATGTCTGAAGTGGAACCTCATTGCTTCTTCAATTTGTATTTTCCCAATTTTTCAGGGGCACCTTTTCATGTATTTATTGGCCTTGGGGTTAACTCACTTGCAAGTTGCTTGTTCAGAGCTTTCGTCCCTTTTGTTCCATCAAAGTATTTTTCTTTTCCCCGTTGGTTTCCCAATGATTTGTAAGATCTTCCTTTTACTCCTGACTTCATCTTATGCTCTAATCTGTTTTGCCCCCATCTTGATTTCATTCACTATTTATTTTTATATTATTGCTATTATCTGCTCAGACCCTGACACTCAGCAGTGCTGCCCACCAGGGAGAGTCCAGGTCCAGACCCATTCCCTCCCACCAATGCCCAGCATCCCTCTAGGGCTGGGGCCTGGCACAAGACCCTCTGCCCAGCATGTGCTGCATTCACCCTGGGAGCCCAGATCTTTGAGTCCTCTCTGGACCTGCTCGGGGAGATAAGAGGCCATTTCAGGCATGGGGGGTGGAGTGTGGACAGAAAAGGGGCTCTGGAGTTAGGCAGGCCTGGGTTCAAAGGCTGTCTCAAGTCCTTCCCAGCATGTAACCTCCAGCTGAATGGTAAGTTCTTCTGGTCTTGGTTTTCTCATCCTTGTGATGAGAATAACAGTAAGACCAATATCTTGGAACCAATGAGGATTTAAATAAGAAAACTAGATGTAGACATCTCATGCAGCCACCTGGGCCTTTCAGTGAGGGGCTTGTTGAATCTTAATTATCTGTGATATTTGTGGGCTGAGGGGTCTCCCCAGGGCCCTCCTTGCTGCCCTGAGCTGGCCATGCCAACCTTCTGAGGGATGTCCACCTCTGGCCCTTCTCCCTCTTCCTTGCAGCCTTTGGGGGCTGAACCACAGCAGTCAGCCCTCCTGGGTTTCCCACCTAGTGTCTCTGCTGGCTCCTGCCCATCTCAGTTGAGCAGCTGCAGATCAATCCACGGGAGCTCCACCACACCCCACCCCTGCTCACACTCTGCCACCATTGCCTCCTACCCACTGAGATGGAACTCCTCTCTCTCGAGCTGAAAGCTCACACCATCTCCACACTGGGCTCTCCACACACCCCTCTCCCCAGCAGGGACCTCGGCTCTCACCTGCCAGCCTCCACGCCAATGCTCATGCATTTGTCCGTGCCTGGAATCTCAACCACTGTGAAATCGACTTGCCCTTCAAGGCCCTAAGCAAATCCCACTCCCTGCACAAGACCTTCCCAGGAGTCACCCACTACCCTCACATTCCTGGTGCTCAGCTCCCTGTTACTCTGCTACCCTTGCTTGGCTGTGCTTCACTGATGATTGCCTATCTGGTTGAGCACCCAGCTGTGGGGCCAGGTGGAGGCTCCTCTTGCCAAGAGATTGGCCCTGGGGAAGAGCTGTGTCCATCCCGAGGAAGGAGTGCCTTTGTCTAACATGCGCAAAGGTACCATGTGGGCCAGCGGCAGCCCCATCCTGCCCTAAGACAGGAAGTGCTCAGTTCAAGGTGGGGCAGGACATACATGTGGGCTCGGCTGCCCTTGCCAGACAGCACCCTTGCCGAATGGGCAAGTCAGCAGCCTCTCTCTCGAAGCTGCCCCTTCTGTCCCCCCATGCTGCTCCACAGTTTCTCAGGGTTCAGGAATTGTCCCCCGCTGGAGTCAGATCTAGAGGAAGGTCCCATGCCTTCCTTTTCCAGGAGTTGTTGGACATTGAGACCTAAAACCCAGAGAACAGCCAAACCCAGGAGACATAGGTGCCAGGCTGCAGCCCATCCTGTAACTACAAGGCGGTACAGCTCCCTGGGGCCAGGCCAGCAGCACTGGCTTCCTGCAAAGCTTGACCAGAGTGCCAGCCAAGCCTCCGGGGGAGGAGGTGAGGAAGGAGAACAGAGAGGAAGAGGAGGGTGGGGAGGCTACCGAAGGGAGAAAACCGGCTAAGCCAGGGCCCCTCCAAGAGCCCTGCAGGCTGTTGACTGCATGAAGAAGGGCTACCGGAAGGCCAGTGACAACTGAAATCATTCCCCCTCCATTTGCTGCGTGTTTCCTGCCCAGGACGGGGACTCCAGAGGAAAGGGTGTCTAGAGAAAGAGCAAACCTTCCCTGGGGACCACCTTGAGATGTCATCCCTTTGTCCTTTTTTCACTCCCTCCTGGCCCTGCTTCTGCCCTAACCCAGGATGGGGAGAGGGGAGGCTTCATGTAAGGAGGACCCAGAAGTCACACTCCCAGAGGGGCAGGGTGGCCTGGGGCCTGGCCTTCTGCAGACCCCTGGGCCAGCTCCCAACAGCCTGGTCTGTGGAAATTGGATGATGTCCCCCTCCCTTGACGCCCCAGCCCCTGCCTCCTCCTCTCTAGCCCCAGTTGGCAGGGCTTAACTGGACACTCCCTCTGTCTGAGGCCAGTCCCCACCGGGAACCTGGCCAAACCGTCTGAGGCCAGGACGCATGGACAAAACAACCCAGGCCACCTCTGCCTCCACCCTATGGTGTGCACATCTCCCCTGGCCAGAGCACTGCCCAAGAGGAGGCATCATGTTCTCCCACAACTCCAGGGCTGGGACATTCTCGGGCCAAGAGCCAGGAGAGTCCAGCGCAGCAGGCACCTATGCTGACACTCATTTGGTCCAAACTCTTCATTTTGTTGGGGCAACTGTGGTCCTGGAAGGGGCAGTGGCTAACTGTCTCAGGCTCTCCAACAGCCCAGAAGCTCTCTGCAAGGCCCAGGGGTCCCCCTGATTGCTGTAGCAGGATCCCACATCCCTTCTTCTTGGGGAAATGATAGAGTTGGTTACATGTGCTTTGTCATCAACTCTATTTGAAAACTGTGAAAGGATCCGAGCTGCTTGGGAAGAGGCAGAGGGAGGCCAGTAATAGTTTAGTCTTAACAAAATAAAATTTTATGTTCCTTAAATACATGAAGTCACCCAGAACGGCCATTAACAAAGTGTGGTCAAGGAAAGGTACTGGCTGCCTCAGAGATGAGGTCAGAGTTCACTTGTGATTGGCATGCTAACTGCTCCCATGCAACCGGGTGTTGCCAAAGGGCACAGCACTCCCTCTGCCATCTGGAACACAACACTTGCCCGGAGGCCAGTAGCTCCTGTTATTATTATCTTGTTCCCACTAGGAGTTTGTTCAGCACATGTTCCCATCAGCAGGGTCCAATTCCTCTCTGGCCTTGTAAAAGCATCACAAATTCTAAATTAGAGGTGTCTGAGCTAACGAGGGCCTCTCCCTACTCTTCTTAAGTTTCTTCCATTGTGTGTTTCTCATCCCCACCACCGTCTCCCGGCTAGATCTTTAATTCCACAGAGACAGGGACCATGTCTTCTATTTCATCCATTCAACAAGTATTGATTGACCACCTGCCATGGGTTGTACCAGGTGCTTTGGGGAATACAAAACATGAGAAAGCCACGTCTCTGCCCTCAAGAAAGAGACGATGGCTCTGAGTGACTGCGTTGCCTTGCTTTGTGTAGCCATCAGTATTTTTAATGCTATTTTAGACTCTAGCTCCTTTAATACCCACAATAGTCCTGAGGGGGTGGGAGGAGCTATATTGTTTCCACATGTCAGATGGGTAAACTGGGGCTCAGAAAAGCTACCTGACTCCCCCAGAGCCACACAGCCTATTGGTTGTGAAGCTTGAGCTAGAACCCCTGGTTTCCTATCCTTTCTAACAGGGGGCAGTTAGGGACATGCATGCTCACACACACAACCTCCTCTGCCAGCTTGTTGGAGGAGGCTGGATCATGCCCTCCTCTTCTTTGGCCTTGCCTAAGATAGCCCCAAATGTCCCCATCCCCATCCCAGCATGTACAGTTTAAGCAAGTGTAGCTTCATGAAAGTAGAGTCTGTTCTCCCTCACTGGGGGCTTAAAAAAGAAAATGAGAAAAGCAATGAAAAAAATGATATAAGAAATTTTGTATTTAGCCAAATGCTCATAGGAGAGGAGGGGCCTAACTGGCAGGAAGCACCCCCCAACTGCACTCAGCGCCTCCCACAGGGTTCTGCCAAGAGCTCTGCGAAGGAGGTGTCTATCTGTTCAGTGGGTGGATTTTGCACACAGCTTTAAAGAAAACAGAGGCCCCCTAGTTGGCTATAACATTGTCCTGTGGGCTCCCTGGGGACAATAAAGTGGTTCCATCCCAGGAAGCAGCCAGCAGGCAATGATTTTGTGTCTGAAATGCACGCCAGCCTTTTATCTCTAACCCAAAGGGGCCAAGCATGAGTGTGCTGATGGCTTGGTGTCGCCCATCTTCACTGCTAGGGACAGAGCTCTGGGGCAAAAATGGAAGCCTGGTGAACTAAACCGGGATGGGGCACTGGGTATCCTCTCTTCCCTTTTCACAAAGTACCCCCTGTTTATTCCATGTATTCCATTGCTTGACTGCTAGACGATGCTAGCTCCCCTGAGGACATTTCGTGGATGTGGCCAGCCAGGCGCGAGGGGCTGGGGGAAGGGGAGAAGGCAGATGTTGCCACCTGGCCTTCACTCCACAGGCCTGGGTGGAAGTGGGCAGTCAACTTAAAGAGTAAAGAGTCCATATGGGAGGAAGCGACTTCTGGGGAGGAGGCAGGGTTAGACCCCAGAGGGGCCTGCCTGGGAGCTCCCTCTCAGGGATCACAGCAGAAGAGAAACATCTCACGAGTCTGGGGAAGTTTTGTCCCAGGATAGCTGTGGTTTTCAAACTTGAGTGCACATCAGAATCCTCTGGGGGGCTTGGGAATATACAGATTCCAGGGCCTCACCTCTTCCCACCTCCAGTTTCTGATTTATATTTTTGGTCTGGGGTGAGGCCCAAGAATTTGTATTTCTAGTCAGTTCTCAAGTGATGCTGCTACTCTGGGGTCACTTGAAAATCACTGGAGTTTTCTAGAAGAATTGACAAGTTGACCTGCTATAGGGGAAGGTTCAGAACAGAAGATGAGCAAATGCCTGCCTTCAAAGACCTCCTAGCCTGTTCTCCAGTGGTGGTCTGGGACAGTAAGGCAGGGAAGTGGACCAAATGGCATGGAGAGGGAGACATCAAGGCTGAGGTGAGGGATCAGGGGGAGTTGGGTGGGGCCTCCTGGTGTGCGTGTGTGTGTGTGTGTGTGTGTGTGTGTGTGTGTGTGTGTGTGTGTGGTGGGGAGATGGAGTTAGCCTTTCCCTGCCTTGGGAGTTCATTGGAACTGCTAGCTCTGCTTCCACTTCCTACTATTTGACCTCATATAAGTGTCCACAGCTTTCTAGGACTCTTCCTAACATGAAAGTAATTTCATGGGGATTCCTCTCTGTGTCTTCTCCATCCTCCATGCCAAGCCAAACCCCTGCCTCCTCCGGGAAGGCTTCTTTGGCTGCTCCAGCCCTTCTGGGCCTGTGCTCCTGGCTCTCCCCAGGCCACAGAGGCTGGACCACATGTGTTCCTTCTCCTATTGAGCTCCTAGTGGCCTTCACGTGGCTGGGCCACAGCAGGAACTCCACGAAAAATACTAAGCTGACTTAGATTTAGAGCAGAGCTAAGACAGCCAAGAGTGGGAGGCAAGGGATGGCAAGGCCACGGGCTCCCAACTGCTGAGCTAAAAGTGGAAAGTACGATCACAGCCGCGGAGGCTTGGCCTTCTTCCTTCTCTCTCCATCTGCTTTGCAAGGAAGGGAGCAGAGAGAGGCCACAGCACGTTACTCACTTGCTGAAGTCATGGACTGAGGCAGTCAGGGTGAGAGGGTTAGGGAAGGAGGCTGACCTTTCTGTCCCAATGAATGTCCTTTCTAGCCTCTCTACTTACTCAGGCCCCAAATTAGGACATTTCCTGGCCCTCATCCAGTTCCTCAGGAAGTCCATCAAGTCTTCCTTTAACATACACTCACAGCCATCCATGCCCCCTGCCTCTCACTGACACCGCCCTTGTCCGGGCCACCTTCACTCGCCTGGCCCCTGCAGTAGCGTCCGCTCTTGACACTCTGCTCTAACTCCTGTTCCCTCTAATCCACGCCAGCCAGAGTGAGATTTCAGAACTGTAGGTTAGTTTCATCCCTTCCCTGATTAATGCTTTGAAAGGCTCCTCATTGCTCCTATTGACAGAATAAAATCCCAACTCCTTGCCATGGCCTTCCAGCCCGGAGCTGGTCCCTGCTCCCTGCTCACATCTCCCAGCACCCCCGCTGCTCTCCTCCTCACTTTCCTGTGCTGTGGCCACATCAGCCACCTGTGTGTGTTGGGGCCCTCACCCCCAGCCTTTCTGCACAGGCTCTTCTTCTGTCAGAAATGCCCTCCCTGCAACTCCTAACGCAGTCACTGGTTCATCTACAAATCAGGCACACGCTATAAGCTAATGACCACTGGAGGATGGCGTGATTGGATGTTGTAGACAACAATAGCTCCAGGAGGGGTTAGACAGAAAGAATTCGCAGCCCCATGGCAGGCTTGAGGGCAACAGGTTTCAAAGGAAGTGGATTCTCAACTTTTTATTCCTCCTACTGGGAGACCCAGACACCTCTGAGGCTCAGACAAGCAGGGATTCTTCCCAGCGCCCCCGGGAGGCCTGAGGTCCTGCCTCCTGCCTGGGTGGGCATCAGGAAAGCTCAGGGGCAGGCCCGGGCTGCCATCCACATCATACTCCATGTGAATGATCCCCTGTGGTGTGAGCCGCCTGCGGTGTCCTGTGGAAGACACTGTGAGAATCTGTTTCTTAGGGGAGCCGGGAAATAGACCAGTGATGCCTTTTCTTGGGAGGAGGGGTCAGTGAAAATAAGGAACTCACGTCCACTTCCAGGTTTCCACACAATGGCTTCTGCAGGGGGAGTGATAGGGATGCCGGGGAAAGTAGGAGCCATTTGGATTTCAATTATCTCTGGAGCTCTGCCTCATCCCCTAAGGGTCAGCTTTATTTCACGTGTTTGTTGCTACGAGGGCCTCTGGTTAAGGTGATCCTAAGTGATCAATAAGAAGCAAAATGACAGTATGTGATCCCTGTGTCCCTACCCCACTTTGGATCCTGCATCCCATTCTACAGATGGCTGAACTGATAGGCCAACCCCATTGTCACTGGGCTCCAGGACAATTACAGAAACGAATAGCTGTGAAGCCCCTAGCACAGTGCCTATCACAGGCTAATCACAGTTGTCCTGGGTTCTGTTGATGGAGCAGCGATGGGGGCGGGGATTTTGGAACAACAAGAACTTCCTGGCACCTCTAAAATTATACTCCAAAGAGAAAGAATTGGAAGAAAGAGAAGAAAAGGGGGAATGACAGTACTGCTTCCCGATATGCTTCTAATTTGGAGATACTGGCAGAGGGCTGGGAGACAGCGTGGCGGGGGGAGCAGAGCCCTGACCCAGGGCCAGGAGCCTGGGGTCTAGAAGCTGCTCCTTTGAGATCTCGGGCCATGACCTCCCCACTCTGCCTCCATTTCCCCTCTGCGCATGAAGGGGCCAAGGGGAGAGCACCCCAGGCCAGCTCCCGCCCAGCGCTGCAAGTCTGGGATTCTATTTAAGAACATGCAGCCCATCTGGTTCCCATTGAGGAGGCTGCGTTTTCTCAAATGCTGCCTCCCCCTCCCCTGCAATCCACAGATTCCCACCATGTGACTCCATCTTCTCCCAATGGTGTCTGTTTTATGACTTGTTGTTCTGTGTGCGTGATTTGAGTTTGGGGACTTTTTTTTAATCCCCCACACACAGATTCCCCTCCCTCTTCCAGAAAACGTGGAGCCTGAACTTTTGACTGCCTGAAACCCTCAGGAGAACAGCCATGAGGACAGAGAGCAGGAGGAAATGGATGTCTCCACCCGCCTCCTACTGCCGATGTCTCGGCTTCTTGTTCTCTGTTTGAAGCGCTAGTCCTGATGGGTCCTCACGAACCTGGGAGAGCTGAGGCTGGAGAGGCGGCTGGGAGAAAATCAGTTTGGTTTAACAGTTCAACCAGCCAGTGTTTATTGAGCCACCCAGGCCTGTATGTGCTGGAGCTGCAGAGAGGAGAAGCCAGGCTCAGGGCAGAAGGTGGCCACACGCGGCCCAGCAGGGGACAGGCTGGCTGTGGGCTGAGTGCTCACCTCCACCCTGGCAGGAGAGGGCCACAGAGAAGGCTGCCTGGAAGAGGCCATACCCCATCATTTGTTCATTCAGTCATTCCACAGCTATTTATTAGGCCCCTTGTAGGTGCCAGGTCCTGTACTCATGGAAGGAGCTTATAGTCTGGAGAACAGACAAACATCAAACAGATAATGATAAACACGGAAATATACAGGCACACCTTCGAGATATTGCAGGTTTGCTTCCAGGTTACTGCAATAAAGTGCATATCACAATAAAGAAACTCACGAATATTTTGGTTTCCCAGTGCATATAAAAGTTAGGTTTACACTATTCTGTAGCCCATTAAGTGTGCAATAGCATTATGTCTAGAGCAACAATGTCATACCTTAATTTTAAAATACTTATTGCTAAAAGATTCTAACGATCATCTGATTCTTCAGGGAGTCACAATCTTTTTGCTGATGGAAGGTCTCGCCCCATGTTGACGGCTGCTGACTGATGAGGGTGGTGGTTGCTGAAGGTGGGGGTGGCTGCTACAATTGCTTAAAATAAGACAACAATGAAGTGTACCACATCAATTGACTCTTCCTTTCACCAGAGACTTCTCTGTAGCAGGCAATGCTATTTCATAGCATTTTACTCACAGTAGAACTTCTTTCAAAATTGGAGTCAAATCCTGCCACTGCTTTATTAACTTGGTTGATGGAATATTCTAAATGCTTTGTTGTCATTTTAACAATGTTCACAGCATCTTCACCAGAAACCAGTCAAGACACCACTTTCTTTGCTCATCCATAAGAAGCTACTCCTCATGAATTCAAGTTTGATCATGAGATTTCAGCAATTCAGCCACATCTTCAGGTTTTACTTCTAACTCTATTTCCTTGATATTTCCACCACATCTGCAATTATTTCCTCCACTGAAGTCTTGAACTCTTCAAAGTAATCCGTGAGAGTTGGAATCAACTTCTTCCAAAATCCTGCTGATGTTGATATTTTGACCTTCTCTTAGGAATCATGAATGTTCTTAAAATGACATCTGAAATGGCGAATCCTTTCCAGAAGGTTTTCAATTTATTTTGCCAAGATTCATCAAAGGAATCACTGCCTATGGCAGCTATCGCCTTACAAAATACATGTCTTAAATAATAAAGCTTGAAAGTCTAAATTACTACTTAACCCATGGGCTGCAGAATGGATGTTGTGTTAGCAGGCATGAAAACAATATTCATTTGACAATCCTGGCTAACACGGTGAAACCCCGTCTCTACTAAAAATACAAAAAATTAGCTAGGCATGGTGGTGGGCGCCTGTAGTCCCAGCTACTCAGGAGGCTGAGGAAGGAGAATGGCGTGAACCTGGGAGGCAAAGGTGGCAGTGAGCCGAGACCGCGCCACTGCACTCCAGCCTGGGCGACAGAGGGAGACTCCGTCTCAAAAAAAAAAAAAAAAAAAGAAAAGAAAAAGGAAACAACATTCATCTCCTTGTTCATCTCCATCAGAGTTCTTGGTTGACTAGGTACATTGTCAATGTGTGGCAATATTTTGAAAGAAATCTTTTTCTTCTGGGTAGTAGTTATCAACAGCGGGCTTAAAATATTCAGGGAACTATGCTATACACAGATGTGCTGTCATCCAGCCTTTGTTGTTCCATTTATAGAGCACAGGCAGAGTAGATTTGGCATAATTCTTAAGGGCCCTAGGATTTTTGGAATGGTAAAATGAGCATTCACCTTAACTTAAAGTCACCAGCTGCATTAGCCCCTAGCAGGAGAATCAACCTGCTCTTTGAAACTTTGAAGCCAGGCATTGACTTCTCTTTAGCTGTGAAAGTCCAAGCTAACATCTTCTGTTAATGAAAGACTCTTTCATCTACACTGAAAATCGGTTGTTTAGCGTAGCCACCTTCATCAATGATCTTAGCTAGATATTCTAGATAACTCGCTGCAGCTTCTCCATCAGCAGTTGCTGCTTCACCTTGCCCTTTTATGTTGTGAAGATGGCTTCTTTCCTTAAATCTCATGAACCAACCTCTGCTAGTTTCTGACTTTTGTTCTGCGGCTTCCTCACCTCTCACGGCCTTCATAGAATTGAGAAGAATTAGGGCCTTTCTCCAGATTAGGCTTCGGCCTAAGGGAATGTTGTGACGGGTTTGATCTTCTATCCAGACCATGGAAACTTTGGCCAACTGTTTGGCAGAAGGGGCCTAGCTTTTAGCCTGTCTCTGCTTTCAACATGCCTTCCTCACTAATCTTGATCATTTAAAGTGAGAAACAGGTGACTTTTCCTTTTACTTGAACACTTAGAGGCCATTGTAGGGTTATTGATTGGCCTCATTGCAATATTGTTGTGTCTCAGGGAATGGGGAGACCTGAAGGAGAGGGAGAGAGATGGGGAACAGTTAGAACACACACAACATTTGTCAGTTAAGTTCACCATTTTCTATGGGCATGGTTCATGGTGCCCCCAAAAAAATACAATAGTAACATCAAAGATGACTGATCACAAATTCCCGTAACAGATATAACAAAATGAAAAAGTTTGAAAGATTGTGAGAATTACCAAAATGTGACACAGAGACACAAAGTGAGCCCATGCTGTTGAACAAATGGCACCAAGAGACTTGCTCAGTGCAGGGTTACCAAAAACCTTCCATTTGTAAAAAACGCAGTATCTGGGAGGCATAATAAAGTGAAGCGTAATAAAACGAGGTATGGCCTTTTGCAGTTATAAAGTGTGAAAATGCTAAGAGCGATTCTAAAGGGGGTCTCACTGAAATGATCCTTAAGGAAGTGACATTTAAGCGCGATTGAAAGAAAGAGAAGGAGTTAAGAGGGAAAGCGTCTTCCTGGTGGAGGAGAGTGCATAGAGAGGCAGGAGCCTGCAAGAGCTTTCTACCTTCCAGCAACTGAAAGAAGAGCAATGCACTGAGAGCATGGGGGCGGGGTAGGGCAAAAAGCCAGGGCAGGGAGGTGGTGGCCAGATCATCTGGGCCATCGGGAGGCCAGGACTCAGCCTGAGGTCAGAGTCAGGGGTCATTCTGAGGTCAAGTTTAGGGGTCAGTCTGAAGCGAGGCTTATTGCACAGGCACCAGAGTGACAGGCTAGGCTCAGTCTGTGGCCAGGGTTAGGTCTTTGATGCCAGAATTAGGGGTTGGTCTGTGGCCAGGCTTAGACTCAGTCTGAATTCAGAGCGAGAGGCATTCCGAGGGCAAGTGTAGGGGTCAGTTTGAGGACAGTGTTAGGATCAGTCATTCATGAAATATTCACTAAGCATCTCACTGGCCAACTCCCTAGGAGTAGAATGAAGGCCCTGACTGTACCCCTGCTATCCTGCGTCTTAGAGTTAAATGGGAAAGACAGTCATTAAACAAGGAGTTGCCAGAGTAGTTCATTAATAATCATGGCGGCGAGTGCTGCGGATGAAATGTTAGGAACCTGAGACCTCAGAGCAGGGTTACTATGTGGCTGCATAGCAAATGACACCACAACTTTGCAGCTTAAGACAGCCATGGATTGTGCTCCCAGAATCTGTGGGTTGGGAACTGGAAAAGGCATGGCAAGGATGGCTTGTCCATGCAGTCTGGGGCTACAGCTGGGTAGACCCACAGGCTAGAGCTGGGGGCTGGAATCGTTTGAAGGCTGCTCACTCGCACACCTGGCACCTGGGCCAAGGCTGATGACTTCTCCCTGTGGCTTGGCTTCCTTGTAGTATGGCAGCCTCAGGGCAATCGATGCCCACCAAGAAACAAGGAAGGGGAGTTCGGCCCCTCCCCTGATGCGGGTGTGGTGTGATCACACCATAGAAGAGCACCTGGATTAAATGTATTTGGAAACCTTTGAAAAATGTCATCTTCCATAGATACCAGCAAAAGGCAGGTCACTTTAGGCTGTGGTAAGGGGTCCATCCCTGAATAGAAAAAGAGAGTTTGCTCCTGGAGTACACATGGGACCCTTTCATGGTGGAGCCAATCCCTTAGCTAGGTAGCCCCAAACCCACAGGACACACTGCAAGTAGGGTGGGAGGATTCAGGATCGAAGAAGCTCTGCAACTGACCAGGTTCCAAATGCTTCCACCCCTGTGCAGTAGAGAGAACTAACAATTTTTCAGACCTTGGCTCTAATTCTTTATTCCAGAGTCAGTTTTCCCCTGATAAAATGGGGGTTACATTCTCCTGGCCAGAGCAGATTGGAGACCAACATAGTCCAAGCTGATTTGCGGGTTCCCTTAAGCTTGAGGAACATATACACAGGCCTAACTTTGACTGGATGCCAAATTTTAAAAACATTTTATGCTTTTCAGGATGGTAGTTGTTAATAACATTTTGCTGATGAAATTAGAAGTTTTATGAATCAAATTTCCTATGAAATACTAGAGAACTCCATGCCTTAATGGAATCCTATGGCAAAGCTGTCTCTAAAATGAAGAATACTTTGTAAAGTTAAGAATTTCTCCCATTTCAGCTTTGTTGAAAATGCAGATTTGTGTTGACCTGATTTGGGGGAGTGCAGCAGCTCCCTCCTCAGGCTCCAGGCTCAGATTAAACACCTCGTTTGCTCACACTGGTCTTTCTCTGTCATCTGGAGCTTTGTCCTCTGTCTTGGGGAGATGAGAGGAAATGGGTCCTAACATCAGCAAGGATTTAAATCAGAAGTGGACAGAGCCTGGGTTATGTGGGTCTCCAAGAAAAATAAAGACAGCTGGACCAAGCACCAACTGGGAGACTGTAAGGATGAAACTGGAGCAGTGCTGCCTCTGGGACCCCTTCATGCTGTGAATAGAAAGGGCTGCTCACGGTTTGGCTGCTGCCTCCCTGAAAGGGCTGTCTCTGGGCCTGTTTCCTCTCCTTGCCAAGTTGCCCCTGATGCCCATTGCACAGCTCTTGCCCTGATCCCGACAGCACCCCACTCACCTCTGCTCCCTTGGCAATGACCAGAGTTCTGCAACAGCTTGTGGCATAACTCCCTTCCTCACTGGCCTTGGGAAACTCCATGAACTTGGCCCCAGGGCTAGGGTCAGGCAGGAAGTGTGACCCAGATGACCTCATGCTGGGTTCTTGCCCTGCTGTTCATCCTTCAGCAGCTAGTGACTCACCTCAGGGGGGACAGGCCAAGGCCATTTGAAAACGGAAAGCCTTTGGGCCTCTTCCCTTCCAAGGGCTCCAAGAACAGGCCTTTGGCAGTTTTTAATCTGCTCTTCCCAAGGACCCAGAATGAAAGGCTAGATGTTTCCAACCAGGGTTTTTGTTCCCTAGGAGCAGGCAAAGCATCGTGTCTTCCCCATCTGACTTCTTGGAGCCAGGAGCTGAGAAGCCCAGGCCCAGCCTGACTGTGTGGTGGTGACTATGTTCCTTGCCCTCTCTGGGGCCTATCTCTGCACTGCTAAGCTCCAAGCCCTCTGCTCTCAGTCCGTCCCTGCCCTCCTCTCCAGCCAGACATATCAGTCTGCCCCCACACTTCCCCAGATCCTCATGCATCTTAGCCTCAGGAAGCTTTAGCTGCATTTGGAAGAGTTCTGTGGCAAAGCATTTCTTGTTCCCTGAATATTCATGTGCCCCCTTATACTTTCCAGCCCCCTTGCAGTTAGGTGGGGCCTGGTGACAAGTTCTGACCAGTGATTACCTCTTGGCTAGAAAAGCAAACAAGAGTTCTCCTCACCCTGTCCTCTCCTGACACCTGGGAAGTGCACAAGGAGACCTCATATTACAGATCTGCACTTTACAATGTGGTGGCAACCAGCTGCATGTGACAATTTAAATAAATTAGTATGAAATAAAATGTAAAATTCCATTCCTTAATCATACTAGCCATATTTCAATTCCTCCATAGCCACACGTGGCTAGTAGCTACCATAGTGCACAATGTAGCTAGTAGCTACATAGTGAAAGTCCTATCAGACAGCATTGCTCCAGATGGTGACACTGCAAGATGTCAGGTTGCCACCAGCCTGGGTCCCCAAGGAGCAGAGCCTTCTGCCCACCCACAGTGTCCATGCAGCATGAAGGAGAAAGAAACTTGCATTCATAGTGGAGTTGTTGCTTCTGCAGAGCCCAGCCTATCCTGACTGGGAGAGCCTACCTGCATGAAATAAACAGGGAGCAGCAAAAGCAGGCTGAAGAGGACCAAGTTCTAGCTTGCTGGGCAAATGCCATAGGCAATCCAAACAATCCATGTAACACCGAGTCAACACCTTGCTGGCTTTGTTGAGGGAGCTGGCTGAAGTAAAATCAGGGGAGAGCTCCTAGAGATGAAATAGGAATGGGCTGTGGAAAATGGGCAGGGTTCGCATAGGCTTGTGGTTTTCAACCTACAAGAATTTTTGGCGGCCCACCTGGGAAAGCTGAGATAGGTCAAGGAGAAGGGCAGGCATTCCAGTGGGAACACCAGGAGGGTAAAACACATGAGCAAAAGAGTTGGTGAGAATATGAAGGGACTGGACCATATAATTTTCCTTGGGGTATAAGGGGATCTTAAGGAAGCTTTGGAGCTAAGTCAGATGGAAATTGAGAGGTGAGCTTCCCTTTATGTTTCTATCCAGAGTTGGCCAAAAATAAGGAGTAGAAAGCGTAGAGAAGGAAGGATGAGCTAATATTGTCATTAGTGATAGTCAAGGGTGGGGCTGACCTCAGGAATGACAGGCCTGAATTCAATAACTGGGGTTGCAGAGTTCGACTGGAAATTCACAGAGGCAGCATTCTGCTTAGGAATGATCGGTTAATTGGTGATTAATTCATATCAGAAGCTAGTTAACCCAGAGATCCTCCTTCCAAGTTGTAGGCTCAACTTTCCAATCCTCCACTTGGCTTCCCCAGCTGAGTGTCCTCTCAACACCTCAGCCTCTGCCTGGCCAACATGCCACCCTCCCCCCCAACCTGGCAGCAAATGTCATGGCAATCCAAGCACATGGCTGTGGCCTTAGTATCCTCTGGTAGTCACCCAACCACACAGATACACTCAACAAGTCCCACTGGGGCCTCTTCCAGCAATGCCCAGCATCTTTTCCTGCCCTACCTTCTCTGGCACCCCTATATCATAACTGACTGTTTTTCTCCCGGAACACAGCAGCTTCTGAACTGCAAGGCCCTGCCTCCTAACTTCACTCCTTCCAACCTATCCTGCATTCCAAACAAGAGGATGTTTGCCTGGGTCACGCCTCTGTGCAAAAGCCTTCAGGGGATCTCCGAAGAAATCTAACCTCGTCAGCTTGGCATTCAAAACTTTCTACTTGCTGGTTCAACCTGATTTCTTACTACTCCTTCACACACACACACAAAATCCTCACTCCTGCCGTACAGATCTCCTCATTGCTGCCTCTGTCCCTCACTCCTATCATACCCCTCATGTCCCTGGAAGCCCTCCCTGATGGTTCTCTTTTCCTGTCACCTTTCTCCTACTGTTACTGTGAAGTTCAAAGGGGCAAACAAAGGTCTGAAGGCTGGGGCCACCTTCTCCACTTGCTGCCTGTCTGGCCTTAGGGAAGTCACAACCTCTCTGAACCACAGACTCCTCATCTCCTAAGTGAAAATAGTATGAACTTCACAGAGTAGCCAAAGTCTGGAAAATCGCTTTGTCAACCTTGAAGCAATACACAGATGGCAGGGATTGTGTTTCACTTCTGATGCTTTTTTTTAAAGACTTAATTTTATAAGAGCAGTTTTAGCTTCACTCACAATTGGGTATAGGAATTTCCCATGTACCCCCTTCCCCTACAAATGCATAGCCTTCCTCATTATCAACATCCCCCAACAGAGCGGTACATTTGTTACAACTCATGAACCTACATTGACACATCATTATCACCCACAGTCCATAGTTCACATTAGGGTTCACGCTTGGTGTTGTACGTTCTATGGGTTGGGATAAATGTACAATGACATGTATCCACCATTATAGTATCATACAGAGTAGTTTCACTGCCCTAAAAATCCTCCATGCTACACCTGTTCATCATCTCTCTCTCTCTATCCCCTGCCAACCACTGACCTTTTTACTGCTTTCATAGATTTCCATTTTCCAGAATGTTATATAGTTGGAATCATAGAGTATGTGGCCTTTCTGGATTGGCTTCTTTCACTTAGTAATAGGCATTTAAGGTTTCTTCAGGTTTTTTTCATGACTTGATAGCTAAATCCCTTTTACTGCTATATAATGTTCCATTGTCTGGATGTGCCACAGTTTATTTATTTATTCACTTACCTAGAACATCTTTGTTGCTTCCAGGCTTCAGCAATTATGAATAATTGCTAGATCATATGGTAAGAGTGTATTTAGTTCTATAAGAAACTGCCAAATGCCTTCCAAAGTGGCTGTCCTATTTTTCATTCCCATCAGCAATGAATGAGAGTTCCTGTTGCTCTACATCCTCTCCAGTATTTGGTATTGTCAGTGTTTCAGATTTTGGCCGTTCTAAGAGGTGTGCAGTGGGATATCATTGTTGTTTTAATTTGTATTTCTCTAATAGCATATGATGTGGAGCATCTTTTTATATGCTTATTTACCATCTGTTCATCTTCTTTCATGAGGTTTCTGTTAAAGATCTTTAGTCTATTTTTTAATTGGGTGGTTTGTTTTCTTATTGTTGATTTTTAATAGTTCTTTGCATATTTTGGGTAAGAGTATGTCATCAGATGTGTCTTTTGCAAATTTTTTTATTCTGTGTCTTGTCTTCTCATTTCCTTGACATTTTCTTTCATACAGCAGAAATATCTAATTTCAATAAAGTGCAGCTTATCAATTATTTCTTTAAGGTTCATACCTTTGGTGTTGTACCTAAAAATTCATCACCATACCCAAGGTTATGTAGGTTTTCTCCTATGCTATCTTCTAGGAGTATTTTAGTTTTGCATTTTACTTTTAGGTCTAAGGTTCATTTTTAGTTTATTTTTGTGAAAGCTGTAGGCTCTGTGTCTAGATTCATTTTTTTGTATATGGATGTCCAGTTGTTCCAGAACCACTTGCTAAAAAGACTATCTTTGTTCCATTGTATTGCCTTTGCTCCTTTGTCAAAGATCAGTTGACTCTATTTATGGGGATCTGTTTCTGGGCTCTCCATTCTGTTCCATTGATCTATTTTCCTTCTTCACCAGTAACACACTCTAGATCACTACAGCTTTATAGTAAGTCTTGAAGTTGGATAGCATCAGTTCCCCAATTTTGTTCTTCTTCAATATTATGCTGGTTATTCTGGATCTTTTACCTTTCCATATCTTCAGAATCAGTTTGTCAATACCCACAAAATAACTTACTAGAATTTTGATTGGGACTGCTTTGAATATATAGATCAAGTTGGGAATAACTGACATCTGGACAATATTGAGTCTTTTTGTTCATGAACATGGAATGCCTCTCCATTTATTTAGTTCTTTGGTTTCTGTTTTCAGAGTTTTATAGTTTTCCTCATATAGATCTTTTCCATAGGTTTTTATATTTATACCTATTTTTTGATGATAATATAAATGGTGTTATAGTTTTGATTTAAAATGCCATTTGTTCATTGCTGGTATATAGAAAAGTGACTAACTTCTGTATATTAATTTTATATCCTGAAACCTTGCTATAATTGCTAATTAGTTCCATGAAGGGTTTTTTGTCAATTCTGTTAGATTTTTTACATAGGCAATTAGGTACTCTTTGAACAAAAAACAGCTCTATTTGTTCCTTCCCAATCTGTATGCTTTTTATTTTCTTTTCTTGTGTTAGTGCATTTGCTAGGACTTCCAGTACAGTGTTGGAAAGGAATGATGAAAGGGGACAGCCTTGCCTTGTTCTTGATCTTAGTGGGAAAGCTTCTAGTTTCTCATCATTAAATATGATGTTAGCAAAAGGGTTTTTTGTGGATACTCTCTATCAAGATAAGGAAGTTCCCCTCTATTTTTAGTTTACTGAAAATTTTTATCATAAATGGATGTTGAATTTTTATCAAATAATTTTTGGACCAGCCCAACCAACATGGAGAAACCCCATCTCTACTAAAAATACAAAATTAGCTGGGTGTGATGGCGCACACCTGTAATCCCAGCTACTCAGGAGGCTGAGGCAGGAGAATCACTTGAACCCAGGAGGCAGAGGTTGCAGTGGGCCAAGATCATGCCATTGCACTCCAGCCTAGGCAACAAGACTGAAACTATGTCTCAAAAAAAAAAAATGGAATTATACCAACCATAATCTCAGACCACAGTGGAGTAAATATAGAAATCAATACAAAGAAGGTATCTCAAAGCCACACTGTTACATGGAAATTAAACATTTTGTTCCTAAATGACTTTTGAATAGACAACAAAATTAGGGCAGAAATTAAAAAAAATTATGTGAGGCAAATGAAAACAGAGACACAGCATAGCAAAATCTAAGCAAAATCCCAAGCAAGGATGCAGCAAGAGCAGCCTTAAGAGGAAAATTTATAGCACTAAAAGCCTACCTCAAAAAGTTAGAGGGATCTCAAATTAATGATCTAACATCATACCTAGAGGAACTAGAAATACAAAAAACAAGGAACTAGAAATACAAGAACAAATTAACTGCAAAGCTAGCAGCAGAAAAGAAATAACTAAAACTAGAGCAGAACTGACTGACATTGAGACCTAAAACTCTGTATAAAGAATCAATGAAACCAAAAGTTGGTTGTGTGAAAGGATAAACAAGATTGATATACCACTAGCTAGGTTAACAAAGAAAAAAAGAGGGAAGATCCAAATTAATGCAATCAGAAATAAAGAAGGTGACATTAAAACCAATCCCACAGAAATATAAAAGATCCTCAGAAACTATCAGGACACCTCTATGCATGCAAACTAGAAAATCTAGAGAAAATGGATAAATTCATGTAAACACACAATCTCCCAAAATTGAGTCAGGAAGAAATAGAAAACATCAACAGATCAGTATTGAGTTCTGAAACTGAATCAGTAATAAAAAACCTAGAAACCAAAAAAAAAAAAAAAAGCCTGGACCAGATGGATGTATAGCCAATTTTGACTAGACATACAAAGAATAGCTGGTACCAATTCTACAGAAACTATTTCAAAAAAATCAAGGAGGAAGGACTCCTTCTGAACTCATTCTGTGAAGCCAGCATTACTCTGATACCAAAATCTGGCAAAGACACAACAACAACAAAAGAAAATTATAGGCCAATATCCCTGATCAACATAGACACAAAAAATCTTCAACAACATACTAGCAAATCAAATCCAACAGCATATCAAAAAGTTAGTTCACCAAGATCAAATAGGCCTTCATTCCTGGAATGCAAGTTTGGTTCAACATACACAAATCAATAAATGTGATTCACCACATAAACAGAATTAAAAACAAAAACTTATGATCATCTCAATAGACATGGAATAAGGTTTTGATAAAATCCAATATCCCCTCAGAATAAAAACTCTCAAGAAACTAGGCATTGAAGTAACATACCTCAAAATAATGAGTCATCTAAGACAATCCTACAGCCAGCATCACACTGAATGGACAAAAACTGGAAGTATTCTCTTGGAGAACTGGAAAAAGACAAGAATGCCAACTCTCACCACTCCTATTCAACATGGACTGGAAATGCTATCCAGAGCAATCAGGCAAGATAAAACAATAAAAAGAAAAAGCCAAACTTTCTCTCTTCACAGATGTTAAGATTCTATACCTACAAAACCCTAAAGACTCTGCCAAAAGGCTCCTGGACCTGAAAAATGACTTCTGTAAAGTTTCAGGATACAAAATCAATGTATAAATATCATTAGCATTTTTATACATCAATAATGTTCAAGCTTGGAGCCAAATCAAGAACTCAATCCCATTTACAATAGCCGTATAAAAAATAAAATAGCTAGGAACACATCTAACTAAGGAGGTGAAAGATCTCCACAAGGAGAACTAAAAAACACTGCTAAAAGAAATCATAAATGACACAAACGGAAAAACATTCCATGCTCATGGATTAGAAGAACCAATGTTGTTAAAATGACCGCACTGCCCCAAGCACTTTACAGATTCAATATTATTTCTATCAAACTACTGTTATTTTTCACAGAATTAGAAAAAACTTCCAAAACTGACATGAAGCCAAAAAAGAGCCCAATAGCCAAAGCAATCCTAAGCCAAAGCAATCCTAATCCAAAGCCAGAGGTATCACATTACTTGACTTCAAACTATACTATAAGTTTACAGTAACCAAAACAGCATGGTACTGGTACAAAAACAGATACATAGACCAATGGAATGGGATAGACAGCCCAGAAATAAAGCTGCACATCTACAGCCATCTAATCTTCAACAAAGTTGACAAAAATAAGCAATGAAGAAAGAACTCACTATTCAATAAATGGTGCTGGGATTACTGGCTAGCCATATGCAGAAGAATGAAAGTGGACCCCTTACCTTTCACCACACACAAAACTTAACTCAAGGTGGATTAGAGATTTAAATGTAAGGCCTCAAACTATAAGAATTCTAGAAGAAAACCTAGGAAACACCATTCTGGACATTGGCCTTGCGAAACAACTTATTACTAAGTCCTCAAAAGCAATTGCAAACAAACAAAAATTGACAAGCAGGACCTAATTAAATTGAAGAGCTTCTGCACAGCAAAAGAAACCATCAATAGAGTAAACAGACAACCTACAGAACAGGAGAAAATATTTGCAAACTATGCATCCAACATAGGTCTAATATCCAGAATCTATAAGGAGCTTAAACAATCAAAAGATGCAAAAAACAAACAACCCTATTTAGAAATGGGCAAAGGGCATGAACAGGCACTTCTCAAAAGAAGACATACAAGCAGCCAACAAACATGCGAAAATGCTCAACATCACTGATCATCAGATAAATGCAAATCAAAACCACAGTGAAATACCATCTCACACCAGTCAGAAAGGCTGTTACTAAAAAGTCAAAAGACAACAGATACTGGCAAGGCTGCTAGGAAAAGAGAACACTTATACAATGTTGCTTGGAATGTAAATTAGTTCAGCCACTGTGGAAAGCAGTTTCAAGATTACCCAAATAACTTAAAATAGAAGGACCCAGCAATTCGATTACTGGATATATATCCTAAAAGAAAACAAATCACTGTACCAAAAAGACACATGAACTTACATGTTCATCACAGCACTATTAACAGTAGTAAAAACACGGAATCAATCTAAGTACCCATCAATGGTGGACTAGATAAAGAAAATGTGGTACACATACACCCTGGAATACTATGCAGCCATAAAAAAAGAATGAAACCATGTCTTTTGCAGCAACATAGATGCAGCTAGAGTCCATTATCCTAAGTAAATTAACACAGGAACAGAAAACCAACTACCATATGTTCTTACTTATAAGTGGGAGCTAAACACTGGATACTCATAGACAAAAAGAAAGCAACAGAAACTGGGAACTAGTAGAGGGGTAAGAAGGGAGGGGGTCAAGGGTTGAAAAACTATTGGGTACTATGCTCAGTACCAGGATGATGGGATTATTTGTACCCCAAATCTCAGCATCACACAATATACCCAAGTAATAAGCATGTGCATGTACTCCCTGAATCTAAAATAAAAGTTGAAAATAAAAAATAAGAAAATATGAAACAAATAAGTAAATTTCCCTCTAAGCATTTCTTTTGCTGCATCCCAACAATTTTGATAAGTTGTATTTTCATTTTCATTTAGTTTAAAATATTTTTAAATTTTTCTTGTTATTTCTTCTATGACTGATGTGTTATTCAGAAATGTGTTGTTTACTCTCCATGTTTGTTGAGATTCCCCAGTTATCTTTCTGCTATTCATCTGTAGTTTAACTCCACTGTGATCTGAGAGCAAATATTGTGTAATTTCTGTTCTTTTAAATTTGGTAATGTGTGTTTTATGGCCTAGAATGTTACACATGAGCTTGAAAAGAATGTATATTCTCTTGTTGTCAATCAATAGACATCAATTATGTCCAGGTGACTGATGGTATTGTTGAGTTCAACTATGTCCTTACTGATGTTCTCCCTGCTGGATCTGTGCATTTCTAACAGAAGGGTGTTTAAGTCTCCAACTATAATAGTGAATTTATCTACTTCTCCTTGCAGTTCTGTCAGTTTTTGCCTTGTAATCCTCTGTTATTAAATGGATACGTGTTAAATATTATTATGCCTTCTTGGAGAGTTGACCCCTCTATCTTTATGTTATACCTTTTTTCCCTGATAATTTTTCTTGCTTTGAAATCTCCTCTGTCTGAAATTGATATAGCTGTTTCTGTTTTCTATTAGTGTTAGTATGGTATATTTTCTCCATCTATTTACTTTTAATCCATATGTGTATTCATATTTCAGGTAGGTTTCTGTAGGGAACATATAGTTGTGTCTTGTTTTTTGGTCTGCCCTGACAATGTCTGTCTTTTAATTGGTACATTTAGACCATTGACATTCAAATTAATTATTGATATAATTGAATTAATATCTACCATATTTATTGCTATTTTCTATTTGATGCACTTGTTCTTTGTTCCTATCTTTGTCTTCCACTCATTTTCTGTCTTTTCTAGTTTTAATTGAGCATTTTATATTATTCTATTTTCTTTCCTGTCTTAGCATATCAGTTATA
Source organism: Homo sapiens (assembly GCF_000001405.40). NCBI lineage: Eukaryota > Metazoa > Chordata > Mammalia > Primates > Hominidae > Homo > Homo sapiens. Next base: position 71,960,452 of record NC_000002.12, read on the forward strand.
TTTCTTTTTTAAAACTATTTTTAGTGGTTACCCTAGAGTTCGAAATACACATTTACAACTGTCTTAGTTGGTTTGTGCTGCTATAACAAAATACCTTACGCTGGGTAACTTATAAACAACAGAAATTTACTGCTCATAGTTCTGAAAGCTGAGAAGTCCAAGATCAAGGTACCATTATGATTAGGTCTTAGTCTTTCAGTAAGGCTATGCTTCACAAGTGCTTCTCAGTCTCCAACCTTCTTAGGTGGGACAGGATGACTAGAGTGAACTGGAGTTGCATATTTTCCTTCCCCAGGTCAGTTAGGCTCTGATAAAACCTTAGCAGGTTAGGCTCTCATTAAATAGTTTCTCCTGAGGGCAGGCCTTGTTAAGAAGAACAGAATGCTCTGATGTATTTCAAAATGGTTCCTTTTCCTCCTCCCCATGGCAGAAGCATGAGGGATTTTTTTTTTCCCCTAACATTTACTGTGACAATCTGGTTAAGCTCCTGGAGGTAAAACTCACAGAAGTGTGGGAACCCCCATATAACTGAGTCCCCTGGGAGTTTTAAACTGTGAACCTCAAACAATTCATCAATTACAGTGCAGGTTTTCCTACCCTGGCCCTGGTTCCCTTGGAGGCTTCTGTTCCCAGGTCTCTTCCATAAGCTGTGACTTCCTGTATTTGCCTGTCTGTCTCTTTGATCTGGGGGGCAGTGGCTGCTCTGTGTCCTCATCTCTCTTAGGGATCCAAGAATAGTTGTTGATTTTTCAGTCTGTTCAGGCTTTTGCTTTTTGTTAGGACAGAATGGCGACTTCCAAGCTCCTTACATGTGGATTTGGAAGCTGAAAGTTCTGATCCTCTTTTTATACACACATCTTGCCTACTTTTTTCTCTCCTATAGCATCTAGGTCACAGCAAGGACTCACTAAAGATGGCAGGTGGGAGGCATTTGAGGCCTCTGGGGTAAAGCTTTTTTGGCATCTAGAATGCTCTGTGGGAGCTGAAGAGCTCACTTCTCCCTCCCACTTCAGTATGCACATTCCTAAAATGAAAGGGTTGGACTAGGAGGCCTTGGGGAGGGTGGCCCCAACGCTGCACGAGATGTCCTCCTGCAGGCAGTGTCAGGATTCAGCAATGGGGTCCTTCAGGGAAGGCTGAGAGCCCAGAGCAGGGAGAAGCCAGGGGTTCCTCTCTGTTCTATCTGTTCTCTGAGAAGGATTTCTAGGTGGACAGAAATTGAGTGAAAGGGGGATCAAAAGTGAGGGGCATTTAACTGCGTTTCTATTTTCTGATTACCAGTGCCACTTGATCATTGCCAGGAGGGAATTTTACACCCAAACCTCTGCCAGCTGCAGAATCACAGCCAAGGACTTCCTATTTTATACCCTGAATACCAGCAGGCCCTGTGTGACCTGGCCCTGGCCAATCTCCCTAACCTCATCCCTGCCCCTGCCCACCAACCCTGCCTCTGCTCTCTGTGTGCAGCTATCCTGGTCTTCTGCTTCCTACCGGCCTCACTCCCTGCTCCCGAGAGCTCTTCCATGTGCTGTTCCCCATGCCTGAAGTCCTACTTTCCCCTGGTTAATGCCCACCCACCCTCCAGGCCCCAGCTCACAGGTGGTGTCCCCAGGACCCCAACCACCACTACAGCACCCCATAGATGTTGGTCCCTCTTATATGCTGCCATGGCTCACTGTGCGGTCTCCCACGGTTCTCTCATGGTTCATAAGCACACACTGACATGCTTATTTGCTTCATGTCTGTCTCCGCTATCAGAATGTGAGCTCTAATGAGGACAGGGACCAGGCCTACTGCACTTACCATTTCATCTCCAGCAATGAGTCTGGCATATAGTAGGTGTTCAATAAAGATTTCAGGAATAGACGAATAAGTGAATGGGAAAGATGGGATAATTTTTTTAATCACGCAGAAGATCTTCAGCACCATGTAGGCTGACCACCCTCCAGGCCCCCACCCTACCCCTTGCCATCCTCTGCCCACACCCTGCTCATCCTCACTAGACACAGGAGAAAGGGCCGCTCCACATGGCTTCAGCTGGCCCAGACCTCACACCAAGGCTGGCTGGGCCTGGGTTTGTAGAGGATAAACAGTCCTAATCCAGACAAGCCTTGCTTTGCCCAAGAACTGGGCTTAGACACAGAATTCCGTGAATCTGATTTCCCCAGACCCCACACTCCTCCTCCCTGAGCTGCTGCCTCTACTCCCCTGGTGGGGCCTCTGGATGGGAGCCAGGACTCTGCCACCCTCAGGGTCTTTTGCCTCCCACAGTTCTCTGGCCCCCCAGCTCATAATCTCCCCTCAGCGATGTAAAAATATGTTTCAAGGCACTAACTAGGGAGGTCATTACTTCAAAGACCCTCTTGGCAAATTCTTTTATTGGCCCCAGTTTAAAAAGCCAGAATCTTCTTATAATGGGGCTTCTTAAAGCAGGGCCCACCTGTGAAAATACTGCCCTCTTTAGGGATTGAGCCGGGCAGGGAAGGGCAGGCACCAGGCCCCTTTGCTTCTCCCGGAGGAAGGGTGAGGAGGAGGTTCAGAAGAGCTTAAGAAATGGTCTTTTCCTAAAAAGAGGGAAACTCCTCCTGGCCGAAAACTCCAGATGGGAATTAACACTTTCAGAACCTAGCTGAAGCAACCAGCCAAGTTCTGGCCCCGGGCAGCAGTCCTGACAACTCCTCAGTAGGAATTCTGTGTACTAATGGGATCTTGGTCCAGCCAAAAACTCCCAGCCCTCTGAGCAGAGAGCCTTGCCTCCCACCACCCAGTGAGGGGGGACCTGGTGGAGTGTAAGATCCTGGATCTTCTGCCCCCAGATGTACAAGGCTCCTTATGCCTGGCCCATGTGGCCTCAGTCCCTCCCCTCGGGTTGACATCGGGGGAGTTGTGCTGTCTGCTATAAGCCTCTGCCCTCCCTCTGGGTTTCATCCCCAACGAGGGTCACACAGGCATCTCCTCCTGCCTTCTCAGGGACATCCCTCTTGTGGTTAGCACTCCTGTCCTCGTTATTCAGTCTCTTGCTCTCTATCTGCCCCTCCCATTGGCATTTGCCCAATTATCTGCCACGTTAAAACCACAGCTCCAGCTCCTGCCTTAGCTCCCTCTCCCATCCACAACAACTCATTGGAAGCACACACACTGGCTGTCTTTCCTTCCTCTCCCTTACTTTTTCTTCAGTCCATGGTAGCGTGGCTTCTGTCCCCACCACTTTCCTGAAACTGCTCTCTCCAAGGACCCCAAAGGCCTCTCCTTATTGCCAACTCTGAGTTCAGCAGCTTATGGTTCTGTCTCTTCATCTTTGTTTATATTTTTTTTGTAGGGAGAGGAGTCTCACTATGTTGCCCAGGCTGGTCTCAAACTCCTGGACTCAAGCAATCCTCCCATGTGGGCCTCCCAGAGAGCTGGGATTACAGGCATGCACCACCATGCCCAGCCCTGTCTCTCCATCTTGAAATGCTCCTTTTCCTAGCTTTTCCTAGCTTCTCCATACAACCCACCTGGAGCTGGATCCTACCCTCTGGCTGCCCCTTCTCCTTCTCTACTGTGGGCCCTCTTCAGAAGTCTATTATTGACTCTCCTCTTTTTCTTTCTTAATGTGCTCTCTCCTAAGTGATCTCATCCACATCCATGGCTTCAGTGATTCAAGAATCTTTATCTACAGCCCAGACCTCTCCCCTGAGCTTTGGACCTATACATTCATTCTTTCATTCAATCATTCATTCATTCACCCACTACACAGACTGAGCACCTACCATGGGCCAGGCACTGTTCTCAGGAACAAAACAGATCTAGTTTCTAACAATGTAGTGGAGACAAACAGTGCATAAGAAAGCAAGATCTCCCCATGCAAGGTAAGTGCCACCAGAGTGATAGGCTAGTGTGAGTGGGGGTCAAGAAGGCTGCATCAGTTTGGCTTAAAGCAGGAAGCAGAGCCACTGTGAGTGTTAAAAGATGGGGGCATTGGTTAAAAATAAGACAGTATGCAATTATGGGGAATGCTTGGGGAGCAAAGGTCCTACATGGGCAGTTAGAGGATCAGAAAAATGTCACTTTTAAGCCCCCCTGAAGCCAGACATGCCCAGCCAGAAATGGGAGCTGAGGAAAGTCGGTAGAGAAGTCTATGGAAGGCTGTTTCCTCTATACCTGGTGCTGCAGGGCTGAAAGTAGAGAGTAACTCAGGGATCCATCGGCTCTCAACAGGATTAGGGCAGTTTCCTAAGTGGTCTGCCTGACACTACTTTTATCCTCTTCCAATATGTCCTTCACAGCGCAGCCTGAGCAATCTTTCTAAAATGCAGAACCAGCCATGCCAGGCCGTTTCTTAAAACCCTTCTGCTCCCATGACCTTCAAGACACTGCTCAGACTCCTCTGCAAGGTTTCTGTGGCTGACGGGCCCATCATGACTCTGCCTCCCACCCAATGCTTGATTTCTGCCTCTAATACCACTGCCCCTGTCTGCGTTCAGTTCGGCTGTCCAGATCCTCGGTAGAGAAAACTTACTTCAGCCTCTCACACTCGCGCTCTCATCCAGACCTCAGGACACTCCTTGTCCTCTCACATTCTTTTCCTGGCCAATTCTCACTCATCCTACAGGACTCAGCTTAGACTCCTCCTCCTGTAGGAAGCTTCTATGACACCCACCCCACACACATCTGGGCCCTTCCCACATGCTCCCCCAGATCCCAAATGTCCTCTCTTGGTCCTTGGAGCTGGGTACCTGTGGGTTCGCTTGTCCATGTGCCTCACTGACTGCAAATGCCAGGAGGAAAGAGCTCATGCCTGGGGCACTGTAGGTGCTTGATAAATATTTGCTGAATTAACAAAGGTTTATAAGAACTGTGCAAGAAATCATACAATAATTATTCCATAATGTTCATGTAAAAAGCAGAATACAAATTTTGTGTATTGTAAGACTGTGATTTGTAAAATAGATAGAAGAAAAATACATGTACAGTAAAATAAAAGGGAGGGGTGGAAGGAACTAGATGAAACTGTTAATAAAGTTTTCCCTCTGGCTGGTGGGGCTATGAGTAACTTTTCCTTCTACATTTTACTTTCATATTGTTCTTTAAAGTTAAAAAAAAAATTAACCATTAAATTTTTTTCAAAAGCAATAAATTGCTCTCTTACCACCCAATCCTATTTTTACATTCACATTCCTTCCTAACCACATTTGTTCTATACTTCCTAGAATGAAGATCTCTGTCTTGGACAGAGAAAGCCAAATTTTTCCTTTCAGTAGGAGTTGACTGACCTGTCTTCTCTTTGTCATCTGTTCCCAGATACCATCTGCCAGAAAACGTGTTCCCATCCTCCCTCATTTTTCTTGCTTTGTATGACAAAAGTAATCATGGGGTTTTAAGTTGTATCAGAACAGCCTACTGATGGATATTTATAGACTCACAAATGGCCCAGGTGTGGGCACCCAGATCCTGCTTGCAATGACAAGCCTTCCCCAGAATTCCCAAAGGAAATATAAGCACAGAAGACAAAATAAAGCAAAGGGGTCCTTTGCTCCCAGCTGGGACTTTGCCCAAGACCCAGTGCAGAAGTGAACCAGGTCTCCCTTGGCCATGCTGCGCGATCTTCTCTTCTCCAAGTGAGCCCAGTCTCAGACACTGGAGCTCTTGCCAAGTGAGGAAGGGCAATCCTGAGCACTCCAGCCCAGGGAAGAAGATGAGGGTACATGATGAAGAGTGTTAGCCCTAAAACCCAGAGCAGCAGTGATCCGGGAGGCCCATTCCAGCAGTGGGAGCATCTACCAGATTTACCCAACTTGCCAGAGACTGAATCCAGGAGAGAAAGCAGACCATGCCTCTGGCATTAAGGACTAAACTTTGACCTTGAGCATCTTCATTATCACCTTGAGCATCTTCTCTCTAGTGGCAGCCTGATCCCCCCACTAGAGACCAATACCTAAGACGACTTTTGCATTTTTCCCAAGCCTGAGCTCATTTTGAAATCTTATTTTCTTGAGACAGACCATTCTTCGTCTTTGCTTCTTTCTTTCTTTCTTTCTTTCTTTTCTTTCTTTCTTTCCTTCTTTCTTTCTCTTTCTTCCTTCCTTCCTTCCTTCCTTCCTTCCTTCCTTCCTTCCTTTCTTTCTTTCTTTCTTTTCTTTTCTTTCCTTTCTTTCTTTTCTTTGAGATGGAATCTCAGCCTGACACCCAGGCTGGAGTGCAATGGTGCAATCTTAGCTCACTGCAACCTCCACCTCCCGGGTTCAAGCAATTCTCCTGCCTCAGCCTCCCGAGTAGCTGGTATTACAGGCATGTACCACCACGCCCAGCTAATTTTTTGTATCTTTAGTAGAGACAGAGTTTCACCATGTTGACCAGGCTGGTCTCGAACTCCTGACCTCATGATCCACCCACTTTGGCCTTCCAAAGGGCTGGGATCACAGGCGTGAGCCACCGTTCCCAGCCATCTTTGCTTATTTCGTATTGTATCTGTGCTCATCAGAGAATTCCCTGGGAAGCTCTACATGAAACCATTTGAAATAATTTCTGAATGCCTCCTATTCATCTTAAGGCACCTTCCTTTTATCATTTTTATCATTTCAGGCCATGTTAAGACATTTGAACTTGATCCTGCAGCAAAAGGGTGACCCTTGAAATTTGCCCTTTAGTAGACAGACTTTGTTGGTTTAGTGCCCTGAAAAGGACAGTCTAGCATCAATAGAAAGAATGGGTAGGGTCGGCTGAGAATTGAGGCAGGAGAGTTGCCAGAGGTCATTACGGCAGTTCATTGAGAGACAATAAAATCCTGAACTAGGGCAATTTGAGGAGATGCATCCAAGGGAGTAGGGGAAGGTTTGAGAGCCATTTCTAAGGGAGAGTTTATAGGGTTAGAGGGGGACGGTTAGAGCAGATGAGGAGTTAAGATTGTATCTTAAGATTTATAGCTTGGGAAATAAATTAAATGGTGATTACTCCAAATATGTAATGCAGGAGAAATGGATATCTGAGCAAATGATAATGAATTTGAGATACCCGAAAAGCACTGACATAGTTGGATATTTGTCCCTATCCAAATCTCATGTTGAAATGTCATCACTAATGTTGGAGATAGAGCCTATTGTGAGGCGATTGGGTCATGGGGATGGATCTCTCATGAATGGCTTTGTGCTGTCCTCATGATAGTGAGTTCTCAGGAGATCTGGTTGTTGTAAAGTGTGGCTCCTCTCCCCCATCAACTCTCTCGCTCTTGCTCCTGCCCCCTCCATGTGATGTGCCTGCTCCTGCTTTGCCTTCCACCATGAGTAAAACTCCCTGAAGCCTCCCCAGAAACCCAGCAGGTGCTGGTTCTGTGCTTCCCATACAGCCTGTAGAACTGTGAGCTAATTAAATCTCTTTTCTTTATAAATTATCCAGCCTCAGGTATTTCTCTATAGCAATGCAAGAATGGACTAACACAGGCATCCAGGTAGAAATTTTCAATATATGTTTGAAGATATGGGCCTTGGAACTTGGGGTAGAGATTGGGTATAGAGATGATATAGATACGGATATACATGTAAGTACGGATACAGATAGAGGTGTAGATATAGATGAAGATGCAAATACAGACAAAATATCAATATAGATACATATGAAAGACAGAGATAGAGATAGTCAGATCTAGATATAGCTTAGCACACAATAATTAAAGCCCAAACCAGGATGACTGTTAGAATTTTTCAAGGGAGAAATAATAGCATTGATGACCACTTAAGTATATGTGATAAGAGGTTGTAAGTAGTTAAAAATGATTTCAAATATTTGAGTCTTGGTGTCTGGAAGGACAGGGGTTCCATTGACAGAAAGGCAAAAGATCAGGCTGTGTGGGGAAATGATGGCTGGTTTCAGAGTTGTTGAGTTTGGGATAATGGTGAGACATGCAACTAGAGATGCTAAAAAAGCAACTATGGGATCAGAGTTCTCATTAAGTAAGCCTGGAGATGTAGAATTTGGAATCACAAAACCATAATATGTTAGAGCTGGGAGGAATTTTAGACCCTGCCTAATTAAATATCCTCCTTTTGTGGATGAGGAAGTTGAGACCTGGATAGATTAAAGGCTCTTTCCTCACTTACAGAGCCTTTGCTAGCAGAACCAGAAGTCGAACCCAAGTCTGTCTATACCTAGACCAAAACTTCTGTTACCTGCACAGGGGTGGGCACTGAGAGTATGAAGATAGATATGACAACTTTCTGAGAGAAGAGTGCAAGGAGCTGCTGTGACATTAAGTCACAGCTCTGAGAGATCTGAAATGGTTAGAACACTTGGTTAAAAGTGACAGAATTTTTTTTCAAACTAACTCAAAGCACTAAAGAGGACATTCATTGACAAATGTAATCAATCCATAGCAAGAGTAGGAATGGAACTGGCCTCAGGGATAGCTGGATCAAGATAACAAATACCATGTGGACTGTTTTCTTCATCCATCTCTCTTATCTGTGTGTGAGCTTGATTCTATCAAACTGGTTCTCATACATGATGGGGAACATGGTCACGAGCAGACTCTAGGACTCTTCTCCTTACAGCTTTTGACCCCGGAGGGGGGGGATTTGATTGGCCAGCTGGGATCATATACTAATGCCTGATCAAACTGCTATGATCCAGAAGACATCACGTGGCTGTGGCCAAGAAATTATTTTTCACTGGAAGAGAGGTATAGGAAAAAGGTGCTGAGCAGAAAGAAACAACAGACCCTCTACTATACTCAACAAAAGCTTTAAACACAGACCAGAAAGCCTGAACATCCGGGGATAAATAACATAAGAGAGTTGAATAAGGGAAGACTGTGGGTATAGTTAAGTAATTTGTAAGTTGAGATTCTGGAAACCAAACCAGATATCTATCTGCAAAACATGACAAAGAAGGAAAGGAAAATAGGAAAGGATTAGATGCACAGAGTGGAAGAGAACAGGAGAGAAAGAAATTAGTATGTCGGGTACCACGTGGAATGCAGTTCATGCTAAATCCAGAAGCCACGCCTAGAAAAGAGCCAGAAAGAGCTGTTGTTCCTTCAAGGGTAGGAGAACATGGAGAGGGGCCCATGGCTGCCTACATGGGTAGTCGGAAAGGCTGGGTAAGCTAGGGAGAGGAGCCAGAAGAGAAGCCTGTGGATTAACTTCTCCAGGAAATAGCAGTAATCTTAGGACCCATAAAAGCATGGATCATTGTTTGATAGGGTTACTAGGTGCTATGGTTTGAATGTGTCCCCTCCAATATTGAGATGATGCCAACGTGGTAGTATCAAGAGGTAGGGCCTTTAGGAGGTAATTAGGCTATGAGGGCTCCTTCTTCATGAATGGAATTAGGTGTCCTTATGAAGGGGCTTGATGGAGAGAGTTGATCCCCTCTGGCCCTTAAGCTTTTCACCATGTGAGGATCTGGCACTTTGATCTTGGACTTCCTAGATTTCAGAACAGTGAGAAAATAAGTTTCTGTTCTTTATAAATTACCCAGTCTCAGATATTCTGTTATAGCAACACAAAATGGACTAAGACACTAGGCTAGTGATTAGTAACGTGAGGAGGATATAAAGTTGCAAAAATAAAAATAACCTGTAATCACCACTCTCAGAGGGAACAGTATTGCATTTCAGACAACTGGTTTACGTAAATGCATTTTTTTTTACTAAAATTGAACCTTATTGTACATATTTTTATAATTTGCCTTTTCATTTAACAATATAATATAAATATCTTTTCATGCCAATGCTTGTATTTCTACAATATTTTTACTGGCTGCATATACTTTTATTGTATGCCTATGTCATCATTTATTTAACTAATTCCCTACTAGGGCAATTTAGGCAATATTCAGTTTCTTATAATTTACTACAGCTAACCATTATACACATGATCCTTAACTTAGGACTTAGAATAAAATTTGGACATGTAGTTCCCACTGGAATGTAAATATGTTGTGCCTTTTTTGTTGTTATTTTGCTAGCAACATTCCTTTCCACCTATTGCTGTTAAAAATAATATGTCTAGTATTGGGGATATATTATAAGGGTCTCTTTTCAAATATTTGCAAAGCAGATGGGGAGTAAAGGAAAAATACTATACTACATTTTGTAGGTTTTTATTGGGTTATTTTACTTTTTATCAATAGGTTCTAAGAATTCTTTAAATATTCTTTTAGAAGTCTTTTGTCAGATATGTGTATTTTAAATATTTACACACAGACACCCATCCAGGCTGTGACTTAATTTTTTTATTTTCTTAATGATTTTTTTAAAGAACAGAAGTTTTTAATTTTGATGAAGTTTAATTTTTTGAGTTTTTCTTCTTATGATCATGCTTTTATGTCCAAACTAAAAAATATTTGCATACCTCAAAGTGATGAAAATTATCTCCTACGATTTCTTCAAGAAGTTTTATTGCTTTAGCTTTTACACTTAATTCCCTGATCCACTGTGAATAATGTTTTGTTTATGGTGTGAGGTAAGGGTCAAAGTTCATTTGTTTTTTCACGTGACTATCCACTTGACCCAGCATCATTTGTTGTAAAGACTGTCCTTTCCCTCACTGAATCAGCTTGTCCTCTTTCTTGTAAGTCAATTGGCAATATACATGTGGGTCTATTACAGAAGTCTTTATTCTGTGCCATTGATCTATATGTTCATCCTTATGACACTATAATACTGTCTTAATTACTGTTACTTTATAGCAAGTCTTATAGTAAGACACCACCTATTAAATTTTTAACTTTTTGAATTCATAGCTTTCTAAAACTGATTTACCCTGGCAACCAATGTGCTTATTTCAAACTGTATTGAGATAGCTCAAAATCTCTTTTACGGTAAGAAGACTTACCCAAGAAAATTATGATATTGTGAAAGTTATGATATTGTCAATTATGTATTTGGCCTTTTATGGCATGCAGTTCCCAAAACCCTTGGAATCTCCAGAGTGATAAGAGTGACTTTTGAATGCTAATGAGATGATTGGTGGCTGGGGCACCCTTGATAGCTTCAGAATGGGGGCTGATCATTGGAAAGACTAAGCATGATTAGAAGGTTGAGACTTTCAGCCCCACTTCCACCCCTCCAAATTTCTTTTCTTTTTTTTTTTTAAGTGAAAGCAAGTTTAATAAAAAGTAAAGGAATAAAAGTGGCTACCCCATAGGCAAAGCAGCAGTGTGGGCTGCTTGATATACTATGCCTATGATTACTTCTTGATTATATGCTAAACAGGTGGATTACTCATGAATTTTCCGGGAAAGGGGCAGGGAGTTCCCAGAACTGAAGGTTCCTCCACGTTTCAGACGTTGCCATGGCATTTGTACACTGTCATGGTGCTCCATCACCCAACTTCTGGGGATGGGAGGGGAGTGAAGGTTGAGTGGATCTCCAGTGGCTATTGATGTAATCAGTCATGCCTACATAAGAAAGCCTCCATAAAACCCCAAAAGTACAGAGAGCTTCTGGATAGCTGAACACGTGGAGGTGCCTGGGGGATGGCATGCCTGTAGAGAACATGGCAGCTTAATGTCCCTTCCCACATTTATTGCCCTACGCATCTCTTCCATCTGGCTGTTCATCTGTATTCTTTGCAATATCCTATATAATAAATGAGGAAATGTAAGTAAAGTGTTTCCCTGAGTTCTGTGAGCCACTCTGGTAAATTAATTGAACCCCAGAAGGGGGTTTGTGGGAAGCTGTATTTATAGTAGCTCAGTCAAAAGCACAGGCCACAAACTGGCACTTGCAATTGGCATCCAAAGTGAGGGCAGTCTTATGGGACCAAGCCCTTGACCTGTGGAATCTGACACTATCTCCAGGTAGATTGTCTCAGAAATAAATTTAATTATAGGACACCCACCTGGTGTCCACTGGAAAATTTCTTGGTGTGTGGGGAGAAACCCACACACATATGGTGTCAAAGTGTTGTGTTGAGTGGTATGTGAGAGTAGAAAGAAAAAATTATTTGTTTTTTTCCACCCGAATGGTGCACTGGGTGCACCATTCCAAGTGTAGAAGGTGGGAAAGGTATGTCTTATATCAGAATCACCTGTGCTCCTGAAACACTACAGTTTCATGAAAATGCCTAAGAATAGGCAGCTTGAGGCTTTTAGAATGTTGATACTTTTCAAAAAATACACAGTTTTATAAAAGTATATACCAGTGTAAAACATTTGGAAAATGCAGAAAAGTATAGAAAGACATTAAAATTATCTGTAATTTACTACTCAAATGAACACTGTTAATAAAATTTTCTATGCATATTTTAACTTAAGAATCAAACTGTTTCTGTAGTTTTATATGTTAAGAAGTTAATATTATTTGGGGAATATTGTCCCATTTCATTTAATCTTTTTGAAAACCCTATTTTAATGTCTATATATTTTTAATATATTGATATACCATGATGATATACCATAGTGTAACCATCAACTATTGCTGATTATCTGGACTATTTCCACTTTGCTATTATAAATGTGTACTACTCATCCTTAAACACATCTACATCATTTATTATTTATTTTTAATAAATTTCTAAAAGTGGATTTACTGATTGAAAGAACATAAATTTTCAAATGTTTCTTGACACAGAGGACAAATTTATTTCTAGAAAGTTTTTTTTATCAGTTCATACTCCCACTAGCTGTGAACAACAGTGTCATATCACTCTTGCAAGCACTATTTTTTAAATCTTTGTTAATTTGATAGGTGAAAAAAGATAACTTATTGCTACTTTAATTTGCACATTTTTTGATTACCAGTAATTAATTTTTAATGTGTTAACTTTTCTTCCGCAAATGTTGTTCTCATAACTTTGTTTCAAAGTTCTTAATATGTTAAGAACATTATTTTTTGCCATACATGTTGGAGATATTGTTCAATGTTCTAAATTGTCCATGGACATTTGAAAATAGTACATATTCTTTTTATCTAGGATGCAAATTTTACATTACTACTTAGACTGTTTCGATAAATAATGGTTGGTTTAAAAATGCCTCAAGAAATTTTGCTTTTTAAATCTTTTTCTGCAGAAACCACAAGTGGTAATGCAGTATCCTGGGGCTAGAAATGGCAGGGAACCATCACTTTTCTTAGGCTGGAAAGAGAAAGGAGTGAGAGCAGATGTGGAAACATGGAAACTGGAGGGCCAAAAGGAAGGGCTCCTCTATGGCAACTGACCTCAAGTAAGGAATAGCCAACCTGCAGCCACGCTGCGGGACCACCGCTGGGGAACTAAGTGCACCAGCCCCACCTTCAATCTCCCCCACAGTCTCCTGCTGATGCTTCCTTTTGGCCAAACCCAAGTAGAAGCAAAGGGTGAGAGAGCTGTCAGTGTGGTCCCTCCAAGTCAGCCTCCTGGGACCTAGAGCAATGAGGAGATGGAGGAGGAGTGGATAGCCGGAGGAGAACATGGAAGGCGTTCAGCACAAAGACCCCATCTTGTTAAGAAGTCCCTGCATTTTAACTCTTACCAATAGAAACTGACCTTTTTGTGATACTGTAACTCTGCTTTTTCTGATTTCTTACATGTTTTTCTAATATAACTTAACATATGCATTATTTAATAGTATAAGATTAATTTGATTTTATTTGTTATCTATAGTTTGCACTTATGTTTGAGGATTTCAACTGCAAGCTTACAGGAAGGGAAAAATGCAGACACTGGGCAGAGGATGCAAGTTGTCTGCTAATATCCATTTCCCTCTCCTCTGTAGGAATAGAACCCTCAATCATCATCTGGGCACATAGCTGTTCAAACTAAAGACTACATTTCCCAGCCTTTCTTATAGCCAGGGTGGCCATGAGACTAAGATCTGGAATAGGATGTGAAGGGAAGTGATGTAGGCAATACTTGTCGTTTCCCTGAAGGATGATGCATGAGCCTTCTTTCCCCTTCCTCCACCTCGTGTGGATCGTGGATGTGGTGGGGAGTCATCATGGACCATAGGGATGGCAGAGCAATGAGGTCCCTGGACCACCTGGATTGTTTATCTCCAGACACTAGATGAGAAAGAAAGAAACTTCTCTTTTATAAGTCCCTGTTATTTTGGATGTTACACAAAGCCAAGCCTAATTCCTAACTAAAACGGATATCAAGGGGCAGAATTTCAGCCATTCATTTAAATGGAAAAAGGGAATGGAGATTAACATTTTCTGAGCACTCTCTACATATTTTCACCAATATTATTGCATTTAATCTTCTCAACAATCCTGCAAAATGGGTATTATTCCCATTGTTACTCTTGAGACTGGGGCTGTTAGCTTAAGAAACTTCCTCATCATCACACAGCTATAACCTGACTATACTGGGGTATGACCAGGATGTATCTGTCTGACTCCAAAACCAAGTTTTCCTTCATGTCCTCCTGATTGCCTGAAGATGAATGAGACTCCCAGCTGGGTCAAGAGTAAGCTTATATTCATGCCTTAATCATCTCATATCCTCTAGAACCAGTGTGCTTTTGAGAAACAAATAGATAAACCATAACACCTTCTCATCATAGCAACTACTGTTTACAACTCACATTTATTCTTCAGCTTAAGAATGGCCAGGATCCCTCAATTCAGGGAATTTATGAGTAATGGGAAATGCAAGAACTCAAGCCTCCTATGTCAAAGAGGGAGATTTAGAAAGACTAAGATAGCTCATGCACAAAGTTAAACATTTATGACTCATATACCATTGCCAGCACCATCCTAATACTGCTCTTGATTCAAAAAATGTAACATTCCCTAAGATGTGATTCTATTTGTTTTATTTGTATATTGATGACCAGGCAACAGGAGAAAGGAATTGTAGAAGCTTTGGGTGGTTTTTGTATTTCTCAAGGGTAGTAAGAAAATGAATTGGGTTAGGGAATGTGTCCAGTTCCTTGATATCATTGAGTCATCATTATTACTTAATGAGAGCTCTCTTTTAGATTACTGCTTTGGATCAGCGCTTGGTGGGATGCACTATGAAGTTAGCCTATCTCTAATAATAGTCAAGTTGTCACTGCTATTGTCTAGCACGAGCCTTCATTACTCATTCCAAGGTACATATTCCATGTGCTACTGAAGCTTCCAGTCACTTGGGTAACAGTTTGGCTGGGTTCTATGTGAAAAGGAAGAGAATGACCCCTTTTGTATCTATTTGCCATTTGGCCCCAAAACAACTCTGAATGGTGGTATTCTCTTCATGTCTCTCTTTAACATGTTGACTTCTCTCTTCTAACACACAAGTATGAGGTATAGGTTCAGATTTTTTTGATATGAATATCCAATTGTCACAACATCACTAATTGAAAAGACTTATTTTTATTGAACTGCTTTTGCAACTTTGTCAAAAATCAATTGACCAACCTTACACCATATACAAAAATTAATTCAAAATGGACCAAAGACCTAAATATAAGTGCTAAAATTATAGAAATTATAGAAGTCAACCTAGATGTAAATCTTCATGACCTTCGTTTCTAGATATAACAACAAAAACATGAATAATAGAATAAAAATAGATAAATTGGATTTTAACAAAATTAAATGCTTTTGTGCATCAAAGAACATAATCAGGGAGGTAAAAAGACAGCACACCGAATGGATGAAAATATAGCCTAGGCAATGTATTGAGACCCTGTCTCTACAAAAAATAGAAAAAATTAGCCAGGTGTGGTGACATGTGCCTGTAGTCCCAGGAACTTGGGAGGCTGAAACAGGAGGATCGCTTGAGCCCAGGATGTCAAGGCTGCCATGATGATGTCACTGCACTCCAGTCTTGATGACAGAGTAGGACCTTCTCTCAAAATAAGGGTTTAGTATGCAGAATATATTAAAAACTCTCACAACACAGTAATAAAAAGACAAATAACCAAGTTTTAAAATGGACAAATGATCTGAATAGATATTTCTATAAGGAAGTTATACACATGGCCAATAAACACATAAAAAGATGCTTAGCATTACTAGTCATTAGGGAAAGATAAATTGAAACCACGAGGTGATATCACTTCACACCCACTGGAATATCTATAATTAAAATGTCCTATAATAACAAATATTGGTGAGAATGGGAAGAAATAAGAATCTTCATTTATTACTGGTAGAGAAATGTAAAGTGGTATAGCCACTTTAGAAACAGTTTGACAGTTCTTCAACAAGTTAAATATAGAGTTACCGTGTGACCCAGCAATTCTACTTCTATATATCCAAAATAATTGAAAACAAGGGCTCCAACGACAACAACAAAATTGTACGCAAAGGTTCAAGGCAACATTACTCACAATGGTTAAAGGTGGAAACAGTCCACATGTCCACTGACTGAAAAATGGATCAACAAAATATGGTATATACATACAATGGTATATTACTTAGGCATAAAAAGAAATGAAATGCTGATACATGCTACAACATGAATAAACCTTGAAAAGATTATGCTAAGTGACAAAAGCCAGACACATAAGCCATATATGGTATAATTGCATTTATATGAAATATGCAAGATAGGCGAATCCATAGAGACAGAAATCAGATTAGTGGTTGCTAGAGGGGAGAGGCAAATGGGGATTGATTGCTTAATGTGTACAGTGCTTTCTTTCTGGGTGATAAAAATGTTCTGCTGCACAGTGGTGTGTTCCTATAATCCCAGTTACTTGGGAGAATGAGGTGAGAATATTGCTTGAGCCCAGGAGTTTGAGACCAGCCTGGACAACATCATGAGAGCCCATCTCAAAAAAACAAAAATGAAAAATGGTTATGGAGTTCTGGAAGAAGTTAGTTATGATGGCTGTACAACTTTGTGAAAGTACTAAATCCCATTCAATTGTACACTTTAAGGTTTTAATTTCATTGAGTTCAAATAACCTGCTTTTTTTTCTTTTGTTGCTTATGCTTTTGGTGTCACAGCTAAGACTCTTGTCAAATGCAAGGTCATAAAAATATACTGCTATGTTTTCTTCTAAGAGTTTTATAGCTTTACCTCTTAGGTCTTTGATCAATTTTTACTTAAAGTTTGTGTATAGTATGAAGTTCATAAAAAATTTTAGAACTAGCTTGTGTATATCTACAAAAATATCTTGGTGGGACTTTGACTGGAATTGCCTTAAGTCTATAAATTAATTTGGGGAAAATGAAATCTAATGTGTTGAGTCTCCCAATTCATGAATATAGTATGCCTCTTTATTTTCTTTTTTTTTAAATTATACTTTAAATTCTAGGGTACATGTGCATAACGTACAGGTTTGTTACATATGTATACATGTGCCATGTTGCTGTGCTGCACCTGTTAACTCGTCATTTACATTAGGTATATCTCCTAATGCTATCCCTCCCCTCTCCCCCAACCCCATGACAGGCTCCAGTGTGTGATGTTCCCCACCCTGTGTCCAGGTGTTCTCATTGTTCAATTCCCACCTATGAGTGAGAATATGCAGTGTTTGGTTTTCTGTCTTTGCGATAGTTTGCTCAGAATGATGGTTTCCAGCTTTATCCATGTCCCTACAAAGGACATGAACTCATCCTTTTTTATGGCTGCATAGTATTCCATAGTGTATATGTGCCACATTTTCTTAATCCAGTCTATCATTGATGGACATTTGGGTTGGTTCCAAGTCTTTCCTATTGTGAATAGTGCCGCGATAAACATATGTGTGCATGTGTCTTTATAGCAGCATGATTTATAATCCTTTGGGCATATACCCGGTAATGGGATGGATGGGTCAAATGGTATTTCTAGTTCTAGATCCTTGAGGAATCACCACACTGTCTTCCACAATGGTTGAACTAGTTTACAGTCCAACCAACAGTGTAAAAGTGTTCCTATTTCTCCACATCCTCTCCAGCACCTGTTATTTCCCTCGCTTCTGCCTTGCAGTTTGATCTCAGATTGCTGTGCTAGCAGTGAGCAAGGCTCCATGGGCATAGGACCCTCCAAGCCATGCGCGGGATATAATCTCCTGGTGTGCCATTTGCTAAGACCATTGGAAAAGCACAGTATTAGGGTGGGAGTGCCCCGATTTTCCAGGTACCATCTGTCACAGCTTCCCTTGGCTAGGAAAGGGAATTCCCCGACCCCTTGCGCTTCCCAGGTGAGGCGATGCCCTGCCCTGCTTCGTGGGCTGGACCCACTGTCTGACAAGCCCCAGTGAGATGAACCTGGTACCTCAGTTGGAAATGCAGAAATCACCCGTCTTCTGCGTTGCTCACACTGGGAGCTGTAGACTGGAGCTGTTCCTATTCAGCCATCTTGGAACCTCCTCCCGCCTCTTTATTGTCTAAGGTCTATTTTTATTTCTTTCATCACAGTTTTATGGTTTTCAGATTCTATGTATGTTTGGTAAGATTTATACTGCAATATATTTTGGAGCTATTGTGAATAGTATTTTTTAAAACTTCCAGTTCCAAAAGTTTATATTCACTGCTAGTATATATGAAATATGAATAATTGTGTGTTTACCTTATATCTTCCATTCTTGATAACTCACCTATTACGTCTAGGAGATTTTCTTCAGATTTCTTGGAATTTTCTATGTCATCTGTGAATAGGGAGACTTTTGTTTCTTCCTTTTCAATCTCTATGACTTTTATCTCTTTTTATTGACGTATTACACTTCTAATGCAATATAGAGTAGGAGTGGTGAGACTGAATCTTCTTGCCTAGTGCAAGGAAAAGCAACAAAGGGAAAAGCATTCCATCATTTAGCATTAGGTGTGATTTTGGCTGTAAATTTTTTGTAGATGCCCTTTATCATATTGAGAAAGTCCACTTCTATGCCTACTTTGTTGACTTTTTATCATGAAAGGATGTTGAATTCTATCAAATGCTTTTTCTGCATCAATTAATGTAATCCTATGATTTTTCTTATTTAGACTGTTAATATGGTAGATTATATTGCTTAATTTTCCAAATAGTACTGAATCAATGTGCGTTCCCTGAGATAAAGCTCATTTGATCATGGTGTATTATCCTTGTTATACATTATTGGACTCAGTTTGCTAATATTTTGTTAAAGATTTTCGCTTCTATGTTCGTGAGAAATATTGATCTATAGCTTTCTGTTTTCTTTTTTGTTCTTTGGCTTTAGTACCATGGTACTGCTAAACTCATAAAATAAGTTGGAAAGTATTATCTTCTCTTCTAATTTTTTTGAAATTGTTTAAAATTGGTGTTACTTCCATAACACAATGAAAAAAAACAAAGTATATCAGTAACATTAACATGATGAATGGAACAGTATCTTACATATGAATATTAACACTGACTATAAGGAGCCTAAATGCTCCACTTAAAAGATACAGGTTGATAGAATGGATAAAGAATCACAAACTAAGTATCTGCTGTCTTCAAGAGACTCACTAAATATACATGCACCTCACTGTTAAGCTCCCAGATTCATAAACCAATTATTACTAGACCTAAGAAATGAGATAGACAGCGACACAACAATAGTAGGGGACTTCAATACTCCACTGACAGCACTAGACAGATCATCAAGACAGAAAGTCAACAAAGAAACAATGGGTTAAATAACACCCTACAACAAATGTACCTAACAGATATTTACAGGGCATTCTACCCAATAACTGCAGAATACATATTCTTCCCATCAGCACATGGAACATTCTCCAAGATAGACCATATATTAGGCTACAAAACAAGCCTCAACAAACTTTTAAAAATTGAAATCATATCAAGTATCTTCTCAGACCGCAGTGGAATACAACAAGAAGCCAACTCCAAAAGGAACCCCCAAAACTATACAAATGCATGGAAATTAAACAATCTGCTCTTGAATGATTTTTGGATTAACAATGAAATCAAGGTGGAAATTTAAAAATTATTTGAAAAGAATGATAATAGTGACACAAGTTATCAAAAACTCTAGGATACAGCAAAAGCAGTGCTAAGAGGAAGGCTTATAGCACTAAACACCTACATCAAAAAGTCTGGAAGATCACAAATTGACAACTTAATGTCACACCTCAAAGAACTAGAGAAACAAGAACAAACTAAACCCAAAGCTAGCAGAACTATGAACACCTCTATGCAAACAAACTAGAAAACCTAGAGGACATGGATAAATTCCTAGAAAAATACGACACTTCTAGATTAAACCAGGAAGAAATAGAAACCCTAACAGACTAATAACAAGCAGAAAGATTGAATCAGTAGTAAAGAAAAAAATGCCAACAAAAAATCCCAGAACCAGATGAATTCACAGCCAAATTTTGCCAGATATTCAAAGAATTGGTACCAATCCTACTGAAACTGTTCCAAATATTAAGAAAGAAGGAATCCTCCCTACATCATTGTATGAAGCCAGTATCACCCTGATACCAAAACCAGGAAAGGACATACCAAAAAAAAAAAAAAAAAAAAAAAGAAAAGAAAACTACAGGCCAATATCCCTGATGAATATAGATGCAAAAATCCTCAACAAAATACTAGCTAACCAAATCCAACAGCACATCACAAGGAGAATACATCATGATCAAGTGGGTTTCATTCCAGGGATGCAGGGATGGTTTAACATACATGAGTCAATAAATGTGATACATCACGTAAACAGAATTAAAAACAAAAACCATATGATAATCTCAATAGATGCAGAAAAAGTGCTCCATAAAATCTGGCATCCCTTTAGGATGAAAACCCTCAACAAACTAGGTATAGACGGGACTCATATTAATAAAAGCCATATATGACAAACCCACAGTCATCATCATACTGAATGGGGAAAAGTTGAAAGCATTCCCCGTAAGAACAGGAGCAAGACAAGGATACCCACTTTAACCACTTCTATTCAACATAGTACTGGAAGTCCTAGCCAGAGCAATTATACAAGAAAAAGAAATAAAAGGTATCCACATTGGAAAAGAGGGAGTCAAACTATCACTGGTCACTGATGATATGATTGTATACCTAGAAAACCCTAAAGCCT
Organism: Homo sapiens; assembly: GCF_000001405.40. NCBI lineage: Eukaryota > Metazoa > Chordata > Mammalia > Primates > Hominidae > Homo > Homo sapiens. Next base: position 71,981,326 of record NC_000002.12, read on the forward strand.
CCTCCAAAAGATTCCTAGATTTGATAAAAGAATTCAGTAAAGTCTCAGGTTACAAAATCAATGAACACAAATCAATAACACTGGTATATACCAACAACAATGAAGCTGAGAATCAAATCAAGAACTCAATCCTTTTTACAACAGCTGCAAAATATACCTACATATATACATGTATGTATATATATTTATATATATATATATTCATAGGTGTATATATGTACGTAAGAATATTCTTAACCAAGGAAGTGAAAGATCTTTACAAGGAGAACTACAAAGCACTGCTGAAAGAAATCATAGATGACACAAGCAAGTGGAGACACATCCCATGTTCATGGATGGAAGAATCAATATTGTGAAAATGACCACACTGCCCAAAGCAATCTACAGATTCAATGCAATTCTTATCAAAATACCAATGTCATTTTTTCACAGAATTAGAAAAAACAATCCTAAAATTTGTATGGAACCAAACAAGAGCCCAAATAACCAAAGCAATCCTAACCAAAAAGAATAAATCTGGAGGGATTGTATTACCAGACTTCAAGTTATACTATAAGGCAACAGTTACCAAAACAGCACGGTACTGGTACTGGTATAAAAGCATTCACACAGATTAATGGAACATAATAAAGAACCCAGAAATAAAGCCAAATACTTACAACCAACTGATCTTCAACAAAGCATACAAAATCATAAACTGGGGGAAAGGTCAAATGATGCTGGGAAAACTAGCTAGCCACATGCAGAATAATTAAATTGGATCCCTATCTCTCACCCTATACAAAATTCAAATCAAGATGGATCAAAGACTTAAATCTGAGACCTGAAACCATAAAAATTCTAGAAGATAATCTTGGGAAAACTCTTCTAGTCATTGGTCTAGGCAAAGAATTTACGACTAAAATCCCAAAGCCAATGCAACAACAGCAAAAATAAATAAATGAGACCTGATTAAACTAAAAAGCTTCGCACAGCAAAAGAAATAATCAGCAGAGTAAACAGAGAACCCACAGAATGGAAGAAAAATATTTGCCAACTATGCATCTGACAAAGGGCTAGTATCCAGAATCTTCAAGGAACTTAAATCAGCAAGAAAAAAAATTCTTTCAAAAAGTGGGCCAATTACATGAATAGACTTTTCTCAGAAGAAGATATACAAGTGGCCAATACACATATGAAAAAATGCTCAACATCCCTAATCACCAGGGAAATGCAAATTAAAGCCACAATGAGATGTCATCTTACTCCTGCAAGAATGTCTGTTATTAAAAAGTCAAAAAACAATAGATGTTGGCATGAATGTGGTGAAAGGGGGATTCTTACACACTGCTGATGGAAATGTAAATTAGTACAGCCTCTACAGAAAACAGTATGGAGATTCCTTAAAGAACTAAAAGTAGATATGCTAGTTGATACAGCAATCCCACTACTGTGTATCTACCCAAAGGAAAAGAAGTGATTATGTGAAAAAGACACAGGCACATGTGTGTTTATTGCAGCACAATTAACAATTGCAAAGATATGGAACCAACCTAAGTGCCCATTGACCAATGAGTGGATAAAGAAAATGTGGTATAGATACACCATGGAATTCTACTCAGCCATAAAAAGGAACAAAATAATGTATTTTGCAGCAATTTGGATGGAGCTGGAGGCCATTATCCTAAGTGAAGTAACTCAGGAATGGAAAACCAAATACCATATGCTCTCACTTGTAAGTGGGAGCTAACCTATGAGTATGCAAAGGCATACACAATGATATAACGGATTTTAGAGACTCAGAAGCGGGAGGATGTGTGAGGAGTGTGGGATAAAAAACCATATATTGGGTACAATGTACACTGCTTGGGTGATGGGTACACTAAAATCTCAGAATTCGTCACCATATAATTCATCCATGTAACCAAAAACCACTTGTACCCCCAAAGCTATCAAAATTACACATGTATTATTATTACATAACTCAATATAAATTATATAAATTTATAATTATAAAATTCAATATATATAACATATATGTTATATACTCAATTATATATTCACATGTAATTGAATATATGTTATCTATACTGAATTATATATTCATATAATTCAATATGTATGTTATCTATACTGAATTATATATATGTTATTTCTTCTTTAAATGTTTAAAATTCATTAGTGAAATGATTTAAGGCTGGAGACTTCCTTTTGAGATGCTTTTTAACTAAATTCAATTTATTTAATAGTTATAGAACTTCAGATTATCGATTTAATCTTGGTTGAATTTTGGTATTATTCATTTTTCAAGGATTTTGTTCATTTCATTAAAGTTATGGAATTATGTATTTAGAGTTGTTTATTTCCTTATTATCCTTTTAATGACTGCAAGTTCTGTAGTGTTATACACTTTCAGCACTGATATTGGTAATTTGGATATTCCCTCTTTTTTTCTATTGGTCTTGCTGGCAACATTAATTTTTTCATTTTTATTGTGCTTTTTTTTTTTTTTTTTTTTTTTTTGAGATAGAGTCTCACTCTGTAGCCCAAGCTAGAGTGCAGTGGCCTGATCTCAGCTCACTGCAACCTCTGCCTGCCTCCCGGGCTCAAGCAATTCTCATGCCTCAGCCTCCTGAGTAGCTGGGACTACAGATGCGCGACACCACACTGGCTAATTTTTTGTATTTTAGTAGAGATGGGGTTTCACCATGTTGCCCAGGATGGTCTCAAACTCCTAAGCTCAGTTGATCTGCCCACCTTGGCCTCCCAAAGTGCTGGGATTACAGGAATGAGTCACTGCACCTGGCCTTTTATTGATATTTTATCTCATTTTATTTTAACAACTGGTAATCAATTTATTAAAATAGTTGACTTAAGCATCTGCAATGATGACTTCCACCTCAACTCCTGGCTCAGTACTGATGGAAGTAATCTGCTTAACAATCTCAGAAGGACCGTGCAAATCAATGAGTCGCTTGTGGAGTCTCATCTGGAAACGATCCCATGTCTTAGAACCTTCACCACAAGGAGTTTTTCTTGTAGTGATTCTCAAAGTCTTGGTAGGCATTCAAACTGGTCCTTTCACTTTGAGATTCTTTTCCTTTACTTCTCTGATCAAGTCAGCACACACTACAGGGAAATAAAGATCAGGTTTGGCTTGTTTGATTTTTTTATTTTAAATTTCATTGATGTCTGCTCTTATCTTTATTATGTCTTTATTTCTGCTTGTACTAAGCTTATTCTACTCCTAATTTTCCAGTTTCTTAAATGTGTAAATTTAGATTATTGATTTGAAATCTTTCTTCTTTTGTAATGTAGGAATATGAGGCAAGTAATTTCCCTCTAAACATTGCTTTAGCTGCATTCTAAATTTTTAGATTATATTTTTATTTTTATTTCAAAATATTTTTAATATCCCTTGAGACTTTTTCTTTACCCATATATTAGTTAGAAGTACATTAATTTCTATGTATTTGGAAATTTTCCATTTATCTTTCTAGTACTGACTTCTAGTTAATTCCATATTGCCAAACAACATACTTTGCATAATTTTAACTCATTAAATTAATTAAGGTTCATTACCTGACTCATGATAGGTCTATCCTGGCAAACAGACCATGAGCACTTGAAAAGAATGTGAACTCTGCTATTGTTGAATGAGTGTCCTATAAATGTTAATTAAATGTAGTCAGTTGATGATTTGTTCAGTCTTTTTGTATCCTTACTGGTTTTTCTATCTGCAAGTTCTATCAGTTTCTCAGAGAAAAATGCAATGTCTCTAACTATAATTTTGGATTTATCTATTTCTGCTTGTAGTTACATTAGTTTTTGCTTCATATATTTTGAAGCTTTGATGTTAAATGTATATACACTTAGGATTGGTATGTCTTCTTGATTAGTTGAACATTAATCATTATATAATGCCCTGGTAACTTTCTTTGCTCTGAAGCCTCTTATATCTGATATGATTAAAGCCATTTCAACTGTCTTTTGATTGATGTTTGAATGGTTTATCTTTTTCATCTTTCTATTTTTAACCTACTTATATTATTATCCTTGAAGTAAATATTTTGTAGACAGCATATGCTTTTTAATCCATTTTTACAAGCTCTGTGATTTCATTGGCACATTTAGACCACTTACATCTAGCATAATTACTAATATCTTGGGATTTAACATTTACTTGTTGTGTTTGTTCTCTCATTTTTGTTCTTCTGCTTTTCTTTCCTGCCTTCTTCTGAGTTATTTAAACTTTTAAAATTACGCTAACGTACTTATTGTGTTTTGAACATATTTTTGTGCTGTTCCTTTAGTGGTTGCTATAGGGTTACAAAAAACATGCTTAACATTTCAGTGTTCTTAAAAATCAATATTTTAGCATTTTGAGTGGAATGTAGAAACATTACCACTATATAGGCTCCTTTACCCTTCCACCTTTATGTTTTAGTTATTACACTTACATACATTAAAGACCCTATTAGTGGAAAAGCATGATAACTGAAATTTAAAACCCAATGGATATCTTTACAAGTAGATTGAGCCAAGCTGAAAAGAGGATTACTATACTGAAAGATATCTGAGTGGAAACGTCTGGATTGAATCATGAAGAGAAAAAGAAAAGATAGAAAATGCAGAAAAGAGCATAAGAGACATATGGAGCCTAGTGAAAAGACATAACATGCATGTAATTAGAGACCCAGAAGGAGAGGAGAAAGAGATGGAGCAGAAGCAATATTTTAAGAAAACCAATGAGTCAGTAATCACTATGAACTCTAAGAATGATAACTGCAAGGAAAAAACACACTTATGCACTTCATAGTAAAACTGCTAAGAATGAAAACCAAAGAAAAAAAATCTTAAAAGATCCAGGGTAGAAAGACAAATTACCTTCAGGGAAGTAAATAGCAGGATTAATCTAAGTAAATATTGACTCTACATAACAGTAATAATAAGGTCTTGTGGAGTACAAAACATATGTGAAATTAAAACACATGGGAACAATAAGACAAAGCCAGGATGGGAGGCCTTTGTGGCCTTTACATTGCCTGAAACAGATCAATAATATTTATGATAATCTCTAGTGTTAATATATGTGGTAATCTTCTATATCCTTGCTGATTTTCTGTCTATTAAAATAATAATAAAAGAATGTGTACCAAATAGGTGAAAAAAGAGAAAATGGAGTCTTAGGAGATACTTGTTTAATGCAAAAGAAGGCAATAAAGTTAAGTAAATAAAAGCAGAACAATTGGTTTGAATAAAAAACAGTAATATGGTAGATACATATCCCAATAGATTAGATGTAAATGAACTAAAGCCTTTAATCAAAAGTCAAAGATTGTAAGACTAAATTAAAACAATAGCAGCAGCAAAAACAATATGGTTCTTATAAGAGAGAGACTTTAAAACAAGAACAAAAGAATATTGAAAGTAAAAGGATGCAAAATGATATACCATGCAAGTTAACTAAAAGAAAGTTGGTGTAGCTATATTAATAACAGGAAGAAAATAGATTTCAAGGCAAAAAAAAAAACTGGTAGACAGACATTTCACAATAAGTAAGTGTCAATGCAGCAGTGAGACATAACAATTCTAAATTTGTGAACATCTAATAATTAGCCTCAAAATATATAAGAGAGGAATGGACTAAACCACAATGAGAAATAAACAATTCCAACTATGAGTTGGAAATTTTAACACATCTCTGTTGGTAACTGATGGAACAAGAAGACAAAAATCAGTAAGATTTTAGAAAATTTGAAAAAATGTGGTTAACAACCGTGACCTAATTAATAATGGCATTCATTGTACCAAAGAATTTCAAAAGTCAAATTTTTTAAGGATCATATGGAATATTTTCCAAAAATGCTGGGCCATAAAGAAGGCCTCAATCAATGAATTTATGAAAATAGAATAAAACAGATCATGTGCTTGATCATAATAAGGTTAAAAACCAATAACAAAAAGAAAAGTAGGAAAACCCCTAAATGTTGGGAATTAAAAAATATATATCTAAATAACTCATGGACCAAAAGAGAGTAACAATAAAAATTAGAAAAAAAAATTAATTGTATAATGAAGATACAATACATCACAATTTGTGAAATCCAGCTAAAATTATGCTTTAAGGGAAATGGACAAGTTTTTGTTTTTGTTTTTGTTTTTGTTTTGAGACAGAGTTTCGCTCTCGTTGCCCAGGCTGGAGTGCAATGGCGTGATCTCGGCTCACCGCAACCTCCGCCTCCCAGGTTCAAGCGATTCTCCTGCCTCCACCTCCCTAGTAGCTGGGATTACAGGCCTGTGCCACCACACCTGGCTAATTTTGTATTTTTAGTAGAGACGGGGTTTCTCTATGTTGGTCAAGCTGGTCTCAAACTCCCAACCTCAGGTGATCCGCCCGTCTCGGCTTCCCAAAGTGCTGGGATTACAGGTGTGAGCCACCGTGCCCGGCCATTGGACAGGTTTTTTTTTTAAGTTTTTGTTTTGTTTTGTTTTGTTTTGTTTTGTTTTGTTTTAAATACTTCAAGTTCTGGGATACATGTGCAGAACATGCAGGTTTGTTACATAGGTATACACGTGCCAGGGAAATGGACAGTTTTAATGCATATATTTAAAAAGAAAAGCTGAACATTAAATAAGTATCCATCCTAAGAATTTAGAAAAAGAAACAAAAGAAATCCATCCTAAGAATTTAGAAAAAGAAACAAAAATTAAATACATAAAGGGTAAAAGGAAAGAAGTACAAAGATGAGAGCAGAAATCAATGAAAGAGAAAGTAAACATATAATAGAGAAAATAAATAAGAGTTTATTCTCTGAAAGTCCGGTAAAAATTAGGAAGTCTCTACCAAAGCTTATTTAGAAAAAAGTGAGGAATACAAATTATTAACTCAGTAATTAGGCTGCCCAGCTAGCTCAGTCAGTAGAGCATGAGACTTTTAATTCAGTAATTAAAAGGATACTTTATTACAGCTTCACCATAACCCCTTTAAGGGGAGTCTGGGCACAAATCCTAATGGCACTGGAAAGATAATAAAATCATATTATGAACAACTTTATGCCAAAAAAAATTCACTTAAACGAACAAATTGCTAGATAATCTAACTGACCAAAGAGGGCATGAGAAGAAACAGAACATCCGAATGTTCTACTGCATGTATACTACATACATACTACATATGTCTTAAACATTGAATCTATGATTTGAAACCTTCCAACAAAGAAATCTCTAGTCCAGGAATTTTCACTAAACATTTAAGGAAGAAATAACATCAATGTTACACAAACTCTTCCAAAGAATAAAAAATGAGTACGCACTTCCCAGCTAGTTTTATGAAGATAGATGCAAAAAAAAAATTATGAGTTTACCTAAAAGTTATATTCATCAAATTACTAAAACCCAAGAACAAAATCTAAATCACTAGTAAATAGAGAAATACAGATGCAAGTAATAACGAAATGTCACTTTATTCAACAATACCTATTCTAGAGAAGACGTGGAGGCAAATAACTCTAACATTGTTGGTGGCAATGTGAAATGTTATGGTTTTATGAAAAGCAATCTGCAAGTGCCTATAAAATTTACATATATATGCCTATAACCTAATAATTTCACTTCTGGGAATCTAGCCATAACATTAAGAGCACTAGTGTATAAGGGTATATATTTAAAGACATTTATTGCAGAGTTGTTATTGTGGCAACAAAATTAAAACCTGGAAGTGAAATTAATGCCCATAAATAAGGAGATGGCTGAGAATATATGGTTCAGCCATACCATGGAATATTATATAGCTGTTTTTTAAAAATGAGACTAGAAATTTACCTTTCACCCTAGAGGGATTTACCTGAGGTTTTATCGAACAAGATGTGGAAAAGAGTATATAATATTCCTTCTTTATATTTTTACAAAAAACAACAGAAAACTCATTATGCATTGTGTGTGTGTGTGTGTGTGTGTGTGTGTGTGTCTGCACACGTGTATGTGCAATGTAAATGATCACCTCAGCATGGAGAAAAATATGGAAGGTAACATACTGGATTCCCTTTAAATACTAGTTCACTACCATGAGTTCACGTGCTATTAAAGGAGGAGGGGAGAAGAAAAGAGGGAAAAGATGCTAAACAAAACCAAAAGAAACCTTTATTTCTTTATGTAAAATGATCTGTGTATGTGCATAAAGAAATTAAATAACTTTAAAAAACAAAGACCAAACAACAACTTTGTAGTCCTCTTATGAAAGATTAAATAATTTAACATTTTTGCTTCTTCTATCTTTCTGATCATTTCAGACATTTAAAAAATTTTAATCCAGAATTATAAACCCCATTATTTGCTTTCAAAATATGTTAATAATTGAGCTGTTTTTTCCCTTTTTTCTTGTACTTTTATTGAATATTTACAACATTTTTACTTTTAAAAAGTCTTAAAAATGCTCAGTACCATAATTATAGCTTGCCTCATCTTTCCTTTCTTTATTTTTTTCATAACATACATTGCCAACTGAGATCTTGCCATATGCTCATTTTCCTACTGTCCCCCACACCGGAATGCGCATGCGCCAGGCAGGGACTGGGTCTATTGTTTACCGCTGTGTCTACAGTGCCTGAAGGGGTGTCTGGCAGACAGTAGGTGCTCAGTCAATGCTTGAATGAATTTGTGAATGAATACATTTTCTATTTCAACTTCTCTATACTTGAGTTCATTTCACTTACTCATGAGTTTATTTAGCACATATTTAAAGAAGTCTAAATACCGAGTTAGAAATAGGAATAAATGAAGGTAGAAGACATGGTCCATTCCTCCCGAACAGTAAGTGTTCCAGTGGGAGAAAAGACCTGAAAGTCAGTGATTGTTCAGAATGATATGATAAAAGTAAGCATAATGCATTGACAGAGTACCGAGGAGGGGCACTTTAGTCAGACTACTTGGGGGTGCGGGTGTGCAGAGACTTTCAGATCGCAGTCCCCCCGTGAGGGAATCCAGGGCGGCTGGGGAGGGAATAGCTCTAGGACAGCAAGCAGGGCCACATGGCAAGAGCCAGGATACCCAAAGGAATCCCACAGGCCACCTGGCTGGAAAGAGCTGGAGGTGAGCAGGCAGGAAGGGCAGCCAATGACTTCCAGGTCAGCATGACACTCAGGGTCAAGTGGCACAGGTGTGATTGTCTACTGAGGAAGCCAGATGGAATTACGGTAAAAAATATTGTCCTGTTGTCTCTACTAAAGTCAAGTTGGAGGAGAATGGGTCAAGGCAGGTTAGTACTAAATCCTGGGCACCCATTTCCAGCAGAGTTTGCTGGGTCAACCTCTCATCTGAATCATCTCTGGGCTTCTGCGAATGGATTTCTGCCAGTGTTTCTCTAGGGAAGGTGAGATGCAAAGCCTTGAGATGCTGCTGCAGGACTCAGTCCTATGGGTTTGCAGAGGAAGAGGAGCCTGAAAGCTTCCAGTGGGATTGTCTTCTCATGTCTGAGTCAGTGATGAGCTAAGAACTCCTCTTCTTTATACAGCAGCCGTATCTATACATCTCGTGTGAATTCTGGCAATTAGTTATAACAGTTTTTTGCTTAGCGCACTAATTCCCCTTTTCCAGCACTCTTGGGATTAGTAATGATAATAGTAACTATCTATTGGGTTATTACCATGGCTTATCTAATCTTCACAAAAATTCTATGAGGCAGTCACTATTATTAGCCCCATTTCCCAGATGGAAAAACTGAGACTTGGAAGGATAAGTAGCTTGCACAAAGCCATGCAGCCAGAAGGTGACCCAGGTGCATACCCTGACACTCCAGGCTTTACCAACTTACGAAGCCACACTTCCCTTTAATCCTCAAATCACAGAAGTCAGAGCTCCTGTCCCTTGCCCACTCTGTTTGGACTTCCTCAGGAATATTGGTGTGTTCACCCATTGCCTCCTGTGTTCTTCCCACCCTATATATCATCTAGCTCTGGAACAATGCATGTTCAACGTGTTGCCTTTGGTAGGCTCAAGATCAGCTTCCCTCTAGATACTCCTGCTCTCCTTGTACCATCTCTTTCCCAAATGTGGGAGTATCACCCTCCTGCCTTTCCTCTGCTGAAATGAGATTGGGATGTAGAATTTAACACAAGCTGGCTGAAAGGTAGGCTATGGCAGGCAGGATTATCACCCAAGGGGTTTACACTGAATATTATCAATGGCTTCCCTCAGAGTCCACGGGCCCAGTATCCTTCATGGGGACCCTCTGCTGCCTTCCTCTTTTCCTGGATTCCGGCCTGCCTTGCTGGAGTAGAGGCTGAACTGCATGCCCTGTCCCCGCGTGCTACTTGTCACTAAGGCCATGCCAAAGGAGGTGTCCTTCAGTGTGACAGCCAAGGCAAGATCCAGTTGAGTCATATCCCAAGGCTTACAGACAGAAGGCAGTTTCCCTCCCTTAATGCTAAGGTCCACCTTCAAAGTTTTTATTTTCCAGCCCTATGATTAACCCTCCATAAGCATGATTGACAATGGAAAATCAGCTTCCTTCAAGAAAACCCCAGCCCCATCCATGGGAATACAGTCTTGCCCTTTGGCCCTTAAAAGATACCTGAACAGAAAGTTTCAAGTCCAGACATTTCCCAAATTCTAGATTATTTAGTCTTGAAAAACATCTTCTGTGACCTATTAATAGTCTTAGCCAAGCCAAAACCCTTTCTTTTTCATCCTTCCTCCAGCAACCCTGTTGACCAAGCCTGCACAGGCTTTCTGTCATCTTCAGGGTCCCCTCCCAGATCCGTGACCAAATGCTTGAAGAGTAACATAGAAATACCTCCTGAGAACAAGCAGTATGATACCAAGTAAGACAGCCTGATCCAGTCGTTGTGAAAGAGGCATTCCTTTAAAGGAAGTAAATCTGTCTACAGAGTGTAATTCTGTCCACCCCTCTCCACCTCCACCACCCTCATTCATGATAACCTGTTAACATTGTTATGCAGAGAAACTCAGCTCTTTGGAAATCCATTGCCTTTGCTTTGCTTAGTCAGAAGGGTCATTGCTCAAGAGTGAATCCAAGAACCCACCTTCAGCAACAAAGGAAATCACTTGAACCTTTGATTTCATGGCTCTGTTTCAGCTTCAACCCTCCTCATCAGACTATATAAACCCCAGGACCAATGTTTTCTTTTGAGGACCAAATTCAGAATGCCTTGACTTTTTCTTCTGTCAACAGCCTCTGCAAGGAGGAGATTTCCAAAGCAGGTGATTTCAGAGCAACAGTAGCTATCATCGCACCAAGCATCCTTCACACGTTCTATCTTGTTTTCCAGCAAGGAGAATAAAACTCAGTGAGGTTGAGTGGTTTGCCTAATGTTCCAAAGCTAATAACTAGGAGAACCATTATTTGAACCCAATCAGTTTGATTCTGGCTCCAGCCCTCTTAACCGCTTTTCAAGTGGGGAATGAGAGTCTAGCCTGGGAATGAGAAGAATTGCAGACCCATCTCCCCTCTACAGCAGACTGTGGGTACTATGGCATTCTCTTGGTGTGGATTGAGGTCAACATCCCTCCATGGCATATATAGCCAATATTCAGTATTTAGATGACAGAGACACTAAAACCTGATCAGCCTGAACCTGCAAAATCCTTCCCCTGCCTCTACGCTAAACCTGGAGGAGAATGTGGCTCTGTGATGCAGACTCCTCCATCTCCCCACAGTCAAGGAGAGCCAGAGCCAGCGTGTCATCCCTTTGGGATTCCCTTCTTTCCTTCCTTGCTTTTTTTTTTCTCTTCTCTTCTTTTCTTTCCTTTCTTTCTTTCTTTTTTTTTTTTTTTTTTTTTTTTGAGACAGGGTCTCTCTGTCGCCCAGGCTGGAGTGCAGTGGTGTGATAACAGCTCACTGCAGCCTCTACCTCCTGAGCTCAGGTGATCCTTCCACTTAAGCCTCCCAAGTAGCTGTGCCTGCAGGTGTGTGCCACCACACCTGGCTAATTTTTTAATTTTTTGTAGAGATGGGGTTTCGCCATGTTGCCCAGGCTGGTCTCAAACTCCTGAGCTCAAGTGATCCTCCTGCCTCGGTCTCCCAAAGCTCAGGGATTATAGGCTGACATTGTAATTTCTGTTGGTCCCAGCTCATCTCCCCAGCCTGACATCTGCTACAGTTGCTCACTCAGCTCAGTGGGCCCTGACATCACTGCAGGCTCCTTCCCGGGGTTCCATATCAATAAAGTCTTTGATTGGAGGCTACAGGACTAAGTAGAGAGAAGGAATTGGTCAGAGGGAAGAGGTCGAACTGTATGCCAAACTAGTGAAGGTTACCAGCTTAGCTCGGTTCTGTCTATTTTTCTTTCTCATTAGAGTCACTTATTGTGTGCATAGGGCTCTCTCAAGGTTCTCTTTCCCCCTTAGTTTACTGATCATCCTGGTTATTTGTGCTGGATGCTGAGATGGAGTTTGATAACTCTTTGTGGTGTTTCCTAATCCAGGCTCATAAGCCCTGTGTTTAGCAGAGACTCCTTTGCATCTGTGGTATTTGGTTGAGTAAGTGTATGGGCCCCTTTATTTAAATTATTTTACACAAGAGGTAGCTTTAAATGAATTCAGGTCTTGGATGAATTCTCAGAGCACCAAATATCATTGCAAATGTGATTACTGAACCATTGTTGATAATGTTTTTGAGGTCATAGAGAACTAGAGACGGGCCACAAAACAGAAGATTGACAAATGTTGAATATTTTTCACATAGGCGAGGTGGATAGCATGTGGAAATTGCAAACTGATAAGTGTGACATCTCTTACCAATAAGATACCAGGATGGACCACTGAGTAGACAGTTTCTGCACACTAAATCACCATGCATAAACATGGGTTCTCAAGAAATAGCTCATGCCAAATGACCTAGTCTGTTTATACTTGCTTATTTGAATCAAGGATCAGGAAGTACTATAGGCATGGCTCTTCCTGACTGCAGTGAGATATTTGAAGAAGTTTCTTTTGAAATCTTAGTAGATAAGATGGAGAAATGTGAGTTGGCTACTGGTTAATTAGGCGGATTTGTAACTGGCTGAACAACTATACCTAAAGAATATTGATAAAATATTTTTTAATCAACAACTCACACAAAAGTATTTATGACATGCTTATCATCATTTACAAATGATGCCAAACTGCAAGGGATAGCTAATAATTTGGATGACAAAATTAGGATTCTAAAGTATTTTGCCAGACTGGAACTTGGATTAAAGCTAACAACAACAAAGTGAATGGAGATAGTGTGGAGATTTTCCCTTCAGGTGTAAAAAAAGAAATTGTATAAGCACAGGAAGGGTAGACATGAGTTAGCAGTAATTCCTTGCATTAGTTGGGGATGCCTTTGGCTGCAAGTAACAAAAATACCTGATTCAAGATGGATAAGGCAATTTATCATCTCCTATAACAAGGAGACAGGCAAAGCAGCTGTGGGTGTGAAAGCTTTACTTCTCTGAGATACTCTAGGCTAGCAGTTGTCAACCAGGGCAGTTTTGCCCCCAGGAAACATTTGACTATACCTAGGAACATTTTTTGGTTGTCACAACTGGTAAGGTGGGAGTATGCTATGGCCTTTAGTGGACAGAGATGTCATGGATGCTGCTGAACATCCTACAATGTGCAGGATAGCTCCCACAACAAATAATTACATGGCCCAAAATGTCAGTAGTTCAAGACTCAGAAGCCCTGATTTTTTACAGTAATCCAGATCTACTGTCTGGAGCCTTCCCTGAAGTCACATGGGGGAAGGGTGGATAGCTGAGCAAAATTGGGATTTTTTAGGAAGGAAGAAAGGAGGGATGGATGTTGGAGAGTCCGCCATAAAGATACTACATTCATATCAAAAATATTTTTTAATTGATTATGAGCCAGGGTCACTGCCAGCCCAGAAAAGATCTTTGTGTGATTTAGAACTAAGGCACCCCCCTTCCTCAGAAACTTTACTGCCATCTGCTGGAAAAACTACTGAAGGAAATATGTAAATCTACAATAGGTTGTAAATAGAGCCCCCTAGAGTTGTGCCACACATAACCTCACGATAATTTACAGCATGCATCCCTTCTGTGAGTCTAACATGATCCAGCTATATAAAATGGCTGTCAAAGAAGTAGCTTAGGACTTTACAAACAGGAACCATGTGTCCCAAGTAAGGAAGGTCAAAATCTCACCATATCCTACATTGGTCACACCACAGCTGGAATTCTTGGTAAATTCTTGGTTTCATAGTTGAAGAATTTTTTTTTTAAGTGACCAAAGAAAGTTGGACTGGAGGAAGAAGTATCAAGGAGTCATAATATATGAGAAGTGTGTGTGGAGAAAGGAAGGAACTGGAGATGTAGAGCTGGTGAAGAAACACTAAAAGTCAACTGGAGCGTTATCTCCAAGTATCTGAAGGGTTTTAAGGGGATAAGGACCAGACTGAATCTGTGTTTCTCCAAAGGGCAAAACTGGGTCCAATGAGTGAAATCATAGACTCATGAGATATGGCTGGAAGTGACCTTGGTGGTCAACGAATCAAACCCATTTTTCAAACATCCCTCCTACAGTACTTCCACAGCAGCTACCCTGCCAGCACACCTTCAGTGTGATCTTTAGGTGATGCTAAAGTGTTTTACGTTACATTGAACTCTGCCTCCTCTGGCTCTCATCCATCATTCCCTGTCTCCTTAGCTGCTCTCTTGTGACAAGTAGGTTTCAGAGACAGATTTGCTCTACATAACAAAGGAAGTTTCACAACCAGGGTTTCCATCCAGTGGCTTCAAGTAGAAGATGGACTACCATTGGTCAGGGATCAGATCCCTCGTCTATCAAATGAAAGAGTTAAACCTAGAAGATTCTAAGTTATTTCCTGCTATCCAAGTGGATTATGGTCTCTGGGCTACAAAAGTAAGAGTTTGATGTTGCTGCCAAGTTTTTCTTCTCATTTCCTCATCCTCCCTGTACACGTTTGCACGATTTGGCACTTGATTTTACCATAATTAATTTAATCAGCCCCCAACTCATGAACCTTTAGAGTGTTTCCAATTTTTCATTATTACAAACCATACTGCAATAAACATTCTTATATATTACTTTGGGGCACTTGTGTAAATATTTTTATAGGTTAAGTTCCCAGGAATGGAATTGTTGAGTAAAAGGGATAGACATTTTGAACTTAATCTGCCTTAATGATTTGCATTAATTTACCCACACCAATACTGGACAATTGCACTTAATCATTTCTGTCAGACTGAAAAATCTGTATTTGATTTTTTACTTCTTTGATTATTAGAGAAGTTAAGCATTGATTTCTATGAATTGCTCCTCTTCATAATCCTTGTCCATTTTTGTATGAGTTATCAATATTTTGTAAAAGTTATTTATATATTGTGGATATTAATGACTTGTTCAGGTGTATTTATATTCAAATATTATTTCTAGTTTTGAATATGTCTTCTTAGATCTATTTAGATATTTTGCTAGAGAGAAGATTTTAATAAAATCTGACAATGTTTTATGTTATATATTTTAGGCTTTAAGTTATGCTTAAAAAGATGGAAATATTATGCAAATATTCTCCAATACTTTTATGGTAAGATGTTTCATGTTTCATATTTAATTACTTAGTCTGAATTTTTAAAATGCAGTGTCAATTTATTATGTACATTTTTTAAATGAATATCCAAATATTCTGATCCTATTTATTTAAAAAAATACCCTCTTCTATTATGATTGCCACTTATTTACATATTTACTTCCCATTTGTACATATGTGTATCTATTACACTTCCAATTCTCTTTCATTCAACAACTTACCTTTTTCTGTACTTGTATCGTACAATTTTTAATACTGTGGCTTTATGGTGCTTTTTGATTGCTCGTAGAATAAATTCCCTCCTAATTTTCTTCTTTTACAAAAAAATAGAATTGTTTTTCCTTGGAATTCAATTAAATTAATGGAGCAATTTGGGAATAATTGATATTGTTATAGAATTAAATCTACCCATCCAAGAACTTGTGTCTCTTCACTTACTAACTCAAATATTCTCCTATATCTTTGAAGAAAATTATTTAATTTTTATGTATGCCTTATACATTTCTTTTTAAATATGTGACTAATTATTTTGTAGTTAAGCATGCTCTTTGAAGAATTTTATTAAAATTTTCTAACAGGTTTTTGTTGCTATGTAGGAAGCCTATGGATTTTCATTTTTTAATATAAATTTAATCTAGATGCTTCACAGAACTCAGTTTACATACTTGATGGCTGATTCTCTTGGATATGTCATCTATTCACATTATCCACAATCATGACGATTTTTCCTTTTTAATTTACTACATGTGGTTCTTTACTTGGCTTTTTCATTATTTTGGCTAGAACCTCCAGAACAATGATAAATAATAGCCGTGATGGTGAGCATCTTTGTCTTATTCTTGATTTTGGTGGTGTTTCTAGTGTTTAATCATTAAGGATGATGTTCAATGATTTTATGATACTTTTTTTTTTTTTTTGAGATGGAGTCTTGCTGTCGCCCAGGTTGGAGTGCAGTGGCGCGATCTTGGCTCACTGGATTTTATGATACTTTTGTCTATTTAGTAAACTCTCCTTATTCTCATGACTTGCTAGGAGAATATAACAAGGACAAAATTTGAATTTTGCCAAATAAGATTTTGGCATCTATTGAAATTTTGGCATCATTTTTTTTCTTTAGCTATTAATATAAATGTATGGATATCTACTACTGAACCAGACTTGAACTTCTGAAATGCTTAGTCATGATATTTTATCTTTTAATACATTGTTTCACTGAAATTTTCAATAATTTATTTAGGATTTTTACACTTCCATAAATTGGTCTATATGTTGGCACCATCTCTGTCAGATTTTAGTATCAGAGCTAAATTAGTCTCATAAAATTGCTCAGGAAGGACTTCATCTCTAAGTATAGATAAGAAATATTTGCCCTATGGAGATGTGATAGATCTCACTTATAAAACCATCTACCCTGAGGTATTCGGGGTGTTAAGTATTTTATTACCTTTGCCCTTTCTTCTGTGATTATTGGTCTTTTAGATCTTCTGCCTTTTCTTGAACCATTTTTGCGATTTATACTTACATTAGTGGTCATTTCATCTAGAATTTCAAATTTACTAAAATAAATATGTATGTGATATTAAATTTTTAAAAATTCCCTCTACATAAGTAGTTGTATCTTGATATGGCTTGGCTGTTTTCCTACCCAAGTCTCATCTTGAATTGTAGCTCCCACAATTCCCACATGTTGTGGGAGGGACCTGGTGAGAGATAATTGAATCATGGGGGCAGTTTCCCCCATACTGTTTTCGTGGTAGTGAGTAAGTCTCGTAAGATCTGATGGTTTTATAAAGGATTTCCCCTTTCACTTGATTCTCATTGTCTCTTGCCTGCTGCTATGTAAAACATGCCCTTCACCTTCCACCATGATCCCACGTGGACTGTGAGTTTATTAAACTTCTCTTCTTTATAAGTTACCCAGTCTCAGGAGTGTCTTTATCAGCAGCATGAAAATGGACTAATACATATCTACTTTCTTACTGAAGAAATTATGTATTTGCATTCTTTTTTACTCCTTTTTTTGCCAGTCTTAAAAAAGTATCTATTTTTTAATAATCTTTTCAAAAGAATTTCACAAGTAGAAAAATCACATCTATTTTGTTCATCTCAGCATCCTCAGTGACCTTGTGCAGTACCTAGACATAGGCACATAATAAATATTTATTGTCAAGGTAAATCAATAGAAACTTGTTTTGGTTTTCTGTATCAATCCTATTTTTCTCTGTCTACTGCTTCATTTTTTTCATCTACTTTATTTTGATGTTTTGTTGTTTCTCTTCTAGTTTCAGGAATAAAACTCTCAGCCAGTTCTTTTCAAACTTTTATTTATAATAAAATAATTAAACAATGAATTCTACTCTGAGGGTAGCTTTGGTTTCACCCTATAGACCTTCATATATCTTGTTTTTTATTATTAATTTTTAAGTAGATAGCAATTTTTTAAATGGTTATCAATGATTTTAGTTTTAGAAAACCATTTATTTTTGTTTATTATTCCTAGTTTTATTGCACTATAACGGTTTTGGAAATATCTTGAGCTTCTGTTTATATAGTTGTACATGGTCGATTTTTGTAAAGAATTTACAGGTATTCAAAAAGGATTTTTTTTCTATGTATTCGGTATGAAGATAGGAGAATACACAAGAAGAAGCAGGTTTGGGAGAAGATAATGTGTCCAGTCTTAACTTACTGCTTTCAAGTTGCCTGCAAAAATGACAAAGTGTTGGTGTCAGTACGTGGGGCCAACAGATGGGTCTGGGGCTCAAGAAAAAGATGCACCTGGGAGTCATTGCTGTGTGTGGTAGTTAAGGCCAACATGCATGAGATTATCCCAAGAACGTGTAGAGTGAGAAAGGCTGGCTGCATGGGCAGTTGACCACACAGGACCCGTGCTCAGAGGGCATATGCTTGGTTTAATGCTTTGCTGTCGCCATCTTGAATTTCTTAATAATTGTTGAACCATGGACCCACATTTTCATTTTGCACTGAGCCCTGCTAATTATGTAGCAGTTTCTGAGTGTGAAAAGGACAAAGACAAACTGAAGCACCAAGCTCAAAGGGGTGGGCAGTGCAAGAGAAGCCGGGGAGATTTTGATGGAGCCCTGTGCCAGGTTGGAGGAGATGTTGGAGAGTTGGTTCATAGGAGTGACAGAGGCCAGGGTCTCACAAGGGCCATGTTATGCAGAAGAGTTGTGGATGAAGAGGTGTGGAAAGCAGCCAGTTTGCACTGTTTGAGGTGTGAAAAGGACAGGGACCTGTAGGCAACAAGAGTGGACAAAACAGACTTCTAGTTTGGTGACACAGTATGGAGAAAGATTCAGATTCTGACCTCTTCTTCCACCTTCTACTGCCACTATTGTAGTTCATACCCCCACGGGCTCCTGTCTGCACTACTATAGCAGCCTCCTGACTCCTCCCTGCTTCGTCCTTGCCCCCAGTGGTCACGATGATTGTGCTGAAACTTCAGTCAGATCACATTACGCCTCTGGCCAAACCCACCAAAGGCTTCTCATCTCAGAACATCAAGTCTTTCCTGTGGCCTCCGAGGCCCTACTGGGTCCAGTCCCCACCCTCCGTTGCCTGCTACGCTCCCCTTCACTCACATGGCTCCAGCCACACTGGCCTCCTTGGCTTCTTCCTGCACTCTTAACCTGCCTCATAGCTTTACCTGGAATGTCCTTCCACCATTCACTCCTTGACCAACTCCCTGTCTTCCCTGGGCTCTGCTCAAATATAGCCTCTCTGGGAGCTCCTCCCTGGCTGGCCTGTCCATGCCTGCTCCTCCTTACTGTATTTTCATCACATCGCTCAACACCACCTATCTTACTGTGTAGTTACTGGCTTGCTTTTTGTCTTCTCACCCCTGGGAGAGTGGACTATTGGCTTTGCTCACAGTTTGTCTGTTTGGATGCTCTTGTAGAAGGACAGTGGCCCAGGAGGAGATCAGCAGCTATGTGGACCCTATTTCCCAAGCCAAAAACTATGATATGTTGTCTAGTAATGACATAGAATATGTATTTATTTATCTGTTTGTGTATACACCTCTTTGTTTCACAAAAGGATTTAAGGCAGTTTACAAAGATGCATAAAATTCAGCAGGACGACATAAATTAGAAGCAGGTGAGAAAGAAAAAAAATGTAAAAGCAAGGGTAAAGCCATAAAATGGAGCCAAGGATGGGACTAATACAAAATAAACATACTATAAACTTTGATCCATTTGCTAGGGGTGGGCCACAAATTTGGCTCTAAAATTTCTAACAGCCAGTGCCAAGATGAAACATGATCAACTGCACAATTCCCAGGATCCTCAAGATTAAAGCAAACCACTAGCCCAGGAGAAATGCATACATTCCTGATGTCCCAGAGAACAGAAAGAAATGGCTCCTTAACCCCTCCCAGAGATGACAAGGGATAAGACAGCCAGCAATTTGCTCAGAGGCATCTTTGCAGCAGACACAGCCATGAACTTTGTTTCTTACATTTCTTAGCCAGGCTTATGGGAGTCTGACTAATGTGAAATGCAGTTATCTGGTGGGCTAGGGCACAGGGTTCTGTCCAGCCATAGGAGTGCCTGAGCAACTGGTGGAGGGTGTAATCTCCAAATGCTTTCTTTTTTTTTTTTTTTGAGACAGAGTCTTGCTCTGTCACCCAGGCTGGAGTGCAGTGTTGCAATCTCGGCTCACTGCAGTCTCCACCTGCCAGGTTCAAGCAATTCTCATGCCTTAGCCTCCTGAGTAGCTGGGACTACAGGCTCATGCCACCACGCCTGGCTAATTTTTGTATTTTTTTTTTTAGCAGAGACAGGGTTTCCCCATGTTGGCCAGGCTAGTCTAGAACTCCTGACCTCAAGTGATCCACACACCTCAGCCTCCCAAAGTGCTGGGATTACAAGTGTGAGCCACTGCACCCAGCTCGAGTAATGCAGTCTAAGGAGAGCTTCTTTAGGCCAAGCTTCAGGCAGATATCGGGGGACTGTGGGTTCTCATGACTGTCATGAGAACATGACAAGACTAGGTGACAAAGCTTTGTTTGAGATCCACTAGATGTCAAACTGCAAAGAGGTTGGACATCGTCTAGGAAAAATGAAGCAGGTCTAACAAGGACTTGTTCCCTCTCTCAAGATGAGCAAGATTCTTCCCAGAAAACAAGACCGAGATTCTAACAAGACGAAGATTCTTCCCAGGAAATAATGATGAGCCCAGTGCAATAGAGTGCAAGTGACTTCAGCCTGGGAACGGTTTAAAGCAGACCCGTACAAACACCTACCTAATTTGTGTGTGTGTCAGTAAAATCTCCTTCCTGCTTTACCTTCCAAGATAAACCCTTTGTGAAACACATGCCAAGTTAACTGAGAGGAGACCTGCATGGGATAATTAACTGTCGTTAAAAGCCAAGGGACAACCACCAAAAATAATGACTTTGCTGATAGAGTATTTGATCTGAAATCTTTCTTTCTGGCAATAATTAAATAGCAGGGCCAGCTGTGTCCTGGGATTGAATACTGAAATCAAGCTGCCCCAGAAAATCCAGACTGCAGGCCTGTGGGAGAAAGAGCAGAGCCAGCGTGGCCCCTCCCCGGGCCCGCTCCCCACCCCTGATAAGGATCCCAGCCACCTCCCTGCTTCCCTGGGGTGTTGAAAGTCTCCAAGATAGCAAAGTGCCCCTCCTCTGAGATCCTGGGAAGGAAAGTGCTAGGCAAATAAGAAACATGGCATAGGACAAAGAGTAGCTGGAAGACTGGAATTGCAAGGAGGGCTCTGGGCCTCTCAGTTCAGAGCCCCGGCTCCTGAAAATAGGATCTCAGCTCCATGGCCAAGTCAAAGAAATGGGTTGGCAGCCTTTCTGAGTATCTTCCCTAAATTTTCCTTGGCACAGATTAAAACATCCTGTCAGATCCACGAATACTGAGCACATTCAATGACCAAAGTCCAGTATATCAATGTCCTCAAGAAGTGCCCTGCTTCCCTCCTGGCCACCTAGCAACTTCCTCGCTCTGTGAACCACTTCTCGACCTCCCGGCCTCCCCGCACTCCTCATACCTCTTTCTTTTACCTCACTGATACCTGCAGCAGAATTAGCCCCTATAGAGAGAAGTCAGTCCTAACCCTGTGGGCTACAACCCCTGGCCTCCCTGGTCCCCTGAGCTTTGATCTGGCTGCCCTTCTCCATGTTCACACCCTCTTACTTGTTCTCTGGGGTTAGTCATAATAACCCCTCATGTTAACGGGGCAGGAGATCACCTTAGATCTGCCCCACAACCACAAGGAGGTGAGTGGTTGGAGGCTAATTATTATCTCAATTTTACAAATAAAGAAACGGGCTCTGAATCATCCCGTGGTTTTCCCACAGCCGGACCCCACAGTGTCCAGGCAGGGAGCAGAACTCACAACTTCAGGCTCCCAGCCTATGAGCCGCCACACCCATCTCTAAACCCAAAACCAGCCACCAGCTCCAGGAGGAGTCATCCTTGCCCATTGAGGGCAACTGGAGTGCACAGTGTGCAGGTGTGTGTGAGGGGCAGAGGCCAGGAGGTGGGGAGGGCTCTCTGGCGTTCCATCACTTCCATAGCTCCTGCTTCATGGTATCGGGATGACCCAGCCAGAGGGAACGCACGAGTTTCCCCATTGCAACCCTTCACTTTACAGATGGGGAAACTGAGGCTCAGGATCCTCAGTAGAGTGCCCACTATATGATGGGAGCTGGGCACCAGCACCCCTAGGTGAGCACTGGGGGGCCAGATTCTCACTTGGCCACGCACCATGCACACACCTCCCCCTGCCCCTCGAGTTCTTCTAAGCCACCCTGACAAGGCCTGGCTGTGGGTTCTTCTGGAAAGAGAATTGGACTGCTCACCAGTAGCTCCTCCTTCCGGGCCTAGTTTGGCAGCTGACCCTTGGGGTGGCCTGGAACCTTTTCTTTACAATTTAAGAGCCTGTTCTCAGCCTTTCCCACAAAGGGCTTGACCTCAAGAAGCTGATCAGACTCTGGCTTAATGTTTATTCTAGGATTCCAGGACTTCCTTCAAGAAAGGAGTACTCTCCTTGAACAGACAAGCTGTGGCCAAGTGAGGTGGGAAGCCACGGCGGGCAGAACTGGTGGAGTGAGGGCTGGATGGCAGTTGGAGGTGGAGGCGGGAAGCCTGCCTGGAAGGAGGGGTAAGGCTCTGAGGAGGAGGAAGAGCAGGTGCCCCAGGCCAGGGAGAGGGCAAAGAACAGGTTCTGGCCCATTTGGGGCTCCATGAGGCTGCAGCCCAGCCCAAGGCCCTGAAGTCCTAGGACATCCAGTCCCTTGATTCCTCAGCTGGAAAAGCCAAGGCCACCTTTAACTCATATCAACTTTGAATGGTCCTGGCCAGACACCTTGACACACAGGGTCTCCTTGCTGCTTCACAACCTATCTGTGCCTGGGGATTTATATTCCTATTTTGCAGACAAGAAAACTGGGGCCAGATAAGTAAGGTCAGAGCAGAACTACAGCAGCAGCAGGGATTGCAGGGCCTGGCCAGTGCTTTGTCCTCTGCGTAGCCCTTGGCCCCAGCATACCCCGTCATGACCAGATCCCATGCCTCTGGATTGATGAACACAAATGCGTAGCTCATGAAGATGGGCTGGGAATCTAAGACTGCTCCCAGCCAGGGAATCAGAAGTATCCTGCCCCAAACATCAGTATTTCATGTTCAACACTCAACTCACCCATATGCTAATCTTTTTATTCATTTCACTCATCGAGCAAATATGGATTTAGTTCCTTTTGTGTGCCGGGCACTGTGCTCCACTGGAGTTACACAGTGTGATTAGGGCATGGGCTTTCACATGTTATCACTATGGTACACTCGAGCATTGCTGGAATGTCTAGGGGGAAGCTCTGCACCTGAACCCCCATCCCCTCCTGAGAAGCTGTATCCTCTGCCTGACTCTATCGAGGTGAGGGGTGGAGGCTGTGGGAGTCAAGGAGGAGGAGGGAGAGAGAAAGAGCCTGAGAGAGCTGTAAAAGTGAGACAGTAATCACTGGAGAAGTTCTCTCCATCATTAAAGAGGATCTTAATTAAGGTCCCTGAAACAGACACCCAAAACAAGCAGCAGCTGTGGGAACCAGGACTGGCAGGGGGAGCACAGCCGCCCAGGGGTGCTGGGTGTTACTGGCCAGCGCCTCACCTGTCATTAGGGAGTGGGAATTCACCCCACATCAAAGTCAGCCAGGAAAGAATGTGACAAATGCCATTCACCTTCAAAACAGTGATGAAAATAAATGCCAAAGCCTGCCAACCATTGTGTGCGAAAACTCCTCGGGCAGAAGGCCGATCCCCAGAGAGAGGTGAGGTGTGTCCAGCTGAGAAGCAAAGAAGAGGTGCCTGGGTCTGGGAACAGAGCCTTCCCTAGACTGTGGCTGCCTGGACCTGGACACGCCTCTCCTGGCCTTTGGCCTTCAGTTTACCTGGTGCTAAGACCCTGGGAAATCCCTTTCCTCTACTGTCCCACCACTCTGGGATACCTTAATGTGGTTGCTTTACTCTGCTGGTGCCTAGGGAATCAGAGGACATCCTGGGTGGAGTCTCTCCCACCCTTGAAGAAGGACATCGTCATGGCCCGTCTTGGACCCCCTGACTTTCCTCTTCTGGGAGGAAATAACTGGGAGGCAGTTATTTTCTCTTTGTTGTTTATAATATGGACAAACCTTGACCAAAAAAAAAAAAAAGAAGAAGAAAATAACTTCTGAGTCTGGATGCTTCATTACATATGGCGTAATCCAGAATTCGAGGAAACGGGGGCAAGTCGACATCTCAAGATGAGTTTACGGCTGATGCAGGCAGGGGTTAGCCAGTGGCACCAGGCTGGCGGCATGAGGTGGCAGAACGCTCTTAGTGCCGAGCTGTGTCCACACACGCATCGGGTTAATACCGGGAATTGTTCATCTAGGAGTCTTTGGGAGCCTGCCTTTAGCAGAAAGCAGAGAAATCATGGCCCAGAGACTGAGAGACAGAAGCAGAGGTAAAGAGAGATCCAAAGAGAGTTGGGGAGGCGGGTGGGATGCATTAGCCACAGAGTAGTCTTTACTGAGACACCTGTGTTTCCCAAATAGCTTTCTTCTGCCGCTTGAGCTGCAAACCCAACACAAAGAGGCCAGCCTCTCCTCTCCTACCCCCACCTTGAACTTCAGATCCTGTGAATATCCTATGGCAAGTTCAAAGCAAGTTCCAACAACCCCTCCCATCCCTCAGAAGCAAGTGTGGCTGAGGCTTCATCACAGCCTTCCACCAGGGAGGACCCTGAGCTCCGGAAGGCAGCAAAGCAGGTCTGTTTTATAGCCTCTGAAGAGACTTTGTCATACTGTCACCTCACGCTGACCAGACTTCAGTAATCGTGGGGGAATGAGGAGGGCCCCTAATCTACCTTGGGCCTACTTCATATTGATACCAAGGGCCAGAGGAATTCAGAGAGCCGTGTGGACTAGAAAGGCCAGGGAAGGTATCCTGGTGGAGGTGGCATGTGATCTGGGCCTTGAAGGGTGGATAGGAGTTGCAACAGAGAAGAGAAGACACCCTCTGCAGTGGCACCTGCAGGGCCATGAATTGGTGGTAGGGTAGACATACGTGGCTTGAGCCACAGGCGATAGGATGAAAGCCACGTTGGAAGAACAGCTGTGTGGCCCTGCAGTCAGAGGCTGCTCTGGGTTGGGGAGGATACCGTGGAGATATAAATCAGGAAACAAGACCACAGGGATTGCACTAGGAGGTGGCATGCCCAGGAACTGGGGCATCTCTCCTTCAGGACCACATCTCTCCTTGTGGTCACTGAGACACCTTGAAGTGTCTCAAGTGGGACACCAGACCATCCTCCTCTGCATTAAGCATAAGGGAGGCACGAGGTGTGATTTGGCTGCAGCACGCAGGCTACAAGTCTGACCTAAGGGGGAACTTCCTGACTGGGAAAGTGTGAAAATCTCCCAAGAGTCAACGGTGATCTTAGAATCCTTTGCCCTGAAGGCCTTTAACAAGGCCCCTGTCTGCTGACTGCTGGGCCCCACTCCCCACCTGTGAATTGCAGATCCTTAGTTTCCAGGGAGTGGGACTTAGAAAGGTCAGAGTTTGGCCTCTCTGCCACTCTCACAATAATAACAAATAATTACGATTATGGCAGCAGCTGACATTCTATGTTCCAGGCACTGTTCAAAGCGCTCCAAGTGCGGCAATTCGTTTAATCTTCACACGGTCTTATCAGGTACTATTTTCCCCATTCTACAGTTGAAGAAACTAAGAAGCAAAGGCAAATCACTTGCTCCAAATCACTCGGCAAGTAAATGTTAGTGTGGAGATCTGAAGCCGTGATTCTGCGCTCTCTACAAATCTGTGTGTCTTTGAATATCCTCCACTTTGCTCTCACAGCATTTCCCAGGAACCCTCCATACTCCCAGGTCTGTGCATCAGGCAGAGCAGAACTAACATGAAAAAATCAAAGCTACAGCAATTTCATGAATGTCTGAATGCCGCAAGCATCTCTATATGTTATGAAGTTTGGCATGGAATAAAATCAAGCGGCCATTTTTCCAAATTCTAAACGTGAGCCCAGCGTCTGACAAGCGGTTAAACATAGAACACCAAGATTTACAGGAAGCCAGGTGTGGGGTTTGCACTAGGCTCACACGAAAGACTGTGGCTGCTCAGCAAGGGCAGTGGTCTTGAGACTGCAGACCTCGGGGGCACCTCTGTAGAGGGGTGAGGAGGAGACCCCGGCCAGACCTGAGGGCACGGAGGACACTGGCTGTAAGCCAGGCAGCTTCAAACAGGGGCAGCAGCAGGGGCAAAGTGGAGATGAGTGCTATTGTCTAACAAAAAAAGGTGACCCTGAATGTGACCGTCTCTTCTGCTGCAGGAGAATTTGCTAGGCGAGGGGGAAGAGGGGCACCATGGTAGCATGGTCTCAGGTTGGTAGCATAGCCCATGCTCTTGTGATCGTGCCGTCTCAGCGCAATTTAAAAGTAAACAAATATGTAGAGGACAGAGGCTTCGATCAGTGCATGATCTGGACAACATCCGCAGGGCCCATTGTTGGTGCCCTGATTCCAATTTACCCTTCGGTTGCTGGTCTCATTAGAAAGTCACAAGTGTGTTAAGGCTTCCACTCTCAAGACACAACTATCAACTTTTTAAGTATAAACACACTTGAAAAGAAGGGTAAAACAAATTTCCATGCCCTGGTGGTCACTCACACAGCAAATAAAGCGTGAACTACACAAGTTTGTGTGCAGGACAGTGAAGGAAAACTGGGCCAGTGCATTGGAACCGGCTTTCTGACAAAGGATTCCAGAACCTACTTGACAAATGGAATTTCCACTCCCGTCCTGGGAGAATGGCGCACACAGACATGATTAGCTCACCTTGTTTTAATGATCCTGAAGTTTCCCCAGCTCAGAAATCACAGCTGGGCAAATCCCCAGCTGGATGAACACAGGCGAGAGGGTGTTTGTGGTGGGTGGAGGCCCTGTCCTTTCTCCGGTGGAGAAAGCCATTTATGACCTCACGGGATGAAAGGAACTAACCCAGGCCCACTGAGCTGTTATTATAACAATTATCAAGACCTATCACCTCCGTTTGGGAAATGTCCTTTCAAGTTGCAGCGGCCTGGTATACCCTGGCTCACTATTACTCACAATCATTACTGGGTGCCCAGGGCAAATTATGAATGCTTTTCTTCCGATGTGGATGGATACGATCCTGTTTAAAGGGCTGTAGCTTTGCAAGGGGTTCATTAAAGCCACTGCAGGTTAGTGGTAGGGAGCATGTGTGTGCATGGGCGTTCAAGTGCCTGGCTCTTCCATCCCATGGCAGTATTCCCCCAGCTTGCCCAGGTGACTAAACATGCCAACACGGACAGGCGTGGACGGTGTTGATCCTGCTCAGCCTCACTGCTCGGGAGCACCAGGAGGAGAAGGGAGGAGGACAACGGAAATGTTTTCCCAATTTTTTCTCCTGCTGAGTGACTCAACCCTGCCACACCCAACCAGCAGAAGCCTCTGGACACCGGGTTTGGGGCTCCAGGACACGTATGGGCCCTATTTCCTTCTAGAAGTTAACTCAAGACCAGAGTTCTCCCACTTGGGCCTCGTTGTTGTTGTTGTTGTTGTTTTGAGACGGAGTCTTGCTCTGTCGCCCAGGCTGGAGTGCAGTGGCACAATCTCAGCTCACTGAAAGCTCCGCCTCCCAGGTTCAAGCGACTCTCCTGCCTCAGCCTCCCGAGCATCTGGGACTACAGGTGCCTGCCACCACACCTGGCAAATTTTTGTGTTTTTAGTGGAGACAGGGTTTCACCATATTGGCCAGGCTGGTCTTGAACTCCTGACTTTGTGATCCGCCCACCTCGGGCTCCCAAAGTGCTGGGATTACAGGCATGAGTCACCACGTGGGTCTCTTTTTTTGTGGATCCAAGGCCACTTGGAGAAGGAGGCTCCCTCCTCCCACCCCAGCCACTACTAGACTGTCCCCACCACAATAGGCCAATGGGTGGGGGCAGGGGCAGGGGCGGGGGCGGGGGAGGAAGTGGCAATGGATTCTTGGGGTTTTTTTATTCACTACTAAGAGTCAAAGCAATAGATACTTGAGGAAATAGCGTCAAACCTTTAGAAATATCTATTATATCTATACATTCTGTTCATCTTGTAGAAGTGGATACTAAGGCTCAGAGAGGTGGATGCTTTGCCCAGAGGCACACGGCTGTGAGTGGCAGAGACAAGGTGAACCCAGCATTCCCACTCTGGGATACCAAAAAATAGATTTCTGTGCAATCACTTAGGAGGCTGTTTATGCTTCACTGAAAAATGTTTTTGAAATGGAACATTTTTGAGAAATGTCTTTCGTATTGAGTCCTTTGGGACTCAGTAATTTAAGCCTCATGTTAACACTATGAAAAAAGTAGGAACATTATCATCATTTTAAAGATGAGAAACCCAAGCCCCAGAAAGTCACGTGTTCAGGGTTACACAGCTAGAAAGCGGTGGAGTGTGAATTCAAACCCAGACAGCCCCAGTCATGCTCTCTGCACCTTAACATCAGACTCCCAATCCTTCATGTCCCAGCAGCAGACAACTCTTTTGAAAAGACTTCCCACACCCTAGAGTGGCGACTGAATTTCTCCCTCATATCTAGAAGCCCTTCAGGGAGTCAGTCCACTGGACATGAGCTTTGGAGGATAGGCAGGTCTGGCTGGGGCTCTCAACCCTCCCAGAGCGGACAAGGTGTTTTGTACTTAGTGACACTCGACAGATGCTCATGGAGCTGCCTGGACAGACAAGGTACCTGAAAGCAGAGCCTTCCTTTACTGCCATGCTCATCTTCCTACCTCAGGTCATCCTCTTGTCTAACTAACCTTACACGCCTTCAGGATTACAATAATGTTGAGCTTCTAAAATGTATTATATTTTATTTTATTTTATTTTATTTAGAAATGGGATCTTGTTCTATCACTCAGGCTGGAGTGCAGTGATGCAATCATAGCTCACTGCAGCCTCAAACTCCTGGGCTCAAGCGATCCTTCTGCCTCAGCCTCCAGAGTAGCTGGGACCACAGGCGCATACCACCATGCCCGGCGACGGGCTTCTTTTTAAAAGGTCAATTCTGTCCTCCAACAGGGACAGGAAGTGAGATTTACATAGCAACACATTCCAAAGAAGGTATCACAGGCTCTCTCGGGTTTCTGAGCAACATTCGCTTCCTCGGGTTGACTCACTTGGCTTCTCTGCATGGTCAAGACCATCAGCCACTGACCTATGTGGTCCAGTCCTTCAGTTTCCTCCCACGTGGATTCTAGAAGCTTCTGTCTCCTGCAGGTGTAGAGGGTTCCTCTGTCTCAGTCTGGGGTGGAGGTGCACAGGCATCCCGGGTCCAGGACAGGGCTAAGGCAGAGGCAGGGAGGAAAGGAGACAAGCTGAATGGAAGGAGGGCGAGAAGGAGGGAGAGAGCTAGCAGGAGTGTGAGATGACAGGAGAAGAGAAAGGAAGTGAGAGGTGTTTACAATCAGGAAGGCAGCCTCTGGAGGTAAGAGGACAGGAGGTGTGGAGGAGAGAGGCAAAGCAAGAGAGGTGAGGAGTAGAAAGAGGCAAGAGAAAGAGTTGTGGATGGAGAGGACCACGAGGTCCCCAGGAAGGGACAGTGTTGTGCAAGAAGCCAGGGGAGGGACTTGTTTCCCGTACCCTGGGGCTGCCAGGGTTGTCCTTGGAAATAGCTCCCACAGCAAGGCTGCCCCTGGGTCAGGTCAGGGAGAAGCGGGACAGAGGGTGGGTGAGCAGAGACAGCGGTGGGGAGATGGCCTCCCTAGGAAGCCAAGGACACAGGAAGGGAAGAAAGGGGAGAGCGAGAAAGCCTGCCTCTCCGGGCTGGCCCAGGGGTCCCTGGGGTCCCCACAGGCCCCCTGACACAGCCTCACCTTTGTGAAACGGCCCTTCTTTCCTCCAAGCTCTGACGTCCCCCTCCCCCGTGGCCAGCGACACAGCCATGGGGTTGAAAGAACCCTTGGGAGGTGGGTGGGGCAAGGATTCTTCCACCCATTCTATAGACAGGGAGACTGAGGTTCCAAGAGGCAACTCTTCCTGCCTGTCAGTGGCAAAGTGCTTAGAACAGACCCTGGGCACACAGCGAGTGCTTAGTAAATATCAGCCATGGGTATCACTGCCGAACCTGGACTCCTCTGCTCATTTGGACCCCTCCCAGGGTGTGCTCTCTCCACACTTCCCTGGGCCCAGATCCTAGCTCTTGTTTCAGGGAAATGAGTGTCCGGGAAAACCTACCAGGGGCACTGGCAGGAGAGGAGGAAGGGCAGGTGGTAGGCTCCAGCCTGCCCGTGGGCTCTCAATCCAGGCTTCAGGAGGTCCATGTGAACTTGGGTAAGTTACTCAACTTCTTGAGTCTCAGTTTCAGCATCGGTAAAATGGAGGTGCTGATATGTTCCTGGAAGGACTAAAGAGCTAACCACTGTGCCAGCAGCTGGCACCTGTGGGCACTCGACAAACACTGGTTCCTTTTCCTTCCCTAAAGGCAGCCTTTCCACGAACAGCTCATATTGCCATCCAGGCACAAGGACACCAGAGGAGGCACGAAGCATGGGATGCAGGCAAAGGACCCCAGGCCTGTTTTTTTTCCCACGGTCCCCAATATCTAGCAAGGGCCTGGGCTGGACGGCAACGCCAAGAGAGCCCTGTGGGCTGGGGTGGACAAGAAGGAGTTTGAGTACAGGCTTCCCTTGAAATGCAAGTTGTGAAATGTCAATGTAATTATGAAAATGCAGACACAGGAACATTTGCTTATGGGAACTAATGGTTTTTAATGAAGGTAATCAGCTTAGTTAAATCAAATTATTAGCTTTGACAATAGATGTGTAAATAGGTACTTAATGAATTTGTTGATTGTCCCTGCCTGCTAAAAAGACACCACAAGAGTTGTTCTAGGCCCAGTACACACATCTGGGCTCTCCTCTCTGGTTGGGAAACACGCCCCTCCACTACCACACAGACACACAGACACACAAACCTAGACACAAACACATTGGGAGCTCCCCGAGGCAGAGACTGTATCTCTCCCATCAGCTCAGAGGATCTCAAAGGGTGGGGCCCTTCTTTGATTTCTTATGTTTTCGCGTCTCCTTTTATACACTCTCTCTGTGGTTGCTGTCTTGGGGAATCTAAGGTTGAGGGGACAGAGTCAGGAGGAAGACGGAAGACTGTTAAGACATTGGGCTCCTGTATTCCCGCAAACTTGCGCATATATGATCTCATTTCATCCCTCAAGGACCCTTCCTACTATGATTCCCATTTTACAGCTTAGGAAACGAAGGCACAGTGGGAGGGGTGGGTTGGTGGCAGTAGATAGAGGTCAAGCCTGGCTGGGAAGCAACTTGCATTTATCTTACCATGGGAGTGACCTAGGGCCAGGAGGAGGCCCTCATCAGCTGGGAGGAGCGAAAAGGAAATTGCCTAGAATGAGGAGGTAGGAGCCCATGGAGGCAGAAATGAGTATTAGCAGGGGCAGTCAGAAGACGAGGGCAGGTAGGACCCAGGGCCCATTGCTAGGATTCCTTGTGAGCCAGAAGATGGAAATTGGGCCTCACATCTCTGGAGACACCCTGGCAGCAATCACGTCTCCAAGGCTTCCACCTAGGAATGTGTCAGAGAAGAAGTCATGGGGACTAGTTCAGGAAGGGGTACCCAGAGACCCCCCCTCCCCTGAAACACACACACTCTCACACCCCCCACCCCCAGTATCAGCCAGGCAGGTGTCTCTCAC
The DNA here is from genome assembly GCF_000001405.40 of Homo sapiens. Taxonomy (NCBI): domain Eukaryota; kingdom Metazoa; phylum Chordata; class Mammalia; order Primates; family Hominidae; genus Homo; species Homo sapiens. The sequence continues at coordinate 72,013,132 of NC_000002.12, forward strand.
AGTGCTGGGGGAAGGGAAGCGGGTCCTAGGGTTCTATGAATAATGCAATGGGCAGGTTGGGGGCTGAGGCAGACAGGCAGGCACTCCCAAGAGACAGCTCACCCACACCACCCTTGGAGATACCATCAGGCAGTTACGCTGCAGACACGGCCGCTCGCTCACAAGGGCAGCAGCAGAGACGCTGCTGTGTCTCACGTGGGGCTTGCAGATGGGACTATTAGTCAGACAGATGGAGGGAGGGAGAGTGTGCTGAAACCACCTCAGGCCCTGGCCAGGTTCTCCTGTCAACAGGCCAGCCTGAGACAGTCCATGGGCTCCTTCCTGATCTGAGGCTAGGGAGAGACAGAGGGCAAGGCCCCGCCCCTGCCCTAGGCTGAGGGAACAGACACAGCCCCTGCTGTCTGACCCCTGGGCTATTGGTGAAGGCAGTTCCCACCATCCAGCAGCCGGGAAGAGCCAGGTCTTACTTAGGGGAGTCACACGTCCTACACGCTGACTTTTGGAGCCTGCAATTAGTTAGAGAGGCAAAATATTCCCCATCAGGAGACCTGAGATTGAGAGCCATTATCAAGAGATCTAAACCAAGGGCTAGGAAGTGGGATATGGGCAGGAGGGAGCAGAGTAGGAGGATATAAGAGAGGCTTCTGGCCCACTGTCCACAGCCCCACACAAGGGGGAGAGGAGACAGCTCCAAAAGGGACAACGATGCCATGTCCATGCATCTTGTTGACCTGGCATGGAGGTGCCTGGACTCTCTGTGTCCACATCTTCCCAACGGAGCCTTCGTGAGGACTCCAGCCCATTTCCAGAGAACTTGTCCGTGACCTCAGGGTGCCTGGACCGGTGTGGTGGGGCTATTTGGTAACTCCATAATTCCTTCCCAGAAGGAACAGGTCTCTTCTCAAGTTGAACCTGGTGATTTAGAAACAGGAAACTGAAAAATTAGCCTGCCCCTGGACCCAACCCTAGGACAGGGGTTCATCGGGATGGAAGAGTCAGACCCAAGGAAGATCGACAGAGGCCTCTTTTCAGCCCCTGGCCCCAGCCATAAATGGTTCCACCCTCTCCAGAACTCTCATCACATATTGTACATTCCTCTACTAGTACAGTGTGTAATAATTAAATATGTACCTCCTTCACTAGATAATGACCTACTTCAGTGCAGGGATGGTGTGCCTGACTCAGAGGGGGTGCTTGGTATTTCCGGGGGTGATCAATGGGTGAAGAGATGAATAAGCAGATATATGGATAGATGGATGGATGGATGCGTGGATGGATGGATGCTTGGCTGGCATATGGACAGATAGATAGATGAACACTACACCCACATCCACCAGCATCTCTAGTGGCCACCGTATGGTTTGCCCTATTCTTGGGTTGGAACTGTATCAGCCCCTCTCCATTCTAGCTCCATGCAACTGATCCAAATGTCCACACAGGTGTCCTTGCCCAGCAAAAATCTTCTTCTCAGTAGTTACCTAGAGGCCAAGAACCATTTCCCCCCACTCTTCTAAAATCCCACTCAGGATTGTGGTTCCATCAGAGAACTTCCACAGCCCCTTTGGCGTATGAACAATGAAGGGGAAAGGTCAGAGTCAAAACTGGAGGGTCAAGAATGGAGGAGCTTCCAAGGGAAAGAGAAACAGAGATCCTGCTTCCATCCAATCCCTACCTGGTCTCTAGAGAGGAAGCAAGAGGTCACTTCAAGGGAGGGATAATCTGGGCACTTTCTATCCCCAGACCCCCTCTGATGGTGAGGCAGAACCTTCAGTAATGGGTGGAATCATGAACTAGAGTTACCCTTACCCTGCAACTAACCCAGCCCCAACCCTTAGTCTAACTCCAATAACAATAGAATAACAAACACTTACATAGCAATTACCATGTGCCAGGCACCAGCCCAAATGCTTTACATACATTTGCTTATTTAAACCTCACAACAACCCTATGAGGCAAGGATTCTTGTTTATTCTCATCTTACATATGAGGAAACTAAAGCAGACTGAGGTTACGTAGCTTATTTAAGGTCAATAGCTAATAAGTGGTAAAGCTGTGACTTGAACCTAGAAATCCTGGTTCCTGAGTCCTTACTCTTAACTATCAGATCATCCCACCAAATGCATTTATCTCTGTCCTGAATTCAAACCCCATCTCAACCCTGATGCCACCCTCCTATAACCCTCACTTCATCCCCAACTCTTAGCACTGCCATCCCAACTCATCCTTTATAATTTGACACCCTCCCCCCCACCCCATAATAGAATCCTCTGGAGATAAATTCCATTGCTAGAAAATATGAGATAAAGGAAAAAAGTAAATACCAGAAGGAGGCAAACAGACAAATCCGGAATGTGGGACATTCCACTGAGCCAACTGACCTGGTTTCTGCAAGAAGGCAATCATGAAAAAAATTAAAAGGGGAGAGAGTAATTCTCTAGACTCAGAAATTTAAGAATTATAACAACCAAATATGAGATATGGCTCTTGTTTGGATCCTTCCATGTTTGAATAAACCACTCATAAAAAGACATTTTTAGACAGCAGGGATAGTTTGATAATGGTTTGGGTATTCAATGATACCAAGGAATTGGTGTTAATTTTGTTAGATGTGATAATGGCATCGTCATCCTATAAGGAAATGTGTGTAATACTGAAGTGCAGCTGATTCTTGTTCACAGTGGTTTTGTTATATAAATTCACCAAAACACTGAATTAGCAAATACTGAATTATTGCTCCCAGAAGAAATAGAATGTTAGGTTCCTATGAGCCTCTGATCACAATGTTTTCCTCAGCTGATACATAATCTTTTTTTTTTCCTTTTTTTTTTATTATTAAAGTTTTAGGGTACATGTGCACATTGTGCAGGTTAGTTACATATGTATACATGTGCCATGCTAGTGTGCTGCACCCACTAACTCGTCATCTAGCATTAGGTATATCTCCCAATGCTATCCCTCCCCCCTCCCCCCACCCCACAACAGTCCCCAGAGTGTGATGTTCCCCTTCCTGTGTCCATGTGATCTCATTGTTCAATTCCCACCTATGAGTGAGAATATGCGGTGTTTGGTTTTTTGTTCTTGCGATAGTTTACTGACAATGATGATTTCCAATTTCATCCATGTCCCTACAAAGGACATGAACTCATCATTTTTTACGGCTGCATAGTATTCCATGGTGTATATGTGCCACATTTTCTTAATCCAGTCTATCATTGTTGGACATTTGGGTTGGTTCCAAGTCTTTGCTATCGTGAATAATGCCGCAATAAACATACGTGTGCATGTGTCTTTATAGCAGCATGATTTATAATCCTTTGGGTATATACCCAGTAATGGGATGGCTGGGTCAAATGGTATTTCTAGTTCTAGATCCCTGAGGAATCGCCACACTGACTTCCACAATGGTTGAACTAGTTTACAGTCCCACCAACAGTGTAAAAGTGTTCCTATTTCTCCACATCCTCTCCAGCACCTGTTGTTTCCTGACTTTTTAATGATTGCCATTCTAACTGGTGTGAGATGGTATCTCATTGTGGTTTTGATTTGCATTTCTCTGATGGCCAGTGATGGTGAGCATTTTTTCATGTGTTTTTTGGCTGCATAAATGTCTTCTTTTGAGAAGTGTCTGTTCGTGTCCTTCGCCCACTTTTTGACGGGGTAGTTTGTTTTTTTCTTGTAAATTTGTTTGAGTTCATTGTAGATTCTGGATATTAGCCCTTTGTCAGATGAGTAGGTTGCGAAAATTGTCTCCCATTTTGTAGGTTGCCTGTTCACTCTGATGGTAGTTTCTTTTGCTGTGCAGAAGCTCTTTAGTTTAATTAGATCCCATTTGTCAATTTTGTCTTTTGTTGCCATTGCTTTTGGTGTTTTAGACATGAAGTCCTTGCCCATGCCTATGTCCTGAATGGTAATGCCTACGTTTTCTTCTAGGGTTTTTATGGTTTTAGGTCTCACGTTTAAGTCTTTAATCCATCTTGAATTGATTTTTGTATAAGGTGTAAGGAAGGGATCCAGTTTCGGCTTTCTACATATGGCTAGCCAGTTTTCCCAGCACCATTTATTAAATAGGGAATCCTTTCCCCATTGCTTGTTTTTCTCAGGTTTGTCAAAGATCAGATAGTTGTAGATATGCAGCGTTATTTCTGAGGGCTCTGTTCTGTTCCATTGATGTATATCTCTGTTTTGGTACCAGTACCATGCTGTTTTGGTTACTGTAGCCTTGTAGTATAGTTTGAAGTCAGGTAGTGTGATGCCTCCAGCTTTGTTCTTTTGGCTTAGGATTGCCTTGGCGATGCGGGCTCTTTTTTGGTTCCATATGAACTTTAAAGTAGTTTTTTCCAATTCTGTGAAGAAAGGCATTGGTAGCTTGATGGGGATGGCATTGAATCTGTAAATTACCTTGGGCATTATGGCCATTTTCACGATATTGATTCTTCCTACCCATGAGCATGGAATGTTCTTCCATTTGTTTGTATCCTCTTTTATTTCATTGAGCAGTGGTTTGTAGTTCTCCTTGAAGAGGTCCTTCACATCCCTTGTAAGTTGGATTCCTAGGTATTTTATTCTCTTTGAAGCAATTGTGAATGGGAGTTCACTCATGATTTGGCTCTCTGTTTGTCTGTTGTTGGTGTATAGGAATGCTTGTGATTTTTGCACATTGATTTTGTATCCTGGGACTTTGCTGAAGTTGCTTATCAGCTTAAGGAGATTTTGGGCTGAGACAACGGGGTTTTCTAGATATACAATCACGTCATCTGCAAACAGGGACAATTTGACTTCCTCTTTTCCTAATTGAATACCCTTTATTTCCTTCTCCTGCCTAATTGCCCTGGCCAGAACTTCCAACACTGTGTTGAATAGGAGTGGTGAGAGAGGGCATCCCTGTCTTGTGCCAGTTTTCAAAGGGAATGCTTCCAGTTTTTGCCCATTCAGTATGATATTGGCTGTGGGTTTGTCATAGATAGCTCTTATTATTTTGAAATATGTCCCATCAATACCTAATTTATTGAGAGTTTTTAGCATGAAGGGTTGTTGAATTTTGTCAAAGGCCTTTTCTGCATCTATGGAGATAATCATGTGGTTTTTGTCTTTGGCTCTGTTTATATGCTGGATTACATTTATTGATTTGAGTATATTGAACCAGCCTTGCATCCCAGGGATGAAGCCCACTTGATCATGGTGGATAAGCTTTTTGATGTGCTGCTGGATTCGGTTTGCCAGTATTTTATTGAGGATTTTTGCATCAATGTTCATCAAGGATATTGGTCTAAAATTCTCTTTTTTGGTTGTGTCTCTGCCCGGCTTTGGTATCAGAATGATGCTGGCCTCATAAAATGAGTTAGGGAGGATTCCCTCTTTTTCTACTGATTGGAATAGTTTCAGAAGGAATGGTACCAGTTCCTCTTTGTACCTCTGGTAGAATTCGACTGTGAATCCATCTGGTCCTGGACTCTTTTTGGTTGGTAAGCTATTGATTATTGCCACAATTTCAGCTCCTGTTATTGGTCTATTCAGAGATTCAACTTCTTCCTGGTTTAGTCTTGGGAGAGGGTACGTGTCCAGGAATTTATCCATTTCTTCTAGATTTTCTAGTTTATTTGCGTAGAGGTGTTTGTAGTATTCTCTGATGGTAGTTTGTATTTCTGTGGGATCGGTGGTGATATCCCCTTTATCATTTTTTATTGCGTCTATTAGATTCTTCTCTTCTTCTTTATTAGTCTTGCTAGCGGTCTATCAATTTTGTTGATCCTTTCAAAAAACCAGCTCCTGGATTCATTAATTTTTTGAAGGGTTTTTTTGTGTCTCTATTTCCTTCAGTTCTGCTCTGATTTTAGTTATTTCTTGCCTTCTGCTAGCTTTTGAATGTGTTTGCTCTTGCTTTTCTAGTTCTTTTAATTGTGATGTTAGGGTGTCAATTTTGGATCTTTCCTGCTTTCTCTTGTGGGCATTTAGTGCTATAAATTTCCCTCTACACACTGCTTTGAATGTGTCCCAGAGATTCTGGTATGTTGTGTCTTTGTTTTCGTTGGTTTCAAAGAACATCTTTATTTGTGCCTTCATTTCGTTATGTACCCAGTAGTCATTCAGGAGCAGGTTGTTCAGTTTCCGTGTAGTTGAGCGGTTTTGAGTGAGATTCTTAATCCTGAGTTCTAGTTTGATTGCACTGTGGTCTGAGAGATAGTTTGTTATAATTTCTGTTCTTTTACATTTGCTGAGGAGAGCTTTACTTCCAAGTATGTGGTCAATCTTGGAATAGGTGTGGTGTGGTGCTGAAAAAAATGTATATTCTGTTGATTTGGGGTGGAGAATTCTGTAGATGTCTATTGGGTCCTCTTGGTGCAGAGCTGAGTTCAAGTCCTGGGTATCCTTGTTGACTTTCTGTCTCGTTGATCTGTCTAATGTTGACAGTGGGGTGTTAAAGTCTCCCATTATTAATGTGTGGGAGTCTAAGTCTCTGTGTAGGTCACTCAGGACTTGCTTTATGAATCTGGGTGCTCCTGTATTGGGTGCATATATATTTAGGATAGTTAGGTCTTCTTGTTGAATTGACCCCTTTACCATTATGTAATGGCCTACTTTGTCTCTTTTGATCTTTGTTGGTTTAAAGTCTGTTTTATCAGAGACTAGGATTGCAACCCCTGCCTTTTTTTGTTTTCCATTTGCTTGGTAGATCTTCCTCCATCCTTTTATTTTGAGCCTATGTGTGTCTCTGCACGTGAGATGGGTTTCCTGAATACAGCACACTGATGGGTCTTGACTCTTTATCCAGTTTGCCAGTCTGTGTCTTTTAATTGGAGCATTTAGTCCATTTACATTCAAAGTTAATAGTGTTATGTGTGAATTTGATCCTGTCATTATGATGTTAGCTGGTTATTTTGCTCGTCAGTTGATGCAGTTTCTTCCTAGTCTCGATGGTCTTTACATTTTGGCATGATTTTGCAGCGGCTGGTACCGGTTGTTCCTTTCCATGTTTAGCGCTTCCTTCAGGAGCTCTTTTAGGGCAGGCCTGGTGGTGACAAAATCTCTCAGCATTTGCTTGTCTGTAAAGTATTTTATTTCTCCTTCACTTATGAAGCTTAGTTTGGCTGGATATGAAATTCTGGGTTGAAAATTCTTTTCTTTAAGAATGTTGAATGTTGGCCCCCACTCTCTTCTGGCTTGTAGGGTTTCTGCCGAGAGATCCGCTGTTAGTCTGATGGGCTTCCCTTTGAGGGTAACCCGACCTTTCTCTCTGGCTGCCCTTAACATTTTTTCCTTCATTTCAACTTTGGTGAATCTGACAATTATGTGTCTTGGAGTTACTCTTCTCGAGGAGTATCTTTGTGGCGTTCTCTGTATTTCCTGGATCTGAACGTTGGCCTGCCTTGCTAGATTGGGGAAGTTCTCCTGGATAATATCCTGCAGAGTGTTTTCCAACTTGGTTCCATTCTCCCCATCACTTTCAGGTACACCAATCAGACGTAGATTTGGTCTTTTCACATAGTCCCATATTTCTTGGAGGCTTTGCTCATTTCTTTTTATTCTTTTTTCTCTAAACTTTCCTTCTCGCTTCATTTCATTCATTTCTTCTTCCATCGCTGATACCCTTTCTTCCAGTTGATCGCATCGGCTCCTGAGGCTTCTGCATTCTTCACGTAGTTCTCGAGCCTTGGTTTTCAGCTCCCTCAGCTCCTTTAAGCACTTCTCTGTATTGGTTATTCTAGTTATACATTCTTCTAAATTTTTTTCAAAGTTTTCAACTTCTTTGCCTTTGGTTTGAATGTCCTCCCGTAGCTCAGAGTAATTTGATGGTCTGAAGCCTTCTTCTCTCAGCTCGTCAAAGTCATTCTCCATCCAGCTTTGTTCCCTTGCTGGTGAGGAGCTGCATTCCTTTGGAGGAGGAGAGGCGCTCTGATTTTTAGAGTTTCCAGTTTTTCTGTTCTGTTTTTTCCCCATCTTTGTGGTTTTATCTACTTTTGGTCTTTGATGATGGTGATGTACAGATGGGTTTTTGGTGTGGATGTCTTTTCTGTTTGTTAGTTTTCCTTCTAACAGACAGGACCCTCAGCTGCAGGTCTGTTGGAGTACCCTGCAGTGTGAGGTGTCAGTGTGCCCCTGCTGGAGGGTGCATCCCAGTTAGGCTGCTCGGGGGTCAGGGGTCAGGGACCCACTTGAGGAGGCAGTCTGCCCATTCCCAGATCTCCAGCTGCGTACTGGGAGAACCACTGCTGTCTTCAAAGCTGTCAGACAGGGACATTTAAGTCTGCAGAGGTTACTGCTGTCTTTTTTTTTGTCTGTGCCCTGCCCCCAGAGGTGGAGCCTACAGAGGCACGCAGGCCTCCTTGAGCTGTGGTGGGCTCCACCCAGTTCGAGCTTCCCGGCTGCTTTGTTTACCTAAGCAAGCCTAGGCAATGGTGGGCGCCCCTCCCCCAGCCTTGCTGCCGCCTTGCAGTTTGATCTCAGACTGCTATGCTAGCAATCATCGAGACTTGGTGGGGTAGGACCCTCCCAGCCAGGTGCAGGATATAATCTCATGGTGCGCCGTTTTTTAAGCCCGTCGGAAAAGCGCAGTATTCGGGTGGGAGTGACCCGATTTTCCAGGTGCCGTCCGTCACTCCTTTCTTTGATTAGGAAAGGGAACTCCCTGACCCCTTCCGCTTCCCGAGGGAGGCAATGCCTCGCCCTGCTTCGGCTCGCGCACGGTGCGCGCACCCACTGACCTGCGCCCACTGTCTGGCACTCCCTAGTGAGATGAACCCGGTACCTCAGATGGAAATGCAGAAATGACCCGTCTTCTGAGTCGCTCAGGCTGGGAGCTGTAGACCGGAGCTGTTCCTATTCGGCCATCTTCTACATAATCTTGTTGTGTGTGAGTTTCTGCTTAAAGGCACCTTATTTAATATATATTGTTGATTCATTAACAGCAAGCTCATGGCCACCAGCACTGTACCTCATGACTAGATAAAGCTTACCTAACACTCGTATTTCCTCCGTAAGACACATCACAGCTTTCTTGTGCTTAAGAACATCAGACAGCCCTGTGCTTGGGGACCCCTTTAAACAGCAAAATCACCAATAAAAGGCACCAAGAGTGTGAAAAACATGGTACTGAAGAGACCATGAAAAGGACCCTTTAGAGTATGAGAGCAGAAACTGGAGGCAGAGCGTCACGATGTTTGGCCTCACCTGGGAACCTAACATCTGGTGACACATTTTTCACCAATGTGCTCGTGTCTGCGAATGACCAAGAGGGCATGATGAGTGCTGATTTTGCATTCCAAATGAATTTTTAAAATAGGCAAATTTGCAAATGCAGACTCCATGAATAGTGAGGGTGAACCGCATTTAAGAATAAAATGGCATGGCGTCCGGGATTTGCTTCTAATCACTTCAGTGGGGAAAGAAAAACAAAAGGATGAGGAAAGGATAGATGAAGCAAATGTTGGAGATGTTGCTAATTGCGGACAGTCATGATGGGTATATGGGATTGGGGGGTCTGTTGCTTGAGGTCCTCAAAGAAGCAGGAACCAAGGTGAGATGAAAGGTGTTATTTTATTAGGGGACATGCCTGTGAGAAAGGACATAAAGGAGGAGCCAGAAAGGCTGGGAGAGCTAACCATCATTCTAAATGCTAGTCTGACCCTGAATGAAGGAGGGAGGGAGAGAAGGCTGGGTAGGTGCACCCTGGAGAGCAGGGCAGCCTCCTGAGTATACGGACAGTCGAGCAAAGCCTGGGAACGTCCCTGAGTGAAAGTCTCTGACAGAGGGTCCCACAGCTCCCATGAAGGAGCTTGCCTTAGGATTCCTGCTGCACTGGCAGGGTCCAGTCCTTGGGAGATGCGGCCTCCACACAATCAGGGTGAGGGCTGAATGCCCAGCACCAGGCCTCACACGCAGCAGGGCCCCTGCAGCAGGAAGTCCGCAAAGCATGCTCTCTTTGTCGCCACATGGAGGTTCATTAAACTAGTCTCTACCATTGAGTATTTTTTGAAATATTTTTCAATAAAAATTAAAAGAAAAAAATGAGGTGGGCAGAAGAGTGTAGGGAGGAGGAAACTGTGACGAAATTACCATGTGTGGCAACATTTGGACTCACAGCATGCAGGCTGATTGGCAGCAGACCAGCCATGTGTAATTCTTCTCCTTTTTTTTTTTTTTTTTTTTTTTTTTTTTGAGATGGAGTCTCACTTTGTCACCCAGGCTGGAGTGCAGTGGCACCATCTCGGCTCACTGCAACCTCCGCCTCCCAGGTTCAAGCCATTCTCCTGCCTCAGCCTCCTGAGTAGCTGGGACTACAGGCGTGTGCCACCGCATCCGGCTAATTTTTGTATTGTTAGTAGAGACGGGGTTTCACCATGTTGGTCGGGCCGGTCTCGAACTCCTGACCTCGTGATCCACCTGCCTCGGCCTCCCAGAGAGCTGGGATTACAGGCGTGAGCCACTCTTCTTATTTTAATACTACAAACTTGTGTAATAATGTCACACAGTTTCCAAATTACTTCTGTGCCTCCCCATTGAACTCTCACACCTACTTTAAAAGATGGGCAGGGCAGGCACTTGGGTATCATTGTACCTGCTGGGAAGATGAGTAAATCTCTCTCAGCACCCAAACCTCACTTTGGTTAAGAGAGTGGCCCCATCACTCAGCTGAGTAGGAGTCAGGTGAGAAGGCTGTGCCCGATCCTCAATCTGGTGACCTCCTACTACCCTTCCGTGGCCCACCCTTCTGGCATTGATACTCAGGCTGGGAGCAGGGTGCCTCCAGACCCTCACTGAGCTGCCCACACTGCTGGGCCCAATGTCCCTTGGAAGAAAGAATGCTTATCTTGTGGGATGATGAGTAGGGTTTAAAGGTCAGCCTGGTAGCGGGGCTTAAAGCTCTGAGGTCAGGGTTAAGGTTTAGTCTGAAGCTAAAACAGGGTCACCCTGAGGTCAGGATCAAGGGACTGTGAGGGGTAGTGACACCCCTCAGCCCCTTGTAGGCCATGGTAGTGGGGATCAGTCCCCTACCTGGCCCACACAGCCCTCTAACTCATTCTCCTCAACCCCTCTGGGTCTGTGGACCGGAGCGGGGGCTGCATCCACACAGAGGTGCCCTGAATTTGTCCCTCAGGCCCATTTGCATCTGGTGCGCCTTGGGCTCACCCAGGAGGATTTCCCCAAGAACATTTCGTAAGCCACCTGCCTGGGTTTAAGCCCACTGACAGCAAGAACAACTCTGGGACAAGCCTTGTCCAATTCCCCACCCATTGCTACAGACTTAATTACAGACCCCAGCTGCACCAAGTGGCCACCTTCCGCCCCCACGGGGGACAGAGAAGGGGGGCCGGTTTGTGCTCCACTAGGAGGCATCAGCAAGAGAAATCAAGAAGCGTTTCCCAATAGTGCAGCCTGGGAGTGCGATCTGTCTCGATGAAACTGTGACCACGGTGGCTACATTTTCTCAGGTCCCTGGTGCCTCTCACTCCTCTTTCTGTGTACACCGCCCCCCACCCCATCTTGTCCCCACCGTTGTTGTTTCAGTCTAATCCCTTATGAGCCCCAAAAGAGAAAGTCTGAATGGCCTGGCACTCTGTAAAAGGAGCCTGAAGGGGGCAATGCTTAAGCCCAAAAGAGAGTGATCCCCTGCTGGGGTGGCGGGCACTATGGCAGCAAATGTGGAGTCTTCCTGATGCTGCAGAAAAGGAAGGCCCAACCAAACTATGGCAGCAATGACTTTCTCTTCTTTAATGCCTTGGCCCCTTGCCAAGGCCTCCAAATGGGCGCCCCCTTGAGAGACAGGCAAGCATGCAGGGTGCTGCTGACTCGGCTGGCAGTGACGGTGCTTCCATGTGCCAGGTCATCCCCACCCCATACCTAATCACCAGCCTCGGAAAAACCTGGCAGTTCCTTCCTGCCTCTCCAGCCACGCCACCCCCCGCCCTGCCGTGGGCCCTTCTCCCCTCTCTCCAGGACCTCGGCAGCAACTTTCTACCTCTTCTCTGCTCAGTGCCACAGTGCTTCAAGGGCATCATTCCCTACAAGAATAGGTCTAAATCAGCGGTGGGCAGGCTACCTGAGGCCCCCAGGCCAAATCCATCCCACAGCCTATCTCCCTAAAGCCTCACAAGCTGCCTGGCTTTTACAGGTGAAGATTTGCCATCAGTGTGATGGTAGGCACCACTTTTACCCCAATTAAGCAAAATATTACACACTCCCTCTCCAAAATTGTAATAGACCTATGTTATTTTCTTAATGTACTCTATTGTTATATTTTAAGTTTCCTTACTAAAAAGTTGTAGAAACATGCTTTCTCTCTTTTTATATAAGTGCCTATAATATCCTTGGTTTTTCCTCCTGGCCCTCAAAGTCCAAAAGGTTTACTGTTTGTTTGGCCCTTTCCAGGAAAAGGTTTGCTGGCTTCTGGTCTAAACTCTTCCTTTGAGTATTCAAAGTCCCTTAATCATAAGCACCCCCTGCCAACCACACTTCACCCCAGCCCCCAACCCAACCATACTGGGTTCAAGTCCCGGCCCTTCCATTTACCACCGTAAGTTATTTGTATTCTTCATGCCCCAGTTTCCTCATCTGTGGAATGGGGATAATGAGAGTAGGATAACTCAGTAAGTTATACGGGGATTGAATGAGTTAGTATTTATAATGTATGTAAAGCAATGCCTGCCACATAACCTGCCTATGTACATGTTTGATAAAGAAATAAAACCTCTTACAGCCCAGTGCCACCTTGAGCACTCCATTCAAGAAGTCCCATCTCCTCCATGTGGCCTCCTCCTCCTTTCACGGAACCCCTACCTGCATATCTTATCTCTGGCTCACAATGGGAGCAGTGATGACTGTCACTTTCTGCTCCCTCTGCCCTGTTTCCTGAAAGCTCCTTGAGGGCAGGAATAATGTCTTATCTTCCTTACTTCCCAGAAGATTACAAAGCTGAATGTAAAATGAAGATACACACATGTAGGAAGAAGTAATTTTCAACAACTAGAACAAAGAAGAGCTTTCTGAACTTAAATGTGAACGGAGCAGTGGTGAAGGGAAATATGTTCAATTTGATTGCCTGGAATGTAAGTCTTCTCCATTTCAAAAAAACAAAAAGGCAGAATATAAAAATCAAATAGGAAACATGGAAGCAATATTTGAAACAAACATGGCCAGTAAAGGGAGAGTTAATCTTCTTAATAAATATACAAAGAATTCTTACAAATCAATATGAAAAAAAAAATCCTAGGATCAAAATAGATAAGTAGTAAAAAGACTTAAATAGAAAAAGTGGAAATATAAATGGCTAACAAAAAAGTAAAATTATTTATACTCATTAATAATTCACAGATGCAAATAAAAAGAATGGCAATGAATAATTTAGCACATGAAATTAATAGATAGTTTTTAAAATAAGAGTATTCAGGCTTGGCCAGGGAACATGAAAATGAGCACTGCTGGTGAGAGTATCAATTGAGCAACTCGGTGAATTCAGCAACATGATTCAAAGGCCTTTAAAACAGTCTTACCCTTTGGCTCAGTATTGCGACTTCTAGGAGGCCAGCCCAAGGAAATCATCAGACAGGTGGATAAAGATTTACACACAGTGTTGTGAAAAATGGAATACAACTCACATGTCCAACAATAGGGGATTGGTCAAATAAATTACGGTCCACCCATATGATGGTAGATTATGCAATGATTTAAAATGATGTTTACAGAGAGTGTTTCATGACATGAGATACAAAATGGTACAAATAATTCAAATGCAAGTATGCTTTGTAAGTGCATAGAAAAGGGACTGGAAGGAAAGAGGCATGACTCCCCAGCTCCAGGACAGGATTGTGGTGCTCAGCCTGCATACCGAGACTGTGAGGTGTCCGAGGCATGGGCATGGATTTCCACGCAGGCCTCTGTGCATCCGTGTGCACTGGGGCACAGTTTTGTCTGTGGTTATGTGAGAAAATGTCTTCATGTGTGGACATAGGTGTGAAAACATGTGCAGAGTATGCTCTGAGTGTGTGCACGTATTTCTTATGTCCAAGTCTTCATGTTCGAGCAAAGCAATTAGCAAGTGATATGGACACTTCTCAGTCTGCACACCTTGACCGTAAAGGGGCCAGCAGCCATTGCCCCAATAAAAAAGTGTTCAGTGCCCTCGGCCCTCAAGCTGGCCCTTGCCAAGGACACTGCTACACCCAAGCTGGGAGTCCAGCAGACATTATGGGATCACAAGTGGAGTAGGTCTAGCCCTGCGAGTTGTGATTAGACGTAATTTGAAATCTCAAGGGCCTAAAAGGAGACTGCAGATGCTTCCTAAGGCCCTGGAGGGCCTGGATCCATGGGGCTGAGGACTGACCCTCGGCTCACTCCGACCCAGCCTGAGAACTGCCCACATGTGGCACCATAGAGGGAAGGCCCACCCGCCTACCCCAGTTTGAGGGGAGCCTGAGCTCTTTGCACAGGCCCACACACTTCTGGCCCATATCTTCCAGGCCTTTCTGTTCCCGTTCCCAGGAGGAGGCCGTGTGGTGTGGTGATTTTCCACTGAGGAGTGCCTGTGCTATTGCCATCTCCCCAGGGCCAGGCTGGCTCCACCTGCTGGCCTGGTTGGCGATAAGTGGGCCCCACCTGTTGCCCCTGCCCCAGGAGCAGGTGGGGGCAGGCCGCCGGGGGTGTGCCAGGATCCTATCTGGAGCACCCAGCCCAGATCATGGGGTGTGAAACTCCATAGACACCCCAGCACCTTCCCCAGAGTCACCTGACCGGGAATCGAACCCTGTTCTCAGTCACCTGACCTGTCTTTTCCCTCCTCCAAGGACTCACCCTCCTGCAGCCAAGTCATCCTGTCCATCCCTCTGCCTCCAAGCTTGGCTGAGGCTCAACTCGGCACATGTTTGTTGAGCATCTACTCAGGCTCTCAGGAGCTCCCTCAGAGCCAGGCCCAGCCACACCGGGTCTGAGTCACCAGCAGCCCTCCTGAAAAACGAGTAAGGGATGACTTAGCCAGTTAATGGGGAAATACCCACAAAACCCAGCCAAGGGTGTGCAGACTCTCAAAAGGCAGGGGGAAACAAAGAGGGACAGAAGGAGCCGGAGGGCTTTTCTGTGAATAGGGAAGAGAGAACTCGGACATTCCTTCAATAGCAACTTTCGAACTCCCACTGCAGGCGGGCACATGCTAGATGCTGGCCACCAATGCCATCTTTGCCTCCTTGGAACTTATAGTCTAGTGGGGAAATGATATTAATCAAAGAAAAGTAAAGTTGCAATGGCATTAGGGGATTTAACCCAAAAGTTCATGGTGCCAGGAGAGCCCGCAGAGACAGTGCTTGCTCTGCTCCACACCTGGAGGGCAGCCTGCCTCCGCCCCACACCACAGGCCCATGGGCCTGGGTTTCCAGCACTGTGTTAGCATCGCCTTTCAGGCCCTCCAATCTCCTAACGTCAGCACAAGCCTTGATCCAGAGTTGTCCGCATGCTGGGTGGTCCTCCCAGGCAGCGGGATGTTCCTGGTGCCCCCCACCCCATGCCCTTTTGTAGCATCAAAGGGCTTCCAGACATCCCCAATGTGAAAGACAAAATGCATGTTCTAACAAACCAGCCTTGAGCAGAGCAGCAGGTGTGGAATGGGGGCTCCACAGAGAGCAGGGGCATCTCCTGGAGAAAGTGATGTCTGCGAGAGAGCTGAGTTCACAAGCTATGGGGCAGAGCGAGGGTAGGGGCCAGACAGAGGGAACGGTGAGTGCCAAGGGCCTGGCAGAGAGGCACATGGCATGAGCCAGGAAGTGCAAGGTGGCCAGGGTGCTACGGAGGGGCCTAGTGGGAGATGGGAGGCAGCGTGGGCCGGCCTTGGGGACAAAAGTCAAGTTCTTGTTCCTACCCTAAGGGTACTGGGGAACCATTGAAGGACTTTAAGCAGAGAGTGACATGATGAACTCTACAACTTAACATCCCACTGGTTACCATGTGGGGAACCAATGGGAGTCCACCAGAGAGGAGCTAGCAGACTGTCGGGAGGCTCCACAGCAGCCCAGGCCTGGGGCCCTGACTCAGAGGGGCAGGTGGGCAGGAGTGGACAGAGTCGAGAGCCATGAAGGAGCAGCCTCCACGGGAGAGTGTGAGGAGGCGGGACACAGGGCATTGTCTATTTCAGAGGGAGGAAAGGAGCACTTAAGAGTGGGTCAGAGAGACAGAGCCCTCCATGGGGAGTTCAGCCCCAGAGCCTCTCACTCCAGGCGTCTGTCCTGTGGGCAGAGATTGTGGGGAACTTCAGGGACCACCTGACCTGGGCTCCATTAACCCACTGGACGTCCAAGGAGAGAATGTAGGGGATTTGGGGATTGAATGCGGAGAAAATTACACCATTATTTTCACCAACGCCTAACTCAACTTTCTTTCAGTTATGTGTGGAGACAACAAACCACAAAAGTATGTAAAAGTACCTGTGACTTTGTTAGCAATCGAAATCAGATATTTTCATATCATTACAGTTGAGAAGACATCTTGAAATATCAAAAACGCTCATCCACATCTTGAAATATCAAAAACGCTCATCCCAATGCAGAAATTATTATACAAAAACTATTAGACCCGCTGCTAGATCTTGTGATGTAAATCACTAATGAGAAGCACATATGTTGCCATAGCACAGACTTGAAGCTGAGTTGCCTCCACTTGGCTTTTCCACACGCCGCAAGCAGCCTCGATTTCACCCACCATTCTCATCAGGGAGGAACAAGGCAGCTGGTCAACCCATGATGGCTAATAATTTGGTGATCTCAATAAACCGCTAAAATTTTGGCTTATCTATCTTTTATTCAGGAGAAATGGAAAGAAACAGGTTTTCAAACAATATAAATTACATATGTTTTTATGTTCAGAATAAGGAATTAACAAGTTGAAGTAATGTAATATATTTTTCCTTATTTGAAATTGTCTTCATTTTATAATCTTCCCACTTTTTATAACTGGCCACTTATAGCCACATCCTCTAACTTATATACACATCATTACTAAGGCTTATTTACAGCATATTTAAAAATTGTTTTATTCTGGTTCGTGGTCACTCACTGCCAACACCTCAAGTTTTTTTGTTTTTGTTTTGGTTTTGTTTTGTTTTTTAACAGGGTCTCACTCTGTTGCCCAGGCTGGAGTGCAGTGGCATAATCATGGCTCAAAGCCTTGACCTCCCAGTTTCAAGCAATCCACCCACCTCAGCCTCCTGAGTAGCCAGGACTACAAGTGCACCTGGCTACCACCACCCCTGGCTAACTTTTTATTTTTTGTAGAGACAGCATCCCACTGTGTTGTCCAGGCTGGTCTCAAACTCCTAAATTCAAGGGGTCCTCCTGCCTTGGCCTCCCAAAGTGCTAGGAGTACAGGCGTGAGCCACCATGCCCAGCCTGCCTCAAGATCTTGGTCTTTGTTTTCCTAAACTGGATCTGTGTCTGAGAGTCATGTCAAAGACTCTAAGCTTTATATCACCCTTTCTCAAAAAGCAGAGCCGTATGCACCAGGTATTATTTGGTTGCAGGATTTGGGTCGGTTGCAGCTTTGAGTCTGGGTCCCAGGTGAGAGGCGTGGCATATAATCGTGCCATGCAACATGTGCATCCTTATTGCAGAAGTACACAATCAAAATAGGTTGGCACAACGTTTTCTTTTTTTAATTCTACTCCAGGGCGTTGTCTACATCAGTGGGAGTGGAGCTTATTTGCATTTTGTCAGTTATAGCGACGTGGTCACAGTGAAACCTGAGTTAGGTAGCATCCTATTTCCAGCTTGAACCGTTTGTGCCCACTACTGACTGGCTACCTGACAGATGCCCAGATTGCCTTTCTCTGAATTAGGTTCTACCTGCCGAGGGAAACTGGTTTTCAAAAACCCTCTTCATGGTGCCCTGAATCAGCCCCTGCACCCCCTATACTAAGAAGCCCGAGACCCACTAGGAATTTGATTGAAACAAGGCAAATCTGAACTAGCTGTTAGGGCATTGGTAAAGAGTGAGGATGGATTATTGTGGAGGCTCCAAATAGACACGGTCTTCCTATAGCACGGATATGAAGTGGCCCAAGGTGTCTCTGCTACCCCACCTTCCCTTGAGGTTCTCCGGTCACCCTCTTCTCTGCTCCCACTTCCCCCAGCCCCCTACCCAGGGAAGAAACTATTTGCTGGTGCCATTTACAGTGATGGGTGCAGCAGTATCCTTTCAAGGAAATTCATCTGTGGTGAGGGGATGTGCCCTGTCCGAAAGTGTGAATCACCTCTGCTGGAACTCTGGGCACTGTAACATGCAATCAGGGGCTCTTTGGAGAAGAGACGTCTGCATACACCTCGAGGAATACAGTCTGCCTGTCTGTAGGGTTGGCCCTCCCTCCAAGCCCTGATCCTTCTTGAGAAAGACTCTGGCTTCCTAACTTCCCACGATCTCTATCAGTAAGGTAGGTATCCTACGAGCGGCCCCTTGCCCTGTTCCCTGGGAGAGAGGACATGACCCAGGAAGTCTCCAAGTACAGGCTGTGCCTGGGGAAGAGGAGCCGGCCGGGGCTGAGGAACCAGAGGAGTTAGCGCAGGAAGGCTTCCTGGGGGAAGAGGGAGCAGCCCTGGGCCCCTCACCAGTACTGCCCCGAACATTCCATAGGCATTCAGAAACTTCTGCAACCTGACCCTCCTGCCCACTCATACACATACCTTATGTTCCTGGCCCCTGAATGTAAGTTCATCCCATTCTGCTGGCTGCTTCCCTGTCCAGAACGCCTCCTACCCACCTCGCTTCTCTGATATTCTTGTGATAGCCTCCACGGAGCTGCTGGGCACTCAACCCACTCAAGGCTTCTCCCACGGCCGCTCTCCAGACCTGGCTGTGCAGTTGTCCTCGAGACTGTTCTTCAGTGTCCATGCCTCCTCCTTCTCCTGTTACCCACAGTGCAAGGGGAATCAGACTTCTTGAAGGTCACAGCTTCCTTCCCTAGCTCAGAGAATTGGGGCAAAGAGTTGGAAATGGCGACCAGATGTGGGGACAGTAGTGACTGTAAATGGAAGAACTCCTGTGTCAGACAAGCCTGGGACTGCACCCTGGCTCCCTGTTTCCCAGCTGGGCCCTCTTGAAACAGCCTTTCCCTTCTCTGAGCCTCAGTCTTCTCATCCACAAAATAGGACTACCCGTATTTGAAAGTGTTTTGCAAACTGCAAAATACTGAATATCAGAATGGAGATCATTACTCAGAAATGGCTGGCCCCATGGATAGATAGACAAGTGAGTGAATTCCAGGCCAGGGCAGGGATTTGGGGCAGACGTGGGTTGCTGCCTGCCTTACCTGTGCATAAGACCAACCCTGGGCAGGAGTTCCTATTTCTTCCCCTGAAATCCAGGAATTTGCCAAACAGGCAGCTCTCACCTGGAAAAAAAGTGACTCAGGCCTCCAAGAGAGCTGGGATGAATCAGGAAGGCAGGGACTGAATGTGGGGCCCCCACCCAGGGGCCTGGGCCTCTCCCAGCAGGAAGAACATGAGTTGGTCCCCAGCCCTCACTGGGTAAGAGGGCAATCCTGCCAAAATGCGCCCCTGGCCAGCCAATGGGGCACAATAATCATCACCACCACACTCACTCCCACATTCCAGACCTGTCGGGGCGCCTTCACGAGTGCTATCTTGTCATGCATAATCTCTGAACCCCAAGTCAGGGAGGCCCGGGTTCCAGCTCTGCTGCTCGTCCTCGGTGTGTGCCCAGGCAATCACGTAGGCCTAGTTTCCTCCTCTGGTAAAGGGGGTGGTGGACTCAGTCGGCCCCAGCCGCTCCTCCTGACGTGGGTGTGGATGGGAGGCAGTGGCTGCAGGAGACAGGAGCACCTGGGAACAGCCCGGGGTTGCAGCCCCAGCCCTGCCATTTGCCAGCTGTGTGGCCTGACCACTTGCTGCTGTGCTTCCTCGGCAGTCCCTAAGAGTCCATCCTGCTCTGACAGGAGTGTGACCTGAGGGAGGTCCTCAGCTGTGACCTCTGTCTCCCTATACCTCCCACTGGCATGGCCAGCTGCTGTCCCTAGAACTCTGCCTAGAATGCACACTAGGCAGCTCAAACCCTGCATGCCCAATATGAAACTCTGATCATCCCCGAATGCCACAAAAGAACCTCCTTCACCCTGTATCCCAGTAAAAGGCAGCTCCATCCTTCCAGTTGTTCAGGCCCAAAATTTGGACTCCTCTCTTTCTCTCTACCCCACAGCCAATCCAGCAGCAAATACTCTGGTGCCACCTTCAAAGCAGATCCAGAATTCCACTGATGCTTGCTTCACCTCTTCCTCACTGGTCCAGGTCCTGTGGTCCTCTGGGC
The DNA here is from genome assembly GCF_000001405.40 of Homo sapiens. Lineage (NCBI taxonomy): Eukaryota > Metazoa > Chordata > Mammalia > Primates > Hominidae > Homo > Homo sapiens. The sequence continues at coordinate 72,033,418 of NC_000002.12, forward strand.
CATCGAGGAAGCCTCCTCTGGGTCACTCTGTCCCACGCTTTGCCACCACCACCCCCCCCCCCCCCGCCGCCCACCATCAGCATTCCCTGCTGCAGCCAGAGGGATCCTTTTAAACCTCAAGTCAGGTCTGGTCCCTTGGGGCCCAAACTCCACAGAAGCTTCAGAGTAAAAGGCAAAGCCTCGAGGGCAGTGCACCGTTCTATTCTTGCAATAAAACCAACTCGGTTTTGGGAAAAAAACTCAAAAGACCTTACAATGGCCGACAGGGCCCTGCATGCTGTGTCCTCCATTACCTCTCGGTTCTCAGGCCCTTCTCCCTCCTCTCCAGCCGAAGCACCCCTTGCTGTGTTCAGCTCCTCTCTCAGGGCCCATGCATGTCTTTCTCCCAGGCAGCCACACGCTCCCTCCCTGACCTCCTTCAAGTCTTGGCTGAACCCAGGCTCTCCTCGGCCTCCGCACTTCCATTGCAACACCCTTCCCTGGCAGCAGACCTGATCCACTTGACTCTCCTTTGTTTTTCCCCAAACCTCATATGACCTTCTAACATACTCTGTCATGCGTCTATGTTTGCTGTTTATTGTCTCTCTCCTCCCTCTAGAATGTTAGCACCAGGAGGGCAGGGCTTTTTATCTATCTTGTTCTTTAAAGGATCCTTAGCATCTGGCACACAGTATGCGCTCAATCAATACTTACAGTGTGACTGAGTGAATAGGCATCAGTAGACTGTAATGGAAAAGAGAACTAGTAATCTGCCATTTCCTAACTGTGTGACATAATCTCTTCATGCCTCAGTTCGCTTATTTGTAAAATTAAGTTAATAATGGTACTTGACTCATGGGGCTGGTGTGTGGATTAACATGTGCTCAATAAATATTGACTGTGACCATGATGCTATCTGCAGAGCATCACTAGGAGGCAGGTGTGTCGCGGCCCACTGAGCCCCTTTCCAGGTCAGGAGATGTGCCCGGAAAGCTTCTCTCAGCTCACCCGGCAGGCTTTTCTTGCCCAGAGCCTAGGGAGGGCACCCCATGCTAAGGAGCAGGACCCCGCTTCAAGGAAGTCGGAGCCAGCCCTGACTCACATGCTCGGTCACCCTTGGATGCTGGGAGTGTGGCATGGAGGAACCCAGGCCAGCAGGGAGGCAGTGGCCAGAGAGCATGGGGCCTCAGATGGGTAGTGGGTCTCTCGGGGGTCAGGGGACAGTCATTTATATAATAGATTTCTCTCCTAGAAGCTGAGAGTAGGTGGCCTTCCCAGCCTGAGCAAACTCTCCCGTTTCTTCTTTGAGCAGCAAGATTAGTGGGCAAACCAGCTCTGACCAGAGAAATCACTAAATCCACTCTTTGGCTCAAGGGAGCCTCAAAGCAGCCCCATAAGAGCCAAGGTCAGGCCCCTCATCAAATCCGTTTAACACTTAGATAAACAGAGGCCCAAGGGGCAAGAGAATCTTCCCAGGGTCCCACTGCCAGAGACAGGTGGAGCTGGGACCGGCAGTCAGGGCTTGAGACCTTAAACCCCGGCCAGTTTCCTTCCGCAGAGAGCTGCCGTTTGAGCCCAGGCCCCTACTCCCTTTCTCCTCAACTGAAGATTGCAGCTGCAATTTGTTTCCAGGTGTTCAGGCCCCAGAAGACTCACGTTTTCACACCCTGTCGCTTGAGGTTTTCTCCATCCAAGGGGGAAAGGTATAGGATGTTTGCATGAGTCCCTCTTGATGGTCTATGAGTTTCTCCAGGCCCCATTAATTGACTTATGATTTATACTCTACCTACTTCCAAAGAGGACATGAAGTAGCTTACCATAGAATACATGCATATAATGCTGCTAACAAAAAATGATAATACATAAAAATTCAAGAGGAGAAAGAAAGACTCAAATACGCCAAACACAGGGGCTAACACAGATCGTGTGATTAAGGGTTAACTTTCTATCTGGGCTCCTAGCAGCTAAGGTACAAGTTGGTGCAAAAGTAATTGTGGTTTCTGCCATTAAAAGGCCACACTACTTTTGAAATCAACCTAATAAAAAGGGCATCTTCGGGAGGCACTGAACCATCTTTTCATCCTCCCCCAGCACCTGGCGTCAAGGAAACCCTTGAAGAATGCTTGAGGCTGACTGAAAACATGGGTGGCAGCCTAAGTTCATGACTTGCTTTGGCCAAGTGACCCCACGGGGACCCATATCCTTACTCTCTGGGTCCCTCCCCAGAGGTCAGTCCTGGGGCACGCCCTGGGTGCCTGTATGGCTCTCTTCTCCGCCCACAGGAAGTGTGACCCCGGATCATGACGTCATGGCTGACCTTGGCATCTGTCCTGCTGCCTTAATGAATCAGGCCTCGCTAAGGAGAAAGCCCCAAGTGGCCAACAGGAATGACTCAAAATGACTTAATTGATTTAATTAACTGAAAAGAGAGGAAAAGAAACCAAACCCTTCTGAGGGCAGTTTGAGTACCTGCTTGGGCAATGAGTGCAATGGAGATGCCCCCGGCCTGGTGGCTCAGGTTCAGGAAACACGTCTCACCCTGGCCCCACCCTAGGGTCCATGGTGCCGGGGCAGGCCGGGCCCTGATCCTCACTGTCTCAGGAGAACCAGGCAGCCAGGGATCACAGCAAGGCCATCCACAGTGGAGGATCAGCCCTGGCTTTTGTGACTTAGCTTTCAAGAGCCAGGCCCTGGCAGACGTCACCCTCAGAAGCTTCCTGCAGGGGGTGGGTTGGGTCAGGCAACCCAGGAAGGACGGGTAGACATAAATAGGTAAGGCTGAGGAGGAGAGGCTTTCTTACGGTGAAGGACAGAGGAGAGCTCTGTGGAGAGGTTGGGCTGAGCCCTGCAGGCCCAGAGTCCCTGAGAAGCTACAAGGAGCAAGGGCGGGCAGGGGAGGCTAGATTAGACATTGCCTTCTGACCCTCTTCAGTGAGAAAACCCTGCTTCTGCAGGGGTAAAGATCTCAGCCTCACTGAGCTGCCCTGCCCTGTGGAACCCCTGATGTGCTAGGGACAGACTATCCCTGACCACTGACATCTACTGAGCAAGTACAAGTGCCAGACATGCTTGGGGCTTCCCAGAGTGTAGCCCATTCCATCTTCATCATTCTGCAGTAAGTAATGCCACTGGCCCCGTTTTGCAGGTGAGGAAACTGAGTTCAGAGAGGTTCAGAGATTGGCCCAAAGACACACAGCTAGTAAATAGTGGAGCCAAGGTTAGGGTCCAAGTGTGTTCAACTGCAGCACGCAAGTTGCTCTTAGCCCCTCCTTGGGCCCCCCCCCGCCCCACCATGGGTGACTGAGACACAACTCCTGACCATGGGGCTCTCCCGGTCTGATTGCCGTGTTCTGTCCTACAGAAACTTGGTCCAGCTGGGAAGCTTTGTTGCTGCTCTTAGGAAGCTCCCGGAAAAGTGTCTAATGGCAGGGCAACAGTGGTGGCGGGGGTTGTGGGTTCCCTTTCATCTGGGAGCTGTAGCCAGCAGGGGCTGGAGGAAGGATGCTCCTTAGGAGGCATCACTGAGAAGTGGACTAAAGAGATAACACCAGCAGAATCCACCTGTATCTTCTCTAAGGCTGAGGCCTCCTCTCCATGTGGGCCTCTCCCAGCAAGGGGGGCAGACAGGCACTCCCCACCTTCAGGGAGCCAGGCTGCCTGGCAGGCGGAGCACTTCAGCCTGGAGCCAGGAGATCTGAAGGGAGGGAGATGCGGTGCTGAGAGGAGATCAGCCCAGAAACCCCCTGAGTGTCTTTCATGTCTGTGCAATGGGTCCATCTGCAGCCAGGGCCAGGGCCCAGCAGAGGCCAGAACTGCGACTGTCTGAATCAAAGCCAGTCCACGGCCAGGGTCAGAGGTCAGTCAAAGATCAGGGTCATGCATTAGTCAGAGGCCAGCTTGAGGTCTCAGCTATAGGTCAAGGGTAATGGGGCTGGGATCAACTTTTAAGCAGTGGGCTGCAGAAGGAAGAGGCTGGGAGGTCCCTTGAACAAGGTCTGGATCAAGAGACTACAGTGAGTCACCAGGGTGACCCCTGGGGTCCTGTTGGCTGTGGTCACCTGCTAGGGAGCGAATGCAAGCCGGGGCTGCGGATGCTCCAGGGGTAGGCAGGGGCCTGCCTACAGACTCCGCGCCCCTCATTCCTCCTGGCTGAGGTCATTCCATTGGCCCAGCCACCCCAGCCTGGGAGGGGAGGCAGAGGTTCTGAAGTGGTTCCCCCAGAGTACCTGTGAGTCATGATCCCTAGGACTGCAGCTACTGGGCCTGGCAGATCGGGGTACCCCAGGACGCTGCTCCCAGCCCCAGAGCCTCATGTGTCAGCAAACGAGAGTCAGTTAAAGGCTAAATCCTACTGAGACTAAGCTATGTGCCAGACACAGTTCTAAAGCTTTATATACATAGTTTCTTTTAATCCAGTGATGTGTTATTACTCAGTTTATAGATGAGGAAACTGAGGCACAGAATGGTTAAATACATGACTCTGGCACTTAAATCCATGCATGGCTTTAAATGAGGCAGCCAACCTCACTCTGAACCACAATATGATTTCAGAACAGGATGAGACTAACCCTCCCCCAACCCCACCAACTCAAGCAAGCTGTGGCATTGCTAAAGGGCTGTGGGCATGGGGACTGCAGACTCCACATCCCTACCATGCTACTTCCTCATAGAAGAAGCTTAAAGCCAGAGTCCAAATCTCTAGGGATGAAATTCCAGGCAGCAGCAAGTTGAATCTTTGGAGCAGGGTGGACTCCTGGCAGTATCAGCCAGGAGTCTCCATTTTTCTTGATCCATGAAATGCCGCCATCCCCATTTGTTTCTTTTCTATTGGACATGGGGCCTTCCAGCAGGCAGCGTACCTTGGGAGGGACTCCCAGTGCGATGTGCTGGCCTCCCAGTGCAATGTGCTGGCCTCCCAGGAAAGTGAGCTAAGAAACATTGCACTTTGGTGGAGTTGTGAGATGCTTTGGTAACTGCGCTTCTATTTGATGTAATGGGGTTAATGAAACTGGGTTAAAATACAGGATTCTCAGGATATGGGTTCCCAAAGGCAGGAAAAGGGATCAGTAAAGACAGTTAAAGGACACAGGACCCCAGGGGCATCGCATTTGATCAGCAGTTTACTCATTCCAGGCACTTCCACAGGTACCTTCACCAGAGTCTCACAGGGAGGAGGTGCTAAAACTGAGATTATCAACCTTTTTCACAGATGAGAAAACTGAGGCCCTCGTGGGGTAAGTGTCGAAGACGCTTTGGAGGCTCCTCTGCAGATGTTCCACCTTGCCCCCTCCTCTGTTGCTGGGAACTCCAATTTTGCCTGAAACTCACCATCCCCAGTTCGTGAGAAGGACGCCCCCACTCAGCTCCAGGGTCTCTCTATTGGCTGAGGCCAGTGGCTTGCCACCTTCCCAAACCCAATCCACCTTTGATAGAAAACATTTTGAGCCATCCCCTTTACTATCCTGAAATGAAATCCATAGATAATATAATTTCAAAGGGAAGCATCAACACAATGCCTTTAACATAAAGGAGAAATATAAGAAGAGTAATTTCTAATGAGCTAAACATGTTTTGGTGTGCAGACGATCAAACGGGACCACAGCACAGGCTGCACTGTGCCGGTGGCAATGCAGACCTCCTGGGGCGCTGCAGCCACTCACACCCCATGGAGCAGCACTGCCAACACTTTGGGACCTTCAGAAGTGGCAGGAGGCTCTCAGTCAAGTTCCAAAGAAAACCATGGAGTATTTTCTCCCACTGTACCTGGTAAACATTGGGCAAGGATGCTTCTATAAAATAGAGTTAAGGGCCTACGCCTGGATCATAAAAAACAGGTTTCTCACCTTCATGAATGACTGACATGACATTAAAGGTCACAGAAGGGACAAATTATTCTATGCAATGCAGGACATTCAAACTTTCCCTGCACCCTCCCCAAACCCCTCCAAATGCCATCACTCCAACAGTCACAACACGCCCGCAGCTTTCTTCTGTGAGCCAGTGCTGTAAGCTGATGACACAGTCATCTATCTCCTTGCCTGAGTATGGCCAACAGGACATAGGGGGGTGGAGGAAAGTTTTCTCATCATGATTGAGGGGAGAGAGAATTACCCCCACTTGTTTACCAGATGTCATTTTATCACTGACCACCCTGAGGGAGACATGGCCAACTGCTGTGTTAGACAGAGGAAGGATGGAAAGCTCCCAGGCCCCTGGGAGTTGAGGGGACTGTCAGCCTGCAGATCCATCTGCCCCGGAACCACCCTGAGTATGGACTCTGCTATGTGAGGCAATAATCCCATCTTGCTTAAGCTATTCTGAGCTGGGCCTTCAGTTGCTTGTTCCCATGGATGTTCAGATACAAGAAGTGGCTTTTCCTGACTTCACAGCCATTCTGGAAATCAGAGCTCAAGTCTCCTGGCCTCAGATGGGTTCTCTCTCCACCTAGTCCTGAGAGATGGAAGCAACCAGGCAGGGTCACTTCTCGGGAAGCTTTCTGGAAAGGAGGCCTCTGAGCCTTCTCAATGGGTGGAGACTCTGAAGGGGCAGACGTCCTGGGGATGGGAAGGGGACTGTCCCCTCCCCAGCTCCTTCCCTGACTCAAGAGACACTAGGATTAGCAGCCACATTCCTCACTAATGTCATCTTTTATGCTTTCGGTGCTTTACAGGCGCCTATTAGAAGACAAGCACTCCACCCAAAGGTGTCTGCCCAGCAGCCAGAACTCCCTAAGTGTGACACAGAGGCAGCACCAGCCTCATCTGCAGTGAGCATCAAAGGCCTCCCTGGGGAAGCCCTCAGCACAGCCCCCAAGGGTGGGAAGGAGTAGGCGGTATGGAAGTGGTGGAGAGGTGGTCAAACCCTCTGAGAAGACCCCACAGTGATGGAAACACAGCAGGACACAAGCTCCTGCTTGACTTGCATCCATCTGCCATGGACCTGCAGATGGAACTGCCATGCAGCACCTACAGACCTCTGCGCAGATTCTCAGCTTTATCCAGGTCCAAGAGGAGCCATCCAAGGTTTGAAGCACAGGGTGACACAGCCACTTCAAGTCCTGGTTTCCCTGAAACCCTTGAGCATCTCCACAGGCCTCCCACTGCAGAACCATGCTGTGGCCTCGAGTTTGGTCCTCAGTGGGAGCCAGCATCTGCACAGCTGCCTTCATGGACAGGGATAATGTCCCTGGTCCAAGTCTTCTGGCCCTTGGGTGTCAGGCGAGGAAGCAGGACACACTCTAGCCCCGAGTTACTTCTCGATACCTCACTTGTAACCCATCATTCCCATGCTCAAGAAGCCACCATGGCTCCCTACTGCCCAAGAGGTCAATTCGAAGTCCACCATCTGCACCCAAATGGCCTCTCAACCTTTTCCCTTTTGTTCACAAACACCAACCCCGAGGTCCCAGCAAGCTAACCTCACAGCGCCCTCGACTTTCCCACCTCCACACCACTGCCTACACTGCTTCCCCAGCCTGGAATGGCTACACCCCACAGGCACTCACATCATCTACAAATCCCACCCATCTCTTAACAACTGGCCCTCCTCTCACAAACGTCCTAATGATTTTCCAGCTCCTGCCGCCCTTGACAACTCCTCAGTCCTCAAAACAGTGGAGATATTCAGCTATCTACCATCAGTCTCAGTAATTACCTTGAACAGTCTCTTTCATCCTGTATTGCTTTTCACATTTTCAGCATTTGTGTTCTTGCCCACCCCCCACTCCATTGTAAACTCTTGGAGGATGCAGACCTGTCTTACTCACACATTCCCAGCACCCAGCATGCTATTGGCACCCACCTGCTAGGAGCTCAGCGAACGTTCTGTGGTTTTGAATTGCTTTTGCTCCAAGGAGTGACTCAGTGATGAAATTGCCTATACAGAGATAACTGGGTGGGGGGAGGTTGAGGGAAGGGTCCCTCCCTCGAATTATTATCATCACCAATGAGTATTTGTTGCATGACTTTGCAAAAGTAATTAGGGAGGAGATTGTTCTTCTAGTCTGTGATGATGGAGTGAACTCCGCAAGCAAGAGATGCAAATGGAACAAGACAGAAGGAACAAGACATGGGATGGAGAATGGGTAGGGACAGAAGCAGAGATTTGGAGAGGGAGCAAGACAGTGACAGGGACAGACAGAAACAGGGCCAGGGATGGAGGAGGAGAGGTACATGTGGAAACAGGCAGGGACCCAGAGAGACGAGCATCAAAGAGGGCAGAGAGGGAGAGAGGAAGACCAACAAAAGCTGAGAGAGGCAGAGGGCAGCAGGGGAGTGGGCCCCTCCCTCCCCAGCTGCTTCCCAGCCAGGCTGGGCCCTGCATCCTCAGAGCCACTCCTGAAACTCCCACATGTTGGGACACGAAGTCCAGGAGGAAGGCAGCCAAACTGGAAAGCAGCCGAGGAGCAGCTGCCAGGCAGCCATGCACCCAGGAAGATGGCAGTGATGAGGAGACGTTGTCCTGTCCCGTGGCCCCACCATCATACCCCCCCAACACACACACACCTGCACACACACACACATACACACACACTGACCTAGCCAAGGTACACTCCTGCACTGGCTGGCTGAGCTTGGCTGGATGAGGAGTACTTTTTCAAGGCTTGACTCAGGTGCCTGCTGGTGACAGGGAAAGGGAGTGGCCCAGCTGAGACCATGGAAGCTGCAGGGGTGGGGGGGTCAGAAACGAAAGGAAAGCTGGGATTAAAGTTTCAGTAACCTGCCTCGAAAGTGCCCAGGTGTTGTGTGGGCCAGGATTCCTGGGTGCTGAGTAAGGCAGCCATCCCCGTGTGGATGAGGAGAGGAGAGGTGCTGGCCACTGGTTGGTGTGAGGTGGGCAGGGGGATGGAGAGTCTTGCCGGGGACTGTGGCCTCCTCATCACCTCTTCCCACCACGCAACACCTTCCTCACAGTCCAGGCACCCATTGATTGAGGGCTCAGACCCCCGCTACTAAGAATGGAGTGAGGTGGTAGGTTGAGACTCAGGGAAGCCTGGGCCTGGGGAGGTCTAGGAACGATTCCTGTGTGTGTGGTGTGGTAAGAGGGATAAAGGATGCCGAGAAAGAAGGGACGAAGAAAGGCAGGGGCTGAAGGGCTTTAAGAAGACTTAGCCTGCCAAACTTCGCTATTCATTCGTGCACTTAAGCAACATTTATTGACACAGGAGAAAAGGGGGGTCCAATCAGAAACCAGCGTGAATAGACAAACCCCAAACCTGATCACAGACTGAACCCTAAACCTGGCCTCAGACTGAACTTTAACCCTGGCCACAGACTCACTGCTAAACCTGTCCTCAAACTCACCCCTAATCCCTAGTACTCCAGCTACACTGAGCCTAGTCTTGGCTACTGGCCACCTCAAAACTATATGTCTCTATCTGAAAAGGTACAGGGAAAGACCATATAAATGTTTCTTGAGATCCCTGTCATCGCTACCACCAACACACAGCACATGGCAGAAGGGCCTGACGGATGACATTTGGCTGCACATTGGAAGGGGTTACAAATGCCATGAAAAGCCCTTGTTTTTCTCTAGCATAGCCCTAATGCCCTTCACAGTTGAATTGCTTCTCCTCCACACCATTCCCTCTCCCTGCCTGCCAGACAAATTTGCCCACTGTTCCCTGACTCCGGACTCCTGACCCTCTCAGAGCCCAATTTCAGAGCCCCTTGAACCTAATCTTACCAGCCAAATACAATCTTTATCTCCTCCCTCTAGCCAATCCCAGCTAGAAGGCTGTCTCCCTCCTCTGAACTACTGCCTCAATGTAAGTTAATAATCCATTTGGCCAAGAATGGCCTTCTATTGTCTTCTTAAAGTGTTATTTTCATTTGCAGAATGACTGCATGTTAGACATACATTCAAATTATCGCCCCAAGTAGGTAGTAATTTTTCCATTGTTACAATCAATGCTGTGATGAACATTCTTACAATATATCTTTATGTCCTTGTATACTTTAAAACATTTCTTCAACCAGAGGAATGTTCTAAACATAATTTTAAAAGTCTAAAAGTCAAAAAAAATTATGATGAAAATTAACAGTATCCTGGCCCACTCCCCCTGCTTCCCTGAGGCTCTTGCAATTTCTTTAGCAGTTTTTCTAGTATTTAACTGTATATATCTAAATAATTTGTTTATATTCTGCTTTCTTGATTAATCAAATTTACATCATTTACTGACTTACTACTATGGAAGATGAAAAAGGGAGCACTCTTACATTGCTACACACAAACATTTCCCCTCTCCCTGGTCTTCTAATAGATCTGAATTACAACATTTCCAAATCTGAGTCAGGTAGTATACTATGATTGCATTTGCTTTCCTGTACAATGTTTAGTTCCTCCTGGAGTCAATAACGGCCTTGATTTTATTTGCCTAGCTTGCTCAATACTTATAGTTAATTCTCTCCAGGCTTTCTGACAGAACCATAAAACCTCTCTAAATAAGGTCAATATCTTCCATTTTTTCTTAGATTTCCTTAACATAGCTGCTGCTCCCATCTGTTCTGGCTGTCTCACATGCCAAAGCACCGTTTTTCTAGTACTTCTTTCACTAACATCTTAGGGATTCATTTTGCTTTTATCTTGTGTTGGCATCTTATTTCCTGGCTCCCCTGTCAATATTTTCTTAGTTTATTCTTTTATTTTGTTGGAACACAACCTCCAGTAGTTTCTTTGGAAAAAATGAGAGATACAAGTTTTGAAAATTTAGATGTCTGAAAATGCTTTTATTCTACTCTCAATATTGATTGAAGGTTTGGCTGGGTATAAAATTCTATATTTATTCTTTAAAGAGCCTTCTCACTAAAATATAGCCAGACCCTAGAAAAATTGCCTTAAATACAATTTCTATTTTTGTAATCATACTCACAAAACATAAGGAAAATGAAAATAACAAACTTAGGAAACTATTCTTTCATCATTGAGATCTATAATTTAGGTCAAGTATTCCCAGCATTGGCTTTACACTAGAATCAGCTGTGGAACTTACTTAAAAAAAAAAAGAAAACTGATACTCCAAAATCTGATTTAATTTGTCTGCAATAGGGATGGGTATAGTTTGTTGGTTTTTAAGGTTTTTCGTTTGCTTGTTTGTTTGTTTGTTTTTAGTGAGAGACTTCTCCCAGTCAGATGTAGAATACTGAATTTTTTATGTGTGTTTTAAAATATACATAACCTAAAATTTATCATATTAGCCATTCCAGTTTGGTGGCATTAAGCACATTTGCATTGTTGGGCAACCATCCCCACCATCCAATTCCAGAAGCTTTTCATCTTCCAAAATGGAAACTTTGTACTAATTAAACACTGACTGTCTATTCCTCCCTTCCCCTAGCCCCTGGCCACTACCATCTTACTTTCTGTCTCTATAAATTTGACTTGTCTAGGTACTTCATATAAGTGCAATCATATAGTATTTGTCCTTTTTCGACTGGCTTATTTCACTTAGCATAATGTCTTCGAGGTTAATCCCTATGATAGCATGTGTCAGAATTTCCTTCCTTTTTAAGGCAGAATAATATTTTATTGTATGTGTATTCCACATTTAGTTTATCCATAAAGCTACTGATAGACACTTCAGTTGCTTCCACCTATTGGCTATTGTGAATAATGATACTATAAACATGGGTGTACAAATACCGGTTTCAGTTTCTGCTTTCTTTCTTCTGAGTACATACTCAGAAGTGGAGTTGTTAGAGTACATACAAATCCTATGTGTAATTTTTTTTTGAGGAACCACAGTACTGTTTTCCATAGCAACTGCACTGTTTTACATTCTCACCAATGTAAAATAAACACTCCCACAGTGTTCCAATTTCTCCATACCCTCATCAATATCTGTTATTCTTTGTTTTGTTTGTTGGGTTTTGTTTTGTTTAGGGATTTTTAGATAATAGCCATTGTAATGGGTATGCAGTGGTATCTTATTGTGGTCTTAATTTGCATTTCCCTAAAGATTAGTAATATTGAACATTTTTCATGTGTTTATTGGCCATTTGTATATTTTTTTGAGAAATGCCTATTAAAGTCTTTGCCTGTTTTTAAATCAGTTTTTGTTTTTGTTGGTTGTTAAGTTGTAAGAATTCTTTTTATATTCTATATATTAATTCCTTATTAGATATATGCTTTGCAAATATTTTCTCCCATTCCATGAGTTGCCTTTTCACTCTGTTGATAATGCCCTTTCGTACATAAAAGTTTTTAATTTTGGTGGAGTCCAGCTTATCTATTTTTCATTTTGTTGTCTATGCTTTTGGTGTCATATGCAAACAAGCACTGCCAAGTTGAAAGTCATGTAGCTTTTATACTGTTTTTTTTTTTTTCTAAGAGTTCTATAGTTCTCACTATAATGTTTAGGTCTGTAACCTATTTTGAATTAATTGGTATATACAGTGTAAGATAGGAATCCATCTTCATTTATTTTTGTGTAAAGATATCCAGTTTTCCCAGCATCATTTGTTGAAAACACTGTCCTTTCCCCCATTGAATAGAGTTGGCTCTTTGTTGAAAAGCATTTGACTATGTATCCAAGGGTTTTTTTTTCTGGGCTCTCTGTTCTATTTTGTTGGTATATATGTCTGTCTTTATGCCAATACCACACTGTTTTTATTACTGAAGCTTTGTGAGAAGTTTTGAAATCAGTAAGTGTGAGACCTTCAACTTGTTCTTTTTCAAAATTGTTTTGGCTACTCAGGATCCCTTGGGATTCCATATAAATTTTAGAATAGATATTTCTATTTCTGCAAAAAATGTTATTAGAATTTTGAGAAGAGTTGCATCAAATCTGTAGATTGCTTTCACTAGTATTGATATCTTAACAATATTAAATCTTCCAATCCAGGCATAGACTTAAAAATAACTCACAATAAAAGACTGTAGATAAAGCAAAGAGCTAGTGTTCTTTAATTTGTCTTTGAATTTACCTTGTCTGCCAAGTCATTCAGCTGAAAACTTCAAAACATCTTTATTAGTAGCTTCATATGTTAATCGATGAGGATCATAATTACTTTTCTTTCTATGATTTATCAATAAAGAATTCCTCAGAATGAATAGCTTCTAGTTGGGATTATGCGGCAGAATTAGCTAAGAGATTTTATTTTGTCTTGTATTACTGCAAAATCCTATTTACCCTATCCTTAGTACATACTGAATCGTAATTTCTAGGGATTTAAAAATAAAACAAAATCTACCTCTAGGTTAAAAAAAAATCTAAGAGCAAACAAAAACAATCAGAAAAAAAAAAAACCCCGAAAAAATAAAAGGAAACTAGAAGAGGCAAAACATAAATAAATATGAAAGAAATAGTGACCCTGAGGGAAAACGCCAATGTTAGCATGTGGTAGAAAAATGAAGAAATCAACCACAAAACTCAATTTGAGAAAAATAAGCACAGGGAAAACAGAAAGCACAAGGTTTAAAGATGTCAATAATCACTACAGTCAAATCACTACTGTTAAATGATGGATATGATCAGAGTCAACTTTTTAAAAATTTATCTATGTGGTGTTGTAAAATGACACACATAATGCATGAAGACAGAGAAAGATTGAAAGTTAAAGGATAAAAAAAGATGTTGTAAGTAAATACTTACAAATAAAAATAGCTAGGGAGCTACATCAATAAAAGATAAAATAAACGTTGAGATGAAAAGCATTATTAAGGATAAAAAGAGTCACAACTTAATGAGAAAAAGTTTAATGTACTGGCAAGATAAAATAATTACAAACTTGTTGGCACCTATTAGAATAAATGATAGACCCAGGGAGGAATGGAAAAATCCGCTATAAGAGTCAGCAATTTCAACACAACTCACTCAATTACTTATGGCTGAAAGGGAATAAAAATCAATAAAGATGTATAGGATTTGAAAGATACACTGAAGAAGCTTGATTTAATGGCTATTTCTAGATCTCAGCATTCCTCAATCAGAAAATACATATACTCCTTAAGCACACATGAGTGATTTACAAAAACTGACAACATACCAGAACATGAAGTAAGCCTTAACGCAATTCAAAGAACTGCTATCATTTCAAACTACAATCTCTAATTACAGTGCAGTTGAATTAGAACTCAATAACAAAAATATAATTATTGTAGACACACATTTCTAAATAATGGTTCAAAAAAAGAAACCATAATAGAAACTTAAAAATGATCAGAGCAGTAGAGCTCAGCTTCTAGCCAACATGGAGTAACGATGACAAGATTTACCCTTTCACCTTACACAATCAGAAAACCAGACAAATATACAAAGCATTGGATAGCAAGCAGCACAGAACTTGACCAACTGAGAGAAGAAAAGCCAAATGTGCCTATTATTTTACCAGCTTACTGGCTCCTGGTCAGAAGGTATGTGAGACAGAAGACAAAGGAGAGACATCATCAAGTAAGAAAAAAAAAATCTGTCAACCTAGATTTTTTACCCAGATAAGTATTGTTTTCAAAATTTAAATAAAATAAAATTTTTAGACAAAATTCGAGAGGATTCATTGTCAGCAGACCTGCCTATAAGTAAAGTTAAAGTGGCCGGGCACAATGGCTCACGCCTGTAATCCCAACACTTTGTGAGGCCAGGGCAGGAAGATTGCTTAAGCCCAGGAGTTTCAGACTAGCATGAGCAACACAGTGAGACTCCATCTGTACAAAAAAATTAAAAATTTAGCTGGGCATAGTGGCACGCACTTGTAGTCTCAGCTCCTTGGGAGACTGAGGTGGGAGGATTGCTTGAACCAAGGAATTCAAGTTTACAGTGAGCCATGATTGGACTACTGCACTCCAGTCTGGCTGAAAGAGTGAGACACGGTCAAAAAAAAAAAAAAAAAAAGGAAAGAAAAGAAAAAGAAAAGAGGCCAGGTGCGGTGGCTCACACCTGTAATCCCAGCACTTTGGGAGGCTGAGGCAGGTGGATCACGAGGTCAGGAGATCGAGACCATCCTGGCTAACACGGTGAAACCCCCTCTCTACTAAAAATACAATTAGCTCTGGGTGTGGTGGCTGGCACCTGTAATCCCATCTACACCGGAGGCTGAGGCAGGAGAACTGCGTGAACCCGGGAGGCAGAGCTTGCAGTGAGCTGAGATTGCACCACTGCACTGCAGGCTGGGCGACAGAGCTAGACTCCATCTCAAAAAAAAAAAAAAAAAAAAAAAAAAAAAAAAAAAAAGGAAAAGAAAAGAAAAGTTAAAGGAATGTCATGGGCAGAAAAAAAATAATACCAGATTGAAAAATGGATCCACAAAAAGAATAAAGAGCACTACAAAGGATAAAAATCACATTTTAATCTCTTGAGAAGATAGCATACTGTTTAACATAAAAATAATAACAATGTGTTTTGCAGTTTACCCATATGTGAAGGAAATGTATAAAAATAGCACAAAGGATGAAGGAAACGGAAATATACTATTTTAAGGTTTGTATAACTATATGTGATGTGACAGTTTAAATTACACTATGATAAGTTAAAGATGTTTATAGTAAACCACAGACAATAATTAAAACATAAAACAAAGTCATAGAGCTAATAAGCCAATAGTGGAGGTAAAATGGAATTTTAAAAAATTATTCAAAAGAATGAAGGAAAGGGAAAAGGGGGGACAAAGAGTAGATTAAATAAAAAGACAACAAATAGCAAGATGGTAGGTTTAAGTTGAAAAATATTGGAATTTTTATTAAATATAAGTGGCTTAAGCACAGAAATTAAAAGGCAGAGACTTTTATTAGATTTTTTTAAGCAAGACCAATTATATATTCTCTAGAAGATACTCACTTTTAATATAAAAACACAGGTTAAAAGTAAAACAATGAAAAAGATATGTCATGCAAATACTATTCATAAAACAGCTGGAGAGGCTATTTTAATATATAGTAGACCCAATATTATCAGTGATAAAGACAGAATAAAGGGGTAAATTCATCAAGAGGACATCACAATCCTAAATGCATATGCAACTATTAGAAGAGATTCAAAATATATGAAGTAAAAACATACAATAGAACAAAGAAATAGATACATTTATGATTACAATTGGAGATTTCAACATTCCTCTTCCAGTAATTGATAGAACAGGTAGACAGAAAATTAATAACAATATAGAAGACTGGGCTAGGTGCGGTGGCTCATGTGTTTAATCTCAGCACTTTGGGAGGCCAAGGCAGGAGGATCACTTGAGTCCACAAATTTGAGACCAGCTTGGGCAACATAGCAAGACCCCATTTCTACAAAAAATTTAAAAATTAGCCGGGCATGGTGGTGTGCACCTTTAATCCCAACTACTTGAGAGGCTGAGGTGGGAGGATGGCTTGAGCCCAGGAGAACAAGCTGCAGTGAGCTATGATCACACTACTGTACACTAGCCTGAGTGACAGAGCAAGACCCTCTCTCTTAAAAAAAAAAAAAAAAAAAGAATACAGAAGACTTGAACAACACTATCAACCAACTTGACTTAATTGACATCTACAGATTACACCATCCAACTATAGCAAAAGACACATTCTTTTCAAGTGTTTATGGAACATTGACCAAAACAGATTATATTCCGTGTCATAAAACGAATCTGCCTAAATTTAAGAGTATTGAAATCATGCAAAATTTCCTTACACAACAGAATTAAACTAGACATAAATAACACAAAGATTTCTGGGAAATCTGCAAATATTTGGAAACTAAACAACACATTTCTAAATAACCCAGCCTTCCATACTTCAAAGAATTCACAATTGAAGTAAAACCATATTTTGAATTGAATGAAAGTGAAAGCACAATCAACCAAAGTGGGTGGATTACAGATAAAGCAGTGCTCTGACGGAAATTTGTAGCATGAAGTGCTTATATATTAGGAGGAAAAGATTATAAATTAATAGTTTAAACGTCCACCTAAGAAACTAAAAAAAAATTTCAAGTTAAACCCTAAATAAGAAAACAAAAGGAAATAATAAAGAGTATAAATTAATTTTTAAAAGGGAACAGAAAAAACAATAGATATCACGAAACAAATAACTAGTTCTTCAAAATACATGAAGTAGGAATTGACACCACGACCATGGTCTCTAAACCTACCAAAGATTCCCTGGGATTATGTCCTCAAGACAAAATAAATAGATAAACAAAATAAAAAATAAACCTAACAAAGACTACAAAAAAATCTCAAACCAATGTCGTTATTCATTATATTAAACCTAAAAAAAATCCTTTATTTAGTCACTTGAATCCAGCAATGCATCTCTAAAAAGGGTAATACAGCAAAACCAAATGGGGTTCATCCCAGAAATGTAAGGTTGGTGTTTACAAATGGTTCCCCAAAAGACATTTGTAGCTTAATCCCTGTAAATTTACATTAACTTATTTGGTAAAAGGGTCTTTGCAGATGAGATTACATTCAAGACTTTGAGATGAGGGGATTATTCTGGATTATCTGGGCAGGCCCTAAATGCCATCACAACTCTCCTTATAACACAGAGGGAGATTACACACCCAGCAGAGGAGGAGGCAATGTGGCCACAAAGGCAGAGTGTGGCATGATATGGCCACAAGTCAAGGAATGCCAACAGCCCTCTTCAGACAACAGACCTCACGATCTGCCAGGGTAGGGGCGGGGCAGGCACTCAGTGGCACAGATTTGGAGAAGGGTCTCAGAGAGTTAATTCCCTTTTTTTTTAACTGCCTCTTAAACAGCTTTCAGAGAAGTCTTTCTATGTTAGCAACTGTGAAAGAAAAATAAATCTCAGGACCTCAAAATCACTAAGCCAAAGGGAAAAGTCAAGCTGGGAACTGTGTCAGGCAAACCTGCCTCCTATTTATTCCTAAATAAGATAGCTACAAAGATTTTTTTTTTAAGTTACATACCTCCCTTACAATTTGCCAACTAGGAAAATCCTGTGGGCCCCAAGATGTAAATGGATAGCTTATCTTCACAGGTGCAGGACAAAGGACAGAACACTAAGTCATCCCTCTGCTCGCCTGAGACAAATGCATATCTGATTGCTTCCTCTAATGTAAAAATGCAGATTCTCTGAACTAGACATAAGTGTTCCTCTACCCAGCCCCCGCCCCACATGTAAATTGTGTATTCAGTGAAAGACTGATTAGACTCAAAAGAATGCAACTGTTTGTCTCTTACCTATCCACACCTCTTAAAAATTTCTTCCTCTTTACCCATTATTCCCTCTTTGCCCTTTAAATATTAAAGCTTTCAAAATCATCTTTGGAGAAGGCATAGACCTGCTTGCCAGGCATGTGTCCTTAACCTTGGCAAAATAAACTTTCTAAATTGATTGAGGCCTATCTCAGATACTTTTTAGTTCACACAACACACATTCCTTCCATCACCTCCTTCCAGAGGTTTCAATTCCCAGGTCTTTTGAAGGTCTTGTGATACAATCCAGGTGAGTTCCCAGGGTTGTAAGATTTGTCAAGTAAATTACCACTCTTCTATTGGCTTTCCAGCTAACAGAAATGGGTTGCTCCCCACGCTGTGGATTCAGGCCTTTTAAAACAATCCCTTTACTGTAGCTTTAGAAAGATTTTGGAAAAGAGCAAAATTAAATACATGTGTTCGATTTGCCGTTCTCCGCTAAGGCTTCCATTTTTCAACTTCCGAAGCTGTGTTGACAACTTTATTCCATTGTCGTCTCCTTGTTATTTTACACTTCTCTTTTAACTTTAGTCAGTCGAGTGGGATTTTAGGAGAGGGCAGAGAGAAATCCACATATTCAATCTATCATGTTTAACTCTCCAATTATCTGCGTAGGCTACATTCCTTCCCAGAAATGGAACTGCTGGTGTCAGAGGGCTTGCACAATTTTAAGACTCTTGATAGAGATGGTCAAATAGTCCTCTAGGAAGTTTGTACTAATTTATACTTGAATCAGTAAGTTATGAAAGTGCAGATTTCTCTATATCCCAATAAGCATTGTGCAATAATATTCCTGTTAAGCTTTGCAAATCTGCTAAGGAGAAAAAATATATCTCATTTTGCATTTATTTTTACTACTGAATATCAATGTATTTATTTGTTAGCTGTTAGTTTTGTGAGTTGCCTACTCATGTAATTTTCCAGTTCTTACAATTAAGCTATACATTTCTTAGTGATTTTTAAGAGCACTTTGTATAGAGAAGATTGACTCCTATATTTTTATTGCAAAAAAATTCCACTTTGATACTTTTTTCTTTTACTTTTTTCATCATAATATTTTCCACAGTATGAATTTATGCTTTTTATGTAGTCAAACTTATCAGCATCTTACTTTACTGCTTTGTTCTAGTGTCAAGAGTAGAAAGGATTCCTATTTGAAATGTATTTTTTGTAAAAAATAAGGAAGAGAATCCAACCATATTTTTGCTTTAAAAGAATCCAACTATGCATGTGCCATTTACCAGACAGCCCACTCTTTCCCTACTTCAATGAAATCTTATCTTTACCTTATACTAAACCCTTATAAACACTTGTCTTTGTTTGGACTTTCTATTTAATTCCACTTTTACATTTGTGTGTTCTGATGTTGGTGCCATACTCTTTTTATTTTTATAGTTTTAAAATTCTGTATATCTTATTATCTGGAAGGGTAAGTATCTTTTCATTACTTTGCTTTTCCATAATTTTGTTGACTCTTCTTTTATATTGAATCTTTACATAAACAGAATGTTTCTGGCAGGTTGAAAAAATCATTCAGAATTTGTGGAAATTATGTACAACCAACAGATTAATTTGAAGATAACTTATCTATTTATGATATAGTTTTCTCACATAGAAATTAAATTAAATGTTATATCTCTAATTATTGCTATTGGGTTGAATTGCATAAAACTGCTTATATTTGACCTTTTGACCTACAAAAACTAAAATTTTATGTTTTAACATAATAGTACTCAAGAAATTGTTTCTTAGAATTGTATTTTCATTCTTTCAATGGAACTCAGATGTAGAGAATTGAATTAATCATAACCATTGGTTTATGACTCATTCTCATTGGTCCACATGTGACCTGCTTTTATGCATTCATTTATTTAGTTAAGTAGGCCATGTGGTAGCTTGTCTTCAAGTCAGGTGCCATCAATTCTTCCCTTTCTTGTATCACATGTTTTTCATCCTTTGAGAGGTAGAGTCTATTCCTCCTCTTGCCTTGATTTCTGAGACTAGGTCATAAGAAGACTTGCAGCTTCTACCTGGGCCTCTCAGTGCAGTCACTCTTGGAGTCCTGAGCCACCATGTAAGAGGTCCAACTACCCTGAGGCCGCCGTGTTGTGAGGAAGCCTAAGCTAGCCCCATGGAGAGAAAGGGAGCAACACCTGACCAATCCCAAGCTGTTTCAGCCCCAGCTGTTGGACTCATCCAAACTGAGACCCCAGCTATGTGGAACAAGATAAGCCTCTCTGTGCCCTATCTCAACTCCAGAGAATCATAAGGTATAATAACAAAGGTTATTTTAAGTCATTTGGCTTGGGATGGCTTGTTATACAGCAATAAGTAATTGAAATGGATAGTTTTAGTTAGTTAGTTAGCTTTAATGATTACATAAGCATCTATGAAACCATCACCCAAAACAGAGGCTTGGGCCTTGACAATAACCTACATCTAAATATATGATCTCCCTCCATCCCATTTCCCTGCCTGTCCCAACTCAAATGAATCATCATCCATCATCCCTGTATTCATCACTTAAATATTTTCTTTTTGTATAGTTTTTCTGCATCTATATATTCATTAAAATATACATTTTTTATTTTAACTTCATAAAAGTGGTATCATGCTGAATCTTTTGGGACTTACATTTTTCACTTAATATTATATTACTATGATTCATCCATATTGTTGTATATCATTTTAGTTCATTTGTTTTGACTACTATGTAATATTTTATCATATGAATTTATAACAATTTATTCATCCACTCTTCCACTGATGGGCATTTAAATTGCCAGATTTTTGATATTTGGAACACTGCTATGAACATTCTTATGCCTGTTTCCTCTGTTGTACGTGTGCAAGTTTCTCTTGAGTATATGTGTAGGATTAGCTCAAAAGGTAGGATAAACTTTAGGAGGTAGTACCAAACTGTTCTCCACATTAGTTGTATCTATTTAAATCCCCACCAGCAAGATTATGAGAAAGAGGTCCTTTGGTTGCATATCCTCTTCAACTTTTGGTGTTGTCAGATTTTCTCATTTTTGCCAACTGGATGTATATTAAAAAACATCCCATTGTGGTCTTAATTTGCATTTTCTGATCACTAATGATGCTGAGCATCTCTTCATCTATTTATGGATGATATGTTTCCTCTTATGTGAAATGTCTGTTCACAGTTTCAGGAAATTTTCTATTGGGTTGTATGTGCTTTTCTTATTAATCTATAGGAGTTCTTTATATATTCTTAATGCAAATCCATTATCTGTAGCTACTGCAAATACCTTCTCTCAGTTTCTACTTTGTATACTTTCTTTTTATTTATTTATTTTAATTTTTATTTTAGGTTCAGGGATACATGTACAGGTCTGTTACGTAGGTAAACTTGTGTCACTGAGATTTGTTGTACAGATTATTTCATCACCCAGGCGCTAGGTTTAGTACCCAGTAGTTATTTTTTTCTGATCCTCTCCCTCATCCCACACTCCACCCTTCGCTATGCCTCAGTGTCTGTTGTTCCCCTCATTGTGTTCATGAATTCTCATCATTTAGTTTGTTCTTATAAGTAAGAATATGTGGTATTTGGTTTTCTGCTCCTGCATTAGTCTGCTAAGGATAATGGCCTCCAGTTCCACCTATGTTCCCACAAAAGACATGATCTAATTTTTTTTTTTTTTTTTTTTTTTTGAGATGGTGTCTCGCTCTTTCACCCAGGCCGGACTGCAGTGGCGCTATCTTGGCTTACTGCAAGCTCCGCCTCCCGGGTTCACGTCATTCTCCTGCCTCAGCCTCCCGAGTAGCTGGGACTGAAGGTGCCCACCACCACACCTGGCTAATTTTTTGTATTTTTAGTAGAGATGGGGTTTCACCGTGTTAGCCAAGATGGTCTCAATCTCCTGACCTCGTGATCCACCTGCCTCGGCCTCCCAAAGTGCTGGGATTACAGGTGTGAGCCACCGCGCCCAGCCATGATCTAATTCTTTTTTATGGCTGCATAGTATTCCATAGTGTATATGTACCACATTTTCTCAATCTGTCACTGATGAGAATTTAGGTTGATTTCATGTATTTGCTATTGTGAATAGTGCTGCAATGAACATTCATGTACATGTGTCCTTATGGCAGAATAATTTATATTCCTGTGGGTCTATACCCAGTAATGGGATTGCTGGGTTGAATGGTAGTTCTGTTTCTAGCTCTTTGAGGAATCACCACACTGCTTTCTACATGGTTGAACTAATTTACACTCCCACCCACAGTATACAAGCATTCCCTTTTCTCTGCAACTTTGCCAGCATCTGTTATTTCTGGACTTCTGTTTTTTTTTTTTATACTTCAAGTTCTAGGGTACATGTGCACAACGTGCAGGTTTGTTACATAGGCATACATGTGCCATGTTGGTGTGCTGCACCCATTAACTCGTCATTTACATTAGGTATATCTCCTAATGCTATCCCTTCTCCCCTCCCCCCACCCCCCAACAGGCCCCGGTGTGTGATATTCCCCTTCCTGTGTCCAAGTGTTCTCATTGTTCAATTCCCACCTATTAGTGAGAACATGCGGTGTTTGGTTTTTTGTCCTTGCGATAGTTTGCTGAGAATGATGGTTTCCAGCTTCATCTATGTCCCTACAAGGACATGAACTCATCATTTTTTATGGCTGCCTAGTATTCCATGGTGTATATGTGCCACATTTTCTTAATCCAGTCTATCATTGATGGAGATTTGGGTTGGTTCTTAATAATAGCCATTCTGACTTGTGTGAGATGGTATCTTATTGTGGTTTTGATTTGCATTTCTCTAATGATTAGTGATGTTGAGCTTTTTTTCACATACCTGTTGGCCACATGTATGTCTTTTGAAAAGTGTCTGTTCACGTCCTTTGCTCACTTTTTAATGGAGTTTTTCCAGTTTTGCTTGTAAATTTGTTTAATTTCCATATAGATGCTGGAAATTAGACTTTTGTCAAATGTATAGTTTGCAAATATTTTCTCCCATCCTGTAGGTTGCCTGTTTACTCTGTTGATAGTTTCCTTTGCTGTGCAGAAGCTGTTTAGTTTAATTAAATCCCATCTGTCAATTTTTGCTCTTGTTGTGATTGCTTTTGGAGTCTTCATCATGAAATCTTCACCAGATCCTATGTCCAGAATGGCGTTTCCAAGGTTGTTTACCAGAGTTTTTATAGTTTTGGGTTTTACATTTAAGTCTTTAATCCATCTTGAGTTTATTTTTATATGTGGTGTAAGAAAGGGGTACAGTTTAAATCTTCTGCATATAGCTAGCCAGTTATCACAGCACCATTTATCGAATAGAGAATCCTTTCCACATCGCTTGTTTTTGTCACGTTTGTCAAAGATCAGATGGTTGTAGGTGTGCTGCCTTATTTCTGGGCTCTCTATTCTTTTCCATTGGTTTATGTGTCTTGTTTTGTACCAGTACCATGCTATTTTGGTTACTTTTGGCCTGTAGTATAGTTTGAAGTCGGGTAATGTGAGCCTCCAGCTTCGTTTGTTTTGCTTAGGATTGCCTTGGCTATTCAAGTTCTTTTTTGGTTCCATATGAATTTTAAAACAGTTTTTTCTAGTTCTGTGAAGAATGTCATTGGTAGTTTGATAGGAATACCATTGAATCTGTAAACTGCTTCCTATCCATGAGCATGGAATGTTTTTCCATTTGTTTGTGTCATGTATGATTTCTTTGAGCAGTGTTTTGTAATTCTCACTGTAGAGATTTTTCACCTCCTGGTTAGCTTATTCCCAGGTATTTCATTCTTTTTGTGATAATTGTGAATGAGATTGTATTCCTGATTTGGCTCTCGGTTGGCTGTTGTTGGTGTATGGGAATGCTAATGATTTTTGTACATTGATTTTTTATCCTGAAGCTTTGCTGAAGTTGTGTATCAGCTGAAGGAGATTTTCAGCCAAGACTAAGGCTTTTCTAGGTAAAGAATCATGTTGTCTGCAAACACAGATAGTTTCACTTCCTCTATTCCCATTTGGATGTGCTTTATTTCTTTATCTTGCCTGACTGCTCTAGCCAGGACTTCCAATACAATGTTGAATAGGAGTGGTGAGAGGGGGCATGTTGTCTTGTGCCAGTTTTCAAGGGGAACCCTCCCAGCTTTTGCCCATTCAGTATGATGTTGGTTGTGGTTTTGTCATAGATGGTTCTGATTATTTTGAGGTATGTTTCTTCTATACCTAGCTTATTGAGAGTTTTTAATATGAAAGGATTTTGAATTTTATTGAAAGCCTTTTCTGCATCCATTGAGATAATTGTGTGGTTTTTGTCTTTACTTCTGTTTATGTGATTAATCACATTTATTGATTTGCATATGTTGAACCAACCTTGCGTCCTGGGAATGAAGGCACTTGATCATGGTGGATTAGCTTTCTGACATGCTGCTTGATTCAGTTTGCAAGTATTTTCTTCAGGATTTCAGCATCAAGAGGCCAATGTTCATCAAGAATATTGGCCTGAAGTTTTTGTTGTTGTTGTTGTTGTGTCTCTGCCACGTTTTGGTGTCAGGACAATGCTGACCTCATAGAATGAGTTGGAGTCCCTCCTCCTCAATTTTTTGGAATAGATTCAGTAGGAATGCTACCAGCTTTTCTTTGTACATCTGGTAGAATTTGGCTGTGAATTCATCTGGTCCTGGGCTTTTTTTGGTTGGTAGGCTATTTATTACTGATTCAAATTTGAAGCTTGTTATTGTCTGCTCAGGGAATCAATTTCTTCCTGGTTCAGTCTTGGGAGAGTGTATGTATGTGTCCAGGTATTTATCCATCTCTTTTCGGTTTTCTAGTTTTTGTGCACAGAGGGGTTCATAGTAGTTTCTGATGGTTATTTGTATTCCTTTTGTGTCAGTGGTAACATCTTCTTTGTCATTTCTAATTGTGTTTATTTGGATCATCTCTCTTTTCTTCTTTATTAGTCTAGCTAGCAGACTATCTATCTTATTAATTTTTTCAAAAAGACCAACTTCTGGATTTGTTGATCTTTTGAATGGTTTTTCGTGTCTCAATTTCCTTCAGTTCACCTCTGATTTTGGTTATTTCTTGTCTTCTGCTAGCTTTTGGGTTTGGCTTGCTCTTGTTTCTCTAATTATTTTTGTTGTAATGTTAGGTTGTTAATTTGAGATATTTCCAGCTTTTTTACACAGGTGTTTAGTGCTTTGAATTTCCCTCTTAACACCGCCTTAGCTATTGCCCAGAGATTCTAGTATGTTATAACTTTGTTCTCATTAATTTCAAAGAAATTCTCGACTTTAGCCCTAATTTCATTATTACCCAAAAATCATTTAGGAGCATGTTGTTTAATTTCCATGTAATTGCATGGTTTTGAACAAATTTTAAAATCTCGACTTCTATTTTTAGGGTGCTGTGGTCTGAGAGTGTATTTGGCACAATTTTGGTTCTTTGGCATTTGCTGAGGATTGTTTTATATCTGATTGGTCAATTTTGGAGTATGTGCCATGTGGTAATCAGAAGAATGTGTATTCTGTTGTTTTGGGTGGAGAGTTCTGTGGAGGTCTATCAGATCCATTTAGTCCAATGTTGAGTTCAGGCTCTGAATGTCTTTATTAATTTTTTGCCTCAGTGGTATGTTTAATACTGACAGGGGAATGTTGAAGTCTCCTACTATTATTGTGTGGGAGTCTAAATCTCTTTGTAAATCTCTAAGAACTTGCTGTAGGAATCTGGGTGCTCCTGTGTTAGGTGCATATATATTTAGGATAGTTAGATCTTCTCATTGAATTGAACTCTTTACCGTTATATAATGCCCTTCTTTGTCATTTTTTGATCTTTGTTTAAGTTTGTTTCATCTGAAATCATGGTTGCAACCCCTGCTTTTTTCTGATTTTCATTTGGTTGGTAGATTTTCCCCCATCCCTTTATTTTGAGTCTATGGGTGTCATTACATGTGAGATGGGTCTCTTGAAGACACCATACCATTGGGTCTCGCTTTTTTATCCAGGTCGTCACTCTGTGCCTTTTAAATGGGGCACTTAGCCCATTTACATTCAAGGTTAGTATTGATAAGTGTGGATTTTCTTCTGTCATTGCGTTGTTAGCTGGTTGTTATGCTGGCTTATTTGTATACTTTCTTTTATATGTCTTTTAGGCAACTAAGATTCTTAATTTTAATATAGACAAATCTATTGATCTTTTCCTTTACAAGAAAAACTTTTTGTGTCTTTTTTCAAAAACATTTTTGTACCTGGAGTTTTAAATTTGGGATATTAATGCGTAAGTTCACAATCTATCTTGAGTTGATTTCTGTATGTGGTAAAAAAGAGGATTCCAATCTTGTCATCTTCTATATGAATAACCATTATTTTCTAGTTATGTTAACATCTTTGCTGATCTGACATGACACCTCCTTCTTGTACCTAAATTCCACACATGTCTGGGCTGGACTGGGTTCTCTATTAGTATTAGTATTTGATGATATAACTTTTTCCTTCCTTTTACTTTTAATTTGTCCTGGTACTTAGCTTTAAATGTGCCTTGTAAATAGCATAAATTTATATTTTAAAGTCTAATCTGTCAATCTTTGCATTTTACCTTGTAAGTCAAATTCATTCACATTAATTCTAATTATTTATATATATTTGGACTAGTTTCTATTGTCTCAAATTTTCGGTTGTCCTATTTTTAGATGTTGCTTTTCAATCCTTTATTTCCTCTCTAATTTGACAAGAATTTTAGCACACTTTCACATTCCTTTAGTCTTCCTTACGTTCCAGCCTCAGTCATGTTGATATCATCTATACCATGGCTTCTCAAATTCTCAAAGGATGTATAGCCCTTCTTAAAAGGCAGATACTGATTCTGCATGATTCTGAGATGGGGCCTAAGACTTTGCATTTATAACAAGCTCCTAGGTAGTAGCGACACTGGTGCTGGTTCAAACACCACATTTTGCATAGCAAGGGCCTAGATTTGTGCCATCCGATATGGTAGCCAAATTTTGGGTTTGCATTTTCTCTTTATACCCTTCATTCAAAATAGCTTTTAGTGTGGATCTTTCTATGACAAACCTTATGAAACTTTCTGGGATTAAGAATATTTTTATTATGCCCTCATATTTAAATGATGTTTTTTGTTTTTCCTTGAGACAGGGTCTGGCTCTGTTACCCAGGCTGAAGTGCAGTGGCACAATCTCAGCTCACTGCAACTTCTGCCTCCCAGACTCAAGCCATCCTCCCACCTCAGCCTCCCGAGTACCTGCGACTACAGATGTGTGACACCACGACTGGCTATTTTTTTTCTTTTGTGTATTTTTTGTAGCGACAGGGTTTCACCATGTTGCCCAAGCTGGTCTCAAACTCCTGAGTTTATGTGATCCGCCTGTCTCAGCCTCCCAAAGTGCTAGGATTACAGGCATGAGCCACCACACCCAACCTGATGTTTTGATTTGATATAAAATTCTAGTGTCTAACTTCTTTACTTCTAATATTTTAAAAATAATATTCTTATGACTCCCTGTATCCAGTGCTTGTTTGAAAACTCTCTGAAAGTCAATCTGATTTTTGTTCCTTTGTGTGAGAACTACTCTTTCTCTGAAAACTTTTAAAATTTTCTCTTAGACTTTGCTAGTCTTAAATTTCACGTTCCCATTTAGTTTTCTCTACCTATTCTCTGCAGCTTCTTTCAATCTAAAGTCTTCTTCTTCTCTTCCTCCTTCCATTCCTCCTCCTCCCCCTTCCCTTCTACTTAACTTTGGGAAATTTATCACCATTATTTCTTCAAATATACCCTCCTCCACATTTTTTATGTTTCTCTCTTTCTGGGTCTCCTATTGTATTAGTCCATTTTCACACTGCTATAAAGAACTATCTGAGACTGAGTAATTTATAAAGAAAAGAAGGTTTAATTGTCTCACAATTCTGCATGGCTGGGGAGGCCTCAGAAAACTTACAATCATGGTGGAAAGGAAAGCAAGGCGTGTCTTACATGGTGGTGGGAAAGAGAGAGAGCAGGGGAAACAGCCACTTTTAAACAATCAGATCTTGTGAGAAGTCCCTCACTATTACAAGAACAGCACTAGGAAACCACTTCCATGATCCAATCACCTCCCACCAGTTCCTCCCTTGACATATGGAGATTACAGTTTGAGATGAAATTTGAGTGGGATCACGGAGCCAAACCATATCGCCTATTATCTAAATATTAGCACTTCTACTTTTCTCTTCCACATGTCTTTGCTTTTTAAAGAATATATTTTCTATTTATTTGTCCTTTTCTTCTTTTCTAAGGGAGATGATTTCAATCTGGCCTTCCAAATTACTAATTTATCCCCCCAGGTAGGTCCAATCTACTACTTATCCTAACTACTCTTTTCTTTTGTTTTTTTTGAGTCTCACTCTTTTGCCCAGGCTGGAGTGCAGTGGTGTGATCTCAGCTCACTGCAACCTCCGCCTCCTGGGTTCAACCAAATTCTCCTGCTTCAACTCTTGAGTAGCTGGGATTACAGGCATGTACCACCACACCTGGCTAATTTTTATATTTTTAGTAGAGATGGGGTCTTGCTGTGTTGCCCAGGCTGGTCTCTAACTCCTGGGCTCAAGCAATCCTCCCACCTCAGCCTCCCAAAGTTCTGGGATTACAGGCATGAGCCACCACGCCTGGCCCAATTCTTTATTTTAACTACTATGTTTTTCATACCTAATATTTCTACTTCACCTTTGTGTTTTCTTGTTCTTCTTCTAAGATATTAGATACAGCTGAGAAATAAAAATAAAATTTGAAGCCCCCCCACAACTGACTAAACAGACCCTGCTCTTGGCCAAGGGGACCCCAGGGAAACCTGAGTTCCTGACAATGATGGGATGGGCGGTTGGACAGGCTTTGTTATACCCTCTTCCCTTGCTAACTGCCATTATGTTTTTTCCTCTAATGTTTAAACAAACAGAAACCAGCCCTTTTAAAATATTCACTTCACTACTGATATCAACCAACCGACTGATGCTGCCCCTCCCTTTTTGCAGTTTGACGCAACTGACCAGCATTCCTTCCTAAGAGACCACAGACCACTGAGTGGTTCTGGCCAGTCTACAGAGAATGCACAGTGAGGGTTTTCATGTCCTCTGCTTCATCTTTTGACATCAGAGGCTGAAAACTACCCTGGGAGCATGCTAATGCCACCATTTTTTGTACATGTGATCCATGAAGGGGCATGAAGCTTAATGGCCCATGTGCAGGTTTCTCTACTCATAAATATTCATGACTCCTCCTAGAGCCTGTTGAATATATATATATTTGCCACCCCATTCAGCATAAATCTCTGTCTTATTCTTCTGACCCTTGAAGTGCTTGTTTCTGGCTTCTGACCAGAGGCTACACTTTCCAGTCTGTGGGAATGGCCTCCCTTCAGGCTGTAACTATTTATGAGAAATAAAACTTTCCTTTCAAATTTATGAACCTCATTATTCTTCAGTTGACCCTGCTAATTAATATATTCTCTTATCACTTTTAGCTTATTACTCTAGTTTTACATTGGCGGTTTGTCTATTTTAATATTTCCTTCTCTGAAGAAATCTGTACTCTGGTTGTGCGTTATTTTTTGTTTGAAATACTGTGAGTCTAATCTGTCTTATTTTAACCTGAACTCATTTTTTCCCTGGGAATATTGCCTTCTGTGTTAGTTAATACAACTAGGAAAAGGCCAGACCCCTGTCTATGTGAGTTCCAGTGAGCTGAGGAGATGGAAGAATCCTAGGGTGAAGAGGCTACAAACAGAAACTCATCTCAACCATTAGTCACCCCACAAAATAACTCTTTGGGACTGGGCTTCATACACCCTTTGGATCCCAGAAAGAAGGAGCACTGTGAGAAGGTTCCCCATCCCCAACCCACCCCACCCAATATAAGTCACCTTCCCTGAGGACTTGGAGAGGGAGGGGTGAGGAAGCAAATGTCCAAAGTTAATTAATCTCTACCTGTTTTTCTTAGTTCCTCAAACTTACCTTGCATTTCTGGAATGGGCCCTATTTTTATAGAGCGTATTATTGTTTTCACATACGAATGCTCTTGATTTGCTAATGTTTTATTGATGGCTTATTCACTAGCATATTATTCGGTAGCTTTCCATTTTGTGCTGTTTCATCAAGTTTTTGTATTAGGTTTAAAAAATTTATTAAATAAATTGAAAACTTCTCCTTTTTTATCTATGCTCTAGAGCAATTTAAGTTGCATAAACATTCTCTCAGGTTTGAAGTACATCACTTGCAAATAGATCTACTTTCTGTTCCTATGGTGTAGTTTGAAGAAGATGGATACAGGTGGCAAAGTTCTTCATAAACTTCTCAATTTATTTCATATTTTTTGCTATATTCAGATTTTCTAGATCTTTTTAGAGTCTATTTTAGTTATACTTTTCTTAAAAACCAACCAATTCATCTGGATTTTCCAATTTATGCATCTTATACTGTTCTTTTTAAAAATAGCTTTACTGGGGGAGGAGCCAAGATGGCCGAATAGGAACAGCTCCGGTCTACAGCTCCCAGCCTGAGCGACGCAGAAGACGGGTGATTTCTGCATTTCCATCTGAGGTACCGGGTTCATCTCACTAGGGAGTGCCAGACAGTGGGCGCAGGTCAGTGGGTGCGCGCACCGTGTGCGAGCCGAAGCAGGGCGAGCATTGCCTCACTTGGGAAGCGCAAGGGGTCAGGGAGTTCCCTTTCTGAGTCAAAGAAAGGGGTGACGGACGCACCTGGAAAATCGGGTCACTCCCACCCGAATATTGTGCTTTTCCGACCGGCTTAAAAAACGGCGCACCACGAGATTATATCCTGCACCTGGCTTGGAGGGTCCTACGCCCACGGAGTCTCTCTGATTGCTAGCACAGCAGTCTGAGATCAAACTGCAAGGCAGCAGTGAGGCTGGGGGAGGGGCGCCCTCCATTGCCCAGGCTTGCTTAGGTAAACAAAGCAGCCGGGAAGCTCGAACTGGGTGGAGCCCACCACAGCTCAAGGAGGCCTGCCTGCCTCTGTAGGCTCCACCTCTGGGGGCAGGGCACAGACAAACAAAAAGACAGCAGTAACCTCTGCAGACTTAAATGTCCCTGTCTGACAGCTTTGAAGACAGCAGTGGTTCTCCCAGCACGCAGCTGGAGATCTGAGAATGGGCAGACTGCCTCCTCAAGTGGGTCCCTGACCCCCGAGCAGCCTAACTGGGAGGCAACCCCCAGCAGGGGCACACTGACACCTCACACGGCAGGGTATTCCAACAGACCTGCAGCTGAGGGTCCTGTCTGTTAGAAGGAAAACTAACAAACAGAAAGGACATCCACACCAAAAACCCATCTGTACATCACCATCATCAAAGACCAAAAGTAGATAAAACCACAAAGATGGGGAAAAAACAGAACAGAAAAACTGGAAACTCTAAAACGCAGAGCGCCTCTCCTCCTCCAAAGGAACGCAGTTCCTCACCAGCAACAGAACAAAGCTGGATGGAGAATGACTTTGACGAGCTGAGAGAAGAAGGCTTCAGACGATCAAAGTACTCTGAGCTACGGGAGGACATTCAAACCAAAGGCAAAGAAGTTGAAAACTTTGAAAAAAGTTTAGAAGAATGTATAACTAGAATAACCAATACAGAGAAGTGCTTAAAGGAGCTGATGGAGCTGAAAACCAAGGCTCGAGAACTACGTGAAGAATGCAGAAGCCTCAGGAGCCGATGCGATCAACTGGAAGAAAGGGTATCAGCAATGGAAGATGAAATGAATGAAATGAAGCCAGAAGGGAAGTTTAGAGAAAAAAGAATAAAAAGAAATGAGCAAAGCCTCCAAGAAATATGGGACTATGTGAAAAGACCAAATCTACGTCTGATTGGTGTACCTGAAAGTGATGGGGAGAATGGAACCAAGTTGGAAAACACTCTGCAGGATATTATCCAGGAGAACTTCCCCAATCTAGCAAGGCAGGCCAACGTTCAGATTCAGGAAATACAGAGAACGCCACAAAGATACTCCTCGAGAAGAGCAACTCCAAGACACATAATTGTCAGATTCACCAAAGTTGAAATGAAGGAAAAAATGTTAAGGGCAGCCAGAGAGAAAGGTCGGGTTACCCTCAAAGGGAAGCCCATCAGACTAACAGCGGATCTCTCGGCAGAAACCCTACAAGCCAGAAGAGAGTGGGGGCCAACATTCAACATTCTTAAAGAAAAGAATTTTCAACCCAGAATTTCATATCCAGCCAAACTAAGCTTCATAAGTGAAGGAGAAATAAAATACTTTACAGACAAGCAAATGCTGAGAGATTTTGTCACCACCAGGCCTGCCCTAAAAGAGCTCCTGAAGGAAGCGCTAAACATGGAAAGGAACAACCGGTACCAGCCGCTGCAAAATCATGCCAAAATGTAAAGACCATCGAGACTAGGAAGAAACTGCATCAACCAACGTGCAAAATAACCAGCTAACATCATAATGACAGGATCAAATTCACACATAACACTATTAACTTTAAATGTAAATAGACTAAATGCTCTAATTAAAAGACACAGACTGGCAAATTGGATAAAGAGTCAAGACCCATCAGTGTGCTGTATTCAGGAAACCCATCTCACATGCAGAGACACACATAGGCTCAAAATAAAAGGATGGAGGAAGATCTACCAAGCCAATGGAAAACAAAAAAAGGCAGGGGTTGCAATCCTAGTCTCTGATAAAACAGACTTTAAACCAACAAAGATCAAAAGAGACAAAGAAGGCCATTACATAATGGTAAAGGGATCAATTCAACAAGAAGAGCTCACTATCCTAAATATATATGCACCCAATACAGGAGCACCCAGATTCATAAAGCAAGTCCTGAGTGACGTACAAAGAGACTTAGACTCCCACACATTAATAATGGGAGACTTTAACACCCCACTGTCAACATTAGACAGATCAACGAGACAGAAAGTTAACAAGGATACCCAGGACTTGAACTCAGCTCTGCACCAAGAGGATCTAATAGACATCTACAGAACTCTCCACCCCAAATCAACAGAATATACATTTTTTTCAGCACCACACCACACCTATTCCAAGATTGACCACATACTTGGAAGGAAAGCTCTCCTCAGCAAATGTAAAAGAACAGAAATTATAACAAACTATCTCTCAGACCACAGTGCAATCAAACTAGAACTCAGGATTAAGAATCTCACTCAAAACCGCTCAACTACATGGAAACTGAACAACCTGCTCCTGAATGACTACTGGGTACATAACGAAATGAAGGCAGAAATAAAGATGTTCTTTGAAACCAACGAGAACAAAGACACAACATACCAGAATCTCTGGGACGCATTCAAAGCAGTGTGTAGAGGGAAATTTATAGCACTAAATGCCCACAAGAGAAAGCAGGAAAGATCCAAAATTGACACCCTAACATCACAATTAAAAGAACTAGAAAAGCAAGAGCAAACACATTCAAAAGCTAGCAGAAGGCAAGAAATAACTAAGAGCAGAACTGAAGGAAATAGAGACACAAAAAACCCTTCAAAAAATTAATGAATCCAGGAGCTGGTTTTTTGAAAGGATCAACAAAATTGATAGACCACTAGCAAGACTAATAAAGAAAAAAAGAGAGAAGAATCAAATAGACGCAATAAAAAATGATAAAAGGGATATCACCACTGATCCCACAGAAATACAAACTACCATCAGAGAATACTACAAACACCTCTACGCAAATAAACTAGAAAATCTAGAAGAAATAGATAAATTCCTGGACACATACACTCTCCCAAGACTAAACCAGGAAGAAGTTGAATCTCTGAATAGACCAATAACAGGAGCTGAAATTGTGGCAATAATCAATAGCTTACCAACCAAAAAGAGTCCAGGACCAGATGGATTCACAGCCGAATTCTATCAGAGGTACAAGGAGGAACTGGTACCATTCCTTCTGAAACTATTCCAATCAATAGAAAAAGAGGGAATCCTCCCTAACTCATTTTATGAGGCCAGCATCATTCTGATACCAAAGCCGGGCAGAGACACAACCAAAAAAGAGAATTTTAGACCAATATCCTTGATGAACATTGATGCAAAAATCCTCAATAAAATACTGGCAAAACGAATCCAGCAGCACATCAAAAAGCTTATCCACCATGATCAAGTGGGCTTCATCCCTGGGATGCAAGGCTGGTTCAATATACTCAAATCAATAAATGTAATCCAGCATATAAACAGAGCCAAAGACAAAAACCACATGATTATCTCAATAGATGCAGAAAAAGCCTTTGACAGAATTCAACAACCCTTCATGCTAAAAACTCTCAATAAATTAGGTATTGATGGGACATATTTCAAAATAATAAGAGCTATCTATGACAAACCCACAGCCAATATCATACTGAATGGGCAAAAACTGGAAGCATTCCCTTTGAAAACTGGCACAAGACAGGGATGCCCTCTCTCACCACTCCTATTCAACATAGTGTTGGAAGTTCTGGCCAGGGCAATTAGGCAGGAGAAGGAAATAAAGGGTATTCAATTTGGAAAAGAGGAAGTCAAATTGTCCCTGTTTGCAGATGACATGATTGTATATCTAGAAAACCCTGTTGTCTCAGCCCAAAATCTCCTTAAGCTGATAAGCAACTTCAGCAAAGTCTCAGGATAGAAAATCAATGTACAAAAATCACAAGCATTCTTATACACCAATAACAGACAAATAGAGAGCCAAATCATGAGTGAACTCCCATTCACAATTGCTTCAAAGAGAATAAAATACCTAGGAATCCAACTTACAAGGGATGTGAAGGACCTCTTCAAGGAGAACTACAAACCACTGCTCAAGGAAATAAAAGAGGATACAAACAAATGGAAGAACATTCCATGCTCATGGGTAGGAAGAATCAATATCGTGAAAATGGCCATAATGCCCAAGGTAATTTACAGATTCAATGCCATCCCCATCAAGCTACCAATGCCTTTCTTCACAGAATTGGAAAAAACTACTTTAAAGTTCATATGGAACCAAAAAAGAGCCCGCATCGCCAAGGCAATCCTAAGCCAAAAGAACAAAGCTGGAGGCATCACACTACCTGACTTCAAACTATACTACAAGGCTACAGTAACCAAAACAGCATGGTACTGGTACCAAAACAGAGATATAGATCAATGGAACAGAACAGAGCCCTCAAAAATAACGCCGCATATCTACAACTATCTGATCTTTGACAGACCTGAGAAAAACAAGCAATGGGGAAAGGATTCCCTATTTAATAAATGGTGCTGGGAAAACTGGCTAGCCATATGTAGAAAGCTGAAACTGGATCCCTTCCTTACACCTTATACAAAAATTAATTCAAGATGGATTAAAGACTTAAATGTTAGATCTAAAACCATAAAAACCCTAGAAGAAAACCTAGGCAATACCATTCAGGACACAGGCATGGGCAAGGACTTCATGTCCAAAACACCAACAGCAATGGCAACAAAAGACAAAATTGACAAATGGGATCTAATTAAACTAAAGAGCTTCTGCACAGCAAAAGAAACTACCATCAGAGTGAACAGGCAACCTACAAAATGGGAGAAAATTTTTGCAACCTACTCATCTGACAAAGGGCTAATATCCAGAATCTACAATGAACTCCAACAAATTTACAAGAAAAAAACAAACAACCCCATCAAAAAGTGGGCGAGGGACATGAACAGACACTTCTCAAAAGAAGACATTTATGCAGCCAAAAAACACATGAAAAAATGCTCATTATCACTGGCCATCAGAGAAATGCAAATCAAAACCACAATGAGATACCATCTCACACCAGTTAGAATGGCAATCATTAAGAAGTCAGGAAACAACAGGTGCTGGAGAGGATGTGGAGAAATAGGAACACTTTTACACTGTTGCTGGGACTGTAAACTAGTTCAACCATTGTGGAAGTCAGTGTGGCGATTCCTCAGGGATCTAGAACTAGAAATACCATTTGACCCAGCCATCCCATTACTGGGTGTATACCCAAAGGACTATAAATCTTGCTGCTATAAAGACACATGCACACATGTTTATTGTGGCATTATTCACAATAGCAAAGACTTGGAACCAACCCAAATGTCCAACAATGATAGACTGGATTAAGAAAATGTGGCACACATACACCATGGAATACTATGTAGCCATAAAAAATGATGAGTTCACGTCCTTTGTAGGGACATGGATGAAATTGGAAATCATCATTCTCTGTAAACTATAGCAAGAACAAAAAACCAAACACTGCATATTCTCACTCATAGGTGGGAATTGAACAATGAGATCACATGGACACAGGAAGGGGAATATCACACTCTGGGGACTGTGGTGGGGTGGGGTGGGGGGAGGGGGGAGGGATAGCATTGGGAGATATACCTAATGCTAGATGACGAGTTAGTGGGTGCAGCGCACCAGCATGGCACATGTATACATATGTAACTAACCTGCACAATGTGCACATGTACCCTAAAACTTAAAGTGTAATAAAAAAATAAAAATAAATAAAAATAAATAATAAAAATAGCTTTATTGAAGTATAATTTACATTCAAAAATTCATCCATTTTAGGTACAGTTCAATGTATTTTAACAAACTAATGCATTACTGTAACCTTCACTGAGAATCTGGAGTATTTTTTACTAGTTAGAGTCATGCCAAAAGTACTGACTGCAAAGGCAGTCGGTATCCTCCCCCAACCTCTGCCCCAGGCAACTGCTGGGTTGCTTTCTATCAATACAGCTGTGCCTTTTCTGAAATTTCATATGAATGGAATCAGATAGAATTTGTCTTTTGCGTTTGGCATTTTTTGCAAAGTATAATGTTTTTGAGATTCATCCATGCACGTATCAGTTTTTTGTCCCTTTTTATTACTGAGTAGTAGTATCTTGTATAAATATACAAGGTTTGTTTATCCATTCACCAGTTGGTGAACATGAGGTTATTTTAAGCTGATGCTCTGGTGGGCTGAAAAAAATGCCCCCCCCACCCAAAAAAATATTCAGATGCAAATCCCTGGAACCTGTAAATGTTACTTTACATGGAAAAAACACCTTTGCAGATGTAATTAAAGATTTTGAGATGGATAGCTTATCCTGGATTATCAGGGTGGGCCCTAAATGTAAGCACACATATCCTTATAAGAGGCAGGCAGAGGGATATTTGACACACACACAGATGCGAAGACCGAGCAGAGGGAAATTTGAAGATGCTGGAGCAATGCAGCCCCAAGTTGAGAGATGCCAGCGACCACCAGAAGCCAGAAGAGGCAAGGAATGGCTTCTCTTGTGGAGCTTGCAGAAGAAACACGACCACGCCAACACCCTGAATTCAGCCCAGTGAACCTGTTTTTGGACCTCTGGCCTCCAGAACTGTAAGAGAATACATGTATGTTGTTTTAAGCCACCAAGTCTGTGGTTAAGTTGTTACAGCAATACTACAAAGAAAGCTGGTATAAACCTTTGTATACAAGTCTATCTGTTGGCATGTTGCTCATTTCTCTTAGATAAACAGAAATGGGATTGCTGGGATATAGGTCTAAATTTATATAAGAAATGGACTGTTTTTCAAAGCAATATATGGGAATTGTCATTGTTTCACATTTTTATCACTATGTGATGTTTTAGTCTGTTCATGCTGCTATAACAAAGTACCTGAAACTGGGTCATGTATTAATATAAATAATCAAAATTTATTTCTCATAGTTCTGGAGGCTGGGACATCCAAGATCAAGGTATCAGCAGATTGGGTGTCTAGTGAGAGCCTGGCCTCTGCTTCCAAGATGACACCTTGAATGCTCTATCGTCATATGGCAGAAAGGCAAACAGGACTTAGTTCATGCCCTCCAGTCCTTTTATAAGAGCACTAATCTGTTGATGAAGGCAGAGCCCTCATGATCTATCACTCCCCAAAGGCCATACCTCTTTTTTTTTTTCAGATGGAGTCTCTCTCTGTTGCCCAGGCTGGAGGGCAGTGGCATGATCTCAGGTCACTGCAAACTTCACCTCCCTGGTTCAAGCAATTCCTCTGCCTCAGCCTCCCAAGTAGCTGGAATTACAGTCACATGCTACCATGCCCAGCTAATTTTTTTGTATTTTTAGTAGAAACAGGGTTTCACCAAGTTGGCCAGACTGGTCTCGAACTCCTGACCTCAGATGATCTGCTCACCTTTGGCTCATGCTTGGATTACAGGCATGAGCCGCCGCACCTGGCCACCATACCTCCTAATGCTGTTGCGTTGGGAATTAAATTTTGACACGAATTTTGGAGGGGACACAAACATTCAAACCATAGTACTTGGTATGATTGATTAACCTTTTTAATTTTAGTCATTCTACTACGTACATAGTGATACCTCATTGTGGTTTTGATTTATATATCCCTGAGCATCTTTTCATGTGCTTTTTTTTTGTCATTCATATATGTTTTTGGTGAAGTGTTTATTCAAATCTTTTTATCCATATTTTTATCCCAACAAGTCAGTTGTTTGCCTTCCTATTATTAAGGCGTAAGAATTCTTTATATAACAAACAGATATGCTTGCAAATATTTGTCCCAGTCTATAGCATATCTCTTTCATATATGTCTTTCAAATAGCAAAATTTTTTATTTTGATGAGTTCTAATTTAATATTTTTTCTTTTACACTGTGCTTTTATGTCATAAGAAATCTACCTAACCAAATGTCACAAGGATTTTCTTTTATGCTTTCTTTTAGAAGCATTATAGTTTTAGCTCTTACATTTAGGTCTATGATCTATTTCATGTTAATTTTTCGTGGTGTGAGTTGAGGATCAAGGTTAACAATTTTGCATATGTATATCCTTTGTTCCAGTTCTAAGTATTGAAAAAGAGTATCCCCATTGACACCCTTGGCACCTTTGTGGAAGGTCAACAGACCACATCTGTTCTATTGATCTGTGTGTCTATCAATCATCACACCAACTCCACACCGTCTTGACCACAGCTTTACAGTCATGAAATCAAATAGTTTAAGTCTTTTAACTTTATCCTTTTTTACAAAATTGTTTTGGATATTCTAGGTCTTTTGTATTTTAGAATCAGCTTGTCGATTTCTATCCCTTTTTCCCCCTGACTAGAAAAAAAAAAAAAAACCTGCTGGGATTTTTATTTGGATTGTTTTAAAATCTATAGATCATTTGGGGGAATTAAAATCTTAATATTGAGTTCTCTAATTAATGAACACAGTATATCTTTTTATTTATTTCAGTTGTATCTAATTTAACTCAGCAATATTTTATAATTTTCAGTATACATGTCTTGCACACAATTTGTTATACTTAGGCTTGATTATTTTAAGATTGTAATGCTCTTGCAATTGAGGTTTTTAATTTCAATTTTCAATTGTTTATTTTTGTATTTTTCTTTAGAATTTTCTCTTTCTAGAGATTTATGCTGTTTCTCATTCATAATATTTTGTGAGCTCTTTTTTGTCTTATTAGCACTGCTAAAGGTTTTCTTATTTTATTAGCCCTTACACAAATAAATACTGGTTTGTCAAATCTGTTGACTTTTCATTTTCTAATTCATTAAGTTTTGCTTTTGTCTACTGGGGCAACCCACCCCCAATATTTCAACACAGGTTCTTTCTATTTTCCATAAGTGTCGGCCAGCTGAGAAATAGAGATAGTACAAAGAGAGGAATTTTGCAGCTGGGCTGCCAGGGGTGACCTCACATATTGGTAGGACCGTGATGCCCGCCTGAGTCTCAGACCAGCAAGTTTTTATTAAGGGTTTCAAAAGGGGAGGGGGTGTAAGAACAGGCAGTAGGTACAAAGAAAGAAAGATCACATGCTTCAAAAGGCAAAAAGCACAACTACTAATAAGGATCTAACAAGGATCACAAGGCAAAGGGCAAAAGCAGAACTACTGATAAGGGTCTATGTTCAGCGGTGCACATATTGTCTTGATAAACATCTTAAATAACAGAAAAGAGGGTTCGAGAGCAGAGAACCGGTCTGACCGCAAATTTACCAAGGCAGAGAGTTTTTCCCCACCCTATTAAGCCTGAGGGTACTGCAGGAGACCAGGGCATATCTCAGTCCTTATCTCAACTGCATAAGACAGATACTCCCAGAGTGGCCGTTTATAGACCTCCCCCCAGGAATGCATTCCTTTCCCAGGGTATTAATATTAATATTCCTTGCTAGGAAAAGAATTTAGCGATATCTCTCCTACTTGCACGTCCATTTATAGGCTCTCTGCAAGAAGAAAAATGTGGCTCTTTTTGCCCGACCCCACAGGCAGTCACACCTTATGGTTGTCTTCCCTTGTTCCCTAAAAATTGCTGT
Organism: Homo sapiens; assembly: GCF_000001405.40. Lineage (NCBI taxonomy): Eukaryota > Metazoa > Chordata > Mammalia > Primates > Hominidae > Homo > Homo sapiens. The sequence goes on from NC_000002.12 coordinate 72,073,807, forward strand.
TATTCTGTTCTTTTTCAAGGTGCACTGATTTCATATTGTTCAAACACACACGTTTTACAGTCAATTTATACAGTTAACACAATTATCACAGTGGTCTTGAGGTGACTGACATACATCCTCAGCTTATGTAGATAGATAGCAGGATTAAAGAGATTAAAGACAGGCATAAGAAATTATAAAAGTATTACTTGGGAACTGATAAATGTCCATGAAATCTTCACAATTTATTCTGCCACGACTCCAGCCGGTCCCTCCATTCGGGCTCCCTGACTTCCCACAACATTTGTCATTATTAATTTTTTTCCTTTTGCTTTCATTAGGTTTATTTTGTTACACATTTTTAAAATTTGTTAACTGTTGAATGAATTTTGATTTCATTCTCTCTTATTTAATTATTGAGATGGCATTGTACTGTGACCACTTAGCTAAGCTTGAAGAACTACATTTCACAGAATTATCTTCCTTACATGGGTGCTGGTTAGATTTGGCCCCGTGGGAAATTTACATTGGATTTGGAAGGCAGGGGTAAAGGAGCAGTCAGTCTTTAAAATCAAAGGTCAGTGTAGGGCCAGGTACCACTGATTGCAGTTTATAAATTGTGGAGTATCTGCTTTCTGACCTTGCCAGTGTGGGCAGCACCCAGGCTCTCAGTTCCCACTGGGTCTCCTCCTGCTTCTCAGAATCCTGGTCCTGTTGCATGTGCTGCTGATGCCAGCCTATTACAGGTAGTGACACAGATTCCCATTTGTCCTGATGGGTCTCAGTTCATCCTTACTGTCCCTTACTTCTCATCCCTCTCCCTTCCTGACTTAACCTAAACTGGGGATTTTCACTGGAATTAACAGATGTTTTTGGTCCATGTCATTACTATAAATTTATTTTTAACTTGGTTAGCTCTCTAAAGAGTTTTTTCTCTCTCTTTATTAAATTTTTAACTATGTTACTAGCAATAATGTATATATTACCGAGTTTTATGGTTTTGTTTGTTGCCACAATTTCTTTTACAGCACATCTTTCATATTGGAGTTCTCATTTTTATTCACTTCTCAGTTTTATTTCCTCAAGCAATTTTTCTGAATGAATAGTTTACTTTCTGAATCCTAGTATATCTAAGAATGTCTCTGTGTTGCCTAACTCTCTGCTCTAAGCTTGGGATTTTCATAGGTTTCCTAGGTAACCTGTCTATTCACTTCCCATGCAAGACATAAGCTTGCTACCCCTCCCCCAATCCTAAAGATTCTGAAATGGTAAGCGTCTTACTTTCTAAGGAGGTCTATCAGCACACAAGTGGGGAGAGGAAGAGAAGAGTTGGGGGTGGAGCGCACACAATGGGAAAAGGAATATTCAATATTCTTGAACTCATATCAAACTCAAAGTAAAACTCAACAAAATCTTTTTGACTGGAGATACACAAAGATAGGATGAGAAAATTTTGCAGGGGCAGAGATATTGAGAAACACAGCATCCAGTTCTACCCAGTAAGTCTCGGATTGACTGGTGGCTTCCTTTCTATGTTTTAAAAGCAAATGCAGATATAGAAAGGGTGGATGAATAGGCAGATGGATAAACATAAAGGAAAAAATGGTATTTCAAAAATACAATGATGGTTTGAGCTACCTTGCCTGTCAGAGGGCAGCATTCCATTTAGGAATTTTGTTTCCGTTTTTCTTTAAAATATCTTAGTAACTGTAGCAGAAACTATCTGCTGTCTACCAAAATGCCATCTCCCTTCCCTCCATAGTGAGTTTTATGTAGGAAGTGAATACCAGCCTGACACCACTCTTCCTAGTCTCACTTTCCCCAAGGCAAGGCCACATGACCAGTCTCACCATAGAATGTGAGCAGCAGTGATGTGCACAACTGCTGAGCCTGGCCCGTGTTCCCCAAGACCCACCTCTCCGCATTCCCTCAGCTGACTGAGGTGGTAAGGACTGGAACATCCTGGGAGGTGAATGCTCACATTGGCAGTGTTGTCATCAGCCTGGTTTCCTGAATGACTGGCTGGAGCAGAGACTCCTCCCATCATCTCCCTCTACATGAAATACATCAATTATTTTCAGTCACATGGTTTTGAAGTCTTTTTTTCCATAAGATTTTTCTAATTATTACAATGGAATTCTCAGTGAGTCAAAATCAATTTCTCCCCATTCCCTACCTTCCTGCTGCTTCCATGGTATGAAAAGAGCACAGAAGAAAGGTTGATTGTTCTACAGAAGATTGTGCTCTCACACACAACAGTTTTTATGGGCAGCTTGGGAGAGGGAGAATGAGGTCAACTGGAATGTGAAGAGAAATGTGGAGACAAAAGAGGACCACGGTGACACGGAGTACAACAGAGGAGTAGTCTGATAAACTCTCAGTGGTGGGCATAACTGAGTACAAAAACATCTAATACTCAATGTGATGCAGTCCCTTGGACCTTCAATAAATCCCGCAATGCAAAATTGTCTCCTGTTAAATGTTTATTAGGGCAGAGATTACAGTGTGGTCAAGCAAGTGTGGTGTTGGAGAAACAGCATAAAGTTTAGAGCCAGATTTGGATTCAAGTCCCTTCATTTATGTGTCTGCACAGCTCACATTCTGCGAGCTTGAGTTGCCTCATTATGAAATGACTATATAATTTCCCCTAAGTCTTCCAATTAAACATGGCAGATCGAGCCACTCTTCTGCAAAGTCCCACTCCTACAAAAGTAAAATAATTTTTTTTTTTTGAGACAGAGTCTTGCTCTTGTTGCCCAGGCTGGGGTGCGATGGTGCGATCTCGGCTCACTGCAACCTCCACCTCCCAGGTTCAAGCGATTCTCCTGCCTCAACCTCCTGAGTATCTGGGATTATAGGCATGCACCACCACACCTGGCTAATTTTGTACTTTTAGTAGAGACGGGATTTCTCCATGTTAGTCAGACTGGTCTTGAACTCCTGACCTTAGGTGATCCGCCCGCCTGAGCCTCCCAAAGTGCTGGGATTACAGGCATGAGCCACCAAGCCCGGCCAAATAATTATTTTTTAGGCACAAATTCACAAAGACAAATAGAATAGGAGTAAACAGTCACAAAATATTAAGAAGTCGTGAGTAGACAGCCAAATGATACCTGACAAGACACTGGGGAAAACTCAAAGCCAAATGAATTGTTGGGGAAGACCAAAGATAGGTTCGCTGCGCTTCAGAGCCCCTGAAAATCTAAGAATTAGAAGTACCAGGTAGGCTGGTCGTGTGGCTCACACCTGTAATCCCAGCACTTTGGGAGGCTGAGGTGGAGGGATCACCTGAGGTCAAGAGTTTGAGACCAGCCTGACCGACATGGTAAAACCCCATCTTTACTAAAAACGCAAAAATTAGCCTGGCGTCGTGGCAGGTGCCTGTAATCCCAGCTATTCAGGAGGCTGAGGCAGGAGAATCACCTGAACCATGGAGGCGGAAGTTTCAGTGAGCCGAGATCATGCCATTGCACTCCAGCCTGGGCAACAGAGAAAGACTGTCTCAAAAAAAAAAAAAAAAAAAAAAAAAAAGGGAAAAGAAAAAGAAAAGAAGTACCAGGTATTCCTTGGAAGTGAGAATGCAGGTGGGGCTGAAAATAAAAGGTTTGATTGCAAGTCTTTATGAGGGTCAATTAGCCCCCCCCCCCCCACTGCCCTCTTCCAACCTAACAGAAGACTAGAGTCCCTCTCTCTAAAGAGATCGAGACAGAAGCTCTGAATTCAGCAGCACTGTGAGCAACCAAGGATGGGGGAGGGGGAATTCGAGACTGTAAATAGGAAAATTAGGTGAGCAGAGAGTGCAGTCCCCTCCCCCAACTCTGCCTCTACACTTCTGCATCAGCATTTATGCATCACCCCCACCCCCAGGCAGGAGATTGTGAATCCCTCTATGATTAAACCAACTATCCCCAGAGAAAAGACCTATGGACACTGACATGCAGTGGTTCCCCAAAGAATTATCCAGCCACGCTGTCCTGGAGTGTCACCATAGTCAGTAAGCCTCATCCATGCACATTGTTTCCAGTTTTTCAGTGCCCCACTCTTAAATATGATCCAAGGATTGCCAACATATGATGAGGGATGTTGACAAGAATAGAATGGAGGCAACTGGTTGTCAATGTTAATGACAGTATGTCTGAACTGTTGAGAGAAGTTTTTACTTCCTTCAGAGAGATTTATCAGTGAAAGTTATAGACATTAACAACTAAAAATGGACAATTATTAACCCCAGGGGAAACAAAAAGTTGCACAAGAAAGGAAATGTGTTCATGGGACACTACATGGTGCAGCTGCAATGAATAGATTATGTGGACATAATACCAAGAGTAAATATTGGTCCAACCAAAAAGATAATATAATTCCATTGGAAGACTAGAAGAACAAATACATCTGTATGCTGGGAAAAGAATGGTAGCAAAAACCTCATTTTTAATAGTAGAAGACCAATGCTAATACTTAAGCCTACTACAAAAGTCTGTATAAGCATGATATTTAAAAATATGGCCACTAATGTCACAAAAAAAACTCAAAGTAGCTGCCTCTGGGAAGTGGAATTCAAGCAAGATGAAGAATAAAAATGTTACACTTTTTAAACCATGAACATGTATGACTTTGTCAAAATAAAACACGTTTAAATAAGGTGTAGAAGTTTGTGAAGACGTTTTGTAAGTTGACTTGTACTGCACCTGCATAAATTGTCAAGAATTCTTTTCTCTTTGTATGTTTTAATATGATGTATCTCTCTGCAATTATTAGCCTTCCTGAATTTTTTCTTTTTCCCCTGTGTTCCCTCTTCTCCTGGTTGGGTCCTAATGATTGAGGACAATAGTGGTAGCAATGACAACAGCAATGACAGCTGCTAACCTTCATTATCTTATTTAATCCTTGCAATCTGGCAACAGCACCATGGGGTTCGTACTTCCGGTTCTTAAAGAAAAGCAAACTGAGTCTCAGGAAGATCCTGTAACTTTGCCCAGGTTGCATAATAGCAAGGGGTGGATCAGGGGTTTGAACACAGATATTGTGACCCCGGAGGCTGTGCAATGACACTTCATGCCATCCAGCTCCCTGTTACTGAAGCAGATGGGAAATTAGACGCTTCAGTCTGACTGTGGCTGCTGACCTCAAACCTGTGGCAGCCAAGAGCCATGAGTGGGAACCACCATTAACATAGCACGTGCCATGCCCACTTTGACCATGTGGTTGTTACCTCGCCTGCCTGGGGACCATATCCTTGCTCCCTGGCAAGGCCCCTGAGCGGGGATCTCCCAGTCCCATGATTGAACCTGGTGCCTAGATAATGCTCATAGATAGTACATGTCATCAGCCTGATACCTGACCAATACAACCCCCTTTCCAGCTCCTGGGACCCTCTTTTACTGTCTTCGTTAAGCATCTTCTGCATATAACTTGTGGCCTGCAGCACCTGGCTAAGATCTTCCTCCACTCCCTCCCTGGGAGACTGCACAGCCTAGCTGGGAAAGTCAAAGCCATCAAGGACCCAGAAAATGTTACAAGGTAATAGCACATCTGCAAGGGTGAAATAGAGGCCTCAGCTCAAGACATTGAATGATGAAAGGTGGCCTGAAAGTCTTTGCTAGTTCTCCAGTTGCAAGTGGAAACTAATTCCTTCCTCTTGAACATGGCTAGCTCAGCTTGGGCTGTCAACCAGTGCCTATCCTTGAGACTGCCATGCTGGAGAGCCCACCTGGAGGTGTCCAGCCTGGCAGCTTCTACCTAGGCCTCCCGGAACACTTGTTCTGGGGACTTCAGCCAGGAGTACCAGATGACAGAGCATCCCTGAGAGAGGGAGTAAAGAGTAGGGGTGCTCAGAGAAGGACACCTGGAAGCAGACAGAAGAACACTTGCCCCCTGAGCCCTCCTGGGATTCTGGGGCAATCAGCCTACTGTGCTCCTGTGCCTGAGTCAGGCAAGGGAAGTGGTGGAACATCTCCTCCTGCCAGGGAAGCCCGCCCAGGCCAAGAGCCACACTCAACGGGCCCTGTACACCCTTCAGAGCCCCTCTGCCCTCCCAGGACTTCACAGAGGAAGGGAAGGACAGGCTTCCAGGAAAGCCAAGGCCCAGAGTGAAACAGAGACTCACCAGGGTCACACAACCCATCCAAGGGTGGGCTGGGATGCAGGGATTTTGGATCCCCACTCCTGTGCCTTTCGTGAGGTTGCACCTAAGTGACCACCTCTGAAGAGGTGAAGGAGGAAAGCAAGGGGGGGGAAGAGGAGGGGAGAAGAGAGGAGAAGAGGGAAGAGGAGGTGGTTCATAGCCCAGCTCAAAGCTGGTTTTCAGGCAGGGCCATGGCTGTGTAACTGCTATTCACAGTTCAGGGAAAGAACTTAACCCACTATCACTGTGTGTGTGTGTGTGTGTGTGTGTGTGTGTGTGTGTGTGTGTGTGCGCGCGCGCACGCATGTGCACAAGTGTCAGACTGGAAGTAGTTGTGAATCACACACCATGCTCTGCACTGGGGAAATGTGAGCTCTGAAGAACCTTCCAGAAACATGTGAGCACCAAGACCCAGGCATTAGTGATGGCAGCAGTAGGCCAGCTGGTGCAGCTGCTGCCATCACACTGGTGGCTGAAGGGGGTGCATGGGGAGGAGGTGGACAGCCCCCATCCCTGCAGCCCACCACCCTGGGGCCACTGCGATGGGACTGGGCCAGGTTGTGTGCCCAAGCCACAGCTGCAACCTGGGCACCCCTGTGCTCTTGGGAGCTGGGAGTAGGCAGAAGTCTCACTGTCCTGGGCTCCTGCTCCATGGAGCACCACCCCCCACCATGGCTACAGCTATTCAAACCAGAGCTGCAGACCCAGGCATCCTTGCACTCTTCCCCCACTTGCCTTCACAGGCTTAGAGGTGCCTTCTCCCACAGCCTGGCCTGTCCCCAATTTTGGCGCCCCCCTCCAATCTCAGAGTAGAGTTGGCACTAAGCCCAGTGCTGTCACAGCCCAGTCAGGTGTGCACACACTCCAGGCAGTGCTGACATGCCAGCCTCCTGCTGTCTTGGTCCCCTTCAGACTTTGGGCACTGAGGAGCATGGGAGGGGAAGCTGAGGGGGGCTGAGGAGGGCTGGGTACTGGCCTGCATGTACCCCTTGCTGCCAGCAGCCTGGGCACCATGGATGGTCACAGGAGGCAGACAGGCTACTGGGTGGAAGGGAGTGGGTCCCCAGTGAAGCCCCACCTTCAGGCCAGTCTGCCAGTCCTGCAGACAGGAGGGGAACTCATGGTGCTTTTTCCTGGGCCCACCCATGGCTGTCCAGGGACCAATCAGCACACACCTCCCCCCTCTGACACCCATAAAAGCCTGGGGCTCAGTCAGAGAAGGGCAGACGTCAGAGAGAGGATGGGACAGCCAGCTGCAGAGAGGAGCTACCCTCTCTGCTGAGAGCTGAACACTCAGGCTGACTTACCTACAGGGAGGAGCTACCCACTGTGGGTGTTCTAATACTTAATAAATCTCCTCTTCCTCATGTTCACCCTTCACTTATCTGCGTACCTCATTCTTCCTGGATGCGGGACAAGAACTTGGGCAAAAGCGCCACTGGCCTAGAGGTTTCTGGCCAGAAAACCGACACCCCAAAGATCCCATAATATTAGGACTTCGTACCCAACACTCTGCCCACTCTAACCATTGCTCATAATCAATGGTGATGCCGAGTGCCCAGGAGGGAAGTGCCTGGATGGATATCTGGCCATGCTGACCCACCCATGGTGTCCACTTTCATGCTCAAGGGGGGCGCATGGAGCAGGGCAGTTGCAGGTCACTCTGCTAATGGGGTGCAGGCCAGCCTGGGCCATGGAGCAGCTCTGCACCTCTGGCTCCAGCACTAAGTGTGTGACCCGCAGGCAGGGGGCATGTGCACACAGCACTCGCACACCCACCTACCAGCCTCTGCTGCTCTGAGATTTGTGGGGCTTTTCGCCTGCGAACCCGAGTGACTCAGAGCTATGGGGTTTCCAGAACTGCCTCTCTGTAGCTCAAATGACACAGTTGAGTAATCAAGGAGGTGCAGGGATCAGAGCACCAGTTTTCTGACCCTCGGGGTGCTGTCTGGACCCTTGTCATAAGGGTCCTCTTCCTTCAGAGCCCTGGGCCTGAACTCGCCACCACTCCCAACTCAGCCCCCATAGCAGGCGCCTGGGTCCCACCTCTCTCCCTGCTGCCCCCACCCCCACACCCCTCCTTGGTCTCCATCTTGGCAAGCTGGCCTCCACCCCACCCCATCCCTGTTTGAATTCTGGGAAAGGCAAGGGAGGAATGGAACAATGGCCTAAAATTAGAACCCACAACAAAAACATGGCACTCTGAGTCATGCATTGTTCTTTTGCACTGCTCCAAATGCTGCGTAGCCACATTGGTTCTGGCCCTGATGAGTGCTGACAGCAGGATGAGCACAAGCCAGGCCTCAGGGGAGAGGGGCTGCAGAGTGGCAGCCCCATGGGGCCTGGCTCCTGGATGTCAGAAAACTGGTGGGAGGATGGAAGGCCAGCGTTACCCTTGGGTCAGCCCTGATGGGCGTGGAGATGAGACGCCTGGGCCAGTTCCCTCCGTTTGCGCCACCTTCCATCTGCCTGCCATCGGGCAGCCTCCCGTCAGCACTTCTGTGCAGCACCATGTGCACGCATGAGGTTTCCCGTTCACGGGAAATGACGGCTGGCTCAGAGCACACATCAGCCATGGTCATGATCACCCCAGGAACTGCTGTGCAGGACCTCTACTGAGCCACATGCTTGTCACCTTCTCAGAAAAAAAATGACTCACAGTCATGTTCTCCAGTTTGAACCCACAGGAAGGGGACTATGTCCCTTTACCAGCAAGTGGGGGTGTCAGCATGGAATGTCATCCCAGAAATCTCTTGTCCATCTTTTCGCCACCCCTACTGCTTCCTTTAAGAACAAAACAGTGTTTTTAGGTTCCCTTCATCCCAGGGATCCCCCATCATCACCGCGGGGATGAATCCCCTCATCTGCAGGCAGGTGCAGCCGGCTGAGGGGTGGGCCGGAGGTGGAACATGCTTCTCCCTGTGCTCTGGGCTTTGTGGGAGGAGTGAAGACAAGACAGACAGTCTCCTCATCTTTCAGTGACCCCCTACTGTACTCCAGGGCTCCTCAAAAGCCAGCAAGTGCCAGAACCACCACCCAAGCAGCTGGTTGCAGAGCCGACTCCCCGTTCTTAAAGGGCCTGAGCCTATGGGACCGGAAGAGCTCCACAGTCTGCCTGTCTCTGGTGGTGGAAGACCACTCTCAGAAGCGCGGGCTGAGGCTTGCACACAGTCAGATTCCCGCGCAGCACGTGCACAGGTGTGCCCAGGGGCGAGCGGTGTTTGAAGTGCTTGGGACAGGATGGTCGGAGGAAGGCGTGCGCTGAGCTTGAACGGTTGGCAGGATATGGAGAGGCAGAAATTGGAAGTGAAAATTAGAAAGACAGTGGCCTGGCGCAGTGGATCACATCTGTAATCCCAGCGCTTTGGGAGGCTGAGTCGGGCAGATCACCTGAGATCAGGAGTTCAAGACCAGCCTGGGTAACATGGCAAAACCCCGTCTCTACAAAAAATACAAAAATTAACTGGGCATGGCGGCACATGCCTGTAATTCCAGCTACTCTGGAAGCTGAGGCAGGGGAATGGCTTGAAGCCAGGAGGTGGAGGTTACAGTGAGCCGAGATTGCACCCACTCTAGCCTGGGCTACAGAGTGAGGCTCCATCTCAAATAATAATAATATTAGAAAGATTATGAAGAGCTTTGAATGCTGCCAAGACAGCTGATTTTCACCTGCTGAAAATGGGAAGGGGATGTGGAGACAGACACGTGGTCAGAGCTGTTTTCGGACGGGAGCTGGCAGAATGTGGAGGTGGCCTGAGAGGCCAAGAGGAGCAGTGGTGGGTCCCTGGGCCCATCCAAAAGTCCCCAAGAAGAGGACCAGGACTTACTGGACTCTGCATTCCTGGTTCCCGCCTGGCTCGTGTTAGCACTGGTGAATGTATGTGGTCAGGTGAGTTATGCCTGAGAAGGCTCCTGCGTTGTCGTGCACGAGAGGAGACCAGCCTGAGCTGGAACAGGCTGGTGACGAAGGGAGGGTGGGGACACGTGGCGGCACAGGTAGTGAAGGTGGGAGATGAGGCCTCCGGAGCCCTGGGGTGGGGAGGGGCAGGCTGCGGAGTGGGACTTGGGCCCTGTGTGCGGGTAGGGGGTGATGGTAGAGGTGGTGCAGGGCCAAGACCAGGAATGGAGAATGGATCCTGAGTGGAGTCAGGAGTGGAGTCACTGCTTCTCCAGGACGGCCTCTTGCCCCAAGGCCATGGGAGCAAGGGGGGAGCTGTGGGAGTGTGGGAATGCACTGTGAAGCTGCTCACGTGGCACAGTGTTCTTTCACTGGAGTCCTCAGGGGTCTCGCCCTGCCTTGCCCCAGCATCCACCCACAGACCCACGTGTCCCAGATCCGAGAGGAACATGTCTGCTAAATGTCATCCCCCACAAAAGGCAAGGGACACACTGTCTCCCCTCACTGCTGGTTGGCATTGTAAGAGGAGCCGCTGGCAGCTGGAAGAAAGCTGGAGAGCACCCGGCACGTGGCTGGGCTGCAGGGAATGGGGTGCAGCAGCCACCGGCATCCGAGCCTGGAGGAAAGTCAGGTCTCAGAGGGAATGGGGTGGCGGGGCTCTGTTTAGATTGAAAGAAAATCATCAGACAACCCAGAGCTTTGGTTCCAGTTCAGACCGGCTCATTGGTTTGTTCTCGTTTTAAGACTCTCTCTTTGTTTATAAAGTGTATTTGTATTTGTTTCCATTTGGGATTCAGCAGATGAGTGCAATGAATTCCAGGGTCTGCTTCATGGATCAGCTCAACTTGAACACACGCACATTTCACTCTCAGACTGGGGCGCATCCAGGGATGTGTTGTCTCCTCTCTACTCCCTAGACAGCCCCAGGACAGAGGTGCCCACACAGACCAGAGACGGGGGCTGCCGCACCAGGAGCAGCAAGGGCTGAAAGACCACAGATGACCACTATGGAGACCTCCAATGCCTGGCTCATGAATCATCTCATTTACAACAACTGCATGCTGTCGGTATGATGATTAGCCCTGTTTTACAAACAGAGGGGGAAATTCAGAGAGATGAAAAACCTGCCCATGGTTGTTCCACGGGCACATGCAGAACAGGATTTGAACCCAGGAACCCTGTTCCTGTCTGGCTCCAGGGCCTACCCTGGACCACCAAGTGTATACTTTCTGTACAAAGTACTACTGCTCACAAGAGGGATGTGGCCCCCAGGGCCTTGTCTCCCCTTAAAAGAGAATGTAGAATGAGAAGCAGGGTGGGCAGCGGCCCGGGAGCGGCATGATCTGTCGTGCCTCACCCCCAGAGGTGGCTTGCTCTGGGGCTGCCCCCATGGTGGCCTCTCCCAGGCAGGTCCTTGAGAAGTTGGAGCGATCAGGACTTCCGGGGAACCATGTTCTTGTACTCCCCGGGCCAGGGCAGTTGCAGAAGCCTGGGGCTCAGGCTGCAGAGGTAGCAGGCAGGACTCGGGGCGCCCACAGCCCCGGAAAGATACCTCACCTACCTGCAGACTCTCCTCTTGAGGACTCTGTCCCAGGGGCTCCAGCAACCCCCTGGGAGGCTGCTCAGGCCCCACTGTTCCCCAGACCCACCTCTGCTCAGAGTGAGCCTAAGGTAGGAGCAGGAGAGAGAGCATGTCTTAAGAGAGAAAGCCACCTTCATGAACAGACGCTCACCTGCTCCATTAATGCCAAGGTCAGCATGAGCAATGAGAACCATTACCATTAATCAACAGCAAGGGCTGATCTGAAGCCCAAGTACTGGGAAACAAGACTGGGTCACCTGGGGAGTGGCTGCTTGGCGAGCTGTAAGGTGTGTGGGAACCCACAGCTCCCTGCCAACCTGGGAAGGCTGCCTGGAGGAAGCAGCCTTTTGAGTGCTGCTGGATGTCCCCAACAGCTCTGGGCCCCATTTCCAAAGGCCTCTACCTCCCAAGAACACTGCAGGCTGGCTGGCTCCCATGAGACCCTGAAGCCCACATGGTCAGGAGCAGGAGAAAAGTGGGAAAGGAGAAGTTGCTCTACTGGGGAGGAGACCAGAGGCCCTGGCATCCCCAGGAACTGCACCCCCTGCAAATTTTCAATTCTGCAATCCCTCCCTGACCGAAACCTCACTCCCCAGCTCTTTACTTAGCAGGTGGTCTTGCCTCATGCAAAGAGAACCGGGGCCCTGCTCCTCTATCCAGAGTTGCCTCTGCCTGTCTGCCCTGACCTCTCTCCATCCATCAGAGCTCCCTGCTCCACTGCCCCCCGCCAGCCCCTCAACCCTGATTCTTGGGCCACTCCTTAGTCCCTGCTCTGGACCCACTCCCTGGGCACCCCTGAAATACCAGCTGCCTCCCAGGGCCCCACTGTCCATCCTCTCTGCTCTTCCTGCTCCCCACATGTACAGATAACAACCCCTGTATTGATTCCTTCATTTCTCATAATAACCTCATAGAGTTAGAAGGGCACTCAGTAAATGCTGGCCACTCCTCTTCCATGGAAGGCAGTCAGGAGGCGGCGCCCCCAAGCCTGGTCAATTCAGCCACCCAGCTATGTCAGGCACTGGGCCAGGCATACTGTGATTCTCTCAGTTCATTCCCTGAAGCATGTGAGACCACTGCCATGAGTCCCAATGTCACATCCTTACAAGGCAAAGTCTACAGGCAGAAAAGAAGGCATTTTCCTCCTCCATTGTCTCTTTTTATCAGGGAGAAAACATTTTCCTGGAAGCACCTGATTCCTTGGGCGAATTCAGGCCTGATGCTGAAAACCTAGCTGCAAAGGAGGCTGGGGAGGCCTGGTGTTGGGAAGGTAGTTCTGCCAAAAAGGAGAGGAGTGCCTGCCCATCTGGCTAATGGGATTAAGAGGTGACAGCATGCTGGCAGTCCTCAGAGCCCTCGCTTGCTCTCCGCACCTCCCCTGCCTGGGCTCCCACTTTGGTGGTATTTGAGGAGCCCTTCAGCCCCCCCACTGCACTGTGGGAGCCCCTTTCTGGGCTGGCCAAGGCTGGAGCCCACTCCCTCAGTTTGCAGGGAGGTTTGGAGGGAGAGGCACGAGCGGGAACCGGGGCTGCTTGCGGGCCAGCTGGAGTTCCCGGTGGGCGTGGGCTTGGTGGGCCCCGCACTCAGAGCAGCCAGCCAGCCCTGCTGGCCCGGGGCAATGGGGGACTTAGCACCCGGGCCAGTGGCTGCGGAGGGTGTACCGGGTCCCCCAGCAGTGCCGGCCCACCGGCGCTGTGCTCGATTTCTCGCCGGGCTTTAGCTGCCTTCCCACGGGGCAGGGCTCGGGACCTGCAGCCCGCCATGCCTGAGCCTCCCACCCACTCCATGGGCTCCTGTGCGGCCCGAGCCTCCCCGACGAGCACCACCCCCTACTCCACGGCGCCCAGTCCCATTGACCACCCAAGGGCTGAGGAATGTGAGCGCACGGCGCAGGACTGGCAGGCAGCTTCACCTGCAGCCCCGGTGCGGGATCCACTAGGTGAAGCCAGCTGGGCTCCTGAATCTGATGGGGACGTGGAGAACCTTTGTATCTAGCTCAGGGATTGTAAACGCACAAATCAGCGCCCTGACAAAACAGGCCACTCGGCTATACCAATCAGCAGGATGTGGGTGGGGCCAGATAAGAGAATAAAAGCAGGCTGCCCGAGCCAGCATTCGCAACCCGCTTGGGTCCCCTTCCACACTGTGGAAGCTGTGTTCTTTCACTCTTTGCAATAAATCTTGCTACTGCTCACTCTTTGGGTCCACGCTGCTTTTATGAGCTGTAACACTCACCGCGAAGATCTGCAGTTTCACTCCTGAGCCCAGCAAGACCACGAGCCCACCGGGAGGAACGAACAACTACAGACGCGCTACCTTAGCAGCTGTAACACTCACCGTGAAGGTCTGCAGCTTCACTCCTGAGCCAGCGAGACCACGAGCCCACCGGGAGGAACGAACGACTCCAGATGCGCTGCCTTAAGGGCTGTAACACTCACCGCGAAGGTCTGCAGCTTCACTCCTGAGCCAGCGAGACCACGAACCCACCAGAAGGAAGAAACTCCAAACACATCTGAACATCAGAAGGGGCAGACTCCAGACGCGCCACCTTAAGAGCTGTAACACTCACCGCGAGGGTCCGCGGCTTCATTCTTGAAGTCAGTGAGACCAAGAACCCACCAATTCCGGACACAGGATGACCTGCCCTTGACCTTTCCCCTCTCCAGCCCATCCTCCATAATGATACCAGAGTGACCTTTCTAATCTCAGATTTGACTGTGTTGGTCTCTACTTAAAAACTTTTAATAATCGACTTCAGATAAGGCCACAGTCCTTGATGTGACATATGATGTCTTCCACTGTGTGATCACAACTTCTTTTCCTGCAATTCCCCCATTCAGCCAGTTCAAACTTCTCATCATTCCCTCAAACCTTTCCCTACCCCACTCTTTCCTACCCCACAATCAGCCTGACAAAACGAAACTATTCATTCCTCAAGACACAGTTTCTCTGTGAAACTTCTTTGGCTTCCTCATCCCCCTGTTAGGCCAAATACCTACAACGGTGCTAGCTCAGAGGTTTTCAATCAGCACTTGATGAGGGAGGGAAGGAAGGAAGAAAGGAAAGAGAAGGCAGGCAGGCAGGCAGGCAGGCTGGTCAGAGGTGTTTGAACCACAGTGACCATCTTATATAGAGGCTGGGTAAAATGAGGCTGAGACCGACTGGTCTGCATTCCCAGGAGGTGAGGCATTCTAAATCACAGGATGAGATAGGTGGGCACAAGATACAGGTCACAAAGGCTTTGCTGATAAAACAGGTCACATTAAGGAAGCCGGCCAAAGCCCACTAAAACCAAGATGGTGATGAAATTGACCTCTGGTCGTCCTCACTGCTCATTATATGCTAATTATAATGAATTAGCGTGCTAAAAGACACTCCCACCAGCGCCATGACAGTTTACGAATGCCATGGCAACATCAGGAAACTACCCTATATGGTCTAAAAAAGGGAGGAACCCTCAGTTCCGGAAATTGCCCACCCCTTTCCCAGAAAATCCATGAATAATGCACCCCTTGTTTAGCATACAATCAAGAAATAACAATAAGTATAAGCAGCTGAGCAGCCCATGCCACTGCTCTGCCTGTGAAGTAGCCATTCTTTATTCCTTTACTTTCTTAAACTTGCTTTCAGTGATTATATGGACTTCCCCTGGATTCTTTCTTGAGCAAGATCCAAGAACTCTCTCTTGGGGTCTGGATTGGGACTCCTTTCTGGTAACAGAAAAAAGGAAGGAAGGACAGGAGGAAGGGAACAAGGAAGAAGAAAGGAACGAAGGAAAGGAGGGAGGGAGGAAGGAAGGAAGATGCAGAAGAGGAAGGAAGAACAGAAGGAAGGAAGGAAGAGATGAAGAGAGGGAGGAAGGAAGATGGGAGAGAAGGAGGAATAGAGGAAGGGACGGAGGATTAGGAAGGAAGGGATGGGAGAGAGTGGAAGGAAGGAGGGAGGATGAGGAAGGAACGATACGTATGATGCCCCAGGCATCATTGGGCCCTTTCCTCCTCTGTGGAAAGCATGGAAAGTGCCATTGGCTCCTGGAGTAGCCCCATGGGGCCTCCTGGGCATGACATTTTGTTACACGTGTTAGGCATGAGTGGGGCAGGAGAGGGCTCTCCCCCAACCCGCTGGAAATGGCAGGTGATGGTTTGGCAATTATTGCATTCCCTCTCTAAAAATGATAATTCGGCACCCAGGGAGAGACCAGCTGCTGACGACCCACATTTTTTAACATTAAAAGTGTTAAATGAATGCAGACCCCAGGGAGAAGCGGCTTCCTGGGCATGCGCGTTAAGAGACAAAATGGCGAAGTATGACGTGCCAGGACACGGCACTGGAAAAAGGAAAAATGCTTCAGATGGGCATGTGTGTAACTCCCTAAACACACTGTGCCTGCTCAATTCCAAAGGGTAAGGAGAGCACTGCGCATGCGGGAAGCCCACCCTCAGGGAAGAATCATGGGAAAGAGGCGAGTCTATCAAGTCCTAGGATCACAGTTAAAGCCCCACCTTTTTTTTTTCTTTCACTCTTTTCTCTTTTGAACATTCAGGCGCCCGCTTGGGTCTCTTCCAAGCAAACTTTCCTTTCTTTCCTGTTCTAAAGCCTTTTTAAATAAACTTCCACTCCTGCTCTGAAACTTGCCTCGGTCTCTTTTTCTGCGTTATGCCCCTCAGTCGAATTCTTTCTTCTCAGGAGGCAAGGGCTGAAGTGGCTACAGACCCAGACGGATGCACCTCCCGTAACTCGAATCTCTTCCACCGCTAACAGTTTTGTCCCAGCTCATCGGTGGAGGTTGAACTAGAGACCATCCTCTCATTACTACTGGATTCAAGTAGTTTTGTTGTTCCCCCGCCACCCCACCCCCGCCCCTTGGGATAACTCCCTCCCACTGTGGGCTATTTTCCTAAGCCAATGAGACACACCAAGTGTTTTCCAAAAGATCTACAGCGCTGCAGGGTGCTGCGGTCTCAGTGGAGGGAGCCTTTCTCACTCGTCCCTATGGGGCGCCCTCACATTTAATTCAGCCTATCTCTCCAGCCTGACGGGGCCTCTTGGCCTTTGACCCTGATGCCCTCATTTGATAAGCATATCATCTACGTCTTCAGCTCCATAGCTTCTAGAATCATTACACAGGCCTAAACATCCTGCTGAAACCTCCCTCATGTGACCTCAATCTTTTCCTCCATCAACACCCCTTGGGCGTGGTCATTCACCCCTGGAGAGCTGGGTAGGAGCAAAGCCTCACTCAGGGTGACCTCAGAAGATAGGGAAGAGAGAAAAACCTGCCCCAGCGGTGCTCAGACAGCCCTGTGGAAAAGAAGGGGAGGCCAGGCTGACCCAGGAAGGGTCGACATGTTGTTGTGGCACTGTAAATTCTTCACCCCGGAAGCTGGCATCCCTCCTGCCCCTTCCTCTGCCTCTGTTTCTCCCTCTTCCTGCCTGACTTCTGTGAGTTCCCTCTTGAAATTCCCAAGAGAGTTCTGTTGGCCAGCTAGTCACCATCCAGGATGGAGCACACCAGGCAGGCAAAATCCCACCCCAAAGGATGGCTCATGCACACTCATCTTCAGCCAACAGATGACTTCCTTGGACCCAAGTTCTGATTCCTAGGCCAACCAGCTGTGGCCAGAGGGACAGGGTCCCAGACCACAACTCCCAGCACTTGCTTGCAAGGCTGCTTTCCTGAGAAGCGGTGGTGGGAATGGCAGGCGTGTGGAGTCCCACAGACCAGCACTTCTGGCACCCAGCCCATGAGAACAGAAGTTTGAGGCTTGTAGGCTGTGGGGGAGCTGGGGTCTGGAACTAGACCTGCCCCTGGAGCAGCCGTCTAGTTCCTGCCCCTGATAATGGCACAGCTGGCTGTTATCAGGGGCAAGAAGTGCAGTTGGGCCAGTGGAAAAAGAGCAAATTGGCAGCTGATACTGCCCAGGTAGGGCCCGCCTAGGAGCCCTGCCCAGAAACAGGCAGCCAAAGAGAGGAGCCCAGCAATGGATGTCCATGGGCACCATGGCAGGCCTGGCTCTTATCTTACCAGTGGACTGGAAGACAAGAGACAGGCCCAACACTTGGATGGACTGGAGTTTCTGAAAGGGCCAAAGGCAGAATCCAGACCTGGAAGCACGATGGGGCCTCATATGAGACTGGTTCAAAGGCAAGCCCTAGTCTCTGGATCTGGAGCAGTAGGTCATGGCCAAGCTGCAAATGGGAAATAATATCATTCCCTTACCCAATTACATACATAACTCCTTACATTTCCCACACCCTGGTTGGGGATTATTCCTGAATCAGCCTTCTCAATTAACTGGGAATCCACCTGGCTTCAGCTTAGGGACAGGAAAGAGACAGGGTCAGAGAAGTGCCAGGTAGTCCCAGCCCAAGGGTCTCCATTTGGTCTCACAGGGTGACTTGAGAGACTTGGGGAAACAGACACTTCTGCCTCCCACCCTAGTCCCCGCTCCCACCTCCTAATCTGGAACCCATTAAAAATGAACATGAAGGAATTTCATAGGTCTGTCAAGCAGAGCCAGGTGTGTTCCTGGTGGCGACCACTTTCCTTTCTACAGATTCACAAACTCTGTTTTTATCCACCCAGAGAAGGAGCCTACCTGGGTTTGATGCATTCTGCCCTAGTCCTTCCCCTCTCCAGGTATTAAATTCAGAATGCCATCTGACCACGTGTCTTGACCTCCCTCCCAGTTTCCACACTGACTTGCCAGTGTACAATTGCACAGTTCTCTCCAGACCTGCTGGGTATGACTCGAGGCTTACCAATAGGATTTTCAGAATATCGATTGATTACCCTGGGGCAATGGCTGGGTACTGTCTGAGTAATCAGGTTCAAAAGGGCAGTGATAGAATTGAACATATGCATTTGTTCTGGACCATTCACCTAAGGGAAGAGAAAATTTGGCCCAGGAGAACAGAAGGAGCAGTGGTTCACACCAAGGGGAAGCGCTCCCTGGGGTGTGGTTAGCATGTGAGCAAATTCCTCACTCATTTCATTCGATCAAGTCCAAACTCCTCGGCCTCAATGAGGAAATGAGTCTAAAGCAGCCAGCAGTTTTTCAATGTATTGCTACCGTGCATTTGGAAACATGAACATAAACCAGTAGTGATAAGATACTGGAAAATTATTTCACTTGAAAGGCGGTGAGAAGGCCAGTGAGTTCAAGTGGAAAGGACTTGCTCATTGCTTATCTTAGTCATCTCTTCCCTCCAAAAGTGCAGAAAATTAGAGGCACCCCTAGGAGAGAAGCAGGAGGCATAAAGGTCCTAGAGGACCGTGAGCATGGAACCAGGCATCTGCTTCCCTCCTGGACCTCTACTGACCCCCTCAGCATGAACATTCCAACCACCTTAGTAAACAAAACAGAAACAACATCCTCAATAGCGAAAGGACTAAATAAATTATACAATGGTTTAATATGCATTTAATTTATATTTACTTAATATAACAATACAATACATTTTATATAAAATGGTAAAATTTTATACCCCTGTTAAAATTGGAGTTTTAAGTAGCAGGTGCTGCTTTTATAAGTAAATATCACCATTACTAAACAAAAGCCAAACATTTTGGTTTAGGTTGGGCGTAGTGGCTCACGCCTGTAATCCCAGCACTTTGGGAGGCCGAGGCAGGCAGATCGCCTGAGGTCAGGAGTATGAGACTAGCCTGGCCAACATGGTGAAACCGCGTCTGTACTAAAAATACAAAATTTAGCCAGGCGTGGTGGCATGTGCATGTAGTCCCGGCTACTTTGGGAGGCTGAGGCAGGAGAATTGCTTGAAATCAAGAGGTGGAGGTTGTAGTGACCCACAATCGTGCCACTGCGCTCCAGCCTGGGCGACAGAGTGAGACTCCGTCTCCAAAAAAAAAAGTTTGGTTTAAAAGCATTGATTGGTACAAAGGTATCAAAACAGAAAAATAATAATAAAAGAATTGACTTTACAGGTTATATTAACCCTCCCTCTTTTTTCCATTCAGTGGAAGTCTTTTAATTTGTCTTGCCCACTGTCTGCTGACTCTTCTGATCCTTTGGTTTTTAAATTTTATAGGAGTAGCTTGCAGCGTTCCTGCCTCTCTGGCCTATCCAGTCCCATTCTCCTGTCACCATCTCTGTGGGCTCCCTTCCCCAGCAAGCTTCTCCTTAGAGGAGTCCAGACCTACTACCTCATCTCCTCTCCTCCCATCCTCACCGCAGCATTTTGCAATCCACCCTCTGCCTCTGTTGCTCCAAGGTAACCAGCAGCCTCTGGTGCTAAATCCAGTATGTGATTTTCAGGCCCTGCAGTGCAATTTCTCCGTAGAGTTGGATACTCGGCAACTCCCTGCTTCTCCCAAGTTCCTCTCCTGTTAACTCCCATATATCCTCTCTCCTTGCTTTCCCCCATTGCCCTCCTTTGGGGCCTCTCTTCCTTAGAGGCTGGGGTTCCCCAGCGTTCTCTCCTGAGTGCACTTTCTTCTCCCTCTACCCACAGCCCCCTGAGGCAGAGGACCAATATGACCTCCAGGGACCCTCCTGAGCTCCAGATCCAAATCCCATAGGACCTCAAACCTGGCCTATGATCTCTTCCCCCATGGCCATCTCCTGCCCCTCCTCCCAGTTGTTCCTCTCAGCTGCGGGTTCCACCACCCAACCAGCTACTCGGTCTAAAATGTGGGGGATTTTCTTAACTCCTCCCTTTCCCTTATGGCCCTTATCCAGCCCATTTTCAAGTCCTATAAATGCCTTATCCTTAGTAGCTCTCAAACCCGTTCCCCCTCCACCTCCTTCTCAGTCCTGGTGTCCTCTTGGATCACCAGGACACTGGGGAAGTCTCCTAACTGTCCTTGTTGGCCGTCCCATCCCCATCGCCACCCTCACTTCAATTCATCCTCCACCCAAGGAGTGATTTTTATAAAATGCAAATCTGAGGATCCCATTCCCTTTTAAAAAATTTATCCAGGGGCACTCCAGCCTGGGCCACAGAATGAGACTCTGTCTCCAAAGGAAAAAAACAAAAAAAAAATGTCTCCAGGGGTCCTCGTCTCCTTTGCAGGACAGCCCTGCCTGGGTCAGCCTTCAGCCCTCATTCTGAAGCACCCAGCTCTGCAGCTCCCACCCTGCACCAGGCCTCACCCCTAGTCCATACACCGAACTCTTCCTTTATCTCCTCCAGCAGGAGCAATAACCCAAGCTTCCTGGTCTTAATCAAAATCCTACTGCTATGTGCCCTGGGTTGGCCAACACCTGGCCAGCCTCTAGGAACAAATGAGGCCACCATCTTGATAAGAACCTAGATTTCTCTGGTCCATATCATGCAAGAATCTGGCATCTTACAATCTCCGCTCCAATTATAGGAGTCCCCTGGGCACCTCACCTATGTCCACACACAAGTCCAGTTGCCACCCAGTGGTCTGCTGAGCACTTGTTGGGGATGGAATGTTGCCTTGTCAATGTTTTTGTCTCCCTTCCCCTCTGTGTAGCTGTCAAGCAGTCTGAACCGTCCTGACCCCATCACAACTCTGAGGGGGGATCCTGCTCCATCTAAACCAGGGTTTCTCAATCTCAGCACCATTCACATTTTGGGCCAGTTGGAGGCAAGGGTGGGGCTATCTTGTGCATCATAGGCTGTTTAGCAGCATCACCGGCCTTTATTTACCGGATGCCAGTCACACACACACACACACACAGACACACAAACACACACACACACACCTGTGACAAAATATCTTCAGACACTGCCAGATGTCCTGTGGAGGGCAAAGTTGCCCCTGGTTGAGAACCACTGATCTAAGCCAATTCTGTAATGTCATTCTCTCCCCCAGTTCTCAGTTAGATTCGAATGTATGACCTAAATCGGTTGAATGAGAATGAAGTTCAACCATTGTGTTCAGTGTTCAGTGGTTTTGTTTTCTCACCTGCTCGAGTGTCAACCTGGGAATTGGAAGCAGCCATTTGCAGGAGGGCCAGCTGCAGGATGAAGCTGACGCCATGGAAACAAAACAGAGATGGAAAGAAATCAAGTCCTGAGTGACAAGCTTGGACCTCAAAAGATCAAACTGCCTTAAGCTCACTCATTGCTGGACAGTTCTATATACTAAGGCTATAAATTATTTTGTTTATAGTCCTGTTACTTGCAACTGAAACCATCACTGCTATTAATACATCCTCTGTTTGGGCCAGATCCACAATCTGACACAGGACTCAGCACAGCCACTAGTTACCACTGCCATTTTCCACTGGGCTTCGCTCTCTATTCCTGAGTATGGCACCTGCAGGCAGTGCGTCCCAGGGGGCACTGCCACCAATGTCCTAAAACCCTCAACATGTGAAGCCAGAGGGTCCAGGGAAAAGTGCGATTGAATATCATGCTCCCCTTCATGTTAGTATCTGGGAGAGGACAGCAAAGCTCGTTGCTCTGGCCACAATATTATTCAGAGTTTAGTGAAACAGGCATCTTGAGTTTACTCGCATTGTAGCTCGCTTTCTCTCTCTCAGTCAAAGACAAGATGTGAGCTCATGGGACATGGCCGATGACATATTTAAGTAATAGTCCCCACCTTATGTTAGACTTCCTTAGCCTCTTCAGGGCCAATCA
This sequence comes from Homo sapiens, assembly GCF_000001405.40. NCBI lineage: Eukaryota > Metazoa > Chordata > Mammalia > Primates > Hominidae > Homo > Homo sapiens. The sequence continues at coordinate 72,095,962 of NC_000002.12, forward strand.
GGGCACACATAGATTTTTCTAATCTTAGAACATATTCTTTCCCAAAAAGCCCTAGCCCGTCAACCAGATAGATACTGGGTTTTTAGCCCAATATTGGTATATTGACCAGCTTATGCTAGCTGTGGCAACAATCAATCCCAAATCATAGTCTCTTACAACAATAAGAGTTTTTATACTGTCAATATTATATTTATAATATAAACATATTGGCTTTGTACATGAATTTATTCAAGGTTCATCACCAGCCCTTCAGCGTAATGCTTTCTCCACTCCAGAGTTTTTTATTCAGATTCACCCCTTGATTAACTGGATTTCATCTCCCAGGTAGTTTTTAAAGAAATACTTACTGGTGCAACAGTGCCAGCATATTTTCGTATTTGTGAATGACCATTGCCTTTAGACTTGAGTGACAGTTTGGCTGAGTGAAAACATGTTGGGTCATGCTTCTCTCAGATCTCTGTAGACGATACGCCACTACTTTTTGCTAATACTGAGGAATATGTCTGAGGCCAGTTGATAATATTTCCTCCTTGTGAGTGACTTGCTTTTTCTGCCTGGATGCCCATATGATTCTTTAGCTTTCATACTTAATGGATGCCCATATGATTCTTTAGCTTTCTTACTTAATTACTTCAGTAACATATGTTCTTTCTGGAACATAATGCACCCTATCCAATTGTACATTCAGGTCCTCCTTTATAGGACAGTTTTCTTTTTGAATTTTTTTCGACTTCATTTATTTTGTCTACTTCCACTGGAAAAAAAAAACTGTTGCATTTATGCTGGATTTCTTTTGCCTGTCTTGAACTTCTACCTCTATTTTTCTATCTTTGCTCTTCTCTGTTTCATTTTATGGGGTTTTTCTTGGGTTTGTCTACTATGCATCTTATTCCGCTTTCAAAAATCAGTTCTGTTCTTGTGATTGCCAGTAAGGTTCTTGTATTTCTAACATGTTTATTATTATCTTACATGTCTGTTACTTGAGCTTTGTCAGCTCACTTTTTATCTCTGTTCATTCTCTTATTGTTGCTTCTTTGGTCTCTTTTATTTCTTCTCTGAGTTCCTCCTTTTCCCCTTATGAGTTTATATTTTCATCCGTTCCTCTGAGATGATGGACAGAGTATATTTTTCTGGAATGTTTCTCCATCTCCCAAGGTAATTTTTTTCTGATATGCATTTTTCATCAGCTTTTTAATTGTTGTGTCTCTTTTCTTATTTCTCTGTTGAAACCATTTTATTGATGATTCCTTTCTCTTTATTCGTCATCATTGAATGGGGAAAGTTGTGTAGGCCAGCTTTTTTTTTTTTTTTTTTTGAGACAGGATCTTACTCTGACACCCCAGGCTGGAGTGTAGTGACGCAATCATGGCTCACTGCAGCCTGGACTTCCTGAGCTCAAGTGATCCTCCCAACTCAGCAGGGACCACAGGCACACACCACCACACCCAGCTAAAAAAAATTGTACTTTTTGTAGAGATGGGGTTTCACTGTGTTGCCCAGGCTGGTCTCGAACTCCTGAGTTCAAGAAATCTGCCTGCCTTGGCCTTCCAAAGTGCTGGGATTACAGACGCCAACTACTGCGCTTGGCCAGCATTTTTCCTAAGAATCATGTCGGGGAGGTATGGAGGAGTGGGTAGGGCAGCTGACGGCTTCACCTGAGACTAACACTACAACCGCTTTCTCACCAAAAGCACTGTGTTCTCCGTCTAGGGGCACAATAGCCTCTGAGGTTCTGTTGACCTCCTCCCATCTTGAATCTTGCAGAGGAGCTGAAAATTTTTTTGTTTAACGTCCTTCCTATTATTTTAATACTTTTTCCTTCATTTAAAAAAATCAGCTATATTGTGATAAAATATGTATGCACTAAAATTCACTCACTTTCAGTGTACAGTTTGAGAAGTTTGGCAATTCTATGCAGTCATGAAACCACTACCACAATCAGGATAGAAAGCATTTCCATCACCCTAAACATCTCGCTTTGTCCCTGGTGTTAACCCTCTTCCGTAGCTGCCCCAGCCCCAGGGAACCACTGATCTACTTCCTGTCACTATAATTTTCCCTTTTTTAGAATTTCATCTGAATAGAATCACATAAATGTCATCGTTTATGTTTTATTTCCTTCACTTAGCATAACGTTTTTGAGATTCATGCATATTGTTGTAGGTATCAATAGTTTGTTCTTTTTTATTGCAATGTAATATTACACGGAAATTCTGCGTTTTGCTTACCCATTTGCCAGTTAACAGACATTTGAGGTGTTTCCAGTTTGAGCCACTTATGAATAAACTGGCTATGAACCTTCTTCACCTACGAGTATGAGTGGACAAATCTTTTTTCTCTTGGGTAAATACCTAGGAGTAGAATGGCTGGGTTGTATGATAAATGTGAACCATACAGTTCTCCAAAGTGAGTGTCTTACATTCCCAAGTAATCTATCATCTTTTTAGTTGATTGTTCTCAACAATGCTTGATATTATCAATCTTTTAAATTTAATTCCATTAAATTTAATGAGAATTCCATCTCATTGTAGTTTTAATTTGCATTTCCCTGAAGAATAGTGAGGTCAAGCATCTTTTCACGTGTTTATTGGCCATTCATATGTCTTCTTCGGTGAAATGTCTCTTTAAAATTTTGCTCCTTTTTAAAACATACTGGATTATTTGTCTTATTATTAGGTTGTAAGAGTTCTTAAAATATTTTGGATACAAGTCCTTGTTTAGATATATGTTTAACAAATACATTCTCCCAATCTGTAGCTGGTTTCTTCATTCTCTTAATGATATCTTTTGAAGAGAAACATGTTTTCATTTTGCTAATGCTCGTTTTATCCATTTTCTTTTTTTATGGCTCATATTTGCTGTGTCCTGCTTCAGAAATCTTTATGTAAGCCAATGTCCCAAAGACTTTTGCCTCTTTTTTTTCTAGAAGATTTATCATTTTACCTCTTACATTTAGGTCCGTGATTCATTTAGGGTTAAATTGTTAGCTGTGCTTTGTGGCTCATGCCTGTAATCCCAACATTTTGTGAGGCCAAACCGAGAGGATCACTTGAGACCAGGAGTTCAAGACCAGCCTCTGGAAAGATAGATTTGCCACTAATTGCTATGAAGAAGACTGGGACGAGTAAGTTGGGAGGGGAGAGAGGCAACTGGGATGCGTAGTGGGCATCCAACTAGAGATGGGCAGCTGAACACACAGATGTGGAGTTCAGAAGAGAGGTCCAGGCGGAACACGTGGATTTGCTAATCCTCAGAACATAGATCATCCTGAAAGCCATGATATTTGATGAGATCACCCAGGATGGGGGCGTGGACAGAGAAGAGAAGAAATCCAAGGGATGAGCCCTGGGACATCTCAATTTTTTTTAAATGATAATTTCCTAAAGAAGCTCCTACTTGTGTATAAAGTCTATGGTTTTTGCCTTTGATATTATATTTAAAAGTCCTTTCTCACCCAGAGACATATAACTATTCATCTATGTTTCTTTTATGGCATAATTTTTTTATATTTAATTATGTTCAGACCTTCATTTCTCAATACCATTTCCCAATCAAAGGAACAAGAGTTCTTCAGAGAAATGGCTGATTCCAAGTCTGGCATAGGGAAAGTACAAAATAAGCCTGGAGCATCTTGTTGTGCCAGAAAGAAAAGAAGTGCTTAGACAACGATGGGAATGGGTCTAAAGGGCACAGGACTCATGGGCCAAATCTGAGACAATTGGAGCATCAAAATGAATAAAGACAGTAACGGGTGATGGCCCATTGAATAACAAAAGAATCCATACTGATAGGATAGAAAGAAAAAGAGAAGGAGAGGGAAGGGAGAAGAGAGAGAAAACTTCCTCATAATAAAATGCCAACTAATAAATACAGAAGGAATGATAGACTTAGAAAATCACCACCTTACAATAATCCTAGTTAATTAATTTAGACACCAATCATGGAATGAACCTGGATCACAAGCTTCCTATGTGCCTCCTGAAGTGAGGCACTGAGCAGGGCACACGTGTCATGCTGTATTCCTGCAAAAATGCATAGCCAGATTCCAAGTATGAAATGCCAGGTAAACATCAATTGAGGGAGATTCTTCAAAACAACTGGCCTGTGTATTTCAAAAAATATCACTGACACAAAAGACAAAGAAAGGCTGAGAAAGTACACCAGATAAAAGGAACAAAAGACGTGACAACAAAATGCCATGAATGATCCTAGATTGAATTCTGGTTGGGGAGAAGGGAGGCCTATAAAGGTTATTATTGGGAAACTGCAGAATTTGAATTGGGACTGAGCATTAGATAATACTATTGTATCAATGCTAAAAATTTTGAATTTGACCATTGGTGGTTACATAAGAGGATGTCCTTATTCTTTGGAGAATCTCACTGAAGTCTTTAAGGGTAAGAGATACAAGTTTCCTGCAACTTTCTTTCAAATGTTACAGGAAATTTTATATATATATATATATATATGTATGTATATGTGTATATATATGTATATGTGTGTATATATGTATATGTATATATATGTATAGGTATATATATGTGTATATATGTATATATGTGTATATATGTATATATGTGTATATATTATATATGTGTATGTGTGTATATATGTGTGTATATATATGTGTGTGTATATATGTGTGTATATATATGTGTGTGTGTATATATATATGTATATGCATCTGTGGGTATATAATAAAACAATTGTCAAATGTCCACAATTAGTGGGTCTTTGTTAAGGCTATGATGGAATTGATTATACTATTCTTATACTTTTTTGGTAAATTTAAAATCTTTTCAAAAAAGGAAAGAGTTAAAAATGAAAATGCATATATGTAATCAAAAGCTAAGATTTCTGTTTACATATGTTTCGAGGAAGGAATCCAACTTAGCCATTATTTAGTGAACACTTATTTTCCAATTCTATGAAATATCTCCATAATCAATAATAAAATCTCGCACATATTTGGATCTGCTCCTGCCTTCCTAGTCTGTCTCATGAATCCATCTGTCTGTTTTTCTTCACCAGTAAATACACTGTAATTGTTGTAGCCTTTAGTTATGTTTAATATCTAGTAGGGCAAGCCCATCCACCTTGCTCTTCAACATTTTCCTCCCCATGCTTCTATTCTTCCAGAGAAACTTACAATAATTTTGTCAGATTTCCTTAAGAGAAAAAAACTCACTGAAATTTTGATTGATATTTAGTCACTTATTGATTAACTGGGAAAATTAAAATCTTATAATTTTTGTTGATTCTTCCTAGAAAAAAAATGCTTGTTTCTCCTTTTGTTCAAGTCTCATTTTGGGTTCTTCTGTAAAGTCTTTTCATTTTCTTTACATAAATCTTGCGCATTCCTTGCTAAGTTAATTCCCATGAATTTTGTTGCTGTAGTAAATGCAATATATTTCCGTGATATGTTCTAATGGCTTGTTCATTATCATAGGAAGGATATTGGTTTTTATAACTATATTTCTGTATTTTGTGACTGCTACCCCACTAAACTCATTTGTTAGCTATACGACATTTTCAGTTGATTTTTTGAGATGTTCAAATTACAAAACCATATCCCCTGAAAATGATGGTGATAATATTTCCTTCTTGGGAATATTTATGACCCTTATTTTATCTTCTTGTTTATTTCCATTGCTAGAACTTTCAGAACATTAATAAGTAATAGTGAAGATAGAGGCATCCTTGTCTTGTTCCTGAACTTAATTTGGATGCCAATGATTTTTCACAGTTAATGATAATGTTGCTTTAGTTTGAGAGAGATTTCCTTTATCATGTTAAAAGAGCGTTCTTTAATTCTTTTATTCACAAAAACATCACCAGGAATGAATTGCAATGTCTTGAAATTTTTCTAAAACTCTGATTTACTAAGCTCTGATTCTGTGCCCAGCTCTGTGCCAAGAATTTTAAATTTACCATTTAATGTAACCTGCACATGACCCTGACTATTAAAAATTACGTTTCAAATTATACAGTAGAAGAACTGACCAAGGACCCAGAGTTGGGAAGTGAAAAAGACAGGATTTGAACTCAGGCTTTCGAAATTCAAGCTCTTGACACTCTATGGCAATGATAATGTGGTTTTTTTTTTTGCCTTAATCTATTAAAAAAATTGATCACATTAAGAAATTTCCTAGTATTGAACAACATTTGCATTGCTAGAATCAGCTCTGCTTATACATAGTGTATTATTAGTGTATTATTATTTTAAACACATGGCTTCATTCACTTTTATAATATTTCGAGTCTGTATTTGCGAAATTAGCCTGCAGTTTCTCTTTTGCCCATCTGGCTGGCTGGCTTTAGTGTCCAGGCAATGCCAGCTTAGCTAAATGACTTGGGAAGCTGCCTGTCTTTTTCCATGCACTAATCCTATTTAAACAGCCCAAAGATGATCTGTTCCTTGAAGTTTTGAAAGAACTTGCCCCTCCAACAGTCTGGGTTTAAAACTTTTTTTTTTTTTTTTTTTTTTTACAACTTTTTCAGCTTCATCTTGAATGGTTAGTCTATTCAGGTTTTCTACCACTTCTTCAGTCAAATGTGGTCGTTTCTATTCTCCTAGAAAACTATCCACTTCACTGATTTTTTCAAGTTTATTAGCATAAAGTTATGAAACCTATTTCTTTATATTTTTCATTTATTTTGCATCATTTCTCATTTCTGCACGCTCATATGTTCTCTTTCTCTTGATTAGGCTTGCCAATGGTTTCTCTAATTCATTGGTCTTTGTAAAGAGCCAGGGACCTTGGGTTTATTTATCAATTTATGTTTCCCATTTTCTAATCCATTAATTTCTAGGGGTTTTGTTATGAGCTTCTTGTTTCTTTGGGTTGTGTGGGTGGTGATCGTAGTTGTTTGCTTTTCTCTTTTTCTGGCTTCTGGAAATAAATGTTTGGCTCATTTATTTTTCTGTGTTGTCATCATTATCATTATGTTCCTTACAAACTGTGATTGATGTTTGTCTTCCCTCTCAGACCCAAGAGCTACTTAGAAGGATAGTTTTTAATTCCCCAAGTGGCCTGATGTTTCTGTTCTTTGCTTACCCTTTGCTTCTTAATGTCTAGTTTTCTTGAATTCTGGTGAGAAAATGTGACCTGTACAATGTATGCATTTTAGAAGTGATTGAGAACTTATCTGGGAACCTGATCTAAGCTGAAAATATTCTGACCTGTGGCTGAAAGGAATGTGCATCTTCTGTAGAGTTCTCCCAGAGGACCCCTGAGCGAAACCGAAGGACAGCAGGCAAAGTGTCTTTAAACCACTCACACGAGCCAGACAAACACAACTCTCTCTCTGCACGGGAGAGAGAAGAAAACTTAAAGAGGGAAAGAGGCTAGGGGATGGGGCTAGGGGATCAAGCGCATGAGGAAATGGTGAGCCTCCCATGCTGTCCTCCTGCCCTGTCTCAAGATGTGACTGGAGGGTGGCCTGGAAGCTCTCCCTTGGGAAACTTGTGGCAGGCAGTGTGGGTGGGATGCTAGGGACCCCTCTAGGAGCATTGCTTGGCTGCTTGGGGTCCCAATTTTATCTGCTTATTGAACAAGAAAAGGCAAAGAGGTTAAGCAGGTATCTGAATGTCATTCATATCAGCCGGACTTGCCATAGCCCCCTCACCCCTACCCTCTGCTGAGAGTGGGCCTGCTCCTTGCTGGCTCTTCTCTCTCAAGGTGTGACATTAGAACTGGGGGCATGGGAAAGAGGAGAATGAGTTAATCCTGACACAATTTCAGAGAAAACAGAACCTAATTACTGCTGGCTCAATGGCTTTTTCTTGCTTAGAAAAAGACCGTGGGCAGCCGCACAGTACTCGGAACCAAAGCTCCGTGTGCACGGCCAGTACAGTGTGCCCCCTGCTTAATCCTTGGAGCAGACGTCCCAGCCCACGATAAACCATGGCCCCCATACACTGTGAGAAGCCCTCTCCACTGCCCCCCTGGGACATGCCCCCTGGCCTTGGGTTGCTCTCAGAGTCTTTCTCCCCATTCTTCTCCTACCTCTGTCTCTCACTGAAGACCCCTCATATCTCTTGAAACAGAAAGAAGAAAATCTCCACGACTTGATACTTCAGAGATGGCAGCTTATTGCTGTGTCCTCACACCACAGGGACACAGAAGGGCAAAGGGACTGGAAGCCTCCCTACAGCCCTTCTAGAAGGACTGAGCCCCATCCACGAGGACAGGGCCCTCATGACCTAGCCACCTCCTAATGCTATTGCATTGGGGATTAAGTTTCAACCTGAGTTTTGGAGGGACACATTCAACCCACAACACCTGCCACCTTCCCTTTAAACTTAATTCATTGGGAGATGTTAGTCCTCAAACTCTGGGTTGAAAACGACCATTGCTTTTTTTTTTTTTTTTTTTTTTTTTTTTTGAGACAGAGTTTTGCTCTGTCGCCCAGGCTGGAGTGCAGTGGCATGATCTTGGCTCACTGCAACCTCCATCTCCTGGATTCAAGTGATTCTCCTGCCTCAGCCTCCCAAGTAGTTGGGATTACAGGTGGGCGCCACCGTGTCTGGCTAATGTTTGTATTTTTAGTAGAGACAGGGTTTTGCCATGTTGGTCAGGCTGGTCTCGAACTCCTGACCTCAAGTAGTCCACCCGCCTCCGCCTCCCAAAGAGCTGGGATTACAGGCATGAGCCTCTGTGCCCAGCCAGAGCATTGCTTTTTAAATCTTACTTCTAGATAATAAAAATTGCTTGAAGTGCCAAATACTAACTCAGTTCCGTAATTAAAAGTATTCCAGTCCCATGTGACAATAAAATCCTCCAACCTGGTTTCGATATTCTCCCCTATCTAAGCTGCTTACAGTGGAGTGGTGCGGGGGCAACTCGGGCAGGGGCCTCTGCGTGCCTCTGCTTCCCCCTTTCATTTACTGGCACCTCTCTGCCTCCCCCAGCCCAATAGCTGTGGCATCTGACCCTCCAAGGCTGGGGCCCGAGTGAGGGGGCAGGGCAGGAGGAGACATAAGGAGACAGGCGCGTTCCACCTGCCGGGGACTGAGCTAAGTAAGACGGCCTTGTGACTTCCTTGTGGCACATTTTCATAGCATCCTCAGAAGCCACGCAGGGAGCACCTGACTGCGCTTGCTATGAAGGGGGAGCGGCAGTGACCTCTAGTGCCCTTCCCATTTCCATGCTGCCTGCCTGTCACTGGCAGGTCCCTGAGCCCTTTCAGGAGGTGGCCTGGGCAGGATTTTCAACGGCTCTAGTCCGGTTGATGAGTTGTCATTCCGCACGCCTCTCCCTGGTCCATGACAAATGGGCACGTCCACACCGGCCCTCGGAGGAAGCAGATGTCTCTCCACCAGTGGCCAGTGTCCCTCGGCCCTGCTTCCCAGCCTCCCCACAGACAGGTGTCAGACCCCAGCGCACTGTGTCCCTCAAGCTCTCGTGTCCCTCAAGATCTCCCAAGGCCTTCTCGGTGGACACTGGGCAAGAAGGACGCTGAGGCTCTGTGAAGAAACTCCCCCTCCCAGAGTCTCTCACAGGTGTTTAGACCCTTGATGTGGGTAAGGGCCCAAGAGTCAGAAAACCAGAGGGTTTTGTTGTTGTTTTTGTTGTTGCTGCTGTTGTTTTGGTTTTTGTTTTTGTTTTTCTAACTCTTTTGTGACTTTGGCATATGGTGTCAAACAGTGGTTCACAACTTTGGGTGCACAGTTGAAATCATCTGGGGTGTTTTAGAAAATGGTGATGTCTGGGTCCCAGCCCCCAGATTCTCATTTAATTGGTCTGGGGTGTGGCCTGGGCCGTGGGATTTTAAAGCTTTCTCTAGGTGATGCTAATGAGCAGCCAAGAATGAGACCAGTGTCCTCAGACTTCAACATGTTTATGAAGTGCCTGGGAGGCTACTGAGCTCCGGGTTCTTGCTCAGCAGGTCTGGCGTGGGCTTGAGAGGCTGCATCACTCCTAGTGATGCTGAGGCTTCTGATTCAAGGACCACACTTAGAGCATCAACGAACTAGAATCTACGTGCCTTGGTAAAACTCTGATTTTTTTTCTAGACTTTATTTATTAGAGCAGTTTTAGGTACCCAGCAAAATAAAATGGAAAGCACAGCGTTCCCATAGAACCCCTGCCCCCACACATGCACAGCCTCCCCCATTATTAACATCCCCCTCCCAGTGGTACATTTGTTACAGCTGATGAACCTGCGCAGACACATCACCCAGAGTCCATAGCTTACTTAGGGGTCACTCTTGATGTGGGACATTCTATGGGTTTGACAAATGTACGGTTGTCCTTTGGCATATGTGGGGGATTGGTTCCCGGACTGTCTGCCACACGCCAAACCCACACATACTCAAGTCCTGCAGTTGGCCCTGCAGAACCCACTTATACAAAAAGTGTACCTTCCTAGAATACTGTATTCTCTATCTGCCCCGGTTGAAAAAAAGCCGTGCATAAGTGGACCCTCTAAGTTCAAACTCATGGTGTTCTAGGGTCAACTGTATTACAGCATGTATCCACCATCATAGCATCATTCTGATTAGTTTCACTGCCCTAACCATCCAGCATTGTTAGGAATAGGAACAATCCCCTATTCTTCCCCCCGCTCCCTACCCCCCTAGTCCCCAGGCAACCACTTAAAACTTAGATTGTTTACATCTTATTACCTATTTAGAATGTTTAAAAATCCTAAGAAGGTATCTTCCTGAACAACTTAGGCAATAATGGCACTACAGCAGAATTTCCCCACTACTAACATTTTGGGCTGGGTAATTCTTTGCTATGGGGGCTGCCCTGTGCATTGGAGGTTGTTTAATTGCATCCCAGTCTCTACCCACTAGCTGCTGGAAGCAATGTTCCCTCTTCCCAACCAACAATGTCTCGACATTGCCTAATGTCCCCTGGGGACAGAATCACCCCCATCAAGAACCACTGATCTAGAGCAACACAAGGAACTTGCAGAATTTTTAAATGTTGTGTCTTTAAAATTTCATTCATTCATGAATTATACTGCTGAGCACCTACTGTGTGCCAAGCAATCCGCCTAGTACTGAGGGATATAAAGGTGAACAAACCAAATGCTTATATAATAATATAACGTCCAGGGGTGATGATTATGTGCAAAAACAAATAAATAAAGCAGGACAAGGAAACTGTGATGGCCTGAAGCAGGGGTGAGCAGGCAGGGAAAATCCTACCAGGAGCGAGGTAGGGAGGGACTCTTTGAGGATGTGATTTTCAAGCGGGAGAATGAAGTGCAGGTGAGTCAGGTGAATATGGGGTGAGGGCAGAGGGTAGGTTGTTTGAAACTGAGGGAAAGCCGGTGCAAAAGCCCTAAGGTGAGAGCTCACTTTAATCCCAGAGCAAAATCTCAGACTAAGCTGAGGATCTGGAGGTGGCAGGACAGGTTTGGAAGGTGATTCTGTCCTGTTCAGGTGGAACCTCACTGTCTCCACTTTTCCCTTTTGCTTTTAGGTCTACGTGATTTGATTTTTCTAGTTCTTCTTTTAAGACACCTTGACCTGTCAAATACAGAGATCCATAAGTTTAAAATCCCCACTATGGATTCATGGATTTTTTTTTATATAATAGCTTTTGCTTTCTATTTTTTAACGAGATGTTACTTGGTTCATAAAAGTTTATGATGTATCTTTATTGTGGATTGTCATTTTGATCAATATAAAATAGCACTCTCTTATTTGCATTTCTCATGCACTACTAATATGTATTTCTGCTCTCTTTTTGTTTGCATTTTGAGTATAATATTTTCCCACTTCTCTGTTTTGCATGTTTCCACTGTATGTTTCTGAAAGAGTATATACTTTGATTTTTTTACATAATCTAAAAATTTTCATCTATTCACAGTAGAATCTCATATGTTGATATTTGTGGTGAAACTTGTATGTTTAGCATTGTTTCTGTAATATTATTTTGTACTTTGTTTTTATATTTCCTTCCTGTTTCTTTTTCTGAATTTACTTAATTGCTTAAATATTTTGGTGTATTTTTCTATAGTAATTTGAAAGTTATGTATACCTGTAGAATAAAACAAAATATTTAAAGCAAAAAAAATTCTACCAATTTTAATAATTAAATAATATCTATAACTGTACTGAAGTAAGATGAGAAATTTAGGACATTTTTCTTTCTTTCTTTCTTTCTTTGCCTATCTTTTCCTCACCTTAAAGTTTTGTCAGAATAATTATTTATTTTGGATTTATGTTCTTTTCCTTCAAGAATTATTTTGAATGTTTGCATTTGGCTTTGTATCCATATTCCAAATGATGATTTAGACATTAACTATTCCTTCCTGGCTGAGTTACTCATGGCTGTTTCTTTTGTATCACTTCTTTCATTCTCTGGTTCTTGATTTTGACTCATTTCTCGGTTGATTGGTGGATCTTTTGGGGTAATGTTTTTAAAGCAGAATTACATGAGTTCCTACATGTCTGAAAATGCCTCTTTCTTGACCTATATATGAGCGACATCATAGCTATGTATAGAATTTTTTCACAATTGTTGTCACTCGAAATTCAGCAGACATTGCTTCATTGTTTTCTGAAATTTAAAGTTGCACAAGTGAAGTCTGGGATGACCTGATTTTTCTCTCTCTCTGTTTCTTTCCTACCTAGATACTGAAAATTGTTTTCCTTTATCCTTAAGCCTTGATGAGTCCTTTTATATTAATGTTGCCCCTTACATCTGATGGCTGACATCTTCCTTCACATCAGAGAAATTTTCTTCTATTATTTATTTGAGTATGGGTATAGTAAATTATAATTAAATGAAAATTTAAAATAGAGACTTTAATGAGTCTATAAAAGCTCCATTGACTCAAAATAAGCTCCCTAAATAAATGTTGAATGAATGAATAAGCAAAGAATGGATGAGTGAATCTTTTTTCTCCATTTTCTTTGTTCTCTTCTTCTTCCTAACATGGCTTTTATGTCTTCCCCCATCTCCATTAGAATTTTCTTCTGATATCTCTTAGAAATTTTCAAGCTACTTTCCTTATTTCATTTGATTTTATGTTATTCATGGCTTACACTTTTTAAATTTTACAGTAGTGATTTTTCATATTTTAACCTTTTCCTTTACAAAAAAATTTTGCAGTTGAGATTTGTTTCTTCTCATGGGTGCAATGAATCTTGTAAAAACTCTAACAAGAGGTATCACATTGTATTTCCTTTTGTTCTGTTTTCTCTGGTTTCTTGCAGTAACTCTTTTCCAAAGGGAACGCATCTGTTTAGTTTCCCTGGATTTGTCCTTGCAAAGCCAGCCTCTAAGATGTCCCTGCAAATTCCCACCTCCTGCCATTCCTGCCCTTCTGTGTTGCCCTCTCTCAATGAACCAGGGCTGATCTGTGAGACCAAGAGTCTCACCATTATGTAGAGGTAATGATGCATGACCCTTGATGCTAGGAGGTCACAGAAGACATTGCAGCTTCATCTTTGTGCTCTCGGATCTCTCACTCCCCAGAAAGCCCACCACCATGTCATGAGGACACTCAAGCAGTCCTGTGGAGGGATCCACCTGGGAAGGAAATAAAGCCTCCTGCCAATGGCCAGCACCACGTTCCAGCTGTGTGAGCGAGTCACCTTGGAAGCAGGTCCTCCAACCCACAGAGCCTTTGGATGACTGCAGCCCCAACCAACAGGTCAGAAGACTGCAACCCAATGAGAGTCCTGGGCCAGGACCACCAAGCCTCTCCCAAATTCCTGACCCACTAATATTGTGAGAGAACATGGTGTTTTATTTTATTATGTTTATTATTGTTTATTATTATTGTAGGCCACCAAAGTTTGAGGTATTTGTTAGGTGAAAATAAATATCTGATACCATCTCCTTCTTTTGAACTCATTGGCCTTTTCAATAAATGTTTGTTTACTTCTGTTTGCTCAGTGTTAGAATTTGACATTGGTTCTGTCAGAGCTTGTGAAGGTTTCTGTTCAAACCTTTCATTCCCAGAGGAGGGAGAAGACAAAAGTTGAGCTATGCGTTAGCTTTATTTTCCCTGACTGGGGTCTGTGAGGTTCATGGTGAGCAGAGGCTTCTATGGCTTAATGAGCCTGGTGCGGGGTGTCTCATCACTGTGTGGAAGGGTTTTCTGAATGGGGATATTTGAACGTCCCTGCTCCACCTAGAAGTGAGCCAGTGAGCTCCCCAGCTCCACTAGCCCTTCCTCTGCCAGCCATGGGGCCACCGTATGGATGTGCTTTCTCGCTTGCACGGACCTCCCCGGCACCTGCATTGCCTCTCCCGGGTGCTGCCACAGGCCCCAGGGATTTCATGGTGTAGGACATTTGAGAGCCAAATGCCCCTTTCCTTCACTGAAGCCCATCATCCAACTAACTCTCCAGACCACATAGTTTAAATTATGTTCTTGACTGAAGTATTAGGGACACCATCAGGAGCAGTAACCAAACAGGAAGAACACACTTGGGGCATAATTTGGCATCATCTTTTACAGCTGAACACATACACATCCTACAAGCTCCTTCTAAAGAAACTAGAATTTGTTCATCAAGAGGTAAGAATGCTCACAGCAGCACTGTTTATGGTAGAAAAAAACTGAAGACAAGCAAATATTCATTAACTGTAGAATGGATAGATAAATCCAAGTATTTTTATTATAGATGGTGGGTTATTATACAGTAGTGAAAAAATGAACCACAACTCCACATGTCAACATGGAGGAATCTCAACACTCACAACGTGGTGCAGAAGAAGCAAGTGAAAGAAAAACGATTCCATTTATAAAATGGCAAGAGTCCCGGCACTTTAAGAGGCTGAGGCCCTTGAGACCAGAAGTTCGAGACCAGCCTAGGCAACACAGCAAGACTCTGTCCCACAGAAATAAAATAAAATAGCAGGCAACATGAAATATTCTTTTGCTTAAGGCTGTATTCCAAGGTGGGAAACTGAGTGATAAACTCGAAATTGGGAGGCCTCAGAAGTTGGGAAGACGCAACCAAAGAGAGCTGTTCTGGGCAGGTGCAAGGCCTGGCAGAGTTAATTTTCTCATCCTGAGAAATTGCTTCATTGGGTATTGAAACAGAAGAAAAAACAGAGTATTTGCTTCATTGTTATTCCTTAACCTGTACACATACAATGTAACAAGTTGAAAAAAAAGATCCTAATCAGCTTCTAGACTCAGATCTTCACAATGCCTGTGTCCTCTAGGCTAGATGTTGGTTCTCCCCCTTCTCCCTCTTTTGAGTCTCAAGCAACTGTCCCTCCCTGTGCCAGAAAATCCCACCCCTGCCCTAGAGGAGCCATGTTAACCAGTTCTTCCAGGGTCCTCAGTCTCCAGAAGCCCCTGTGGCCAGCCAGATTGGCACCAGATTGGCGTCTCTTGGGCCTGTGGTTCACTCCTCCCTGGACTGCCTTGAACACCAGGCAGTTGTTGTGGGAAGTCAGGGACCCTAAACCGAGGGACTGGCTGAAGCCATGGCGGAAGAACATAAATTGTGAAGATTTCATGGACATTTATTAGATCCCTAAATTAATACTTTTATAATTTCTTATGCCTGTCTTTACTGCAATCTCTGAACATAAACTGTGAAGATTTCATGGACACTCATCACTTCCCCAATCAATACCCTTGTGATTTCCTATGCCTGTCTTTACTTTAATCTCTTAATCCCGTCATTTTCGTAAACTGAGGAGGATGTATGTCGCCTCAGGACCCTGTGATGATTGCGTTAACTGCACAAATTGTTTGTAGAGCATGTGTGTTTGAACAATATGAAATCTGGGCACCTTGAAAAAAGAACAGGATAACAGCAATGTTCAAGAAACAAGAGAGATAACCTTAAACTCTGACCTCCGGTGAGCTGGGCGGAACAGAGCCATATTTCTCATCTTTCAAAAGCAAATGGGAGAAATATCACTGAATTCTTTTTCTCAGCAAGGAACATCCCTGAGAAAGAGAATGCGTCCCTGAAGGTGGGCCTCTAAAATGGCCCCATTAGGTGCGGTCGTCTTTTATGGTCGAGCTGTAAGGATGAAATAAACCCCAGTCTCCCATAGCGCTCCCAGGCCTATTAGGAAGAGGAAATTCCCGCCTAATAAATTTTTGGTCAGACCGGTTGTCTGATCTCAAACCCTGTCTCCTGATAAGATGTTTATCAATGACAATGCGTGCCCGAAACTTCATTAGCAATTTTAATTTCACCCGGGTCCTGTGGTCCTGTGATCTCGCCCTGCCTCCATTTGCCTTGTGATATTCTATTACCCTGTGAAGTACGTGATCTCTGTGACTCACACCCTATTCCTACACTCCCTCCCCTTTTGAAAATCACTAATAAAAACTTGCTGGTTTTGCGGCTTGTGGGGCATCACAGAACCTACCGACAATGTGATGTCTCCCCCCGACGCCCAGCTTTAAAATTTCTCTCTTTTGTAGTCTGTCCCTTTATTTCTCAAACTGGCTGATGCTTAGGGAAAATAGAAAAGAACCTACGTGAAATCGGGGGCAGTTTCCTCCGATAGGCAGTAAATTACCTCTTGTGCATGAACTCCTTGGAGTGAGGAATATATCATTTGCAAGGACAAATGCAAGGAGAGGGCCCATTCTGACCTGTGTGAGAAGGTCTGAGAATTTTATGTACATCCTTCGAGTGGCTGGTTTCAGAGCGGGAGATGCATTCACTGACTCAGCACTCACATGGGTGAGTCAGCAGACACCGGCCTGGGGGCCAAGAAAGCCAGGCTCTACAAAACAGTTCTACAAAACAAGCCAGTTGGCCATAAGGAGGTCACTTTTACTTTCTGGGACTCAGTTGCTTCTTCTGTTCAGTGGGATATTTGGACCAAGTGAAGTTCACATCCATTTTAACCCCACGGTCCCTGTTGTTATGCATTCACGGAGTGCAAGGGTCCCCAAGGAGCATAAAGAGGTGGCACTCCCCTTGAGAAAGCAGGGCCACTCACAGCACATAATCAGAGAGCACTGAGGAAGGTCAACTCAAGGCCAAAATCCCTCGCGCAGAGACACGGACCACAGGTGCTGAGAAGAGTTGCCCACTGAAGCTGGGCTTGGGAGCACACGTGAACTGGGGTGGAAACAGGCGGTGTCCCCCTGGCCTCACAGTCCTGTGAGCTCACAGAGGCTCTTCCGGCCTATTTTGGGCATGGGCCTGGAAGGCGCAGCTGGAACCAAGGGTGAGACTGGAACCAAGCTGGAGAGAGGTGAGACTCGAGAGTTTAGATCTGAAAGCCCACGGGCAGGCTGAGCGCAGAAGCAGGCCAGCAGCGAATGGGGAATCTGTGGAGCTCAGTGGAGTCAGATTTCTGGCTGGGTGCTGTGTCCACTCCCCTGGGTGGGGCCCTTTTGCTGGATGTCGGAGTTAAGTGTGACCATCAGACACTCCCCAGTGGCTGAATGTCCAGTCTGTAGACAAAGCTTAGCAGTGTTCTGCCACCAGGCCTATGTCCCTCCCCAGCAGCTATGCTGGGTTGACTCCAGCCAGTGAGCTGATGAAACCCAAGTCTGAGAATACTGGCTGCTCTGTGCCATCTGCCCCGCTCCATCATCCTTGCAACTGGTGGGGTAAGATGGTTGGTCCAGGATTGGGTGGTTTGTGGCTGGGCCAAGAAAGGGAGGTGGGAGTTAGGGGTTGACTTGCCCCAAACTGACCCCCTGTGACCTGGCGTCTCAGAGAGAGAGCTGGCCTCCTGCAGGGCTCCCCCAAAACTAGCCTCAGCCTGGTGCTGAGGCCTGAGGACCAGGGCAACCAGTCCTGGAAGAAGGTAGCAGAGATGGAGCGGGTGTCCCATGCTGAGAGCTGCAGCAGCCTGGCCCCATCAGAGGCAATGGACAGATGCTTTCCTATCCATGCAGCCTACGAGCCCCACAGTCTCAGTCCTTCCAGGCTCTGATTTCTGGCCCTGCTGGGTCCCTGCATGCTGCCCTAATGAGACCAGCAATGAGGACTCGCAAAGCCCAGCTGTCCCTGTCTCTGGAATTTCCCAGTAATCAAATGCCCCCGAAAGCCCAGTGAGTGTGTGCAGCCGGGTCACATTTTCGTTTGCTTGACAGGAGGGGAAAACACGTTTCCCTGTGGGACATTGTCTGCCCTGGGTTGGACTGAATCTTTGTTACTGAGACACCAGTTCTGCTAGTCCCCCACCTAAGTCCCCTCAGGTCTGTCATGACCCTCAACTTCCAACCCCTGGGAGGATGGCTGGCAGGGGAATGAGGCTCACCAGGAGCCGGGGCTTCCTCAGGCGTGCAGTTAGGAAGGCCAGAACCACAGCCGGAGCTGCAAATGCCCCCCAGATCAGCAGGCCTAGCATCCCAGGCTGGCCTGGTGGAGGCTCCCCAACCCTCCCAGCCATCTGGGAAGGCCCCCTCTCTCCAGGTCCTCATGGTGAGGCTGACAGTCACATGCCCCCACCCCCACCCAACAGAGCAGGCACAAAACCCCACCAGCTAATCTAGTCACCCCTCCCCACTCACAGCCAATCGTTCTTCTGTGGGGTTGCATGAGGACCAGAGAGAGAAGTCCCCCTTCCACCAGGGCTGCACAGACAGGGCAGCCCATGGCCCACCAGTGTCCTCCCCACTCAGAATGGAGCCAGACAGAGACATTTGAGGACCAAGAGATAAAGCCAGATCGAGCACCTGGGGGGCTCCCATTTGAAACCAGGAGCTGGCACTGCCTGAAGCGGGAGCCCCTGATGGACTCGGCGGCTCTGAGCCAGTGAGGACTTGTTTCCAGTTCCTTGTCTTGACTGACGGCAAGCGCCCAGGCCTTTGCTCTCCATAGCTGCCGCTGTATTCCCCAGCCTCACCCTCCTCAGTCCTCCACGCAGCACCTGCGGCTCTGCAGCCCTGGGCCAACACCATGAGGACCTGGGTCCTGGACTGGCTGTTGGACAGCTCCGAGGCAGAGGCCCAGAATTGGCTGCTGGGGCACCTCCCATTCCCAGGAGAGTGGGTTGCCCTGGAGCAAGGCTGCCTGGCCTCCTCAGGGAGACCCCAGCCCCTGTCTCAGGAATGCAACTTTCTGTGACAAGCCCACTCCATGGCACAGACTCCAAGCCCTCGCTCCCTGCCCAGACGCTTCGCTGGCTGAGATTGCCCGCGCTCTGCTTTCTGCACACTGCACAGCGCTTCGGCTCCTTAGCTTGAAGGTTTGTGATATTTCTTGTTGGAATAAAATGCCAAACCAGAACTAACGGTGGGACAAAGTGAGCTGTTAGGAAATGCCTCTTTGAGCCACAGCACAAAAATTAGCACAGCATTTCCAATTTTCTTGTGAATTGAGGAAGCAGGCACCTGCGAGGTCCCGTGTGGGGTGGGAGGGCCAGGGGTGGCTCTAAGCCAGCACTGAGGGGAGCAATTCATTCAGTCACCAAGTGGGCCTGAGCACACACATGGCTCATGTCAGCTCAGGCTGGGGAGAAGACCAGAGCAGAGGGCCTCGCCTGTGGTTTGAAGCCCAGGTGCCAGAGGCTGGCGTATCCAGGACAGAGGCCCGTGCCCCTTGCTCTCGGGGAAGATCTGCCCAGGAGCAAGATGCCCAGAAGTGAGATTCTGAGTGCTCCTCCAGCCGCAGCCCCTCGGCGTGTTGTGACAGGGAGGGGCCGAGGCTGGGGAAACCAGTCAGCCACTCTCTGTGAGTCAAGCCTTTGGCAGGCGGCCCCCAGCCCCAGGGCATCTCTGACTCAGCCTGCTGACTGACAGACTAGGAGCTCTATGGACAGGAGGCAGTGAAAGTGCCGGGAAAGGGTGGCACCGAGGGCAGAAAAGGCTCTCAGCTTCCCCAGAGAACTTGAATTGAGCTCCCTTCGAAGCCTGGCCCTGGGGCACCCTCCACTCCTCTCTCTCCTCCTCCTGGCACACCCCCTCTGTCTGAGAGCCTGAGCCTGTGAGTGCAGCCTGAGGGGCAGAGAAGCACACTTCTCAGTCTCTGGCAAGTGAGCAGCCCAGCGGCCCCCCTACTCCAGGGCAGACATCATCCTGCCCTCCAGAGGACCCGGCCCTCCAGTGAGGGTGGGGCTGATGCTGAAGGCTGAGGAAAGATCACTTCCTGGCCTTCAGCCCTTCCACACCCTCTCATGGGCCCCACCCCACTACAAGTTCTCTCCAAGCACTACTCAACACAGGCTTGGGGCCAGCCCTGACCCCCAGGTCGTTTTCTTAAGCATGTGTGCCTCATGGCCTTCCCCCACCCTGTAGAGTGCTGCAGGTTTGGCCCCTCAGGCCACACATGCTCATTTCTCCAGTTTGAGCCCGCACTTGCCCTGACTCTTCTCTATGTTCTCTCCCTCCTCCCAGCCTCCCAGGCACTGTCCCCAGCCTGCCAGGCACTGTCCCCAGCCTGCCACTGCCAAGGAGCCCCCAGGAGCACCCTCAGCCCCAGGGCCACCTGCAGGCCAGAACAGGGGCTGCAGGAAGCTGCACTTCTTCCGGCTTTCTCAGGGCCCAAGGAGGGGCCTGCTCTGTCCCCTTGTTCAGCTCCTTCTCTGCCAGCCCTACAGGAAGGAAAGGAGGCCACGCCTCACAGCTTGTGCCCCAATCTGGAGCTTCTGCACCCGTGCCCCAGGTCCATGGGGCCCCACCCTTACTTGTCTTCACTCTGAGCCTGGAGAGGCCCAGGACTTCCAGAAAGCTGCAGGCCAGGACCCTCAGCAGCTCCTCCCCATTCTGGGAGAAAGCCCCAAGACAGCCTCTGAGACGACTCTGACTTTCTAGCTGTGGAACGTTGGGCAAGTCACTTAGCACTCAGAGCCTCAGTTTCCTCACATGCAAAAAGGGATAATCGAGCCTGGGATATAGTAGAATGATGAATCAAAATACTCTCTTATTAGTTACTATTACTGACAGTTGGTCTGTTTTGACTCACACCTGTAATCCCAGCACTTTGGGAGGCTGAGGTAGGAGGATCACTTTAGGCCAGAAGTTTGAGACCAGACTGGGCAACATAGTGAGAACCCATCTCTACTGAAAATTTTAAAAATTAGCTGGGCATGTGGCACACGCCTGTGTTTCCAGCTACTCAGGGGGCTGAGACAGGAGGATCGCTTAAACCCAGGAGGTTGAGGCTGCAGTGAGCCATGATCATGCTACTGCACTTTAGTCTGGATGATAGAGTGAGACTCTGTCTCTTAAAAAAAAAAAAAGAAAAAAAAGAAAGAAATACTTGAGGTTGGGTAATTTATAAAGGAAAGAGGTTTACTTGGCTCATGGTTTTGCAGGCTGTCCAGGAAGCATGGCGCCAGCATCTGCTCGGCTTCTGGGGAGGCCCCAGGGAGCTTTCACTCATGGCAGAAGGTGAAGTGGGAGCAGGCGTGTCACACGGTGAGGGAGGGAGCAAGAGGTGGGGCCGGCTCCTTTTTAAACAACTGGATCTTGCATGAACTCGGAGAGTGAGAACTCACTCATTGCCACAAGGAGGGCACCAAGCCATTCACAAGGGATCTGCCCCTGTGACCCCAACACCTCCCACCAGGCCCCACCTCCAACACTGGGGGTTACACTTCAACATGCCATTTGGAGGAGACACACATCCAAACCATACCTCTGACCTAAATATAGAGCACTGATTCTGAACCTTAACTGATGATAACATCCCTGGACCCCTTTTGAAAGTGATGGAAGCTATGAACTCTCACCTCCAAGAAGGCACAAAAATAAAACTCGTAAATACAATACAGGTGCAAAGACCTCCGAGGGTGCAAAGGCCTCCTGAGGCCATCCAGGAATCCCAGGTTCATGGCCATCTGGGTCATATCCACTTTGGGGCTCTTACGAGCACTCCTGGACTTCCACACGTGGGAAGGGGATGCAGGGTCATTTGAGGATGGAATAGCGAGGTCAGCTTGATGTGCTTCTGCCGAAGCATTTTCCAGAGCTGTTCACTGTTTTCTACACCCATCGAGTGTGAGGAGCACTTACTGTGGCTGCACTTTTCACCTTTTGCCCCCTTCATGCATTCCTGTGTTCTTCTCACAAGGGCCAGCGTTGGACCCACAGACCGCAACACTGTGCTGGGAGGAGGGGCGAGCCCTTTGCAGGCTCCTGGAGACTTTCATCAGGAGTTCGCCACTGTCCAGCAAGGGCCTGCTGGGCAGCAGACACTGCTTAATTACATTGTCTCATTTAACCCCGTCCAGTGTTCTTCAACACTGAAATGATTCTCCTGCGTGGTGGATAAGAAAACTGAGGCGGATACACCAAGTTCTTTGCTTAATAGAGGGAACAGGCTTTAGGTCACACCAGACACAAGGAACATATCTACAGCCAGAGAATTAGAGACCACCAGATGAGATGCCAGGCCTTGGCAGGGAACTCAAAAGTGGCAAGAATTAGGGTGGCTTGTGAAGAAGTGAGAGCTGGTGGTCTTTTAGACAGGCCACGTATATAGGGCCATGTGAAAAAAAATGGAACATCTTCCTACAGGAAGCCGTACCTGATTTACTCTATCCCACATGAATAATTTCTCTGCTTTGCCTTCCTGGTTATGCACTCAATTTATGTTGAAACTTTTTGGGTTGAGTTTTATAAATATCATTGATACCTGGAGCGGACACTTAAGGCATGATCCGTCTCTCTAGCCACCCCACCTCTCCGCTGCCTTGTTTGTGCTGAATGATCCTGTCTCCTGGGACGGAGCTAACTAGCCTGGAGGAGAACACAGCTGGACCAATCAGATGCACTCTTCTGAGAAACCGAAGTGGGAGACTGGGAGATCCACCGCCAACAAGCCACTGGAGCTGAGTCACATTGATGAGAAGGCAACACCACAATCTCCCATTACTGGGGTCTCCAGGGCAAACCACTTTCTATGGCTTTGAGTTTGGGTCTTCCTTGGAGTCCATGAGACATCCAGAGTCCTCCCAATAAATTCCTTTTGGTGCTGAAGCTACTGCTATTTAGTCTCCTTTACTTGGAATTGAAAGACTCGGAACTGATCTAACTTTGGAGCAGGAAGGAAGCTCACATCCACCTCCTCACTTTTCAGATGAGAGAACCGAGGCCCAGAGAAGAGAGTCATTGATCGAGCACCTCACAGGTAGAGGACGTCAGAGACTGGACTGGACCGCCATCCCCAGATGCCCTGTGCAATACCCACAGTGTCAACTCTGAGGATCACAGCAGGGCTCCCCACACCTGCCTCCTCCAACAGCAGGAATCTCTCAGAGGGAGCTGGGTTAGGCAATGAAAGAGGCGCGGTGGGAAAGAGGCCTGGGGAAGAGGCTTGGAATAGCTAAGTGTGGCGTCAAGTACATATTTGTACTTAGAAGTTTGTAATGCTTTTATAACCAACCCATGCCCTAACTGGGGTTTCAAGTTATTCATGGGTTGTGGAACTCAATCAAGACTTGAAATATGAAATTAATAAAGAAGAGCCACCTGGCTGGTGACAGGCAATGATATGTGGGTTGTGTCTTGAGTTGACACCACAAGTTCGGCATCTGTTGGTGTGAGCCACCCACCCTTGGGAGGTGTCACCAGGTGACAGCCCTCCAAGAAGGGGTTAACGCATCTTTTCCAGCCCCCTAGCAGGCTGTAAACAACAACAAGCAGGTCAGAACTTGAGGATAACTTTTCATTCTTGCTATCAGCCCCAAAGGATATCCCAATTTTTTGGATGAACTGAGATTTGGCCTGATGAACCTTTGCTTGGGATGAAGGTACCTTTGGGTAGGACCTGGAAGTTTAGTTGGAAAGTGTGTGGTGATAGGATTGGGCTGGCCCATGCCCCTTCTCTTCATTCTCTTATCTCTTAATCCATTCAAAGGGATGAAAAACTGGAAAACTGGTTCTAAAACCTGGAATGGGGAATAAATAAGGGAAAGAAGGGGATAAAGAGATGAGAAAGTGTCTGTGGAGTTGACTTGTAAGGTAAACCCTCCACATAGGAAGGGTTGACACTGCCTCTCTGAGAAGAGGCAGCAAGTCCCAGACACAATCCACACCCACCCGTTGGCCTTTTCTGTCACTAATAGAAATCATTGGGCCACATCTGACTTAACTTCACTCTTTTTCTCCACTCTCTCTTCAAACTGGTGGAGGACCTTGGGGGACTTTCCAATTCTGGTTTTTCTTAAAGCAGAAAGACAGCAAACCACACAGGTCAGCTGCAATCCTCTGTACATCTCGACACCTCTGTCTGCATTCAGGACCCCACATATGAAATTCAGCCCTGCTTTGATTTCTTGTAATTCAACAGATGGGCCTGGCATGGTGGCTCACACCTGTAATCCCAGCACTTTGGGAGGCCGAGGAAGGAGGATGGGTCGAGCCTAGGAGTTTGAGACCAGCCTGGCCAACGTGGCAAGACTCCATCTCTACAAAAATTGTAAAAATTAGCCAGGCATGGTGGCACACACCTGTAGTCTCAGCTATTCAGGAGGCTCAGGAGGAAGGGTCACTTGAGCCCAGGAATTCAAGGCAGCAGTGAGCTGTGACCACACCACTGCACTCCACCTTGGATAACAAATTGAGATCCTGTCTCAAAACAAAACAAAACAAAACAGAAATGTGTATTTAGTGCAAGCCTATTGTGAGCAAGGCATCATGCAAAGCACTCAGTAAATATTAACAAAGAAGGCAGGAGAGGTGTTTCATTTCCAGAGTTATCTTATCTTTGAAATTCTAAGACTTAAAGTATTACTTATTCAAATCTTTTGCCATCTTTTTTTTTTTTTACTATTAGATTTTTTCCTATGGGGTTGTTTGAGCTCCTTACATTTTCAGGTTATTCCCTTGTCAGATGGGCAGTTTGCAGATATTTTCTCCTATTCTGTGGGCTGCCACTTCACTTTGTTGATTGTTTCCTTTGCTGTAGAAGAAGAAACTTTTTAACCCATTTATGCCTTGTGTTCTACTATTGGAACGCTAAGCTTGTGGGAGTCATTTATATCCTACTGCTCAAGGTCATCACCAAGATCTGATTTCTCACGCACAAAAAATTTGCAACCTCCAGCATAAATGGGTTAACTTGATGTGATCCCATTTGTCCATGTTGGCTTTGGTTGTCTGTGCTTGTGGGGTATTAATAAATCTTTGCCCATCCCATTAAGCCAAAGTCTTCAACTATTTCAACCTTCTCAAATCCCAATAACATATTTTAATTCTGAATTCTCCCAATAACCAATATCTATGCATCAAAATCTGTAAGTTGAACTCTTTTTATATAACAGAATGATTAGGCTTGCACTGCCTCGCCTCTCTTACCTATCGCTAGGATATTCACAGTTCTTTCTATTTGCATATTTGTATTTTTTAAAGACTTTTTTCTTAGAGCAGCATTAGGTTCACAGCACAATTGAGAGGAAGGTACAGAGATTTATCATATATCCGCTGTCCTCACACATGCATAGCTTCTCCATTATCAACATCCCCAGCAGAAGAATATGTGCATTACTGTTGGTGCACTTTGATTTTTTAGAATACATGCATACACATACACACAGTCATACAAAGCCCTTGGGAACGTGGCTTTGTTTTGATGGAGAAGCAGTTGACATCATAGTAATGCAAATAACTTCACATGGAGCAGCAGTGGCTTCGACTTAGAGCCTCATCACGCTTAAAATGTCATTTACCACCCCCCAGTCCCATCAGTCCACTCACTATCTTGCTAGCTCCTTCACTTTCCTCTAGAGTAACATTGGTCTCCATCTGTGCTCTCCCCCATCACCTGCCCATCTCAACCTTGGGCTGCAAGGTATCATTTATCCCCAAATTGATATACAGGTTTAACACAATTTCTGTCAAAATCCCAGCAAGAATTTTTGTATATATAGACAAGCTTATGCTAAAATGTACATGAAAGGCAAAGGAACTAGAATAAATAAAACGATATTGAAAATGAAGAAAATAACATGGAAGAAATAGTTCTACCCAACTTGATGACTTATTGTATAGCTACCATAATCAAGACAAGTACCCAGCCTGGGAAGCTCCCTGGTCCTACTGGGTTGATACTCCTCTTCCCCACCCAGAGACACCAGGAGTCCAGGTGGAACAACCAAGGTGATTACACCATAACAGATCCCCAGCCTTTGATCAAGGAAGGGCTATTGTGCCACAAGTGGCCAGCCTGGAAGAGCTCTTTATCCCCGCAGGCCAGAGACTCCCTCTTCCTACCCAGAAGCACCAGGCAGCTCGGCCTAGGGAGGCTCCTTCTGCCATTCTGCCAGAAGGGTTACTGGGAGCCTCACTGGCACTAGATAAACTAAGAAAACTGAAATAACATTGCAAGGACTCTGAAAATTAAATTTTCATTGGAACTACAGCTCATAAAAACAAGCCAGGTTCTTTGTGCTAAACCTAATCAGGGTGACTGACTACTGAAATGAGAAATGTATATGGGACCCAGAGTCTCCTAACATCATAGCCAAAATGTATAGTATGCAATAAAAGATCACCCATTATACAAAGATCACAACTTGAATGAGAACAATCAATCAACTGATGCTAACAACAAGAATGAGAACAAACCTTGTAATTATTTGACACGAATTTTAAAGCATCCATCATAAAAATGCTTCAACAAACAATTACAAATTCTCTTGAAACAAAGGAAAAATAGAAAATCTCAACAAAGAAATATACAGTATAAAAAGGAAAGTTATAAAACTGAAAAATACAATAAACAAAAATAAAAAAAGACTCATTACATGGGCTCAATAGTAGAATGGAGGTGACACAGGAAAAAAATCAGTAAATTTGAGGACAGAATAATGGAATTTACCCCATCTGAACAGAGAGAAAACAGACTAAAAGAAGTAAATAAACAGTTTCAAGGATCTATATAAAAATGGCAAAGACCCAACATTTGTATATTGGCATCCCAAAAGAAAGACGGGGGAAGACTAAAAAGTACTCAAAGAAATAATGGCTGAAATCCCAGCTTTGGCAAAAGACATAAGCCCACAGACACAAGAAACTGAGTGAAGTCCAATAGGATAAACCCGAAGAAATTCATGCCAAGACACAGTAAAAACTGAAGATGAAAGGAAAATCTTGAAAGCTGCCAGAGAGAAATGACACATTCATTCTAGGGGCACACCAATTTAAATGAAAATTTCTCATCTGAAACTATTCAGAGCATAAGGAAGTGGCACAATCTTTTACAAACGCTGAAATAAAAGAACTGTCAACTTTGAATTCTACGTTGGGTGAACGAAGGTGTTCTGCAGAAATGAAGGGGAAATAAACGTTCTCAGATGAAGAAAAAAAGAATTTATGGCTAGTGACCTACCTTTAAAGAATGTCGAAAGGAAGTTCTTTAAATAGGAAATGATACAAGGAGTTGTATTGGGGCATCCAGAGGAAAATAAAACAGAAAGAAAAGAAACACGGGTACCTACAATAAACTAAACTACTCCTTATCTCGTAAATCACAATTGATGAAAAAGTAAACCTAAAACCGCGCTGAAAAATGAAGTCTATTACTCTTTAAAAAAAAAAAAAAAAAAGCAGATGCATGATATTTACAATCACTCCAAAGAAAATGAAATACTTAGATACACACTTAAATATCATATGCAAGATATGTATGTTGAAAATTATGAAATGCTGATGAAAGAAATCAGTGAAGAACTAAATAAATGGAGAGACATATGTCCATGGATTGAAAGACTCGACATAATGAAGATGTCATTTCCCCAAAAATTGATTTAAAAGTTTAATGCAATTTCTATAAAAATCCTAGCAAAGTTTTTGCCAACATATACAAGCTTTTTCTAAAATTTATATGGAAAGGCACAGGTCTTAGAATAGGTAGAATACTCTTCAGAAAGACAAATGAAGCCAGGCACGATAGGGCATACCTATAGTCCCAGCTACTCAGGAAACTGAAGATTGCTTGAGCCCAGGGGTTGGAGTCTTGCAACATAGCAAGAACCCGTATCTAAAAAAATAAAAAATTTAAAAAAGAAGAATAGAGTAGAAGAAATCCCCTTACCTGATATTAAGGCTTACTATATAGAAAAAATAATCAAGACAGTGTGGTTTTAGCAGGTGGACTGACACATTGATCAATAGAAAAGAAGAGATGCCAGAAATAAACCCAAGCGAATATGCCCAGCCAACTTTAGAAAAAGATGCAAAAGCAATTTAGTGATGACAGATACCCTTGTCAACAAACGGTACTGGAGCAATTGGAAATCTATAGGCAAAAACAAAAACAGTAACAAAAAACAAAAATCCCACCCACAATAACCTTAGACTTAAATTTCACGTCTCATTTGGAAATTATAGACTTCATTATAAAAAATGAAACTATAAAACTTGTAGAAAAATAGCAAAAAATCTCCAGGATCTAGAGCTAGGCAGACTTCTTAAGCTTGACATGAAAAGCACAATCAATGGGGCCCGGCGTGGTGTCTCATGCCTAGTAATCCCAGCACTTTGGGAGGCTGAGGCGGGCAGATCACCTGAGCTCAGGAGTTCAAGACCAGCCTGGGCAACATGGAGAAACCCTGTCTCTAAATAAATAAATAAAAGGAAAGCAAAGCACAATAAGTAAAAGAAAAATTAATAACGAGGACCTCATGAAAATTAAGAAGTGTTGCTTTGTGAAAGTCTCTGTTAAGAGGATGAGAAGTCAAGCTACAGAATGGGAGGAAATATTTGCATGCCACATCTCACAAAGGACTAATTACTAGAATATGTGGAATATGCAAAGAACTCTCAAAGTTCGGCAGTGAAAAACAAACAATTCAATTAGAAAATGAGCAAGAGACCTGAACATCCTTATTACCCTACGGGATTTACAGATAGCACATAAACACATAAAAAGATGTTTCCCTCGCCATTGGGGAAAGGCAAATTAAAACCATGATGAGATGAGATACCACTATGAACCTATGAGAATAGCTACCATTAAAAATAATGATGATACCAAATGCTGGTGAGGGTATGGGAAACTGGATCTCTCATACATTGCTGGTGGGGATGGAAAAGGGCACAGCCACTCTGGAAAATGGCTTGGCAGTTTCTTATAAAACTAAGCATTCAACTACCATATGACCCAGTAATTGCATTCATAGATGTTTATCCCAACAAAATAAAAAAGTGTGTCCACACAAAAAAGCACACGCAAATGTCCATAGCAGCTTTCTGTGTAAAAGCCAAAGCTGGAAATAATCCAGATGTTCTTTGATGGGTAAATGGTTAAACAAACTGGCACATCTGTACCATGGAACACTACTCAGCAACAAAAAGGAACAGACTATTGATATATGGAACGACTTGGATGGTTTTTTTTCTTTTTTTGAGACGGAGTTTCGCTCTTGTCACCCAG
This sequence comes from Homo sapiens, assembly GCF_000001405.40. Lineage (NCBI taxonomy): Eukaryota > Metazoa > Chordata > Mammalia > Primates > Hominidae > Homo > Homo sapiens. The sequence goes on from NC_000002.12 coordinate 72,125,195, forward strand.
CCTGGAGTGCAATGGTGCAACCTCGGCTCACTACAACCTTTGCCTCCCAGGTTCAAGCGATTCCCTGCCTCAGCCTCCCAAGTGGCTGGGATTACAGGTGCTCACCACCATGCTGGCTAATTTTTTGTATTTTTAGTAGAAACGAGGTTTCACCATGTTGACCAGGCTGGTCTTGATGTTACATGGAAAAAGCCAGTCCCAAAACATTACATCCTGTATGATTCCATTTATATAGCCTTCTTGAAAGGACAAAATTCTAGATATGGAGAACAGATTAGTGGTGTCTAGGAGCTGAGGAGAGTGGAGGGGTGGGGGCAGGGGTAGCAGGAGGGAGGGAGATCTTTGTGGTGATGGAACAGTCCTGTACCTGCATTGCCGTGGTGGGGTCACACATCTACAGGTGTGATAAACAGGCAACAAACTGTACCCATCCAGTCACATGTCACTTAAAAACAGGGATATGTTCTGAGAAATGCCTCATTAGGCAATTTTGTCATGAAACCATCATAGAATGTCTTACACAAACGTCGATGGTAGAGACTGGCACACACCTAGGCTGTATGGTACGGCCTGTTGCTCCTAGGCTAGGAGCCTGTGCAGCGTGTTACTGTACTGAATGGTGTGGACGATCCCGTGTGCTCTCAGTCACACTGTCCAGCCCTGAACACAGTGGCATTTGTGTATCTAAACATAGAAAAGGTAGTGTGTTATGCTATGATGTCACTAGGTAATAGGAATATTTTAGCTCCATTATAATCACATGGGACCACCATCGATTGTGAGGTTCATCATTGACTGAAACGACATTGTCCTGCTGTGCGTTACTGTCCGTTGTACCAATGTCCATTTCCTGTTTTGAGATCCCACTACAATCACAACGAGGTGAAGAGTACACAGGACCTCTCTTGTACTATCTTTGCAACCTCCTGTTAATCTATAATTACTTCAAACTAAGCAGTACACACACCACACACACACACACACACACACACACGCACACACACAGTCACACAAAGCCCTTGGGAGCATGGCAAGAGAAGGAATTGATACCATAAGAGTGCAAACAACCTCACAGGAAGTGGTGAGGACTTCCATTTACAGTGTCTCCACTCTTAAAATGTCACTCATTGCCCACCCTCCTTCCGGCACCCTGGCACAATCCAGCAGCTCTGGTCTTCCCCCACTTGGTAGTTCCTTCCCCTCCCACCTCAGCTGTGCTCTGAAGTAACATTCACATCCACCTGTCCCTGCCTACACTTCCTTCCCCTCTCTACTTTGGGTTGCCAAACCTACACCACCCCTCTGACCCCACTCCAAGGCAACCAATCAGAGAAAGCCATCCTCCTGGCCAGGGGTGGGCACGTGACCCAACCAATCAGAGAAAGCCATCCTCCTGGCCAGGGGTGAGCATGTGACCCAAATTAGGCCAAGCAGAGTCCTTGTAGGGGGCTGCCATTTGACCCCTGCAGCTCGGGCTCAAAGCAAGGCCTTCCACCTGCATCTCCAGGGCCACCACTCCAGGGGAGCCACTCACGATGTGTTCTACATAACATTTGTCTCAGAGGGAATCTAAGCCCGAGTCCCAGAAGAGGAAACTTCAGGAAGGAAGGCATGCCAAAGCCAGGACTTCTGTGGGTGCAGACCAGCCAGGAAGGAGGGGGCCAGAGCCACGCAGATGGATACTACCCAGGCTCACCTGCCTCCCAGGGAGCCTGGTACCCTCAGCTGGGCCAGCTCCCGGCCCATGGCTACTGGTAGCCAAGGAGCCCTCGCTGTGCTTCAAACAGCCTGGGGGTGTTACAGCACCCCTCTCACATGGAAACCTTTCTGGGGTCCCATGTCCCTCGCCTGCTGTGCAGGATTGAGGAGCCACTGGAGGAGGCCAGAGTCTCAGAGCACCAGGGCTGAGCGGGCACAGGGGATTCTTTTCACAGGGAGGAGGCCAAAGCTGAAGGGGCTGGAATAAGAATCTCCTGGGAGGCCAGACGTGGGCATTCTCTCTTTCCTCCTCCTCCCCGTCTCCTCACTTTTGTACCTCCTTTCCCCCTCTCTTCTCCCTCTCTCTTCATCTGCCCCTCTCTCCCTCTTCCCCTCTTGCCTGCTTCTCCGTCTCCCCCTCCAAGGCATGTCAGAACTAAGCAGAACCAGCAAAGTGGTGTCTCTGTCTTCACCTGGTTACCCCCCACGCTGGTCCCCTAGCCCTGCTTTCCCCGGCTCTGTTCCTGGCTCCCAGCCCTGGCCACCCTGGGCAACCCGGTCCAGCCAAGACCAGGCTGTTTTGGAAAAGTGCAGGGAGGTGGCAGAATGTGCGGTCTGCGAGTGCCCTCCAAACTGGCGCCCCAATCCCTGGACAAACAGAGTCCATGTTTGCCTGTCCACAGTGGTCTGTGTTCTCCTTCCAGGCTGGGAGATCCCGCGGGTAGGCGACCGTGTCAGGGACGTCATTGACCCACTGGGCCCATGGGGGAGAGGCAAGGACAGCCTAAGTGATGACAGGGCCAGCCGCCTGCCCAGCTGGGCCCGCCTACCCTGAGCAGGGTGGTCAGGCCGAGGGCAGCCCAGGGACCATGCTTTCATTGCCTCTGCTGCCACACGGGACACTCCACCAGGAGGGATGGAATTTACTCTCTGGAAAACAACCGCCTTTCCTGGCACGACTCCCTGCGGAAGCTGGGGCTTTTCACTGCTTCTCAGGACCCTGGGGGCCTCTGTCCGAGGGAGCCCCTTGGAGTGGGCATGTGCGGGTGGGGCAGGCCACCAGTACTACCTTCTGCTTTTTGTGACTTAAGGGAAGTCCCCCTGCCCCTTTCCCCACCCTGGGAAGAGTGGAGGACTGGGGCAGCGTCACAGTGCGGAGGAGAGGTGAGGCAGAACAGACGCCAGAGCAGGTGAGCTGGGGTTAGGGTTGCCGAGCGTTCTGCTCTGGTGACGTTGCTTCAATGCTGGGTCCTTCTCTTCTGGGTGGCCAGGCTCCGAGACCTAGGCAGAGCGAGGCCCTACACCCCAGGGTGTGCCTGGGCCAGCGTGCTCTGAGCTGAGGTTGGGTCTGACTGACTGTATGGAAAAGAAACGCTGCAGCCGCAAAAAGGCTCTTCTCAGGTCAGCTCAGGGGTGGGCCTTCCCCCTCAGGCTATGGGGATGGGACCCGGGCGGGGCAGAGGCTGGGGCCAGCCTGGTCACGCTGCAGCCTTTCCCGGTTCCCAGTGTGCAGCTCCAGGGGCCGAAGCTCTGTCTCTCATTGCCCTCCCTCCCCACCCACAGCCCCTCAATCCCGGGAACCACCTGGGGTTTTCTCAGCACTGAAAGTCGTGCCCATCACGGGTCCTCGCCTCAGGCCTCTGTGACAGTCAGGCTGTGGATCTTTCCATGAAATGTGATCATCGGCGAAAGAGGACAGGGTTTCAGTCCTCAAATAGGCCTGGAGAATGCTGCAGCCTGTGTTCACCCCACACTCTACTGCCCCTGAGGCTACACATCCTGGGGCTCAGGGTTCTGACAAGGCCTGCAGAAGGGGAACCGGGATGACTGTGTTTAACCCATTTCCCAAACTCATTTGATCATGGAATCTATCTGATCCCACAACACCCATGAAACAGGCTTTGAGAAGTGCTGGCATGGGACGCGAGCCCAGACGTCAGAAGAACTGAATTCTGCTCCCTAATTTGCCACGTGACTGTGAACATCAGTGTCCTCACTCAAGTTAACAAGACAGGCTCAGAGCTCTCGGTCCCCCTGTCCAGCCTCGAAACACCTGGCACAGCCAGCCACAGCCACACTCGGAGCATCCTCCCAGCTGCCCCTCCCCCAATAGGCTGACCGGTTCTCTCTCTCCCTCCCCAGGGAACCTCCTCCTCCCAGGACTCTGTCACAGACCTCTGTGCCCGCATGCAAGGAATGGCGAACTGGCCTCACGGGACGGTCTTAGGGAAGAGCTTCCTAACTGACAAGGTGGATGGGCACTGCTGATGTGAACACAGGTAGCCGGGGAGGACTCTTTCAGTAAGGCTGGGAAGGCAGAGAGCAGAGACGCAACGGAGACAAGGGCGGGTCCCCACGGTTTATTCTAGAAGCCTATAGAAGAGCCACATTGAGTATTTCCAAAATCACAAAATGCACAACATTCATGTTTTTAATATGCAACATGGAATATTATATACAGATTAAAACCACGACAGCAAAAACACTCACACGGTACCAGTTTCATATCAAAACAAAACACACAAGTGCTTTTTCAATATTAAAACGACTGTGATAAAAACATATTAATATTTTGAACCATGTTTACAATAGAGCAAAATTCATATTTTACTAAATAACAAATATTTAACAGCAAAAACTTTATACTAAATATCTATTTTGAATTATAACAAAAATAGTACTTATAATAGTTTATAAAGACAGACACAAAATTATAACATTTATGAAAAAAAAGGTTTGTGTATAAAATAATATTATAGCCATCTGGGCAGGGTCACGGTGGTGCCCAGAACACAAACGCCAGCGCCCAACATCGAAAGTGCTTCAATCTGCAAGCCCGTGGCAGGAAGAGTTTTGTGGGGTTTTGTCTTTTTAAGGTCAAGTTGCAATAGTTAGGGATGATAAGTAAGAAACATCACCCATCTAATGCTAGCTGTATGAAACACACACGCACACGCACAGACACGGGCATCTCACTAGAGAGCTGAAAGGAGGGACCAATTACAACACAGGGATCCTGTCAGCCAGCCAGAGCTTTCTTCAGCTCTCTTCTCACTGCCTTTGAGACCCAGCGGGGCAAATGATCCTTCTTTCCTCCCTCACAGGGACCCCCCTCAGCTTTTCCTTCTCTGCCCCCTACCAGGCTGGCCACCCCCAGGGAAGGCCCCTGAGACCTCCCAGCCCCATGCCCCCTGCCCCTCACCTGGACCAGACCCAGTGGGCTTGTCTGAAGTTCCACTTACTGCTCTCCTAGATACTCAGTCAAAAACAATTGGTTCAGGGCCAGCTGGATCAGTTTAAAGGAAAATGAACCTCCCAGACACTGGTTTTGTGTTGGGGGGAGGGGGTACAGGTCCGGGTGCACCATGTAGCTATGTTGCAAGCTTTGACAAGTCTTTACCCATTCTGGCCTGTTTTTCAGGATTAGGGATGAGCAATTTTGCCAATAATGTCTATTCCACACTGTTTTTTAGTAGTGGAAAAGTAGGAAATAAATGAAACATCTGAGACTCAGGGATTGGAGAGCAGTCTGTGTGGTATGGGCCCGTTCCTATAGTCTATCTTCAGGGTGGCTGTGAGTGGGGTCAGGGTCGGTCTGTGGGGCTGCCTACGGGATCTGGTCTGAGGGAGCCACTGAGGTGCTCACAGCAGCGATCGGGGACTGGCATGTCCTTCATTCTTCTGTGTTTTCGATTTTCTTGTAAAGGGGATTCATTGCTTTTACAACATCAAAAACCAATAAACACAGAAAGCAAGGAAAAATCTAGAGACTCACCAAACGCCCGGAAACCTTCCCCAGGAGGCATCCCAAATTGCCAACACTCAAAACGCCAGTGGCAGGAGCTACTCCTCTTTCACCCAGTCATCCCGACTGGCCAGTTTTCAACCCAATCCCCCTGACAAACCGCACGTAGCCGCCTCTTCAGCTTCAGCTGCGGCAGCCTTCCCGCAGCTGTCCGGAGACCACACAGGGCCCTGCAATCAGCTCCGAGGCAGAACTGCCGCTGCGCTCACCTCCCCCACGCTTTCGCCTCTTCCCCACCCCTGAGCTGGGCTAAGCAGACAGTGGCATAGAGGTGGAAGGGACTTCAAGGACACCTTTTTCAGGGCGGAGGGCAAAGGGGGAGAGTTAAGGAAGGGAAGACGGAGGCCCTTGCTCCCCGTCAGAAGAACCCGTATCCTTCCCCATACTCACGCCTGGAGTCAGGGCCAGTGCACTGGGGTGAACAGGGGCCAAACAGGAAATCGTGGCCGCCTCCAAATCTACCTGATCAGGGTTTTTGACAGGAGAGGGAGGAGGCAATGGGCCACATTCCATCTCCACCAGGGATAAGGCAGAGGCACCGGACTTCAGTCCAGGAGTGAGGCTCCGAGATTAAACCCAAATAATGCCCGGAGCCGGGGAAGGCTTTCAACCCTAGGCCCTGGGGGCTGGGTTTGACCAGAGACCCCTTCCTCTTCACTCACAGAAGTCTCGCCAGGACAGCTAGAACACAGGCTAGGGCATGAAGGGGAGGAGATGTTCACTCCAGACCCCAGCATCCCCAAGATTCTCTATCAGTGAATAAATATGGGGGCGGGCAGCACATGAGCCGCGGGCCTTAGGCGGCTGTGTGTAACAGGGCCTGGTTCAGCAGGGGATGGGAAGGTGGGGGTGTCAGTGCACCTGCCCAGGGCCACCAGGGAGGATGCTGGGGAGACAGGGCCTGGGGCTCCTTTGCCCCAAGGTCAGAGGACAGAACAAGTAGCAGCAATAGGTAATTTCAAATTGTCCAAACTGGTGAGGGAGGGTGGGAACCGTGGCATAGGGAAGGGCAATCTCCAGGTTGGACGCAGCCCCCGCCCCGCCAAGGTTGACTCCTGTTCTGCTACCCAGGATGCTGTTCCTGGGCAGACGCAGTGGGGGCGCAGGAGGAGGAGACGCTGAAGAGTGCGCCCAAGGGGGCACGGCTCTTCCCGTCCCCCAACCCCAGCTAAAAGGGTCCGAAAGGAACGGAGGGAAGGGAGCAGTTCAGAACATCACAAAAACACTGTAGCACGCGCTGACACCTAACACTGTCACGGGCATGCAGAGCCCCTGCCACGCCCTTCCCAGGGGCTGAGCTGATGGTAAATGGGGAGTGGCTGGAGGGAAGCTGGAGCCAGAAGGGGAGCCCAGCCCTAGGAATGGGGCCCACTGGCTTTGGGTAGGGTTTGCCAGGGAGGGGGAGCAAGGGAGGGCAAGTATGGGGGCCACTCGCCCTCCCCGTTCCGGCCCCCTCCCACACACAGGTTTCTACCTCCCACAACCACCACCCCGCTGCCTGGGCTGGGCTGAGGCGGGTGGGTCTTGGGTTAGACTGTGGCGCTCAGCATGGCCTCCGTCTCCGGCAGGATCTCGTTCTGGTTGGAGTCCAGGCCAAAGAACTTGACGCTGAGGCCATCCACGGGGTGCAGGACGGGGACCAAGGTGATGCGGGGGAAGGTCCGTGTGGCCAGCTCAAAGCGGCTGGTGCTAGCCAGCTCCACCGCCAGCACCTTCAGGAACAGCTTGGCCAGGTGCTTGCCCAGGCAGGTCCGGACACCGCCACCGAACGGGAGGTAATGGAAGCGGCCATCCTTGTCCTCGCTCCGCGCCTGGCTGAAGCGATCGGGGTCGAACACGTTCACGTCTTTGAACACGGGCGCTGTGTCATGGGTGTCCCGGATGCTATACATGACACTCCAGCCTTTGGGGATCTGGAAACCCTGGAGCAAGATGGGGGCCGAGGAGTGGGTGGTGAGAGCCAGAGGAGCCCACAGAGGGCCCAGGACTGCCCCCTCCCTGCTCAGCCCCAGATGTTCAAGACCTGCCTTTTCTTAGAGACACCCCACTGTGGCCCCCAAGGCCTGGCCAGCCTGCCCCATTCAGCATGTTAGTCCAAGCCCTTATCTGTAGATGTGCACATGTGACTTCACATATGACACCCAACTTGGCTTCACCTGATGCATTTGGGGCGCACTTCTCCCATCGGACTGAAAGCTCCCTGAAAGCAAGCACTGTTTCCCCATCAGGCCTGAAGTCCCTGAAATGGAGGCTGGTGCCCCGCCTTGCCCCTATCCCGGTGCCCCTGCTCCCCCATCGCCCCCGGTGCCACGGGCCCAGCCTCACATCAAGCTCGAAGGTCTGCAGCACAGTGCGGTAGCCGCCGGAAATGGGCGTGAACAGGCGCATGACCTCCTTGATGACGCAGTCCAGGTAGCGCAGCCCACTGAGCGTGTCCAGGCGCAGTGTGCCCTCGCAGGGGCAGCCGCCACTGTGCAGGATGCCATGAGCCCGCAGCTCATCCCGCAGCTTCTCCAGCACAGTGGGGTGCTTCAGCAGCTGCATGATGAGTGAGGTGCTGGCGCTGGCCGTGGTGGCATAGGCCGCAAAGATCAGCTCCAGGGTCCCGTCCTGCAGGGCACAGAGGAGAGGTGTTGTTGGAGGTGTGGGTTCAGCCAGGCAGGGGCCGCCCCATTCAGTCAGTGGCCCGTGTGCCCAGGTCATCTGTGCTGGGCCCTGCCTGGTTCCTGCAGTGAATTCTGCTTCCTCTGAGCTTCATGTTGCCGGGGCATTAGTGTCACGATGGACACGGGGGTCACAGCCAGTCCCTAGCTGGGCAGAAGACACAACTGCTGTGACCGAGGGCAGAAGCACTGGCCTAGAGTCCCTTGGAGTGGAGCCACTTCTCACTCACTGCTGGGTTCCTGGGCCAGCCCCACAGGCCTGATATGCAGTGGGCTCACAGGAGAAAAAGAACAAATCCCAAGGAGCCAGGCCCTGCGCAGCAGGTGTGCGTGTGTATGTGTGGGGGATGTGAGTCTAAACCCGGGCCTTCCCACTCCCAGTGCCAGCCCCTTCCTCCATCGCAGGAGGAGGACATTCAGTGGGTGATCAGGGGAGCCAATGGGGTCTGGGAGGGAGCCTGGGGCCACTCCCCTGGAGACCTGGGATGAGGCTGAGGGAAGGCGACCCCCAGAGGACCTAAAGACCCCGCCAGGGCTTTCTGGGGAGCAGGACACCAGGGCCATGGGTTCCCCACAGAAAGGCCCCAGCAGGCTATCTCATAGCACACCCTGCATTTTACAAATGTGGACTCTGGGCCCAGAGAGGGCAATGAAGGGACCTGGGTCCATTACTGGCCATGGCAACATCCATAAATCACAAAGCTTCTTGTAGTGGAAAAGCCACTCCAGCTCTTCCTAGCTCCCCAGGAAAGAAGTTGGAGCTAGAATATGGGGAGGCAAAGATAGTGGGCAGGGGAGGCTGCAGTGAGTGTCCATGGGCACCCAGCAGTGGAGCAGGCCTGCAGAGCCCAGGTGGGGATGGGCGAGTGAGCCCTCCTCGGGTGAAACATCCGCCTAAAGCAGGGCAAGCAGGTCCTGCGTGGAGCACAGCCGGGATCCCCAGGGGCCTAGGGGGCGGGGGGGAGGGTGGGAGGGCATGCAAGGCGCCAGCAACCTGAAAAGGCTGGGGGTGGGGGAGGATACCTCACATCCAAATCTCCCCTGCTCTTCCCCAAGGGCTGAGGCTGGTGACAAGCAAGTGGTTTCCCCTTGTGGGCCTGCCTTTCCCTAGATGGCCTTCCAGGGATATTGGGACTAGGAAATGAACTGAGATCATTCCCAGGCCTGAGCTCCCTGCAGGCCATGGGGAGAGAAGGGAGGGTGCCCCACGGCATCCTGCACAGCAGGGGTGGGGACACAGACTTCGCTTCCAGTTTCAAGGTCTCCAGCCACTGCTCAGAAAGCATGTGTGGGGCCAGACTACAGGGGGTAGAAATGGCTGGGCACATTTCCACCCAGGGAAAGCTCAGAATGGAGCCTGGGTGCTGGTGCTGCCCGTGAGGGGCACACGCCCACCCCACCTTCAGCTCCTGCATGGTCATCTCCTTCCCGTGCTCCTTGCTGCTCTCAATGAGGAGGTCCAGGGCGTCCAAGTAGTCCTTGCCCTGTGTGCACTGCAGCTTCTCCCGGATGGCCTTCTCCAGCCCCTTCTGCAGGATCTGCCGAGCCTGAATGCCCTGCAGAGGTGAGGGCTGTCACTCATATGGAAGGGCAGGCTCCCATCTGAGCCTCGGGACCACCAGGGACGACTCCAGCCTCCTCCTACCCCACGCTGACACCTCTCCCCTTTGTCCATGTGCCCTGTGCCTAGGTGCCCATCTCAGGGGTCAGGTCAGCCACCCACCCCCAGAGAGGGGGCTCATGGATGCCCCTGCTCCTCTCCTCCCAGGCCCTGGGTGCTCACCCGCCGGTAGCCACTGAAGGGCAGGTCGACAGGCAGGGAGAAGACATTGTCCACAAACTGCTGGTAGACCTCAAAGAGGTGCCCAAGGTCCTCCTCAGGGATGCTGAAGCCCAGCAGCACCCGGATGGCCATGCGGAAGGTCAGCTTCTGCGCCTCCTGGTACACGTTGATGGCCTCGGGGTGGCTGCTCCAGGCGCGCAGTGTGTCCTGGATCACCAGCTGGATCTTGGGCAGGTAACTCTCCAGGGCCTCGTGGCTGAAGATCTTGGAGAAGACCTGGAAGGCAGAGAGGCAAGTGGGTGAGCCGATTGGCACAGCCCACCCCTGGCCAGCCCCTCACTCTGCCTGAACAATGAATGTGACTGGAGAGAACTTCAGCTTCCACACAACAGCAAAGCCTTGGGAGCTGGGCAGGCCAGCTGCCAGCAAGTCTTTGGGGGATGTGGCTTGTGAGGGGCATAAGTGGGGGCTGGGCAGGGCCAGAGCAGGGCGGCTGCCCTTCCATTGCAGAAGCCCATTTCGGAATCCCGGGACACAGGACGGAAGTGCCCTGGAGAAGTGGAGCACAGTCGTTGGACTGTACAGGGAAGTAGGGGAAGGCCATCGAGGGAAAGCTACTCCATGGGGTACAGCAAGAGAGCCTGAGACTAGACCTCAAGCAGGACTTCCTGGGAACCAAAATTGTCATTACTTGCTGGAAAACACCTACTGGGTGCAGATTCTAGTAAGTTTATTAACAGCTGTGCCATGAAAAGGTCTTCAGTGTGGCCAGGTCCAAAAGCAGGGGGAGATGGGGGCAATGGCTTTCCACCCCTAAAGATCATAAAGACAAACAGAAGCCCTGTGACTTCCCTGCATCTTCCAGGGCCACTGTACGCAGCCAGTGAGTCCTGTTTCCACCTCCTTGTCCTCCGTCCTCCCGGCTGGCTGCGCAGCCCCCCTTGCCACCCTCCTCACCCAGGACTCCCCCGCACAGGTTTTCATGTGTGGAGGAGAGGGGAGCACGTTAGTTTATTTACCAAAAGCCTGTGGGTCTCGCTCATAAGCAGCAACGTCCATCCCACCAGAGTTCAGATGAGAAGGGGGAGCACCCCTGCTACCAGCACCAAGCAAAGGCTGGGAGGGGAGGGACAGTGCAGAAGAGGGAGCCCCCCACTCCACCCCATGCAAACCACACACACGCGCCGCCCTCCCCTACTGCCCCCCCAAACACAACCACCGCATAAACTGTAAATGTGAGAATTTCCCCTGCAGTCAGCTCGGGGAGGAAAGGTAACATTTTCCTGGCCTAGGCCCTGCATGGCTAATGGGAGGGCTGGTTTGCAGAAATAACAGTGCTGGCCCTTCAGTGGCCCAGCCAGGCATTCACAATAGCACTTTCATTCCGAAATTCCCGGTGGAGGGAAGGAGGGAGGGCAGGAGGCCGGCGAGGGGCAGAGAGGCCTGTACTGTTTGGGGCCGCTCCTGCTACAAAGGGACAGCTGAGAGGTAGAAGGACGATAGGAGGTCGCCTGGGTCAGCCCAAGCCCAGATGGGTCATTCACACCTTGCCCAGTTTTGGGGGTCCGAGGGAATTTCCAGGGGACTCTAACTACTGCCTCCCTTCAGAGAGTGATGGATAAAGGCAATGCTTGTTTGCTTCAACCCCCAACCCTCATGTCCTTAGGATTCCAGGTTCAGCCCTTGGGCAAATGAAGGGTCTTGGGGGAATGAGAGGGGGCACTTCTTCTAGAGACCAGCGCTGGCCAATGAAGGGCCCCTTACAGATAGCAGAGAGCCACTGGGTGGGCAGAGAGTAGCACACAGGAGGGAAAAGTGCATCAGGAAACAAGACAGGGGCAGGAAAATCACTCTGCGGCTACCAGGCCTCCATGGCGGGACAGGGATGCCAGAGGTGGGACAGGGAGGGCCAGAAAGGTCATACCTGGCCCAGAAACAGCCAGCCCAGGACCTACTAGGGGTTCTGTCACGAAGAGTGCAGGGTAGGGGCTGGCCAGGGCCCCCAGCACATGGCAGACCTGGTCCTCCTGCCTCTCACCCGGTGCCCTGGAGGCCACGCCCACCAGGCCCAGCCAAAGTCGAAGCTGGTGGGCTCTATGATGCAGTGGGGTGACAGGAAAGGGGCTGAGTTGTAACTGTGCATCATCCAGCAACTTACAGTGTGATCATGGCCAAGTGGCTATCTGCTCCCCCAAGCCTCAGTTTCCTCATCTGTAAAACAGTGAGGTGGAACCAGATGGCCTCCCTTCAATCCACTGAGCACCTAAACACCAGCACCCACCTGCCCCTAAGCAGATGCTATCCCTTCAAAGCTGCCCAGAACTTGGCAATGCTCGAATCCCCTGGGGAGTGCCTTCCAGCCCCTACTCACACACCCCACGTGGGCCATAGTGGCCAGGAGGGGCCATCCCAGGGTTTCAAAAGGGGGAGCACGCAGGGCCCCCACCTCACCCACAGACAAGCCCTGCCCTGCCCTGCCCCGTGGGTTCCATTTCCTGCGCCCTCTAGCGATGGCTGGTTGAACTGCTCCTTCCCAGGCCTTGGGGGCCCTAGAGGGCAGGCAGGAGCAGTCTAGGAAGAGAGAAGGGCCCCGGGGGACCTGGGACTGGACTGAGAGAAGGACTCCAAGGGCAGGGGTCCACACCTGACCCCTGGGGGGAAGGGGTCCATGGGCAAGGCCAGGAGCTAGAATAAGCCGGAAAAGCCACTGCCACCCAGCACCTGCAGGCCCCTGAGGCTGGGGCTTCTAAAAGGAAAGTGAAGGCAGGACCAGGACACTGTCTTGGCCGGCGTCTGACTTGCTGAGTGACAGCCAGCAGGCTGCTGCCCCTCCTGGAGCTGTTTCCCCGCTGGGTTCATGAGAGGCCCGACTGGCCATTCTGAGGGCCTTTCTGCCAGGCTGTCCGTGACGCTCCTCAGAGCCCACCGTGAGATGGAGAAACCGCCCAAATGAGAAGGCCAGCAAAGATGGGTGGAGGGCACACTGGCCCCAAGGGGCTGGGCTCAGAGGTCACCAGGTCCATGCCCCTGCCTCTTGCCCAGCTGCTCCACAGACATAGGGGCCTCCCAGGCCCTGGGAAGCCTCCAGAGCCTCATCCCTGGGTCTGTGCCCGGGGGGTAACAACACAGGCACTTCCCAAAGCCGGGGCAGCTCTGAAACCACCGCCCACCACAAAGGATGGGCGGAGGCAGAGGCGCAGGCTGGGGCAGAGGGCGGCCAGGGCGGCGTCAGGGCGGGCTGGGTCTGAGGCCATCACCTGCTGGGGTCAGGACTCGGGCACACTGGGAAGGTGCCGGGGAGCGGCTCCCTGTGAAGAGAGGAAGGGTTCCTGGCCCGGAGCTACTTCCCTGACCACAGGCATCGCAGGAGCCACGACTGCTTTGTTTCCTTCTGGGGCTTCCCTCGGAATTCCCAAAAGTCAGCCAAGAATGCTGGACAAAGGTCACTGGGAGCCAGCCCAGGCTCAGGCCAAGCCCTGCAGAGGGAGTGGCAGGTATGGACTCCCCACCACGGCTGGTGCCAGGGGAGAGCAAGGGCACTGTCACAGGAGCCCAGGAGCGCATGTCCAGGTTTACCTGCTGCAGCCCCAGAGGCTCAGGCAGGAGGGAGGAGGGCACTCGCCTTAAGGGATGGCCTTGGGCAACTCCCCTGCCAAGCCCCCAAGGACACAATAGGCTCATGAGTCTACACCCTTGGTTCTCTCCCTCCCTCCAGAGTGGGAGCTGATCCCACAAGGGTCTAGGGGTACCGCCAGGGGCTCGTGAAGGCTCAGATTCCCTATCATTGTTTCTACAAAAGCATTCTCCCCAACCAGGCCTCCTCACCCCTCCTGCCTCTCACCCCGTGCCCTGGGAGGGGAGTTGCTCTGTGAACCCCATGGCCCTGCGTGCTGCGCTTGCTCAGCCAGATAGCCTCCCCCTTCTCTGCTGGCAGGTGTGGACAGATGGACATATGGATGGGCAGTAGGAGCGGGTAGAGCCGGAGTGGGGACCCACTGCCCAGGCCAGTGACTCAGACTGGGAGGAATGGAAGCGGCTGCCCAGGAGGGGTGGGGGCCTGGGCAGGCCACCCGGCCAAGCCACCGGAGCCTCGGCCTGCAGAGTGGAAAGAATAACAGAGGGCAGGCAGCCGCTGAGGCAGCCGTCCGCACAGGGGTGACGCCAAGGTGTGTACTTTATATTCAAGCAAGGGGGGTAAGAGAGGACGTCATCTTCCCAGCTGCCTGGCTGCCTCAGCTTCACCCTGGCCCAGTGGAAATGCCAGGCAGCTTCACCCAGAACTGGAAATGTCCAATCTGGGTGTGTGGGGCTGGGTACACTCAGCCCCTCTGGTTGCGAGGAGGCTGGCCCAGACCCCCAACAGGCTCCAGCGGTTGGAGCAAAGCGCCTGCCTGCGATTTGACTCCAGCTGTGATCATCTCACCTGGAGACATGCTCCCCACTGCCCTAACTCTTCCACACATACCTACAGCACAAGGTGGGCAAGACAGGGAGGGGCGGGCAGCACTTGGCAGACACTTGCCGAGCCACAGTATCTGAGATTTGCTTGGCCACTCTTACCTCTGCTGCTTCCAGCCACCACAAACCCGCCTTAGAAAGCTGTGGATGGGTAGGGGCCCTCCCAAGGTCACAGTCCAGAGCGTGGCTGGCCACACCCACCAGAAGTCCTGAACTCCCTGCCTCCCACCACCCCAGACTCCATAGAGCTGCCCTCTGCCAGCCCTGATGGGCTCTGAATTTATCAAAGGGTCCTGAAGGGGATCGTCCTCTACGGTGAAGTCCACTCTGAGGGTGAGGCCAGCTGTCCCCGCCACTCTGGTGTGGTCCCGGCATGTCTCAGGGTCCTGCAGCTGCTTCCTTTTAGGCTTAGGGAACCCAGGACAGATACAGCAGCCAGCATGGGGGGCCCAGGGCCAGGGCAGACCCCACCGAGCCTTCCCACTCCCTGCCAAGGCCACCTTCATCTTCCAAGGCTGGGAGAGTGAGCAAACACATCAGCACCACAGCCTTGGACCCCTCCCTGCCTTGGGAGAAGGACACAGAAAGGAGGGACAGACGGAAGGGCTGGCCCCTGAATCCAGGCCGCCCACCCTCCCGCTGCCTGGCACAAGGGCATGCAGAGGGAGGTGCCCACTCCCAGGCACCCTGGCAGCTGACCGTGGGCTCCCTCCCCCACTGACCTTCAGATAGATCCGCTCCTGCTACCCGCCCCCCTCAGCAGCCCCTGTGCCCACCCGCTGGTGCTACAGTAACTTTTGGGTGAAGGACTTGTGTTGGCAGAACAAAGGCGTTGTGCCTATGCCAAGGGGCTGGGGCAGAGCTCCCAGCAGCAGAGCTGCCTGGCTGTGCCACTGGCCTTTCATCCAACGCAGGTTGGACCTTCTGCCCTGAGCTGAGCCTGGTGGACATGACTGTGTAGCCAGAGGCTGTGCCTTGGTCCAAATGCCTCCTAGAGCCAAGTGTGGGCTAGCCTTCCCCGGGACCCCACAACCGTGGGTCCTCCTGACACCGTCCTCCTGCTGAGGCACCTCCTCGCTTCTCCATCCCAACACAGACCCCAGGAGCACAGGGTTTCCAAGATGGGGCCAAAGGTCAGGGATGGTGGGTGGACAGGCAGGGTTTCTTGACCTCTACCTCCAAAGCCTAGTCCCCCACCTTGGCTTCAGGCCCAGAAGGTCCTGTAGGCAGGGGTCTGGGTAGAAGGGGCAAGACTACCATTCCTGAGGTCTCCCCAGTCCAAGGCTAAGTCCCTCCCTTGAAATACTCTCCAGGTTCCCTGAGGGTATCTCCAGGCCACTGTCTGGGGTGCCCTGAGCTGCTGGCCTCTTGGTGCACTGAGGTCCAGTCCTATCTCCAAAGGAAAATAGGAGAGGCCCAATCCTGGTGGGTAGAGCTGGGCACAGGAAGCTTCTAGAACCATTCTCTAGCTCCTTCTCCATGTTTTGGACAACTGTCTCACCCCCACCTTCCTAACCAGACTCCATCTGCCCTTCTACGGCAATACTCCAGCCTCTCTACACACAAAGAGGGATGGGGTCCCTCCCCCATCCATCAGATACACCCCAGGCCCTGGGCAGGGGAAGGGTAACCCAGGAGGAGGGAGGGAGTCTGAGGCCCTGGCTGCAAGGACACAGGCCTGGCTTCCAGAGATGATTCTGTTAGACTGGGCAAGACTTTCTGGACTTTTTCCCTGGCAACCCCACCCCTGCTGGCCCAGGACCACCAGGGCAGCCAGGGCAAACACCTGGAGTGCAGTGACGGCAGTGAGAAGCCCCCTCCAACACATCTGGTCAGACCTCCCAGAGGTGGGGTGGGCCACCAGCCCCAATGGAAACAGTGACGCTCCAGTTCCCCACCAGCCAGGCCCCAGCACACCTGGGCCCCACTTCCTGCACGTACCTCCTAACCAGGCCAGTCCTGGCCCAGCAGCCCACACTGCAGCCAGGCCTCTAACTGCAGCATGGACCGGATAAAGAGGTGTGCATGGCACACAGCAGCCCCCACCTTGGCCACAGTGAGTTCACCGGGCCTTGGGTTCAGCAGATGAGCCATTCTCTCCAGGACAATCATGGATATTTAGAAACAGTGGCCCTGAGTGTTCTAGTCTCCAGCTAGATTCTACCTACCTAGTTCCAGGACTTTCATGGAGTTCAGTAAACTGAAATCATCAGTTAGGGAGATTTGGGGGGAAGGATCCTTTCATCTGGCTGACTACCCATTTCTCATTCGACCCTCCCCACCAACATGCCCCACGTGGCAAGCATAAAACTGCTACACACAAAGAGGGGGCCCTGCATTTGGCTCTCAGGCCTCTGGCAGGATGAACCAGCTTCTGGTGACTCCCCACCCACCCCCAGGGAGCTAAAAGACCGGCTGTTCTGAATAGGGAGCCATCGCGCCTCAGCCAAGGCTCTCAGTTTCTGCCCCGACCCCAACCCCAGCATCCCCCCTTCCCCCCACCGCATTCCTGAGGCGGGTCATCTGCACCCTCCCTTCCTTCTCCCTCCCCTCTAAATGGACAATGTAGGCCAAAAAACCTTGGGGTTTTCCAGGCAAGCCCTTCCCAGCCAACACCGGGAGGCCCGAGGCCAAGTCAGGCCCAGGGTGGGTGGAACCCCAAGACAACGCCCTCACCCCAAAGCCCTCTGCACCCCAGGGTCTCACACTCTGGTCCTGGCCACACCTCCTTCCTCCTAGCACTCACTGTCCACCCCAGCTTCCAGCAGCCCCAGGCATGCAGGACAGAAGAGGACTCTCCTCCGGGGCCCAGAGACTATTCCCACGGACGCTGCAGTCCAGTGTTGCAGGCTCTCCCCGAAATTTTCTTTGTCTCCTGACCTGGTTCAAGTCTCATTCAACCGCTCTACGCCTCAGTGGCCCCTTCCATGAAAAGGGGACAATAATACCCCTCTGGCCAAAGCCTCTGTAAAGCAGAGATCAGGAAGCAGCCATCTCTTTTGGAGCCGAGTCTCCACTCTCCTCGCTCTTTGGAATGGGCCTCTGGTGGAGTCGCAAAGGCTGAGGGAAAAATAAGTGCCCGCAACTTTGAAAAGCCGAGGCTTCATTCTGAAGCCTACAGCCCCTTCCAGCCACTCCCCAGAACTCCTCTCCCGCCGCCCCCAGGCTGTGGTAACTGCTTCCAGCTAGGAGTGGGGCAGATGGAAGAGAGGACTTTGGGAGCCCCTTTCCAGTTCCTGAAATACATGCTGTATAAGGGAACGGGGGTGGGGGCAGGGATGCAACCCAGTCTCCTCGGTTTGACCGCTCCTTCTTTTGTCTGCCGTTAAGAATTACCCTTCACAGGCTGTTCAGAGAACGTCAAGTGCTACAGGATGCGTCGGCTAGTAGAGCGCTCCCCACCTTCGCCAAGACCACAGCACATGCGGCCCCTGACGGAGGGAGTCCGCCTCCCCACCTCCCCGGTCTGCCACCGCTCAGGGACGGGGGGCTGCCTCTCCCTTTCCTTAGGTTTCAAACCTGGGTGAGTCCTCTGACCCAGTGGAAAAAAATGGAGTGGGAGAGGTCGCGCAGCCTCCCTCCCGGCGGCTTAGGGCCCGCCCGCTGGCTCCGCTTTCGGGTTACTGCAGTTCAAACAGCACGTGCCGCCAGCGCTGGGAGCCTAGCGCAGCCGGGAGGGGCGGGGGCCTGTCCCGTGCGCGCCTCCTCCGCGCCTCCTCCAGTCGCTCGGGAAATCCAAGGGATAAACACCCACTTTCCCTTCCTCTTTCGGGGGGGGGTGGGTGCGCTTTGATCCCCGCTCGTGCCTCGCCTGCTCTCCCCCCGCCCGCCCTTCCCCCACGGCCCAGACCCGTGCGCTCCGCTGCCCAGGCTCGCCGCACCTCTCTGACCAGGCCCCGCCACCGCAGCCCACAAGCTGTCCCCAACCTCCACGCGCAGCCGCCTGCCCGCGACTCCCTTCAAGCAGCCTGTGGTGGGAAGGACAGCTTTGATTTTAGAATGATCGGTCTCCAGTCCTCGGAATTCCCTGGGAAACGTGGCGAAAAGGCGAACGCCGGCCAACTGTCCCGCCCCCTTCTTTTTCCAGCTCTGTGGAGCAAGGCAAGGACAGGCTTTGGACACCCCAGACCCCGCACGCTCAAGCTCTTCCAAGCCACCGTTGGGGGTGCCCATGACGCAGTCGGCCAGCAAGAAAAGGGACCAAGAGGAGGCCGGAGCAGGCCCTGGATCCGGACTCGAGGCCTTGTCGGCGGGGAACTGCGGAGTCTTCAAGCATGGTGTGCAAAGGGGGGCACAGATTCGGTAGGGGACATTCCCCGGGCTCCAGGAACTCCTTGCCCCGAGGTGGGGGAGGGATTGCGCGGAAGAAAACGGGCAGAGTTCTTACCTTGCGCTTGTTGCGGTGGATGTCGCCAATGGAATTGGACACCGTGTTGGGGCCCAGCAACATGCGGGTGCTGCGAGGCCACTCGGTGCTCACGAGGTGGTGCTCGCCCATGAGGATCTTGCGCACGTTCTCCGCGCCGGTCACGCGTATCAGCGGCCGCCCCAACAAATGCGTCTTGAACACGTTGCCATACTTCTCCCTCCGCGACGACTGGAAGCCAGAACCCTGCGGGAGCCACACCCGGGTCTCTCTCAGGGTGCACTTCTGCAGAGGGCCCGCGAGGGAGGGGCGGCGGACCCCAACCCGGGGTACAGTCACCTGCCCCCTCTCCCCACCAAACACACTCACACAGACGAGCACGCAGGTTTTATTTTTCATAGCGTGCACAAGAACTGCGAAGTAGGGCCTAGAGGATAATAAATAATGCAAGGAGGCGGAGGCCCAGGGGCACCCCCAGGAGGCTGTTTTTTGGTAATGACTTTCGAGAGGAAAGAGGTATCCCGGACAGCTGGACCCGAAGCGGGAGTCTCCGCCCCCACCCCCACCCCCACACCCCCACCCCGCGCTCGGGAGCCTCTCGGAATAAATATTTCCAGGCTCCGGGCCACGGGCTGGCGAGACCCCGCGGGGTGGCCGCAGGCCAAAGATTATTTATAGCGGTAAGCGGTCGGTGCCCGGAGGCAGCAACTACAGATGGGGGTTGGAGTTTCCTCCGCTCTCCGGTGTGGCCCGCGCAGGGACCCGGCGGCCCTCGGAGGACTCTGCAGGGCGGGGTCACGGGCCCAGAGCCGCGATTTTCCTAATGCATTTTGCCCTGGAAATAACGGAGACGGACTTTGGTTGCCGCCCTGGAGTTTGGAACCCGAGCGCGGGGCGGGGCGGGACCGGGCAGGGCGACCCGCGCAGGTAACCAGATCCCCGGTGGTGGCGGCGCAAGCCGAGGATGGCGGGGCCGGGGCCGGCCGGACTCTCGAAACGGCTGGCGGAGCCGGCCGGGCGCGGGTACCGGAAACCGTGGAGACCTCAGAGGGGCGGGGGCAAGGGCGTCCCGCTCACCTTTGACGTCGGCACTAGTTACCCCACCCCACGTTAACCCTTCTCCTGCCGGGGCAGCACCCGGCGCAAAGGGGAGGGGCGCCACCTGTCTAGCCGCCCCGCCTGCCAGCCCACGAGCGTACCGACTCGGGCTCCAGATCTACCCGCTCCTGCACCCCCGAGGGGACAACTCAGTCCCCCTAGCCCGGGTTGGTCCCCCTCCTCACTTTCCTTTTTTCCACAGAAAACTACTTCCAGCTAAATGTGCACACACGCCAGTACAGCCGAAAAGTGACTCTGCAGAACCCGGAGCCCTAATCACTTTTCCACATGCGCCTCCGGCCCGGCGCGCGACGGGGAACGAGCTGGGAGCGCCCGCGCAGCCAGGAGGGGGGCTGGGCCGCGGGAACGCTGTCCCCCTCCCAGGCTGGAAGGCGGGGATAATTCCCCCTGCCGTGCAGCCCTTCTAGACGGCGTCTACCCCTTTAAGAAAAATCTAGGCGGAGGTGGGGTGCGACAGAAGGGGTGGTGAGGCGAGGGTTTCCCTCCCTCCGTCTGCTATACCCGTCTCCCTCGCTCCGTCTCACTCTCCGTCTTTCCTCTCCTTCTTTTCCTCTGTTTTTCTTTTCTTTCAACACAAAAGTTGGGTTGTGAATTTTCCGAGGTCGCCGCCGCCTCGCCCCCACCCCCCGCCTCTGATCTGCCTAACTATAATTAAAGTGCGTTTTTTGTGGCATTAATAAAGAGTTATTTGTCCGCCGTTTCCACGGTCTTCACAAAGAGTACTTTCATAGGGGCGGCCGCTCGGGCCGCGAGTCCAATTTATACAAAAATGTTGTATTTTTAGCCCTGGGCTCTGTTTAGATGGCGCTCGGTGGAAACGGAGAGCCCTTGGAGGTCCCCCCGTAAAATCTGATAAATGACTCCGAAAAAATAACGCTGGGATTCAGAGGGCTCTCATTAACCCCTTAGGCGCTCCTGTACACGTACCCCCTATTTCCCTCCTCACCTCCAGATCTAGGGCCCCGGGTTGGAGGGATGGGGAGGCTTAGGTTTCCTCCTCCCTAACTTCTGTGCAGGTTGGACGCTGACCCCCAGGGGCTCTTGTGGGATTCGGAGAAAAGGTCATGGGGACCTGAGGGGGGGCAGAGAGGTCAGGAAACGAAGTGGGGGTGGGTGGTGACAGACCGTGGATTCAGCAGACTGGCTCTAAAAGGCGGGAGCCGTTGCCCAAGTTATTTTATTTCCTAAATTCGCGGCCCAAAGCCTAGAGCACCGCTGCAGTTGACACTTTAAGTGTGGTGGCGAGGGAAAGGCTCTGGGGATTTCTTTGCGGGGGGTGGGGGGGTGATACATCCATTGGTTGAAAGGACCCCCACCTCATTGCACGAACAACCCCAAAAAGAGATGGGCCTAATCCGGGACGTGGAAAGACCACAGGGCAGAGGAACTTCGAACCCCCTCCCCGCCCCCGCTCCGCTGTCACTCGTCCCGGGGCAGGGTGAGTGCGTGTGTGCGCGAGCGCGCGGATTGCACGCGTCTGTTAATTTCAAGCCAAGCTTTCGCACCTGTAAACCCACAGGTCGCAGCGCTCACCTTTCGCTTCACCTCTCTAGTGCGGGGATTGTCAGTTTCAGGACATCCCTGCTTCCCCTAACAGAACAAACGCGCGTACACACAAATACACCTCCCGCAGTTACTGCAGAGGCGCTCCGCTCCCCCACCCCAAGAAGAAAACCGGTGTGTATCACATTGCAAAAGCGATTGTCTGGCACTTGATGAGGTGAACTCCAGGTTAATCTCCCCATTACCTACCTGGGTCTGGTCCCTGACGCGCCTCACCCCCGTTATCACCAGCAGAGTGGGGTTGTGCGGCATCTAACAAGCACACACGCACTCTCTCTCTATGGATCCCACACTCACCTCTCCCAAGTTTCCCTCTCCTGCCAAACTGTCCCCACCCAATAAGTAAATAGACCCTTTTCCCCGAAAGCCTAGAGCCCTGGATTCTCATTTTTCCTTGGGTTACCTTCTTCCTCTTCCACCACAAAACAGACACACTCGCGCGGACCGCGGACCAGGGACACTGTACCTGGCGCTGCCGACGGCGCCGCAGGAACACAGTTTTAAATCGGCAATTCAAGCTGCCACCAGCCCCCTCCTCTCCCGACTCAATTTTCGGCTCCCAGCGACACAGCCAACCCCAGAAAGCCGAGGGCGACTGGGGGCTTGCAGCACCGAGGGGAGGCGAAAGCGGCTCAGGACCGGACCCTCCCCCGGGACCGCGCCTCGCTAGGCGCCCCCGGGGCGCTCCACGCCCCCTGCCAGGCCAGCCGCGACCCAGGCAAGTCCATCTTGGGAGCCCCCTCAGGTCCGGGAACCCCTCTTACCAGCCCCCTGAACCTGCGCCGCGGGCGCCAGTGGTCCCGGAACCGCGCTGCCGGCGGGCTGGGGAAGCCCGGGCTGCTGCGGCAGAGAGGAGGGAAGGGGCGGGGCGGGGACCAGTGCCTTCAGGCTCCCGGCGCCCCCTGGCCGGCCCGCCGCTCCGTCTGCCCCGCGCTCGCAGCTAGCGGACCCCGGAGTGCAGCGGAGCGAGCGCGCCCTTACCTGCAGCAGCCAGTGGCCGGTCTCTCCGATGAGCGGGAAGCCCATGGATCCCTTGGGGATGGGCAGCTTGCAGCTCTTGTCGCGAGTGGCGGCCCAGCGCAGCTGCCACAGCTGCTGCGACACGGCCAGCAGCAGCGTCACGGACACCAGGCACGCGGCGAGGGTGGCCAGCGCCGACACCAGATCCAAGCCCTCAAAGAGCATGTTGGCGGCCGCTCGGGGGATTGGCTGTGCCGGCCGCGGCGGGGGAGGGGAGGGCCCGACGGGAGGGGACCGGAGCGGCGGGGGAGGGGAGGCTGCGGCCGGGGGTCCTGGCACCTCCAGCCGAAACAGAGAAGGAGGAAGGGGCCAAGGGAAAGGGAGTGGAGGCTGCGAGGGGAGCGGAGAGAGGGAGGAAAAAAATTGCCTAAAAGAAGAGAGGAAACACGAGGCGACTGGGGTGCAACTTTGTTTGTTTGTTTGTTTGTTTGTTCCTTTATAGCGGGCTTAGGGGCTGCTCAAGGGGTGGTGAGATGAAGCCGTGAGTCAAGCTGGTGGGTTTGCTCTCCCCGCTACCATCACACTCGGAAAACTTTGGAAAACTTTGTCCAGAGGGAGCCTCTCTCTCGTAAGCCCCTTCCCCTGCTCGGAAAAAAAGAAGGGGGCAGAGAGCTAGCAGAGAGAAAGTGCGGTCGATTTGTCAAAAGTATTGCAGTATGGCCCCAAAATTCCTAGGTGAAAAAAAGAAAAAAAGAAAAAATTCCTGAATCCAAAAATTCCAACGAACCCAGAAACTTTGGGGGCGAGGGAGAAAGCTCCCTGGCTGAGGCGAGTGGAGAGGCCGGAGCCTAAAAGTCCCTGGGCTGCCCGGGGCGGCGCGCTCGAGCCCCAGAGCCGCCGCAGCACCCCCGAGGCAGGAGCGGCGGGCGAGGCGGCGAGGCGGGCGCTGCGGCCCGAGCGCGGGTGCGGAGCCGGCGGGCCGCGGCCGGGACGGGACGCAGCCGGCGACAGAGCCCCGGGCGGGCGATGGGGCGGCGGCGGCGGCGGCGGCGGCGGCGGCGGCGGCAGCGGGCGGGAGGGGTGAGGCGGGGTGGGGTTGGGGGAGGAGGTGGAAAACCCGAGCTGGGCTATTGTATCAATTAAGAAAAGGCAGTCCGTCCCGGGACGCGGTCTCTCGGCTCTGGAGTTGCTGCTGGGGGAAGAAATGGGGAAAAAAGAAAGGAAGGCAAAAGGAATGAAAGAGGGGGAAAAGCAGGAGGCAGGATTTCAGGGCTGGTGGTTTTAAAAGCTTCTCTCAATGTGAATTTGAGTCCAAAGCGAGGCGATGCGTGTGTTTATATAGAGGCGGGAGGCTGCGCCGTGGGCGCCCCGCCAGCACCCCCCCGCCCCAACCCGCGCGCTCACAAAGCCGGAGGCGTGGTGAGAGGCCGGGCCCGCGGCCGGAGCTGGAGAGCGCAGCCCGGCCTCCCGCCCCGCCCCGGCCGCCCGCCGCCCGCCGCCCGCAGCCCGCCCGGGACCCACTTGTAGCCGCCGCAGGATCAAACTCAGTTCACCTCTCGCCTCCTCTTCTTTCTCGCCGGCGTCTCGCTGAGCCCAGCGCCTACAGACGGACGAGATGAGACACACGCGCGCGCACCTACGCGCACACACACACAACACACACGCGCACACACACAACACACACACCTCCGCACACACGGTGCGCACTCGCTTAGTGCCTGCTTGGCTTCTAGGCTCCTTCCCTTCCTCTTTTCCTCCTTCCCAGGTCAGCGGTCCCCTCCTCCAGCTCCGAGCAGTCCCTCCTGGGCCGAAGCCCCGGCAGCGGAGGTCCTGGCCGGACTGCCCCCTCGACTGGCAGGCGCCCAAAGCCCTCGAAACTGTGCCTTAGGGTCCCGAGCTTCCAACCCCCGGGATCCCGCTGGCTCTTATCTCCAGGGACCCCTGAGTTACCAGTCCCAATCCCCCTAAGCCAGATCCCCCATTCCCGATCCCTATATCCTCACACCTCCGATGCTAAGGTCCGCCCCCGCCATATGTCTCTTACCCTACGGAACCTGGAGGTTCTCCTGTCCCCGTCAGCGTCCCAGGCTGCTGACTCTGCAGCCCCTCCTTTCCTGCACATTGGGACCCCCCTCCCCTGCTTTTGTAGTCCCCCTCCACCGCCCGCAGCGTCGGGGAACCCCGATACTGGTCCGGCAAGTGTCCTGCGCGGGGACAAACGCGGCGGCCCCGGTACCCAGAGGCGGGAGAAGACGGGCACAAACGTTCATTGATACAAATGAGTAAATAAACATGCTGGGTGAGCACGGCCACCTTCTCAGCGCTGGCAGCAGAGGGCCCGGCGCGCGTGCCTGTGTACGGTGTGCGTGTGGCCCGGGGCCGCACCTGTGTGTTCGCGCGCGTGGCCTTGCGTCGGCCCGACGTCTGAGGAGCGACGTGGTATGTCTGTGGGTTTGTGTATTCTTTGTAGAGCCATGAGTGTGTCTGCGCATCCGTGCATCTGTCATCTGGCCTCTCCTCCTGCGAGCCTGTGTTAACATGGAGCTGCGTACAGCAACCCCGACATTGGTCTAGCTAATGTCTGCCCCTCTCTCTCCCGTGCATCCTGCTTCCCTCAGCCCCCCTTGGCTCTGGCGTTCACTCTCACACTCCCGGAGCCAGAGTCGATATCCCATCTTTAGTTTAGAGTAGTGTGTGTGTCAACGATACTAGACTCCGCTTTTAACACCTTGCCTGCACCCAGTACGAGTTCTGCTTTAGAGTTCACGAGACGAGAATGTGTGTGAGCGTCTAAGGTGCGCACAGATGTGTTGTCCCTCCCTGTGTGAGCGCTTCCGAGGCTGGTGTGGCAGGAGATCTAAACGCTGGTCTAGCTCCTAGCGCTGGGTCACCTCGGCTTCACTCTCTGCCCTGGAACCCCACCTGGTGGGCAGTTATAGTACTACAGATTCGGGGAAACAATTCCCTCTGCTCCCTTTCCGCACTCGCCCTTCATAGTGGGAGATCAGCTCCAAAGGGCCGGGTTGTAGGCTCCCAAAGCACCCCGCTCCTGTGTCAGTGACCTCAGACGTCCACCCCAGGATGCTTGGGGCCGGACACTTACGAAGGCCCTGTCAGGATCACTGTGGTCCTGAAACAGGGGGCTAGGAAGCACCCTCGAAGCAGGGTGGTTTCACAAAACAGTCACATCTGAACAGGGCACGTCAAAGTGCCAGAGCCACCCCACACCCTATCTGAGGATGAGGCTAACATAAAATGGGGTTGGGGGAGATTGTTAAGGTCTTGCTGGCTTGAAGAGCTCTAAGAATCTAGCCTGACCCCCAGACACAGCACTGGCCACAAGGTGGTGAAATGGGCAAGGTAACCCAGGAAAACTCACCTGTGGAAATCTCCATCTCCTAAAGGACAGACATGCACACAGCTTTATAGAGATGCAGATAGATGTACAGGCTGATACTGAGCACACACACACACACAAAGGATCATTGTCACAGTCACAAAACACCCACCTTCCAGCCACCAACCCAAGAGACCACAGGAGGTGTCTGCCGTGTGGGGATCACAGCCCCAGAAGTCCCCCAACACGCCAATTGCCTTCCTCCCATCCCCTCACTCCTGGGTGGGGGTGGCTTTGTGCCCTTTTGTCCTCCACTGCTCAGCCTCTTTTCCTGTTCAGGTATAGAGGAGGAGTTGGGAGGGTTGTGGAGGAGAAATTCTGAGTCCTTACACCCTGTGCCAAGTGGGATCCTGGGGAAAGTCTGCAGGGATGTCACAGCCCCACAGCAATAGTTGCTGGATTTCCTAATTAGAACCGCCTCTCTGCTCAAATCTCAAAAAGTACTTCGGAAAGATGAAAAGGAGAGCATGGTACTCCACTCTAAGACTTCCTGGAGGTGCTGTGGAGAGTGGGGGTGCTGAGGCCATGGACAGGCTTGTGAAGAGGGTGGCTAGGACAGAGAAAGCTCGGCAACTGTCTTTGCCAGTCAGATTCCATCAGAGGACTTTCTTTCATTAACCTCAGATAGACTTCTGACTCTGATCCCAGACAGAGCCCTGCTCCAAACCTCAGTCTAGCCTGTAACCCTGACCTAAAACAGACCTCTGAGTCTAATCCCAGAATGATCCTTAATCCTGGTCAAAGATTGACCCTGTCTCAAAGTCCAGACTGAATCCCAGTACTACCAAGTATCACTTTGGCTACAAAAGTATGACTGGCCCCTTGTAGACTGCCCCAAAGCTGCGGCACAGCTCAACCCCTGAGGCACTTGGGAGCACAAGTGTGTTCTAGGAGGGAATATTTGCCTCATTCTAGCCTTGGGATGATAAGCCTGTTGCCTAGTGGTCATCCCTCTCCCTCCGGGCTGGTTGTAGGAACTCCCAGACTGCCACGCCCCACCACACACACACACACACACACACACACACACACACACACACACACAGAGACAACTCTTTCCCATAGGCCCAGAGCATACCCCCAGGCTTCAGCTATTGCCTGCAGTGCTGCAGTTCAGGGCCTGCGTCACACGACCCTGTAGCCTTTCTGGCACTTTGAAATCAGTCAGAGCAGCCTGGGACATGAGTAAGGAGATGCTGGTTCAAGTGGAGCTCTGCCTGGTGACATTTGCAGTCTTTGGCAGAAAGGGCCTGGGAAATACAGAAGGTAGGCCTCAGGCACTCGGAATATGCAGGCAATGGGCAAGCACAGCCTCTGCACCCACTTCCCTAGCTCAGAAAACACTGCATACAGGGGCAGGTCTGCCTAAAGTCCTGCTGCTCACAAAGACACAAAGCTACACAGCGGTACTGTCTGCCCTGGACTTGCTACACCCAGGAGAATGAAGGCATTACCCCTTACAAGTCCCTTACATGCGTGCAGTCCTGTGTAGCCAGTAATTCTCTTCCACAGCTATTATATTTCAGTGAGATAAAATAGTGAGATAATACTATTTTTAGATATTAGATTTACTTGTTACATTTTGCATTGATGAGAAAACAGAGGGCCAGAGTCCCTCAATGCCCACTCCCGCCACACATACACACACACACACACACACACACACACACACACACACACACACACACTGTATTGTCCTGTTTCCCCTCCCACCACACAAGCACACATCTCCAGGAGCCATGAGATCCTGTCCATTCGGCAGCTTTCTCTTTGTTTAATGTCCATGCTTCTGACAACTAAAGCCGACAACAGAAGGAGCTGTCAATTTTACACTCAATTTTGTATAGTTTTGGCCTTGAATTTTTTCAATTGATGCTAATTTGCTTTTTTTCCCCTAAAATTATTTCTAATCCTTCCACCCGGAGCCAAACAGAAAGGGGGAAAATGTCCAGGATCAAGACGACCACTTGGCCCTACTGGCCAGGGAGTCCAGAGAGCAAAGAGACCAGGAGGCAGTGAGCAGGAGGCAGAGCCGTGTGTTCAGGGACCAGAAGAGTTTGCGAAAGCCCTCCCAGCCTCTGGCCTGCACCTTGGGCTGTCTAGCCTGAGGGACAAAGCCCAGGATTTCGCCTCAGGGAGCTCTTTGCTCTTAGTCCTGTCCTGCCTTGCTGGCATGAAGGAGTCCTTGGAAAACTCAGCTCTCGGCTCCTTCTCATTCTTCCCAGGGCCTCGGGCTGGCTCCCTTCTGTTCTAAGTCTTCTTGGTACACTGCCTGACAGTGGCGGGGCCCTTTGCCTGCAAGATACCAAGTCCCATGGGGAAACGACATTTCTGAGGAGCTATGGAGGAGAGGGACCTGGGGCGGCAGGTCCTGCCCAGACCCTTCTCCAGAGCCAGAGCAGAAACTGTGACTCCGGTGGGTCAGGGATGCCGCTTTCCCCTGGAACCCAGCTTGTGGCCCCAGATATTCATCCCGAGGCCCAGGTGCCTACCCTTCCCCCACTTCGTGCCCTCCCTCCAGAGCCGGCGCCACAAGATCGGCAGCCCCCATCCAGTGCCCAGTCCTCAAGGGCAGCTTAGAGGGCGCTCCCTGCCTGTGCCCTGGCTGTTCTGACAGGGGCTGGGATCCCTGCTGTCCAGGCTGGGTGGGGATAGGGGTGTATGGTGGCACTCAACCCAGCTCAGCTTGGAAATCACCGCGGTACCAGGAATTCTGCCTTTAGGGGCTAAACTCTTCTCCTCCCCCCACCCCTTGCAGCTTCAGGGGCTCTGAGGCTGTGTAGAGAATTCACTGACCCCCGAAAACCACCGCCTGCCAGAAACCCACCCAGCCCACCCGCGCCTTGGAGAGGCCATCCTGCTGTTTCAGTGTTGCTGAAACAGAGCTGGGTTCTGGGCTCTGTGTGTTTATTTCCTAAAGGCTGGCTTCTTCTCCTTCTTTGTTCCTTAGTGCCACTTGCTCCCACCCCACCCCCAGGTATCTTCGGATTTTGATTTCGTTTTGTTTTAGATAACAACCACTATCCAGGCATCTCTACCTGGCAGAGCCAGATGCAGGCACAGCCTGGCCCCTCACTCCCAGCCCCTCAGAGAGGAACAGTGAGGAGGGAGCCCCTCACCCACTCCTCTGCAGCCTTCTACGAAGGCGGTGGCCTTTGGGAAAGAACTTTGCTTCTTTCCCCTTTGCCTGAATATGAAACAAGCCTCACGTCATACCTCATCTCAGAAATCTCAGCTTCAGAGACTTGCCTCAAAAGGAATTTTCAAAAAGAAGTGGAAATACCCCCATCATCCCCTGTCAAAGCCCCAAACTCAGTCCTTTTCCTCCCACCCCACACCCAACCCCAGTGAAAGCAATCCAAAAAAGGACTTGCCAATGGAGAGGACGGGTAGGTGCGAAGAACGCAGCTGACAGCTGTGTCCAAATCAGCACGGCCTGGAAAAGAGTAGCCTGCTCGGTGGC
This sequence comes from Homo sapiens, assembly GCF_000001405.40. NCBI lineage: Eukaryota > Metazoa > Chordata > Mammalia > Primates > Hominidae > Homo > Homo sapiens. Next base: position 72,154,470 of record NC_000002.12, read on the forward strand.
AATGGGACACCGGCAGTGCCCCAAGCTGGCTGTGGCTGGCAGCGACACTGCTGCAGTGATGGCGTTCCCTCAGGCCCGGGGAGCCAAGAGCCCTTTATAGCCTGAAACCTGCCCTGGCACCGCCTACTGGGCGGTTGCAACGAGGGCCTGCAACTAGGGGAGTCTCTAGGAGCTGGGAGGGCATTCGTCCCAGGACCCCAGGGCCAGGGCCCCACACACAAGAATCTGGGATTCAACCTCCTCCCACCAAGGCAACTGTATGTCCTGGTATGTGTACGAGACTGTGTGTGTGTGTGTGTGTGTGAGTGTGTGTGTGTGTGTGAGTGGGCATGTGCTCGTGCTTAAACGTCCATTCAAAGACCTCAGATCTCATTCCCTCATCCTCTTTCTCTGGCAGTAACAGTTTTTGAAAGGATGGGGAGAGCAGTGTGTTTCTGCTCAGTTTATCAAATTACACTCAGTGACAAAGGACTGAAGTGCATTTTCTTGAAGGCTTGACAATTGGGATCCAGGAAGAAAAAAGAGGCATGACAGAGAACCCAGAGCTTTTGTCGAAGGTAAAACACGGATATGAAAAGAGGGGGGTGTGGTTGGGTGGCTTTCAGTGAATTTGTCTTCATGTTGCTTGGTGTTAAAAACTGCTTCCCCCCACCCTCCACCCAAGCTACAAACATCTCACAGATCCCAGAAATTGCAAGATTGTTGATTTTTAAAAGGAACACTGTTCATTTTGGCACAGGCTGAATCAGACAAGCTGGGGCACAGCCTCCTCCCGCAGGGCCCCCAGGTTCTCTTTCCAGCCTCCCATGCCAGGGAAGCCTCCTCTGAGAGGTCACTTACCAAGATCCAGTGCCCTCCATACTGCTCACTTCAGTCTGTCCAGCCAGCTTCTCCTTAGGGGTACAGTTGGGACAGGAATGGGGTGGGCTTCTCCCTGCCATTCAAAGTTCTGTCCTGCACTTGAACTCCGAGGGTTGCTAGATGGAGAAGAATGGACTCTGGGGGCAGGTTTGGCCTGGAAGCAGAGCACACAGGGGCCCTGGACTGTTTATCTCAGAGGTTCGCATTCTTTGGGAGCAGAAGGGAAGCCAACAACCTAAGTGACCAGCCTCAGGTGCAGAAGGCTAAGAGGAAAAATATCCCCTTATCTAGAGCTTGGAGACGATACCTGAAGCAAGTCCACCCTGCCTGCTGTTCCCAGCTGGCTTTTGTTCATAAGCCCACCACAGGCAGACCAGCCAACTAACCAGGAGCCTCGCCCAGAGACCTCAGAGAGCAGAGTCAACCTGAGAATCTAGTTGGCAGAGCTCTCCATTCCCAAGTCCAAAATGCTACCAAATCACTTCCTCTCGCCTGAGGCTGAGACTCCTGCCCACCGCCTCTCAGGAGATGGAGAGGCAGAGCAGAGAGGCTGGGTGGTGGCCTGCCTGAATATCTACCTTTCTTCTCATGCCTACAGCCCAGCTCCAAGCTCACAGGGGCCCTGCTGCTGGAGCTTTAGCTAGTTTCTTCTCCAGACACTGGTGTGGCGGCTGGAGCATAAGAGAACAATTTCCGGCGAGACTCCCACTCCCCATCTCCACTGTTCTGACAGCCAAGGTTATTCTGGCACATGCCTGTGAAGATTTCACCTGGTCCCCCACTGCCTGGGCCTGACCACTCTGCCCAAGAAGTTCTTGGAAGAACTGTTGCCTTTCTAGTACATTGTGTCCATCAGCATCCCCACCAAAGCTCTATGCTTTCTGTCAAACCCAGCTTCAATACAAGCTCCTTGGTGCCACACCCCCAGCAACCAGATGGCAGCTCTGATATCCTTTCTGTATGGAAAATCCGGAGCACCTCTGAGTCTCTCTTCTAATTTTCCCTCCATTGGTTTCATTCTTTCCTCACTATCCTGCTATTCCAAATGTATTAATTCTTCATGCTTCCAAACAGGCAGAGTGGCTTAGTAGCTAAGAACAAGGGTTCTGGAGTCAGTTAGAAGTAGGCTTAAAATCTGCTCTGCCACTTACTGGCTTGAGCAATATACTTTACCTATCTAGGCCTCAGGTGCTTCTCCAGTGTGGAGAATGGGTTAGAACAGAGTGGGAGTTGAGGCAGGGAGACCAGTTAGGAGACTATGGTGATAACTCAGGTAATAACAGTAAAAGTGATAATAATAACAAAGTAATAAAAACTAACACTTATTTAGCACCTTCCTACCTGCCAGGCAGTTTAAAAAGCACTTCACTTATTTCAGCTGGCCCTCACAGCAACCCCAGGAGGTGGACAGGTAGATACTATTATCCTTGCTTTACAGAGGAAGACTCTGAGATACTAAGTGGTTCAGTAGCTTGCCCAAGTTCATCCATCTGTACTTTTGAGGTTAAATTTAATCTCCTCTAAAATTCAAATCCAGGGAATGTGGATTAGAATCTGAGCTGTTAGCTGGCATACTAAAGACTAAATGAAGCTAGTAGCAGTGATGATGAAGAGAAGTGTACAGATTTTAGAAATATTCAGAGTTAGAATTAAAAAGTGGACAGATTTGGCAACTGATTAGGGGTGGGGGCAGGTGGTAGGGAGCGAGGCCAGGATTCCAGGCTGGGGAACTGGGTGTGTGGTGATGATATGTACTGAGGTGGGGAACTCGGGAGAAAGAGAAGACTTGGGGAACAAGATGTTGAGTTTGGTTTGGGACAGAGTAGGCTCCAGGTGGTGAAGGGATATGCCAATGGAACTGTCTGCTAGCTGTTGGACATAGAGGTCTGGAGTGCAGAAGACAGATCTGGACAGGACAGAGACTTGGACATCATCTGCATTCACATGCTAATGGGGGACACAGGAGTAGAGAAGCCTACACCGAGAGGAGAGAGCCCCAGAAACACCAGCATTGAAGATACAAAGAGAGGAAAGGAGTCTGGGAAACAGCAACCTCTTTCCTTTGCCCACACATCCCGTTTAGCCTCACTTGAAAGTGATTATTTCTTTTGTTTGTTTCCCCTTAGTACTTATTTATTTATTTATTGAGACAGTCTTGCTCTGTCGCCCAGGCTGGGGTGCAGTGATGCGATCTTGGCTCACTGCAACCTCCGCCTTCCGGGCTCAAACGATTCTCCTGCCTCAGCCTCCTGAGTAGCTGGGACTACAGGCATGTGCCACCGTGCCCAGCTAATTTTCATATTTTTAGTAGATACAGGGTTTTGCCATCTTGGCCAGGCTGGTCTCAAACTCCTGACCTCAAGTGATCCACCTGCCTTGGCCTCCCAAAGTGCTGAGATTACAGGCGTGAGCCATCATGCCCAGCTTTTTCCCCTTAATACTTAGAATCTCAGGGTTATCAAGGAACTCGGAAGCTGGCAATTTCAGCCTCCACCTGAAATTTGCATTTAGAGGCTAGTGAGGACAGAAGGGCAGGTGATAGGTGAGGGAGAGGGAGGAGGATGGAGGTGCTTGGGCAAGGTCTTCACATGATAATGCTAGTTATTAAAGCACCAGCTCAGACAGCCCTGGGCTAGGTATAGCCTCTGATAGGGATGAGGCATTGCTCTGAGCAACTGTGGGGAAGCTCCCTGGCAAGACCACCAAATGGAGACCAAAGGAGCGGAGGAAAGCTGGCAAAGCTTCCTCTGCTGGGTGGATGCACACATTTTTGCTCTCACAGATGCTCCTGCCCCTGCTCCCAGAAATCCACATGATCTCTGCCCAGGACACATGCCCAGCCCCTCCCCATTCTCCATGAGTTGGTTCAGGGGCTGAGCTTCATGGCTCTGAGACTCTTGCCTGGCAGGAGGAGGGCCATCCACCACTCTCAGGACCTTCCTACCCAGAGAAGCTTGGCTGCTTTGTGAGGGACCCCACACTAGAGCACATGTGGAGAGGAAAAAGGAAGTCATGCTAGAATGGATGTGGGCGTGGTGTGGGGCAGCCTTCTCAGAAGTCCACACCAATAGGAAAAGACCCTGCATGGCCTTCTGTCTGGCCCCCAGATGTGGGATGTGGGCTTCCCCCTCTGCTTAGCCTCTGAGCTCTCCCCACCAGGACCCAGTTCCCGTGGGCCCATGGTCAGTCTGGGGGAGGCAAGCTTGACTATTATGGTGGAAGGGCAGCCCCAGGCTTAGAGCACTCATCCACTGATCCCTGCGGTCCTGTTACAAGGCTTTCTCCCACCCTTCCTGTCCCTGTTTCTGCGTCTGCCTGATCGCTCTCCACCCCCACTCCAGGGCAGCCGCAGCACTGGTTATAGAGCAACTGTGGAGACGGGGGACATTTGGGCCAGAGGCTCCTCCCAGCCCACCACATAACTAAGCAACTCAACTCAGGCCAAGGACCAGAGGAGTGAGCAGAGCTCATTCAACAGTGGAATGTGGAGTTGAATGGACCTAGTTCTGTCACTTACCAGTTGTACAGTCTTGGCCAAGTCACTTCACCTCTCTGAGGCACAATTTTCTTATAAAACTGGAGAGAATAAGTCTTGCCTTACTGGACAAGTGATAGTTGTGAGGGTCATGCACAAAGATAATGCATGCCAAGCACTTGGCAGGGTGTCAGGCACACAGCCAGTACAGATTCATGGCAAAGCCAAGGAAGCTGAAGCTTTAGGGACCCTCATATGTACAGGCTCCTTTCAAAGCCCTAGAATAATAATTTTATGTTATTTTCTTAAGGAAGTTTCCTCAAATCATACAAGCCTCAGGCTCCACAAATCCAGGGACCTGAAAGGTAGTTGTTGCCCCTCTTGTCCCACCCCATTCTCAATCCACTCAATGTGTTCCCCATCCACTGAGGGAGAGTCGCTCAGTTTGGCCAGGGAGAGTTAAAACGAGCCCAGAGCAAGGCCTCGGCCCAGATGGAAAGCTGGGGTGAAGTCACCCTTCCATGTGAAGGTTGTCCTAGGCCTGGCCTCATTACTAAACTGAGCTTGGTGCCTACTCCTCCCCACACTCTTTGCAGCAGTCAAACCAACCCAGAAACCCATTGAAGACATGCTCTGGAACTCTCCAAAGTTGTGGCCCACTCCGAGCACTGTGTCCCGATCCTGGCAGAGGCTTTGCTCCGAAAATTATGACCTCCTAGAGGAGCCAGTTCTAGGGCTGTGCTAGGCAACACGGAGGCTCAAGAATGGGCCTTAAGGAAAACAAAGGCAACTTGGCTGCTTTCTCGATTAGCACCCGTTCCCTAAGGAGGCTTGGAGGGAGTGGAGACACAGGGCTCCCTCCTCAGTGTCTGAGAGATGGATGGGGCTGATTTTTTCCACGATCCCTCCCCATAAATCTGATTTGGCCCCTCATCTGTCTAGGCCAGTCTCCATGGAGGTGTGCGGTAGTGATGAATGGGCTGCCTGACTAATGTGACTGTGGTGGCAGGGACTGGGGAGGGGCTGTGCCCTGATGGATGGTCCTCATGAGGGCATATTGCATTAGACACCCATAATGCAATCAGCAGGGCCATTACGATACCAATTTGTTGCTCCTCCTTACCAAGGTGGGGCAGTGGATCTGGAAGATTAAGGAGGATGTCAGGACTTTGGAGACACTTGGGGGGATTTTGAGAGGGGGCAAGATTTCCCTGTTGGGGGCTATTACTAGGGGAATAATATGGAGCCAACGAAAGTGTAAGCTGAAAAGGGAAAACAAGGGAAGTGAGGCCCAGAGAGGTGTGACCTGTCTAAGGTCACTTCTGGAACCAGAAGGAAGAAGTGGAATTAGAACTTGAGTCTTCTGCTTTCTGTGCCAGCGTAGCCAGGGATGGAGGAGGGAATGGGCTAGGAGGGGAGAGACAACCTCACTCTGGCCTCGCTGCTGCTGGAGGCCTTCCCACCCCTCAAGAGGTTTACTGAGATGGGTGACACCAATGACTGCTTCTCTTCCAAAAGAAGGTAGTACACTGTGGGTCCCTGTGGAGGGCACCCCACCGAGGGCACCATTCCAGACTACCCACCGCTGTGCTGCCCCTCCTACCTACACTCGTTCTGATCTCTGTATTTTTCTCCTGTAATTTTAAAGTAGGTGTCTAAACATTACACTGTCCAAGTCTTTCCTTATCCTTTTTAAAACAAAATGTTCTTTCCTGCTTAAAAGCTGTTAGCAGCTGCCTGTTGCCTTTCAGGATTGGGGGCCATCACCCGGGCCGCACTCTGACTGCAGCCTCTGTCCCAGCCTCAGCTCTGGGCTCCCTTGGCCTCACCCAGCTTCTTCTGTGAAGAAAGCATACCATGCAGCTTATACTCATAGGGCCTTCATTTAGACCGGATGGGTAGGAAGGTGATCATCATACTACTCAGTTTAACATTTCAGCCAGTGCAGGCTTTACTCTAGTTTCCTTTTCCTCTTCAATTGCCAGCCCCACTCTTGATCCTCAGCTTCTGCCCCTAGATACACACTCCATTGTGTTGATGTATGGCCCTGGTGGTGGATATGTATCCTTAAAAACAGTGCTGTCTTATGTATGGATGCCTTTTTAACTTTCATCAATGATCTTGCACTATACAGCTCTCTTGTTTGGATCTTTAAAGACATTTAACACTGTTTTGAGATTTTTTCATGTTGCCTCATGTACTTCTAGTTTATTACTTCTGACTGCTGCAAAATATTCTCAAATATGAGTGACAGACACCTAGATTGCCTCCAACTGCTCATTTCTACAGTGGCAGTGAATTCATTTTCTCCACGTGTTTAACCAGGAGGGAACTTACCAGGTCCTTGGGGACGTGTGTACAAGTTCTGCCGGGTGACTCTCCAGAGGGCTGCTCTAGTCCAACACTTCAGCAGCTCACAAAGGTGCCGCCTCCCTCATCCTCAACTTGCATGATTCCACTGTCTGATTTGTCAGTCTGACAGGTGTAAAGTGCCCTAAGCCTTTACACATAGCAGTTACCGCTGCTCTGAACATCTTTCCTTTTAATATCATTCTGCTTTAAACATCCTCCTTTCACTGCCTGGTAAACTCCTACTTATCTTTCAAAATCCAAATCTAGTATCATATTCTTTGTGAAGTTTTCCAGTTTGCCATTCCTTCCTTGGTGCTACAGAACATCCTGTGCAGACCATCCTAGTAATTATATCACTGTAAGCCTTTCCTTCTTTCTCATTTATACAACCGCCACCGCCCCCCCCACCACCCCGCCCCCGTCAACCTTGTCAATTAAGGCAGAAATGGTTCCTGCCTCAGGAAACCATGGGGTAGGGGGAGAGAGGAGGTGAGGAAGGAGTGAGGTAGATTGTATAGGTAGGAGCTGGGAAGTCAAGCAGTTAATTATATAAGCCTTTCTCTTGATGGATTCAAAGGACTTTAAATACTGAAATTGTGCATTCTTCTTCATGGTTCCAGTGTCTATGCTGTCAATAAGTGTTTCTCTGAATAAATTATCTCTTAGGTACTTCAGGATCTCACTCAATTCTATCTCAAACAGCTTTATCTTAGCTATTTCTAAATGTTTCTCCCCTTCTGTCTATAACCAAGCCAATATCTCTCTTAGCCTAGAAAGACTTTCTCTTAATGCCAATGAACTCCAGGCTGACATTTCACAAAGGATGGGATGCAAAGGAAAGAGCATGGTAATTAGAATTAAAAGACTCTGGGGAGTTCATGTACCCTTTCTTACACAATGGAGCTAGGTTTGTTGTTTTACACAACCATGCGACAGCACTGTGCATCCATTCTCTTTCCTTCACCAAGCTTCCAAAAAATATCTTCACACATGTCCAAAATTGAATTCCCCATCTTCCTTCAAACCAATCCTCCTCTGGAATATTTTGCTTTAGCAACTCTATCATTTTCCCACCTCCCTGGCTACTTAGTGAACTAGAAGTGCATTAATTCATTAATTCACCTTTCCAGTTGATACTTAAATATGCTCCTCATCTCCATCCTCATTTGCACTGTTCTCAGAGTAGAAGAATCTTCAGATTGGGTATGAGTTTGTTTAGAGACAATGTGTACAATTTAAGTCGTCTGGTAACCTGTTTTGGTAGGTTACATCCCACCCTAACTGCTTCTCCATCTACAGACTCGTCTGACATGTTATAGGAATTGCAAATCATCAATGACCAGCACTCTAGCTATCTTCCCCTGCTCCAGATGAAGTTAGTTTTACAAGTTTTGTCAAGAAACAGATAACCCTTGATACACTAAAGCAAAGAGAGGAAGAATAAGATTTCTCAAAAAATTATTCCTACGTACCAAAACAAAACCTTTTGAAGGCAGCATAGAAACAGTTATGTACGTGGCTGGGCATGGTGGCTCATGCCTGTAATCCTAGCACCTTAGCAGGATGAGGCGGGAGGATTGCTTGAACCCAGGAGTTTGATACCAGCCTAGGCAATATGGTGAGACCATGCCTCTACAAAATATTTTTTAAAAGTTAGCTGGGCATGGTGGTGTGCACCTGTAGTCCCAGGTACTCGGAAGGCTGAGGTGGGAGGATTGCTCAAGCCTGGGAAATTGAGGCTGCAGTGAGCCGTGATTGTGCCACTGCATGCACTCCAGCCTGGTGACAGAGTGAGACTCTGTCTCAAAAAAAAAAAAAAAAAAAAAAAAGCAAAGAAACAGTTAAGTACAGACAAATATTATGAATATTTATATAAGAATCCTAAGTTAAATGTTACCAAGTAAAATACAGATGTTTGCTAAAATAATAAGATATTTTGATTAAGCGTGGCTGAAATAATAAATGAGCCAAAAGATGTTTCAACTTAGGATTTTACTATATTAAAAGGTAAGGGAAAAAAGTGATTTCAATAGAGGCTAAAAAGAAGTATTTGATAAAATTCAACACTAATTTCTTTTAAAAGCTAACAGTAAAGTAGGAAGAGCAGAAAACTCCCTTAACTTGATAAAACTATAGCAAGTCTCACAATTAATAACTAACTTAGAAGCACTTCCACTGAAGCAAGGAGAGACAAGTTCTTACCATTACCACCATTATAAAACACTGTCTGGTTGTCTTAGCCAATTAAATCAGAAAAAAATCAGAAATGCAAGGAAAAATCTAAAGCACAAATATATAAATATTAGTGATAGATCTTGAACCACTTTCTCAACTTCTTTCATGACTATTGCTCTTTTGGAGTGTTCTGTGTTTTCCTGGTTCAATTCAGGTAATACTTATTTTTCTAGAAGCATAATCCATCTTCCTTTAGGTTTACAGATTTATTTCCACAAAATTATATAAAGTATCCTCAACATTATTTATATGGATATTAGGACTATCTACAATAGAATTTTCCAGGGAATCAACTGCAAACCTATTAGATCTGATAAAAACATGCAATAACTTCTTTGGATACATGATGAACATAATCAATAGCTTCCTTATGTGTTTATAACAATAAACTTGGAAATATAATTTCAAATATATAACAAATAATGTGCATATTCATGTGAATTCATTTGAGTAATGTGAATTCATGAGTCATGTAAGACTTATGGGAAGAAAACATAATCCTTTGTGAAATACATAAAAAAGGACCTAAATAGAGACTTACCATGTTGGGATGTCAGTTTCCCCCAAATTTAATAAATTCAATGTAATCCTAATCAAAATCCACAAGAGGTTTTCAAAATGATACTTCACTAATTCTGAAGCTCATCTGTGAAACTAAACACACAAGGAGAGACTAGACATTTTTGAAAAAGATCAATAGTAGAGACTTTCTCTATTAAATATCAGAACATATTTTAAGGTTACATAAATTATAATGATCTCAAATTGGCACAGAAATAGACCAGTAGAATATAGAGTCTAGAAACAGACCCATGTATTGCAAAGCAGTGAGGAATGGGTTGACTGATAATAATAAGCACTTAGGATCTTCAGATAGCCATTTGAAAAAAAAGGTTATATTTGCATTTTATATAACCCCAAATAAAATCTAGATAGATTTAATATTTAAATATAAAATGAAACTAAAATATTTTTATAATCTGGTGGTAGTGGTGGGTGAGAAAGCTTTCTTATGTAAGATATAAAACTCAAGAGCTTAAAGGAAAAGACTGATGATTAAACTATATTAAATTTCAAATATCTGTCTGATGAAAGATGCCATAAACAAACATTACAAATAGGTGAAAGTGGGAAGTATGGGTTAATAATTATGAAACTGTATGCAAGGGTTGAATAACTAAGTAAATGGCTAGTATATGGCAGGAGACAGGATCTCACTCTTGGAGAGAGATAAGCAATAAGGAAAGACTAGAATGATCCCTGGGGTACTGGATTACATTTGGAGACATCAGTATGAATTCAAGTTTTATATATATATAGAGAGAGAGAGAGACAGAGAGAGAGAGAGAGAAAGAGAGAGAGAGTATGCCTCATAACACAAACACACACAGAGATGTACAGATACAGAAACAACTAGAAATATTGTATATACATGCATTATCTTACATAATACAGTATCTAGCTGTCTGCTGAGAGCATAAAAGCAATGACACCCCAGGAGCAATGAGCATACCCAGCACCCAGATCTTGATTTTAAAATACCCCTCTTCAATAAAAGGAACCAGTGCTCCATGAAGAACTGGTTAATGCTAGGGCTAGGACAGGGAAAGTACAAGATAATCTTGCAGCATCTTGAGTATCATAGAGCAAGGAAATCATCAAAAAACAAAAGGATAAGGGTATGTCAAAGGCACACAAGAGCCAGTCTGAAAGAGTTCCCAGTGACCAAACCTGGAATAATTTAAGTAACAAAATAGGTAAGTAACATGGAATTGGATTATAACCCAAAGGATAGAATAAATACGTAAGGCAAAGGATAGCTACATAGATCAATGGGAGAGAACTGAGATTCCAGATATAAAGCCATACATCTACAATTAATTGATTCTTAGCATGGATGCCAAGACCATTCAGTGGGAAAGAACAGTCTTTTCAACAATAGTGTTTGGAAAACTAATATAATTTGAATTGTTCATATACAAAAATCAGTTCAAAGTGGATCAAAGACCTAACTGTAAGAGCTAAAACCATAAAACTCTTAGAAGGAAACAAAGGCATAAATCTTCTTGACTTTGGATTAAGCAGTTCTTTCTTAGATTCTTAGATATTATACCAAAAGCACAAGCAACAACAAGAAAAAAATGGATAAATTTGGACCTCATCAAAATTTAAAACCTTTTGCATCAAGGATACTGTCAAAAAGTGAAAAGACCCATAGAATAGGTTAAAATATTTGCAAATCATATATCTGATAAGGATCTAAAATCCAGACTATCTGAAGAACTCTTACAAGTCAACAATTAAAAAACAAATTGCCCAATTTAAAAAGAATTTGAATACGATATAAAAATGGTCATCATCATGACCATTTTTATATCACATATATTGTATATATTGACCATTTGTATATCAAATGGTCATGGAAAAATTCTCAACATCATTAGTCATTAGGGAAACTCAAGTCAAAACTACAGTGAGGTGCCTCTTCACACCCACTAGGATGACTATTACTTAAAAACATAAACAAAAAAATGGAAAATAGGAAGTGTTAGCAAGAATGTGGAGAAATTGGAACCCTCATATATTGCTGATGGGAATAGAAAATGAAGCAACTGCCTTAGGAAACATTTTGGCAGTTTCTCAACAAGTTAAACATAGTTACCGTATGACACAGCAATTTCACTCCCAGGTATATACCCAAGAGAATTGAAAACACATGTTCAAACAAAAACTTGTATACCGATGTTCATAGTGGCATTATCAGTAATGGCCAAAAAGTGGAAACAACCCACGGGCTCATCAATGGATGAATGGATAAACAAAACATATACAATGAAATATTATTCAGCCATAACAGATATGAAGTACTGAGTATGCTACAACATAGATGAACCTTGAAAACATTATGCTAAGTGACAGAAGCCAGGCACAAAAGGTTGGATATTATATGATTCCACTTATATGAGATGTCCAGAATAGGCAAATTCATAGAGAGAGAAAATAGATTAGGGAGAGGGGAAGAGGGGAATTGGGAGTGATTACTAATAGGTATAGAATTTCCTTTTGGGAGGATGGACATCTTCTGAAGTTAGACGACGTTGGTTGCATAACATTGTGAATATACTGTAAACCACTGAACTGTATGCTTTGAAATGGTGAGTTTTATGTTGTGAGTTACGTCTCAATAAATACAAAAAGAAAGCCCAAAATAAGTGCCAAAAATCCATATAAGTTCATACTAATATAAATAAGTGACTTAAATTATTGGTCAAATAAACAAACAGTATTGAAGAGACAATTCTTTCTTACAGAAGAATTCCAAATAATTTATTGAGAGAGTCTTTGTGGGAGGTAAAGCTTAACCCTCCTGCCCTTCCCTGCCCCTTCAGTATAGGCTGCAGTTAGTGATTTGCTTCTAATAAATAGAATCTGGAAAGGGAAAAGTAGTAATTTTATAGTGGAGAAACCTGGCAAATGCTGCCTTAACTAGTGATGAAGGTTAACATCACCAGTGATGTCATGTGAATGTCATGTATACACTGATATATGATAAGGAAGTCACTTTGCCTTTGGTGTATTCTTTCAAAAAATCCATAGGCCCAATCTAATCAAGAGAAAAACTTCAACACAAAGTGAGGGACATTCTACAAAATACCTATCACTCCTAAAAACTGTTAAGGTCATGGGAAAGAAAGAAAGACTGAGAAACTGTCACAGACCAGAAGACACTAAGGAGATATGACAGCTAAATGCAATATAGTATCCTACACTGAATCCTGGAACACAAAAAAAACATTACTGGAAAAGCTGGTGAAATCTGAATGAAGTCCTAGTTAATACTATGTGCCAATGTGGTATAAAAAGTTTTCACAAGTGTACATTGTAATGTAAGACGTTAAAATAGGGCTTACTGAGTGAGTAATATCTGGAAACTCTCTACCACTTTGCAACTTATCTCTAAACCTAAAATTAGTCCAAAATAAAAAGTTTATTTAAAAGGAAGTGGAAGACTAGGAGAAAATATTTGCTCATATGTACTGAACAAGTATGTAATTATCATCAAGAGGATCAATGGGTCAAGGATCTTGTGACAGACCCCATCTCTTGACAACATTCATTTCCCCCTCATCTCCCTGCAGAAAGCATTCAGACTGGCTCAAATAGTGGTGAAGATACCTTGATATCATGCCCCTATTCTATCCATTTATCTTTCCATTCATGCATACAATCAGTTCATTCAACAAAATTTCTTAAGCATATTTTATGTGGCAGAAACTCTTCTAGATACTGCGGATAAAGCTATGAATAAAACATCCTGCTTACAGCTGCAGGAACTTACAGGGTATGAACCATGACTGGTATTAACCAGACATGATGATCTTACTCCTTCTGGTCATGACTGGTTTGGGGGTGCCCATGTGATCCAGTTCTGGCCAAAAAGATGTAAGAGGAAGTAATATGAAGAGATAATTTTAAATAATAATTTACATTCTGGAGGCTGAGGTGGGAGGATCACTTGAGCCCAGAGGTTTGAGGCTGCAGAGAGTTATGATTATGACACTGCACTTCAGCCTGGGTGACAGAGCAAGACTCCAGCTCTAAAAATAAATATAAATAAATAATTTTGAGAATACTTACATAATTTTAGGGTAAAAAGTAAATCTGTAAGCCTAAGTAAAGATGGAAATCATAGGCTTTTAAGAAAGGGATTCAGCCTGCGTGGCTCTTTATCTCTTTGCTTTTCTTCCTTCTTCCTGCCTGGAAAGTGAATGTGATGTCTGGAGGTGAAGCAGCTTTTCTGTGCCTATTAAAGGATAAACATACTAAGGATGACAGAACAGAAAGACAGAGAGTGTCTAGGTCTCTGCTGCTCCAGTCCTGTATTGTTTATGCTTAAACCTCCAGAATTCCTCAAACTTCAAAAAACAAAAACAAAACAAAAAAATTCCAAAAGCCCCCAAACCAGAAAAAGCCCTACCCATTTCTTCACTGCACTCATATGACATTTTGAATGAGTAGCTGAACACACTTCTAATTGATGAAGTTATCAACAGGCAATTTATTGATAATAACTAAAAATGGCTGAGATGTGGAAAGATGATTCAGCCCAACAGAAACTGGCAATTGAAAATTAATATGCCATTTTTCCTCACTCCAGTTTCCTCACGACAGTCTTATTGAGGGTGTGGGGAAGTGGACCTTCTCCCATGTTGTTGGTAAGGGTATAAACTGGTACAGCCTTTTTTTTTTTTTTTTTTTAAAGACAACTGACATTACTGATCTACAGAATGTTTGTATATATGCAAAAAGATATCAAAGATGTTTGCTTCAGTAGTTCTTGTAATGATTAGCAAGTGAAAGAAAGTTAAATAATGAGGAAATGGCTAAACAAATTAAGATACAGTCATACTGAGGAATACTATGCAGCCACTAAAAAGACCGAGAACGTTATGTGGAATACAAATCTATTTGTGAAAACATTTCAACATTTTGCTATATTCATTTAATTTTTAAAAAAGAAACTAGACTTTATAAAGTTAAAAAGCCTACTTTGTACCCCCATGTCCCTCATTTTTTTCTCCCTCTGCAGGGATAACTACTATACCAAATTTGGTGTTTATCATCTTCATGCACGTTTTAAAGTTTAAATTGTATTGTATTGTTATCTATAATTTAACTTACTTTTTTAAAAAAGTCAATAACTTTAAAAAATGTTTATTCATGTTGACCCATGTAGGTATAGTTCATTTTAACTGCTGTGTAGTATTCTATTAGATTAATAGAATATCTATTTTCCCACTGATGAACATTTAGGTTATTTCTAATTATTCATCATTATAAACAGTGCTGTAATAAACATTCTTGTACATGTCTCCTTGTGCACATGTGGATAGATTTCTCTAGGATATGCACATGTTTAATTCTACTAGATACAGGTCCACAATATGTTGTTCAAAACCTCTGGGGCCAGTTATGTTTCAGGATAAGACTTATTGAATTTTAGGAAGGCAATATGGCATATGTGCCATATATAACACCCTCAGTAGGGTTTGGGAAATAGACATAATCAAATATGTTACTTTTTCTGTGTTGAAAAGTATAAATATCCACATTAAGTGGGATAAATACAGATGATAAATAACTTCCCATTAGGTCAGATTTTGCACCAAATCAGTAAAGAAAGAATGAGCTTTTTCAATTTCTGAATTGCCAGTAAGGGATTTGGATCTGTAACACCAAGCTTCTCTGTAAAGTAGGTGTATTCATTTATCTTCCCACCTTTATGAGATCTTGTTTCTACATATCCTCATCAATAATTGGTAATATCAGACTTTAAGATTTTTGCCAATCTGATAGATGAGTACATACTACTTTCGTAATTAAAACAAAAAAGAACACATAGAACACGAATGAAGAGATCTCATTTTTAACAGTACTGAAAACATAAAACATTCATGATTGTACTAAGTAAGACATGTGAAGAATCCAAATGCAGAAAATGTTAAACTGTTTGAGGAATGTGAATATGACGAGTAAATGGACAGGGCCTTTGTGTTACAAATATGTCCTTAACCTATAAATTATTTTATAAATTCAATGCAACTCCAATGAAATCACAATAGAACACTGGAAATGAAAAAAATTATAAAATTAACCTGGAAGAATAAATATCTGGGAACATTCTGAAAGAGGAAAGTATGGTGTATTTCCTCTAATAGGAATGGGCTATTAGATATTAAAACAGACTACAAAGATATGGTAATTAAAACAATTTGGTAATGGCTCAGAAACAGAATGATCATGACACCATAAAGAAAATCCAGAAATAGACCAAAGATAAATATGAATTAAATATATGATAAAGATGACATTTTAAAATTAATCAATGATGTTGCAGACAACTAGTTAGCCATTTGGAAAAAAGAAAAGGCTGGATCCCTATCATGCTCCTCACATCAAAGGAAATTTCAAATTGATAAATGATTAATATATTAAAAATGAAATATCAGAAGAATACATGGTACAATATTTTTATAATTTTGAAGTGGGGAAATCTAAGTATCACATGAAATCTAAACATCATAAAGGAAAAGCCTTGTAATTTGACATTTCAAGAATGAAAAACCGGCCAGGTGTGATGGGTCACGCTTGTAATCCCCAGCACATTGGGAGGCTGAGGTGGGAGGATCGCTTGAGTCTAGGAGTTTGAGACCAGCCTGGGCAACAAAGTGAGACCCCTATCTCTACAAAAAATAAAAAAAATTAGGTGGGCATGGTGGTACATGCCTGTAGCATCAGCTACTCAGAAGGCTGAGGTGGGAGGATTTGCTTGAGCCAGGGAGGTCAAGGCTGCAGTAAGCCTTGATCATGCCACCACACTCTAGTCTGGGTGACAGAGTGAGACCTTGTCTCAAAAAAAAAAAAAAAAAAAAAAAGAAGAAGAAGAAAACAAAAACATTCTATACAGCAAAAAACACCACATAGTGAATATTGTGGCTGTCTCCTCCACATTCTTTCCACCGTCTTCCCCATTGTGTGGCTGCTATGCAGTTTGTTTGGGGGTAGGTATCCATACCTCCTTACTCTAAATTCCAAGGGTGAGACTTGATTGTTTTAACCTATGGAGGTAATCTTCTTGCCCTTGCCACAGTGATTGGTTCAAGTAACCCTGATAAAAGCAGTAAATTCATGGCATGCTCCTGATAAAAAAGAATGACATATAATCCAATTTAGGGTTCTCAATATTGGAGGCTTATTGGATTAAAAATTCCTTGTTCTTTTAAGAGAGCCACTGGAAGTTTCTGCACAATGTAGTGCGGGGATGTGAAATCTAGAAAAATGGCAGCCATTTAGGCACCATGAGGGAAGTAAGATTTAGGATGGTCTTCTTACCATAAAAGGCAGAGTAGAGGGGAGGAAAGGAAACAGACTTCACATTTTTTTAGTCATTGAATCATACTAACCCTGAATCACCTCTGGATTTTCAGCCAGTAAATATTTTCTGAGTTGGGTTTTTGTTACCTGCAAAATAAAGGGTTCTAACTAATATGAACCAATGAACAAACTCAAAAGACAAACTGGGAAAATATGTGCAATGCAAATGACAAATAGCTAAAATCCCTAAAACAAAGAACTACAAATCAATATGAAAAGAAAATAACCTAATTTTTTAAAAGGCAGACTATCTCAATAGTTCATACAAAAGGAAATACAAATAACAACCAAACAATATCAATAGATGCTTAAGTTCACTATAAATTAAAGAAAAGTAAATAAGAACAAAGGAAAATGATTTTTCACTTGAAAGGCTGACAAAAATGGAAAGAAAACATTAATATTACTTAGGGCTGAGAATTCATAGGGAGACAGATTCTCTCATAACCTATTGGAGAAAGTGTAAATTGGTGATTTTCAAAAGAGTAATTATATACTTTCTATTAACATTTAAATACTCATAGGTTTTTGGGGTTTTTTGTTTTGTTTTGTTTTGTTTTTTGAGATGGAGTCTCATTTTATCACTTAGGCTGGAGTGCAGTGGCCCGATCTCAGCTCACTGCAACCTCCGCCTGCAAGGTTCAAGTGATTCTCCTGCCTCAGCCTCCCAAGTAGCTGGGATTACATGTGCCCGCCATCAGGCTGGGCTAATTTTTGTATTTTTAGTAGAGATGGGGTTTCACCATGTTGGCCAGGCTGGTCTTGAACCTCTGACCTCAGGTGATCCACCTGCCTCGGCCTCCCAAAGTGCTGGGATTACAGGTGCGAGCCACTGCACCTGGCCAATATTCATAGCTTTTAACCAACCAATTCCACTCCTGAAATTGTATGCTATGGTAATACCTAAGCAAGTAGGCAAAGATGTATACAAATATCTTGCAGTATTGTTTATAAGAGTGGAATACTGGAAGCATTCTAAATATTCATCAATTCAGAACTGGTTAAATAAACTCATGGTACATTCATGCAATGAAAGATCTTTATGGGCTTCATAAAGGATGAAGAAATTCTGTATGTTGCCAATAAAATATATTTAAGATAAATTAAGTAAAAAGTAAAACTGTAATATAATACACTATGATTATAATTTTTTGTGACGGTATATACAGATTAAAATAATTAGATAGAATATCATCACACTAACTGTTACTAGTGTGATCACTGTTATGATCAGATGTGGGAAATGGGATTAGGGTTCAGTGGGGAAAGCCCTAATTCTGTCGGATACCCACATACTCATACACAATACTCATCTACACACACATTTATCACTACCACCAGGACCACATCCTGCCCATCAGGAATTAAACTGCTACTTTGGTTTCTCACCTGACTCTTAACCTGTTGTCAACCTGCTCCCTACTCTGTGGCATGACAAGGGTAGGATGGTACATGTTTGTTGAAAAATTTAAAACCACAATAAAGCAGACTAAAAGTTGGCTTGCTTTTTTATTATCTACTCTATGTTGGCAATTCTAAACAATGCCAATGGCAAAATAGCCCTCCCAGCAAGGGTACTGCTCTCACAACCCCCACGTTTGCACATGACTGCCCTTCTGAAAATCTCATTCATTTGACCATGAGTGCCCATGTGCCATTTGCTGGGCTAGGTGCTGCCCATCTTTGCCTCCGTCTCCAGTGTCCAGACCACCAATGAATTCCCACTTAGCTCCTGAGACGGTTACATGAAAATGCCTTCCCTAAAATCTTGGGAAAAAGCCTAATGGTTGCTTAAAACTGGCTATCTGAAAAGCCTTTGGCTTGTCAGTCATAGGCCCCTTACAAGTACCCACGGAAAAGATGTTTCCCCAGCAGGCTTCTCTGGAAAAGGGGATCACTGGAGAGGGCAGGGCCTTACTCCATCAGCTTTAAGAATAAGCACCCCATGGAATAAAAAGAAAGCCATCTACCCAGCATAACCTGAGCCTTGTAACAGAGAGGGGAGTGTGTGGGAAGAACAAGAGGCAGATCCAATTAATTACCCTTAGAAGCAAAGGTAAAAGTTGAAGATTACGAGACCCATTTACAGGAGGAAATAGACCCATCATTGAGCCTAGAGAATGGGAGGATTGTTTAGGGCCAGAAAAGCGTCTCAATGTTCAGATTCCATTCCTTTTCTGGAGCTTTGGAAAGAGGAAGGTCATAGCTTGGGCTTGGAAGTTACACTTAGCAGTGGGTTCAGACTGGTAGGAGGGGGGTGCTGCTGTCTTGGGTCCGATTCTGGGCCCCCAGCCGGCCCCCACCCTGAGGAGATAGAAGCTTCTATCTTCTCTAGGGGCTGGCCAAGGAGGGGGTACCCCCTGCAAGAGGCCCATCCATTACCATCACAACAGCTGATGTCACAGACCCTACAAAGCAGCTGGGGCCCCAAATGCAGAGTAACCCTAACCCCACCAGCGATTGAAACAGATAGAGGGGTAGCTCTCCCACACAATGCCTGGCCCTCACTCCTCTCCTCCTCCTCCTTGCACTTCCTCAAGAGCCTTTGTCTTCTGGTCCCTAGGGCCTGTAGCCTCTCTCATTCCCGGCAAACTCTGTCCATTAAATTCAAAATGAGGCCTCTGGGGAAAGGGTTTGGCACTTTCTTTCCCTGCCTCCTCTTATCTCCCACCAGCTATTCCCCATCCGCATCTGCCTGGCAGGCAGATAAGAAGCCCAGCTGTGAGAAAAGGGGCAAGGTGGTGACTGCTTCACATCCTTGCCTGGGCTGTTTTGATTTGCTTTGTTTTTCTGCCTCAGAGCACCCCACAGGGTTGCTGGTCCCTCTCTGGACAAGGCCTTGGGCCGGAAGTCATAACAGTCAGTGCTGAGGCTGCGGGAAATGTTCTGGGGTGAGTCAGGTTGTTTGACTGTGACGGCCCAAGTCTCTGTACTGAACTCTGTCATCTCCCCAACGAGTTGGCAGCCTCCGTATTTTCAGGAGTGCAGAGTCCTCCCGTCCCCACTCAGGACCCCACCATGCTGAGAGAAAGCCAGGAGTAGCGGTTTCACCGATCTTTAGGTGTGACATGGGGTTCAGGGGGAGGCTCCTGGAGAAGGTGGGTGGCAGACCAGCAGGGCTTGAAAAATCTGTCAGAGCTCTATGAGGCAGGGAGAAGAGTCACTGCTTAGAGCTTCTGGCTTTCCCCCATGGGGAGAGCTACATGTCCGAAGGGATTTGGTTATTATTCAGTACTTTAGTCATGAATCTTTCATAGACATTGATGAAAGCCATGAACCTTCTTTCCAGAAAAAAATGGATGGCATGCACACATGCATGCAAACACACACACACACACACACATCTGCAAGGGTTCTTGGACACCTGGTTAAGAACTCCCAATAGAAGAAGGTGTAAGTTTTGGCACCAAAGTAAGAGTAGAGAAGATTCCATGTAGTGTTAAGGATAGGCTGTCCTCAGAGCCAGGCGGCTGGCTGATTTGAAAGGCGTGTCCCTCTGTTTCATATACAGGTGCTTGGCGGGGATGGCTATCACCAATCCTGAAGTGGACTTGGGGAGAGGATGTCAGGAGGCAGAGAAGCCCTGGACACTTTTGTCCAGCGCTCAGCCATGAGGCATGTTGTGGAATTGGAAGGTAGGGAGGAAAAGGCCTTAAATATTGCATGTGCTATTGCTCAGTTTGATACTGGCTAAGCATTTTGACCTTCCACAGCTCATTTACACTTCACAACAAACCTGTAAATTGGAGACTACCAGTCTGCTTTCATGGATGAGGATGATGATATTTAGGGAGCTCGTTTAGTAATTGTCAAGGTCAGGGGCTAGTAAGTGGCATTGCAGAGATCAAAGCCCCGGTCTCGGGCATGAAAGCCCAGTTGCAGTAGTCAGATTTCTTACTGGAGAAAATTGTTTCTAGTCTATTCCCATTGCTTGTGTGCTAGCCTGGAGGGCAAGCAGGCTGGGTGTTGCTACACTGGCATTGCTGGTCTTACTTACCATGGTTCCAGATGTGCCTAGGAGGTTCTTCATTACATCCCAGAACATACCAGGCTCATGCCAACATTGTACTCTAATATGGTCTGCACCAAAAATACTCATTCCTATGACTTAACAAAATTTGACTTGCATTCCTTCAAGGCCCAGCTAATTAAC
This sequence comes from Homo sapiens, assembly GCF_000001405.40. Lineage (NCBI taxonomy): Eukaryota > Metazoa > Chordata > Mammalia > Primates > Hominidae > Homo > Homo sapiens. Next base: position 72,175,481 of record NC_000002.12, read on the forward strand.
ATTCTGCTTCTTCTGAGCTGTCTTTCCTAACCAGACCCTTTCCTTCACTAGGCCAGGATGACTGTACCCCTCCTGCACTGAGTCTAAAATAGGCTCATCTCTCCCTTTTCTCCAGCCTGGCTTTGTTCTGGATAATCCTACAACACTCCATCTTGACTGGGAGCCTTTCCTTGGCAGGGCTAGTGTTCAACATTGCGTTCTAAGTTGCCTAGCCCAGTGTTCCACATAACTCAAGCATTTCAAAAAGTTCTTCTTGATGATGATGCCAGTGTTAGCTGCATAAGCAGGAAAAAACGTAACCCAGGGGTTAGGGATGTTTCCAAGGCCACAGTACGGCTCCTTGCCTTGTGTGGAAGGTAGGCTTTCTCTTCCCCACTAGGCTCTTGCCTGCTCTAGTCCTCAGTCCAGCTGAGTGGGGATGCAATGTCAGCCATCCAGTTCACCAACCACAGCTGCACTGTGCAAAAAGGATGGAAGAACAAAATACCCATGAGACAACACCGTGGCTTTTGAAACAGGTATGTAGGCTTTCTTGTTTAATAGCAGTTAAAAGAGGAAAATGTACAAGAGGAATAAACATGCTCTTTTCACAGAGGAGCTTTCCCCTAACCATGCGGCCCATCTGTATCAGTAGCTTTACAAGTAAGTTTTAGAGAAAAAAGTTCCCTTTAGAGTTAAAAATGGACTTTCCTAATTTTCTCTATATATGTGCAACTATCTGTGTAAAATAAAAATGCCATTTCCAACACCTTTGTGAAAAGTAATTGTGAATGCAGGCAAAAAAAAAAAAAACAAAAAGGAAGAAGAAGAAGAAGAAGAAGAGGCAATTGCAGTCAAGAGAGGAGTCCTGGGAGAAGGGAGGCTAAGGTAGGGGAATTTCTGCAGCAGTTCCTAGAGAGTGTGCTCAGAGGCCTGATGAGGAAGGTCATGGCCAAAGCCAGTCTTGGGAGATAAAAGGCCGTGGGTCTGGGACTTGCTGAGTAAGCACTTGTCAAGTGTACAGTAAGGCTAGACTGACTTGGAGGACTGGTATGCAATGAGAACAGTGGGCAATGCACCCTGGAAGCTCTACATTCCCTTTGCCAACAGGATCTCACTTCCTGGTTCCCATTTTCAGGTCCTGTTCTTCCCTACCTGCAACAGCTTCATTTATAGCCTGCTCAAAGAGATTTTCCCTATGAATGTTAAAATGATGCAAGCAGCCTATATTACTACTGAAACCTAATAGAGTCCCAAACTGAACTGTCCCTTCAGGAATATAGACCTGGTTTCCTCAAGAACTTGGCCAAGGGTTCATCCTGACCAGAAGCCATACAGGCTTCTAGCCATCTGTGTGCTTGCCCTCTTATTGAGGCCCTCCACGGTACTTCTACATCTCTAGGTATTTGAGGCCATATCTGAGGAGTCTGATGGGTCTGGGCACACATGCTTTGCACAAGTCCTCTCAAGGGTTGGCCCAGCTACAGGTTATAGACAAAACTAAAAACATCCCACTTTTCTAGTTCAAAAACTTGACATTGCTGGTCCCTGTTTTTACCTTCCCTGGCCCACCAAGAGTATGTCTCTACATACAACTCAGTAGCTGCATGTTGTTTTTTGTTAGATAAGGTGAAGGCAGACTAAGAATGGAGAGAAGATATATCAAAGGGTCCATCTTTATGTCTTGAGCTTGAATAAGCTTTTCCTTTCATGGGACTTCTGTGCAGAATAACCCCTATTCCTCCACCTTGTTCACTTTTTCCTGTATAGCACAGTTCTTCCAAGGCAGAGGTTTGAGACCAGACCAGCAATGATGATCCTCTAAAAAGACAAACACTGTGCCATGCTTACACATCTCTCCATTTCCACTTCAAAGTCTCTCAGCACTTAAAGCTGAAGAGATCTTGCTGCAAACTGGGTACTAGCAAAGAGAAGTGTTTTGAACTCTTCTCAAGCAATAGAACTTCAGATTAATATAATCGTTTCTCACTTGTTTCAACAAAGATGAGAGCTTGGCGATGCCATTTTGGCTCCTGCCTTCTCTTGGCTTATCAAGTTCTGGGTGGCAGTGCTCATCCCTTACCCTCATTCTGAAACCCTGGCCAACCATCCAGCCCTCAGGATGAGCCTCAGCAGCATCTATGAGCTCACATGTAGCCTGGTCTCTCCAGCTTTGAGGAAATTTGTATGTCTGTGTGCACATCCTCTTCCCCATGACTATCAAGATATGATAGGATATGGTGAGGTAGGGGGGTTGGGGAGGGGCAAGGAAGTACTTCCCTCCCCAGAAGCAACTCAGTAGCTGACAAAGGTAGTGAAGAATTCTGTTTGATGAGTCTCTCCTCCCATCAATCCAAGCTGGAAATGCCTGTGTGGCTTATTTGTCATTGTTTGGTGATGCACAATTATACTCTTGCCACTAGCCATCTTTCTGCTACTAGCCAGTAGCATCTTTCTGAAGTGTCTTAAAGTACAGTTTCCCCCGACTGACCTCATAGCAAAGCCCTTGCGTTAAGTCTCAGGAGTCCATCTGGGTCAATGAGTGCAGCCTCCACGCTAAGCTGCTCCAGGCTTTAGAGTTTGGAGGACAGGATTATAGGCAATCTTTCTTAGACAAGGCCAAAGATGGCTTTGGGGATCTCAAAAGAGGGTGGGAACCTTGGGCTTGAGCAACAAAATAATATCTAGGATATTATTTAGTGAAGGACAGTTGGGCCAGAGGCAACAAGCCACAAGCCATGGTTGGCTCTGTCGACTTTATGGTAACAATGTCTCCATCCCTAGAGGCATCCAGTCCAGGCATGGCTGCCCCCACAGTGCAGAGCTGGTGACATTTCCTTAAAGATGATAACCAAAAAGCTGGTTTTAAAACATAAAGGAACAATCCCAACTAATCCTCAGGTTACACCTAAGGGTAAGGTAAAGGCCATTTTTAGGCTTCCGAAATCTGAACTATTTCAATGGCATTACTGGAGGAGGCTAAGTCTGAAACGCCCTGTGAAGGCCTATGGAAGTAACTGTTGATTTATGTCCTGAACCAAGTGCTCTGACTGTAAGTGAAGGAAATGAGATGAACAGGGAAGGGATTGGGTCTCTGATTCCATGAAAACTGGCTTTCAAGATCCAGAAAAACTCTTCGAGTTGAGACTCAACACTCCTAGAGCTGGGGCAATATGCAGTTAAACATGGGATCCAATTATTACTGCTGTCTACTTAGCTGTATCCTGCCCTAGAAAAAATTGCAATAAAAGCCTGGGGTTAGATCAGGCTAAAGAAACCGCCATTCTTGGGGGATTGGAATGAAGCTGTCATCTTGCCATATGCCATGCTTGTTCACAAGCCAGTGAAAGTCAGCAGACTGAGGAGATGACCCTCCAGAGCTGCCCTTAGTGTACTAAATAGTAATGTTTGCCATGCCCTTTCCTTGTATTGAGAAGAATCAGCCTCATCTATGTGGTGAATGGGCATCCAAGAGTGAACAGGACATATTTTAGTATCCTTTTGCTTACTCACTCTACCTCCCAGCGCCAGATACCCACTTTTTATGGTTCCTAAGCCCCAGACCTAAGCTTTAGAGCCATGGATGAAAGGTGGTTCATCACTGTGGAATTGATGATACCACCATCTCTAAGATAACACAGATAGTGTAGTAATAACTTCCCCTGAGTCCCAGCCTAGCAACATCTCATGTACTTGCTTATTCTTGTGCCTCTTTTACTATAGGGAAATGTTATGTGAATACTGCACAGGGGTTAATAAAAAAATACATATGCTCTCTTTGAAGAAGAATGCACAAATGCAGGGTCAGCTGGGGCTGGACCCCAGACTGACACAGAGGCTGCAGCAGGTCGCCTCTGTGGGTCCGGGGTCACCCTTCATGAGTGGTGGCTGCTGATGAGTCCTCGGAGCTGCTTGGCCACGGTGTCAATGAGTTTCTGCTTGTCTCGCTCATTTTTCCGAAACTGTGCAAACATGTTGTTCTTGCGGCTAGTATCCTTCATCCTAAACAGAGAAGGAAAGAAAGAGGGCAACATGTTTGAGGAAACAATGGTGGAAGGAGAACCTGCAGGAAGCAGGATGGCAATGCATCTTAACCACTACCCAGAGTAATGAGAGAGTCCAGAATATCTCCACTGTCAGGCCCACACTCACCTACTCATCAGGAAGCTGGCATTCTGGCACCTATAGCCCTCCCAACTTCAGTCACCTTTGGAAACTGGTCAAGACCCAGTTTTGGAGGGGTCAATCTCCCTACCCCTTATACCTGCTCCACCTAATTCATTCTCTTCTCTCAGCAGGTATGTACCTGCTGTAGGTGTCTGGGACAGGGAACAGCTCTGCTGGTCAATAAGCCCTTATAGAATGTCTAGGATCCACTCATTACCTCATGAACCTACTAAATCCTGATAGGACCTTTGAGATAATATTTGAAAGGTAAAGCAGGAAAAGTGTTCTTAACTAGCAATTCCAACAGAACATGAATAACTGAAGGCCACTGTATATTTCTAAACCTCACTCTAGCTGGCTACTCTATCCTATCCCCAACAAAACTAAGGGCTTGACTGACCTTTTTCCTTTCGTCTCAGGGTAAAGGCACATAGGTGGTGTGGTGGCTAAGAGAGTAGAGTGCTGAGGAAAGCATGGGCCAAATGGCTGGGCCATCCTCTCACTCCATAAACCAGAGCTTTTTACATGAGAAGCCTTTGAGTTCTCAATGGCTGTCTGTACCCCTGGACCTTTGACCTTTGGGTCATGCTAAAGCTTCATAGATGGCATATTCCTAGAACACAAACCATGGGTAATTCTGGCCAGTGGTTCTTTCAGACAGACAGCCCTAACTGGGAAACATGGACAAGAAAGTCAAGACTAGGCTGAGATGGTCACAGAACCCCCAAGTCTGACTAAGCAACTGTGACAGAATTCAGGAATCTGCTATTCCCTGCAGAGGGCCCACAACCTCTGACATCTATTGGTGGCCACTAACTCTTGTCCTAGCTGCTGCACACCAGACCCATATCCCACAGCTAGTTCCAGTGTTAGACAATTGAGAACATGCCAAGACAGATTTCTCTCTGGGATAGGGGCAGGCCAGTCTTCACCAGAGTTGGGCCAGCCCTCTGACTTCACTGCTCCCTGGGCTGTATGGAGACAGGCTAGAAGAGAGGAGGGAAGGAACATGGCACCGGGCTATAAATTGCCCCCAGGCTATTTCCCAGGGGACTTTGGGCCAATCCTGCACCATTTTCTCCCCCACTGTGGGTGGCCCTTTGCAGAGGAGCAGATTAGAGGCCAGTGAGTCAAAAAGCCAGAGATTCCCACAGGGGCATTTATGTTTGGTATATATGATATAAATTTACAATATATATATTCCATAAGGGCATTATATATGGCAAAAAGGTTCTAATGAGCACCACAGCTGTATGGCTCTGGCTAACAGTGATAGCCACAAACTAATTAAGAATTCTTTCGGCTGGGCGCGGTAGCTCACGCCTGTAATCCCAGCACTTTGGGAGGCCGAGGCGGGTGGATCATGAGGTCAGGAGATCAAGACCATCCTGACTAACACGGTGAAACCCCATCTCTACTAAAAATCCAGAAAGTAGGCCGGGTGTGGTGGCAGGTGCCTGTAGTCCCAGCTATTCGAGAGGCTGAGGCAGGAGAATGGTGTGAACCCAGGAGGCGGAGCTTGCAGTGAGCCAAGATCACACCACTGCACTCCAGTCTGGGTGGCAGAGCGAGACTCCGTCTCAAAAAAAAAAAAAAGAATTATCTCACTAATCTAAGCTCAAGAGCCTTCAGGCTGGAATTACTCATCAAGCAAACTCAGAACATTGAATATAAGGTACGACCACCCACATGTGGAGGCCTGTGCTTGGAAGGGAAGAAGAAGGGGAAGTGACTGCGCTAGTTGAAGAGAAAGCACGAGGGTCCTTAAGACTCTGATAATTACTGTATTTGTTCCCTAACACACTAGTTGCACAATTACATTTGTAGAACTGGCCTAGTTTTAGATAGTTCCAAAGAAAGATTCCCTTTCCTCCGCTGAGTATACAATATATCTAAACATTAACAACAACAGAAAACAAACAAAAAGAAATGAAGAAAACCACTTCCTATATTCATAGGACATTTAGTTTAATATCCTACATTATCATTAATTTCATGACTCCTGGAAGCAGCTGAGAGACAGGCAGCCCGCTGGCTTTTGGCTCCCACAGGGAAGCTCCTGTAATTATCTAGGAGAAAGAGGGTAGTCTTTGGCCACAAAGGCTAGAATTTCTTGGCCATTAAGACCTGGAGTTGGAACTAGGCACTGTAAAGATAAACTCAAGTACCCTGAGGGCTAGTGGTGGCCTGCTGGTTTCTACTCAGGAATGCTCCAAAAACAAAAGTCAGCCCTCCCACCTTCCATCCCATTCTGAAAGCCCAATATCCTGTTCTACTTTATTAACAGCTATGGCCACCTCTCAATGATGCAGGGGCCACTTCTTTTCCCTCAATGTCTTTAGCAGGTCTTTTGTCTTTCTGTTTCGCCCTGCTAAGAAGGGCCAGGTTGAAAAGGAGAGTCAAGATCTGATGGTAGAACTGGCTGTGGAAAAGCAGGAATAGGTCAGGTAAAGGGGTCAATTCCTATGAGGCTGGGAGATACGGATTGTAGTGATCTGGATGCCCTTTGCTCTGCTGTGTTTGGAAGGAAGCTTTTAAACTCTTCTGATTGCTAGGGCTAAGCACATAGTTTCTTTACTGGCCAACGCTCCAGAATGGTAGGGAGAGGCTAATTATTTTAGACTATTGTTGAGCCATAGGGAGTGGATAAGCCAGTATTTCCTAGATCCAGAGATTCCTGGGAACGGAGGAGTAAAGGACTGCTGAGAGATGTAAATAACTGAAGGGAATCCCAGAGCCCATTTGAAGGACACATATGACCATTAAATATGACCATTTAAGCACCACCTCAAAGGTCAAAATGTTCCCTTCTTTCAGCTTGGCACCAAGAACTGTGGGATTAAGCCTTGCCTCTAATAAAGGGTCTTCTATAAGAGATGCAGGTTCTAGATTTTAAAGCCACCAAGAGGTAGGGGAGGCTGCTGAGGAGCTCCCTTCGGTCAGGGCTTTATTTCAGGCCCCACACTAGCAAGAGTATTGAGTGTGCCAAGAAGCTGAATGGGAACAACCCTTTACCTGGCACAATGGGAGAAAATCCCTGCCGCCACTCCCAGCCCCAAAGGAATTAGTAAGCCAAGGGTCACTGTAAGGGCCAAGGATAGAGAAGGCAGCCAGCCAGTTGGCACCAGGCTGGTTTAGTAGATTAGTATGTCAGGGCGGGGACAACTCAGAGGCTAGGGATTTTAGTGTAGTCATTAGTGTCAATGAGGAAACCAGAAGGACTTGCCTCAAAGTGATGGAAAAGGCCCAAGTGAATAATATACTTACTCTCTAGATATCCTAGGGCGGAAGGTCAGTGGGAGAGAGAACCATGGGAAACAAAGTTAAAATGGAAACATCAATCTCTGACGTGGTCAGGAGAAAACTGCAGTCTGAGTTTTTAGTCTCTTGGCTCCAAATACATACACCTGCATCATGCTCTTGCCTACCCTTCATCTCTTCCCCTTTTCTCCCCCTTTCATATTACATAGTAAGAAGGATAGACTTTGACCTCTCCTTCTGCTTAAGGCTCCACTCTGACTTCCTGGACTCTGAGCCTTGTCTTCCTAGGATTTGAGACATGGTTGACTGGCCATATATGTAGACTTCCTACACTGCCTAGATGCAGGGCATTCTTCCAAGTAGCTGGGGCTTAACTAGTTTCTCAGATTTCAAGAGAAACCTGCCTTTTTATATGGGTCTTGGTCTCTGACCTGCCAGCTCTCTAATAGATTAGCAAAGCCAGAGCCAGGCTGTAATACATAGCATTTCCCAGCTTCTGGGTGACATATTTGTTAGCCCTGAGATTTCCTGGAGCTGCCTAACTTACTTTCAGTGGTAGCACCTCTGCTTCAGAGAGGCTACAGCTCTGTGGCAGGGAACCCTCTGCAGGCTAGTGACTGCTTAAGGCAAGAATTAGACACCTTCTCCAACACAGCTTTGTTGGGATAGTCAGCACAATAAAGCTCAGTCTGGCAGGGGGTGGGAGCTGGGAACAGATGAAGGTTTCAATAATTCTAAATAATTTCCAGGGATTCTCTACTAGGAACCAGAGAAACCATCTGTTCTGTGGAGTTGCACTATCCATCATCATACCCCAGGTGACTAGGGCAGCCTCATTCTGTTCACCAGGCTGGCCTGAGCCCCAAACCGAGCCATTTTTTTTTCTCTTGCCATATCTAGTAAGAGACGCTAGTAAGAGACCCATTAAACTAGAAGGTAATGTCAGAATCCAATTCTGATCCATACTTGGCCTGGCTTGTTGGGGGCTCAGGAATTAATAAGCCACAGGAGGAAGACTGGCCTGCCAAGTCCAGTGACTGAGATTGCTGACAGCACCCAGGGCCTATGGCAACTTCCAGAACAAGGCTATCTTTCAAGGTATTGGCAGTGGCAAAATTATCTTCTACGCCAACCCCCAATCCCTGTCTCCCCACCTCCCAACACAGACCATTGGACAAGGTACTCACTTCTCAAGCAGGGTCAGAGCAGTCACTGGGTTTACCCGGAGGTACTTGCAGTTGGGCTGACCATAGTCAGCAAGGTAGGTTGACCAATCCCACTGGATGAAAAGATCCAAAAGCTGTAAAATATCCAAACCCCACCCCAGGGATTAGTCAGACAGACAAGACAAACCAAGATTCCAGAAACTTCATCATCCTTCACTACCAGCTAATAAATTGGATATATAAAAATTAAAATATAATAAGAAAAAGAACAGCTGCAGACTATTCTTTCAACCAAGAAAATAAGTGAGTAAACATTAGATGGCAGACTTATCTCTGCCATAAGCAGTATGGAAACATTGCTAAGACTATATGCCAGCAGTCAGCTCTCAGAGGCAACCCTGTAAAGAAACTAACACGGGACTGAATCAAATATGATAATAATATCATAATAATTATTCACTTACTCATTTAATAAATACTTATCAAATGCCTTCAACATGCCAAGAACCATTCTCAGTATTCAACAAAGAACAAATAAAGGTGGATGTAGTCCAGTGCCACATATACAATTGTTTGAACTTCAAGGTTAAAAGGTCTGGGTTCAAGTATCAGTTCTGTGACTTGCTGTACTGACTTAGCCCAAGTGACTTAGGTAATACAGACATATACACATGCCTATATACAAATAGGACACACAGATAACACAGAAACACTGAAACAAGGCATAAATGGATCATGTAGCATTTATAAGAGGCAATATGTGTTACGTCTATGCAGACACAGGCTAAGAAGATGAAATCAGGGCCATAGTAGATTAGCCCATGATTGAGGACACAGAGTCTAGCTAGAATTGGGTTATGAGTGTTAAAGAGAAGTGCCAAGAGCTAGATGTGTGAAAAGACAATGAGAGCTTTCTGAGGGTGAGCTGAGTTCTGACACGGGAGATTTTGACTGAGAGAAACTAAACTTTTGTCAAAGGCTTTCCTTCCCAGTCAGTTTTAGCCTCAGACATCACACTAACAAATATTCAAAAATTGTAACTAAGTAAAACAAACAAATAAAAGCTTCTAGAAGGGGCACAGTCCCAGACTCATATCACTGCATAGAGGGAGAACCCTCACAGTACTTTTTGACTCAAGACATTCTCCATTTCTCCCTTTCCAGGAGATAGGTAAGTGCTGATGAGGACAAGTAGATGGCTGGTTGTGCAGAACAAAGGCAGAGGGCCAAGAGTGCAGTCATATCCAATGCCAGAGCCTGGGCTCTAGGCACACCTTCCTCCATGTCTGTCTTCACTGTGCAGCTGGGCAAACAGGCAGTATGGGCCTTGCCCTGTTTGGCCAAGTCTCCACTTCATCCAGTTTCTTAGAATAGCTGTTATGAACTTCCTGAAGCAGGATGGGAATTGGCTGAAGTCCCAAACCTAAAACTTAGAAAAGTCCCTATACCCTCAGCCAAGAAAGGGATTTTAGAGATGAGAGAAGGAGTGGGGGAGAGACAGGCACACTGGTTGGTCTGGGCCAGGATGGTCCCAAACGGCCCCTCAGGCCATTTTCAGGTCATGCCTATTTTCATTAGCAAGTTAAAAGGCTTCTACCACTTCCTTCTGTTGACCCAAGGCCTCAGAGAGTTATCCTTTAGAAGAGAATTTCCCTTGACTTTCTACTCTAGTATCAGTATTTCTTTCTTTTTTTTTTTTTTAATTATACTTTAAGTTCTAGGGTACATGTGCACAACGTGCAGGTTTGTTACATATGTATACATGTGCCATGTTGGTGTGCTGCACCCATTAACTCGTCATTTACATTATGTATATCTCCTAATGCTATCCCTCCCCCTCCCCCCAACCCCACGACAGGCCCCGGTGTGTGATGTTCCCCTTCCTGTGTCCATGTGTTCTCATTGTTCAATTCCCACCTATGAGTGAGAACATGAGGTGTTTGGTTTTTGTCCTTGCGATAGATAGTTTGCTGAGAATGATGGTTTCCAGCTTCATCCATGTCCTTACAAAGTACATGAACTCATCCTTTTTTATGGCTGCATAGTATTCCATGGTGTATATGTGCCACATTTTCTTAATCCAGTCTATCACTGTTGGACATTTGGGTTGGTTCCAAGTCTTTGCTATTGTGAATAGTGCCACAATAAACATGTGTGCATGTGTCTTTATAGCAGCATGATTTATAATCCTTTGGGTATATACCCAGTAATGGGATGGCTGGGTCAAATGGTATTTCTATTCCTAGATCCTTGAGGAATTGCCACACTGTAGCATCAGCATTTCTGTCCTGTAGTCTTCAAAGACCACTCAAGACAGCTCCACTTTACTTGCTTCCTGGGACCACGACAGGTACTGAGAGTACCCCTTGTTCTAAAGTTCTTTCAGTACTGTGCTTTACACATTTCACTATATTTTCCTGCAACTCCTAGGGAAAGAACTATGAAAAAGGATAGCGTTTTTTCAATTAAAATTTTTTTCACAAATAAAAAAAAAACCCTAGGAAGCCTTTTACTATTTGCCTATTGAGGAGCTGATAAGAAAAGTGAATGAAAATCAGAAAAGTCTAGTTGGAAAACCATTTCTTAAAGCTATTTTAGATATTACTTTTTCAGCATATATGGACATATACATGCATGTAATAAAACTACCTTCTTTTTAAATGAATTCCTAATTTCTGTGATGGAATTAATGTATTAGTATTTCAGATTTATTGCTAATACTACCATGTATTTCTGGTTAATGACACATGGGAAGTCACTAGTGGACAGTGGAGAGAAGTTCATGGCTTAGCTGTAAGTTATGGGATCTTTGGGGTGTCGCTTTTCTGGCCGGAAACCTGTGGCCAGTGGCACCTTTGCCTGAGTTTTGCTCTGGCCCACTGGGTTTGTTCCACCCACTTGGCCTGGGAGGCTGAGCTCATGCCTGCCAGGGACACTGGAGTCAGGTGTGGAGCAGCAAGGGGTGTGTGTGAGTAAGTGTGGAGTCCGGCCACTGAACAGTCAGACATGCTGGGTGCTGCCATGGGGTGGGCAGCTCCAGGTGCCGGCATGGGCACCAATTCTCTGTGAGAATGCAGCTGGACCAGGTGCACTGCATGCAGCTTTCCTGGATGGCACCAGGGAATGTGGCAGCACCCAGAAGCTTGGAGATGCCAGGAACCACAGGGCCCCAAAGAGGGAGTCACAGCCCTGGCTCAGGGAGCTCCCAGGTCTGGGCTCTACAAAGGGCTGCAGCTCTTCTCTCCTTCTCTTCACCCATAATGTGGCAAGCAGGGGGCATATTTCAGCCATGTTTGTGTTACCCCAGCTCTTTTAGCCTTACCATTCAGTGGGTCTCAAGTTCTTTTCCTGCGACCAGGAAGAATGAGGTACACAGACAAGCAGAGGATGAGAAAAATGAAGAGATTTATTGAGCAATAGAACAGCTCAGAGATGACCCACAGTGGGAAGCTCCTCTCAGTAGCCAGGGTGTCCCGGCAAGTATTCAGCTTCTAGCAGAAAGGGTTGCTCCTCTCTGCAGGCAGGTTGTCTCGATAAGTGTTCAGCTATCAGCAGAGAGAGTGGCTCCTCTCTGCAGCTGGTCGTCCTGTTGTCTCTCTGTCCTCTCCTCTGCTCTGGCTGAGCCCAGGGCTTTTATGGGCCTCAGAGGGGAGGAAGTGCATGCCAACTGGTCCACAGGCAGCCAAGTCCCTACTCTGGTCCGTGGGACTGGCAGCCTGGTCACAAGCCTTCAGGCCTTCTGTGGCCTGAAGGTCAGGCCTCACTGGGGACCTGCCCCATTCTGCCCAGGAACCTGTCTGCTTTCTGCTCCCATTCATGGCACCTGGGGTTGGCCCCAACTTTGCTCCGAGATTGGAGCAGCACTGACAACAGGGAGAAACCATGTAGTGGGAGCAGGCACTTCCAAGCCTACAAGGGCAGGGAGGGCCTTCCCAGGCCCCCAAGAGTGAAGGGATGCCTGGGTCTGCAGCCACAGTTTGGGTGGCTGCAGCTGTGCTGGGGGTGGAGGACCGGGTTCCTGCCTGCTCCATGGAGCAGGAGGCCCAGGTCTGCAGCTGTGGTTTGGGTGGCTGCAGTTGTGCCCAGGAGGGTAGGGCTCTTGCCTGCTCCCCAGCTCCCACCAGCTCCATGGAGTCTGCAGCCCCAGTCTTGCCTCCCTGCTGCAGCCAGCATGATGGCAGTGGTGGGCCATTTAGGGCAGCCACTATCATCATAAGGATTTCCATTTTTGTCTTCCTGCCAAAGTCAATGCCAATGGTGAGCCTAAGAGCTCTGGAATGACAAGCTATCTAATTTATTCCCCTACAGTCATGGAAGCTACATAACTCTATTAAGTTCAACCACCATGAGCCTATAGATCACACTCTGGGTCCATGTTGCTTCCCACAGTCTTTTAGGGTGGCCTGAAGCTAGGTCATATGGCCTTCTCTGAGACAGATGGACAGAGAGTGAACTCTGAGGGTACTTAACTAAGTTAGCTGCTTGGAGGCACACTTCTACTGGATTCCATAAAACAGTGTTAGAATGAACGGCCAAGAAAACCAGCAGGTCTATTTATCCGTATAGTACTTTGATTTCCAGACTGACTTTCAAGGTCAATCAGACCCTCCCAGCCTGATTCTCCACATACAACAACCTTGTTAGATTGCTATAAATTCTCCTGCAAGGACACTCAATCATCATTAGTGACCACTAATATTCCTTTTTTATTTTTAAATCTTTCATTTGGAAATATTTCAAATTTATCAGAAAGTTGAAGGAATAAGCATAGTATAAAGAGCAACATATTGCTTCCATCCAGATCCATCCACTGTCAATATTCTACCCCACATGCTCCAGCACTTGAATTCTCTTTCTCTTCACACACATACACCCATGCATGTACACATATGCTATTTCTTTTCTTGAGTTTCTTCAAAGTAAACTGAGACTTTATTCCCAAATACTTCAGTGTTCCTAAGGATTAGGAATATTTTCTTATATAATCACAGTATAATTTTCAACTTCAGTTAATTTAATGTTGATATGATCCATATTCAATTTTGTAAGTTGACCCAGTAATGTCCTTTATAGCCTCTTTTATTTTTGTTCCACTACATGATATAATTTTAGGATTGAGTATTATGTTTAGCTGTCATGTCTCTTTAGTTTCCTTTAATCTGGAATATTTATACAACCTTTCTTTTTCTTATATGATATTGATACTTTTGAAGAATATAGTTCCCCTGCCTCCATTTTTTCCCAGTTTGGTTTTGTCTAGTGGCTTCTTGTAAGATTCAAGACTGAATTCTTTAGCAGAACACTATGTAAGTGATGCTATGTCCTCCTCAGGGTATCACCTCTGGAGGCATACAAATGCTCATTTTTCCCTCATTGGTGATATTAATTTTGATCACCTGATTAAGATGTTGTCTGATTTCTTCCAACATCTGGTTATTATGTTTTCCTTTGGAACTGTGAAGATTTAAGACATTCAAATATCTGTTATCCAGTGAGGATTCTTGCCTAACCCAATCTTTACTATGACGGTTGAAAACTGCTGATATCTCAACACCATCCTTCCTTGCACATTTATGAGTTGTCACTCATTCTACTGTAAGCAAGTACTCTCTCTTCCCTGCTATTAATCTATCTATCCATTTGTTATTGGCACAAACTCGCCACCGTGCCCCTCCCCTCCCCTCCCCTTCCTTCCTTTCTTTCTTCCTTCCCCTTTCTTTTCTCCTTTCCTTTCCTTTCCTTCCTTCTTTCTCTTTCTCTTTCCTTCATTCTCTCTGTCTCTCTCTCTCTCTTTCTCCTTCTTCTTCTTTTTTTTTTTTTTTTTTTTGAGGCAGAGTCTCGCTCTGTCATCCAGGCTGTCACTGGGCTCACTGCAAGCTCTGCCTCCTGGGTTCACGCCATTCTCCTGCCTCAGCCTCCCGAGTAGCTGGGACTACATCTTTTCCTTCTTTCCCTCCCTCCCTCCCTTCCTTCCTTCTTCTCTCTTTTTTCCTAAGAGACCAGTTCTTGCTCTGTTGCCCAGGCTGGAGTGCAGTGGTGCAATCATAGCTCACTGCAGCCTAGAACTCCTGGGCTCAAGTAATCCTCCCACCTTCACCTCCCTGAGTAGCTAGGACTACAGGCACACACCACTATGACCAGGTTAACTTTTAAATTTTTATTTTTGTAGAGATGAGGTCTTGCTATGTTGCCCAGGCTGGTCTGGAACTCCTGGGCTCCAGTGATACTCCTGCCCCAGAAAGTACTGATTTCTAAAGTTACTTAGGTTAGTATTTTCTTTGTCATTACTTTCAATATGGTTGTGTTTTTCTTCTATAATTCAGCTATGTTCATTTTTCACTGCTTGTGTTCCATTTTTGATTCCCCCACATTCCAGTTGATTTTCATTATTAATTTTGGGGTATGTGAAACAATACTATAGTTCTGAGAGTAACAGCAATATAAAAAAGTGTTCTCAGAGAAGTATTACTCCCTCCTCATCCCAACCTGTTCCCATTCTCCCCACTTCTTTCTACATATTTCCTATTCATTCCTGTAGATAACCAATCTAGTTTCTCGTTTATCCTTCTTTTATTTATTTTACGCCAATGAGCAGAAACATATGTATTTTCTTATATCTTCCTCTTTCTCTCTTGAAGGGTAGCACATCACAGCTACTCTTTTATGCTTTGTTTTGTCATGTAATGGTGTATCCTAGAACTCACTCCCCAGAAGCTCATTCCTCATTAATGATTATATTCTTGATTTATTCATGAAAATGCGGTTTTTGTAAACTAGGTAAGTAAAGTCATTTTCAAGGGACAGACCAGACATTACATTTTGGAGCATTTCATGTTAACTTGGTAGAATAGGAGAGTGTTAGATTTTTAGAGTAGGAAATTCTGATAAATGTTAAGGCTAATTCAATCAAAAGCAAACTCAACCCATCATTAATGATGCTTTGATTTCAAACACAGAGTTATCTGTTTGTGGTATTTAATAGAACAGGGGAACTAAACTAGTGTAGTGGTTGATGTAATACTTTATAAGCTATATAGGTTAATTAAAATGGTAAATTATGTGATTACTGGTTATTATACAAAAATGTGTGTAAGTGGAAAAAGATATGACAAGGGGAGACATTTGTAATCAGTTTATATATTCAACAGGCCACTATGATAGGATACTTTTTTTTCTTCCTATATAACTTTTATCTGTGTGACTCTTAACTAGGGCTTTGGCAAAGTTCTAAAGCTGCCTCTGCTATATTTCCTTGTTTTTTTCAGAAAATTCCCTTAGCTTAGAAAGACTCAAATTGTAATTCTGATTTCATGGAGGGTGGGAACAGTGGAGAGGACCAAGAACTAGAAAGCATAAGCAACTTGCTAAAAATCACAAAGTAGACAAGTGGTAGAGACAGTTTGTTGGCTCACACTCCCCAAGATGCCACAGCTGGTTGTTTGTTGTTGTTGTTGTTGTTTTGTTTTGTTTTGATTTTTTAATCCTGATTGATTCTGTCTGAGTTAGCTACTCATCTGAGACTAGGCCAAATTTCTGAACAGACTTTCTTTTTTGCCAGAGTAGCTGGGAAAGACTAGAAAAATCCAAACAAGCCAAAGTGGAAACCAGTCCAAGGCCATACAGTGAGTTAACTGGACAGAGAACAGACAGCATTATAATAGTAGAACAAATGCAAAGTTCCAGGAATGACCTTAGGAATGCGATTATTATTAGGATAAAGCAGGACTCTGTTGATCCTTGTTAGTGCACACAAATATACATGTCTCCAGCAGCAAGTCTAGAAATAATTCAGATGGATGAGTTGCTCATGGCTAAAGGATTAGAAGGAAATCGTCAAATAAAAATTAAGGGCAATATTCAAGCAAACCATCCGGGGGGTACTTAAGTTTTCTTTGGCAGAAAGGATTACCCAAAAAAACTCAGAAAATAGAAATATGGAGCCTGGTGGAGAATGGCCTGCTTGTTCCTCCTCCTGGACTGTCTGTTACCAAATCAATTCATATCATGCCTATTCATGAGTGAAGAGAATTGTTGGACGTACCCTACCTTCGTTGCCAATTCTTGGGATATGAGCCTCATCTCCCACGTAGACAGGAGCTCCCCAAGGATGGGGATTATGTCTTTTCCTTCTGACTCCTCAACAGCATAGACTATCAAATGGCTAGATTCTCAGCAGGTAGTCAGCAAAGACATGGCACATGGAATTAAATAGGTCAGCTAACATTTTGTAGCAATGATACTGGCCAGATGGTGGGAGAGACTTATACTTTGTGCTTCTCATATCAAACATTCAAATGGACCAAACCTAAGCTCCTCTTGCCCAGCACTAGAAGAAAAGTTGTATAAGGAAGAAGGAAGCATCAAACAGGAGATGTGATACCTATGACAGGTGAGTGGGAATCCAGTCCCAGACATTTGAATTCAAGGTTCCAATGGAAGACACCTATGACTAGTGACTGGGAACACAGCAGATGTTTGGTGACATGTGGGCTGGGTCTTAGTAGGCAGCATGGGGCCTACCTCATGTTAGAGAAAGCCTCCTCTTTCCAGAAAACCTGCAAAGATTCCATGGGAAGCAAAGGGTAGTATGAGCTAAGGTAGGCATGCAGACAGACACAGATGCTAAGACACACTGACAGTGACCATACCCCTCTTCCCCAGGGGTGATTTTCTTTACATGCATGTTTTCGCTTGAACAGGAACACTGAGTCCTGTAGAGAACTGCGCTCCCAAAGCAGGTGCATCCTTGAAGTAAATTTGATGTAGGAAAACCTGAATTTGCACTTTATATACATTCCAGAAGAATTCTTCATGTTAAACAGGATAGACTACAAAATGATTTCAAATAACATGCTTTTCTGGGACACTTAACATATAATCCAAGAAAAATTCTAAAAATTCTACCTCTTCAGAGCATGGCCACTGTATAAAGTGCAGTCCACTTTCACTAACATACAGAACACTAACCCCAGAGCAGCTTCATTTGTCCACTCCCTGCCTTTGACAGGATGAAACTAATTACATCATTATAAAGTATTTTCATAATCACTGATCCACATCTGCCTTTTTTTGGAGGCAGTAGAGCACAGCAAAAAGAGTTCCAAGGCTGAGGGTCCTCTGACTGATAGTGTGACCCCAGGCATGACACCAAATCTGTTTTTCTGGTTCAGATGTGGAATCATAATAGCTTCTATCAGCAGCTGAGAGCAGATTAAGAGAACAATTGTAAAGTCTACTAAAAAGCATAGAATTGACCAATGACCCATTTGTGTTTATTGCCCAAGATTTCCTCCAACTCCCTGTCTCTGGTGCTGGGCCTCTGTGATTCAAAGAAGGGCATCCTGAGTCTGCCTCCTGTGTCTCCTCAGGAGCACTTCCTGACACAGAAATCTGGGCAAATGTAGAAAATGCAAAGCAGGGCTTATTTCGACAAACATAAATTGAGTACCAACAATGTCTCAGTCACTCTTCTAGGTACTGCATATGAAATGATGTTAAGACGTTATCTCTAGTCTTGAGGAAATCAGTCTGGTAAATAAATTGATACAGAATGATGTGAATACCCTAACAGGTACTCTAACAGGTTACAAAGAAAGTTCAAAAGAAGGGCATCTAAGCCTGAGCCAGGTAGGTGGTGACTGGTAGGATGGGGTGGGGGTGTCAAGCAAGGAATCTGACATGGCTAGATCTCTCAGGAGTGCTTTGGGAATAACCAAGACAAATGAGGCCTCATATGCTAAGCTAAGGAGATTGATTTTAGCCTAGAGACTTCTCTGCTTGTTCTCATCACTGCTGCTACCTGCTTTTTTCTAGATCAGAAGATGGAAAACTAAAGTCACCACCTGTTGTAAATAAAGTTTTGTTGAAACATAGCCATGTTCATTGATTTACATAATTATCTATGCTGCTTTTATGCTATAATAGCTGAGGTAAGTAGTTGTGACAGAGACCATATGACATGGGAAGCTTAAAATATCCACTATCCAGTCTTTTACAGAAAAGGTTTGCCTGTAGATCCAAGGCAGGGAGGGCAGTATGCTCTGAAATTCTCTCAGATGTAAGGCATTTAATACCTAGTAAAGAAAGAAGAAAAAAATGGCTTTAGAGAGACCCTTCCCATTATAATGAGATGGCATAAAATTCATTATCTTAACAACTGGCGTAAGAATTATTTTATGGGAGAAAAACATGTTTGGGGAAATATCCTGCTTGGTGAGACCCCCAAGGTGCCAAGACATCTAGTAGAGAAGGTAGAAGGAATTTGGTATTCTGGTTCTTGAGAGGCAGAATGTGAAGAGAGGAGATTAACTAACATGTGTGAGAAGGGCTAAGAAGAAAATCCTTCATGGTATTGTGGTTCCAGACAACTTTGGAGACCTGGGGAATCTAGTAAGTGACTTTTCAAAACTGTTTGCTGTGCAATTCATGACACAATCAACCTTCTTTACAAACCCAACCCCTCAATCCCGGTCTTTAGACAAATCCACTCTGCTCCCAATTGCTTGGGTGAATGATTTCTCTCTCTCTCTCTCTCTCTCTCTCTCTGTGTGTGTGTGTGCATATGTGTGTGTGCACAACTCAGAGCAGAAGCTGTTTCACACCTAGAAAGCTGCAGAACTGCCCTATGGAACTGGGAGTGCAGGAAGCAAGAAGGCTGGAGGTGTCTACGGATTCACAGAAATCTGGAGGAGGCCTTTGGATTTTCCATAGGCTATGGAACTGTGGTAGAGAGAGGTTCCAAATTTTTCTGATCTCTGTAGATTAAGGGGGTCAAGCTTATACCTGAGCTTTGCAACAACGGCCAGTAACAGGTTGGTTCCTGGCCCTACGTCTGAACTCCTCTTCTTTTCCCTAGTTGAGTGAAGGCAGAAGAAGAGGTAGGGGAAGGCACAAAGAGTGGCTGTGCAGCTCCCTGCTTTCCCTGCAGCCCAGCTCCAGGTGGATGGAAGCTTCATTAAGTTCTTTATCAGTGACCAATTGCCTATCAGCAGCTTCCTCTGAAAGGGAACATCACCCTGAGAAATATTTATTTGCCGCATAAATGTGGATTTATAGGTTTTCTGTCTAAAATTTTCACCTTTTCTCTCTTGGTAAAGAGAAAAAAAGAAAGATAGGGAGGCTTCAGATTCTCCTGTTGTTACCAGCTGGTGCCTAGAGGAAGACTCCCAAATAAAAATGCCAACACCAAGTATTCCTTTGAGTCCGAGACTGTCCTGTAGGGCCATTTCTCACTGATGACAGCATCTATCCTGCTGCAGGGACCAGAAGGAAAACCTATTATCACACTGGCTGATAATAACCATGTACACATACATGTTCAAGGGGAGGATGGGAGGCCCCTGTCATGGGCTGACTCAGTTGTCCCTTGTTGGGGTGGCAGAAGCAGGCAGGTGTGAATTTTCAATGGAACTGCTGCCACAGATGTTGTAGGAGAAGAAGGTAGGAGCCATGGACCAGTGTTTATTTTCTTGCAGTATAGTGTGACTTGTTAAAGGTTCCTAGGTGGGTGAATTAGGGACTATATTATTGAGTTGTTAACTAAACTACCCTCCCTCTCTGGACAAAATGACTAAGTGGCTTAAATAAAATCCCTGCAAAGAGACCACAGAGTGAAGACAATACTAACAATGTAAGTGTAAGCAAATATCGAGAAAATGGCAGAGCTCAAAAATCTCCTAATCATAATACAAGCTCTTTATCAGCCACATTATAAAATAATAATAGTAATAAGCTAATCAGATTTGATAAGTCAGTCCCCCAAATCTGAAATTATCAAAAAAGCTATTTATATTATTTGTATTCATTATTATGAAAAATGAAATTTACTTAACCTGAGTACATATTGTGCCTTGAATTATTAATATTAGTATGTGTGTATGTACAAGCAGACTTTCAAAGGTAATGATAATGTTCTGTCTATTAAACTGCAGTGGGAAGAAAGTTATATGTGGGAATAACCTTTTGCAGCTACTCAATGTCTAATTATAATTTATTAGTAAATTTTTATACACACAACTATATTAGGGGTCAGCCCTTAAAATGTCTTTTACCAACAGTGAATTTCAATCAAAAAACTTTGGAGACACTGGGTGATAACCTGCAGGAAAAACTACTGCAAATTCATAATGAAAATGATTCAAGTTATTTTTTATAAATGGATAAATTAAGAAACATAGTTGTAGAAAATTACATCTTGCCTTATATGAGTCATTATTACAAATTACAACCCAGGCATCCTATGATAGGCAGAAGAAAAAATACCTAACATTAAGGGATCGTAAAGCAGGTAATGTCCTTATACCCTGGGTAAATTTAGAATAAGCTAGGCTCTCTGTGGCCTATGAAATATGCTTGAGTCTGGTAGAAAGACTCAGCACTAGACAAATTAACTTCTTAAGATCTTTAGCCCAACTAGATATGCATTTAAAATCAATTTTGTTTACTTGGATTTGAAGGCTAGAGACTGAGTAAAATTGCAACTCAGAATTTCATTGCCAAATTTTGGAACTAATCAATAGTTTCAGCAAAGAAGCATTAGATAAGTGGTTCTTGACCACCAAGGGATCATTTTTGTTTGTTTGTTTTCCATCCATAAACTTCAAATTTCAAAAGGGTTCTGCCTCCCAAACATTTTGTTAAGTAAACACTAGTTCCCAGGAAGACGATAGTTTCAGACCTATAGTGGTGGTATATTTGTTACTTCCTTTGTCATTAAGTTCATTTTCCTCCTTTCAATTCTATTTACTAATTAGTTTTTATGTAAAAATTTAACGAGCCACTTCAAGTCTACTTTGGACATAAGTGGGATTAAATAAATAGATAAAAAGTGTTCACCAGCATGCTATCTGTCCTTGAGGGTCAAAGGAGGGGCCCAGGCATTGAGTACCATATGCATTCAGATCAAGGGAAAATCAGGCCCAAAATATTTTAAGTTCCAGTCTGCCAAAAAGTTGGGCATGATTTAGGTAAACAGAAGAGAATGAAGGGAATTTCAAGCAAAGAGACTAGTGGAAGCAAAGGAGCAGAAATAGGAGTAGCTGAGATGTATTCAAAGGAAGAAGAAAATAGACATTTCTTGAATACCTATTATGTGCCATACTGGGCTAGTTATCTTACTTACCCATTTCATTTGATCCCGAGGAAAATCAACAGCAGAAGAGGTAGGTACCTCCATTTTATAGATAAAGAAAAGAAATCCCAAAAAGGTTAAAAGAATGGGCCAAAAGGAACATATGCAGTAAGTGACAGAGTCAGGACTTGGACCCATGACAATCTGACTCCCAAGCCTGATCTTTTCCTCCATTCCCTTTCGAGCCTCTGTCAAGGGCTAATTGGATGAAAGCAGAGGGCATATAAAGGAATAGCAGTGAAGAGGCTGAAGAGGAAGTGGTGGGGTTAGACTATGCAGAGTACTGGAGTACTGACTCTCAGTCTAAGGACTTAAAAATAATCTATATTCCACGGGGAGTGGTAACATTTCAGTAGCAATTTATTTAGTGGGATAAATTTGGCAGTAGCATACAAGATGGACTAGAGGAGAAAATTTCTAATCAGGAAGATCTGAGACAATGAGGATCTGGATTGGGATGGCAACAACAGGATGACAGAGGAATGGCCACTGTCTCAGGTCGGACTGAAGGATTTGAAGGCTGACTGAATGTTGGAGGAGACAAGGAAGACTAAAATGTGATCACAAGGCAGGTTTTTCAAAATCAGTTGCCTTTAGAGACCAGGCACACAATATAAATGAATGAATCAGGCAGATGAAATATGATAGTGGGTAGTGGGGGCTATGGAAAACTAGAGTACATAATCCTCCTAAAGGCATTCACATTTAGATGTTTTAAAAACATTATGCCAATCACTCATTGGGCCATCAGTCTGAAACTTTTGTATAGGGTTTTGAAGCTGGATAGGACACAGGACAGAGCAAAGAGGAGAATGTTGGATATTGCCCCATGATCTACATGCCTCTCACATTCCCAGAGCGTTCTCTCATTGGCAGGGTATACCACATTAATTAGGGTCATTACCAGTCCTAACTTTTGCCCACCAGCTGAGCTGACATATATGTCCCACAAAGAGGACATAGGGCCAATATGAAAAGAAACATATTTCAGGTTCAAGCCAGTGTTGTCAAGCCTGCTTAGAACACCATGTTTTCAGATGAGCTAAACAAATGGCCTTCAGAACAGATCCCAAAAGAACTCTTGCCTCCAAGGAAAACCAACAAAGCATTAAGGGCCTGCTCTCTCACAGAGCAGGCTGCCTCCTCCTTTTCCCCTTTCTCTACTAGCTGGGTCCATTTTGAAAAGGACTTTTCAGATCAGGCCAAGTAAAATTATAAGGCAGAGAAAAAGAAATTTATAGATATTTACTGAGAACCAAGTGTTGGCTAAGTGACATATGTTTAACTTAGATAACGTTATTGGATCCTTTACATAATTCTGTGAGATAGGTTATTATTTTGCTAGATGTGAATAAGAAAGTAAATAAATAGCAAAGTAGTAGTAAGTACAAAGTAAGTAGTAAGTACAAAGAAAGTAGTAAATAGCAGGCCTTAGATATGAATTTAAGTCTCTTTAACTCCAAAGCTACTAGATTTGAAGTTAAGTCTCTTTAACATCCTTCTACTATGCCAAGAGCTCAGGTCTGCACTGTTCCCCATAACTGTTCTCATTCCAAACAAAAGCAGATGAACCAATACATCTCTGAGTTCTTTTGTATGTGTCTTTTGCTTAAGCTATGCCAGTACTTACACAATTCAACAGGAAACAACACTGAAATCAGATGACTACTAATCTGGGGTGCATGGGTCAGGAAAGTCCAAAGTGGGGACCATATTTAAATCCTGGTATGAGGCAACTATGACTGTGTGACAAGGGCTGGTTGAATCATTGCCTGGCTTTCCTAGCCTTTATTCATGTTTAAAGCTGGAAAGAACCTCCAAGAAGAGCAGAGCAGAAACTCAATGAGATTCCAGGAAGCAACAGAATTCACTAAGGGAACCACATGAAGAGAGAGTGGTGCAGTAAGTGTGAATATCAGACGAAAGAACAGAGTCCCACCCAGAGCTGGCTAGTGAGTCACTGTGATTTCTGACAACCACTAGGCTGTAATATTGAGCCACACACCACGGAAGATTGGAAATTCTATTTAGATTTTCAAGGTGATTTTATTAGACAGCTGACTTAAAGGGTAAGGCTACCTTACAGTTCAGCACCACACTCAATTCCAGGATCCTCAAAGGCAATGCATACAAGCAGGCCCAGTAGGTAAGTGCTTGCTAAAAATCTTGGCCAAGTCTAAGAAGCAAAACTTGCTGAAGACTATTCAGAAATACGTGTTTGTATTTGGGAGGATGGGGAAAGTGAAGAGATATGTCTTAATTTTTCTCTTTGTCTTTGCTCACTATGAATTTTTATAGGCAGAGGGTAAGGCTGGCTACGGGCCTCTGGCAGGTTTCAATGACCAAGGGCAGTTAATGCTCAAAGAAACAGTGAGGTTTTAAATTACCTAAACCCTAGTAGGACAAATAGCTTCCTCTCCACCGCCATTCCCCATCACCATGAATACCCTTCCTTTTCTATCAGAATCTCCTTTCTGTCCTCATGCCAGAAACTGTCACAATATTACTTCTCAGAATTCTCATCTAAGGGATCAAGCATCCTACATGAAACAATTTTTGCCCGAATTCTGCCTGGCATTTTCAAAACATCCTGAAACCCTAGACCTTTTAGTTTGTTCCATATTATCTGTCTTTTGGTTAACAAACATACCATTAGTCATCCTGCTTTCCTTTGGTAGCTGCAGACATATTCTTTCGGCTTTTGGGAGGTTTTTATTTTTATTTTTATTTTGAGACGGAGTTTCATTCTTCTCACCCAGACTGGAGTGCAACGGCACGATCTCGGCTCACTGCAACCTCCACCTCCCGGGTTCAAGTGATTCTCCTGCCTCAGCCTCCCGAGTAGCTGGGATTACAAGCGTGTGCCACCACCCCCTGCTAATTTTTGTATTTGTAGTAGAAACGGGGTTTCACCATGTTGGCCAGGCTGGTCTTGAACTCCTGACCTCAGGTGATCCGCCCACCTTGGCCTCCCAAAGTGCTGGAATTACAAGCATGAGCCACTGCACCCGGCTTGAGAGATTTTTAGACTTCTGAAATAGAAGAGAGAAGACCAGTACTGTAGCCCTGGATTTGTCATTAGTAGCCTTGCAACTCAGGATTCCTTCTAAAACTCACATTTACTGATGACCAGATATCTAATGTCCCTCCAGCTCTAAGATTCTAAATCTAATGAATTTCTTTTTAAAATAATTTTTATTTATTTATTTTTGGTAGAGACAGGGTTTTGCTATATTGCCAAAGCTGGTCTCAAACTTTTGTTCTCCCACTATCTTGGCCTTCCAAAGTGCTGGGATTACAGGCACAAGCCACTGTGCCAGGCCAGTGAAGCTATGGTATAGAGAGTAGTTCTTAGCATTTAGCAGAAATGGGACTGATAAAATGATAGACCGTGAGGAATTGTAGAGAACTGTACTATTATTTCATCTTGCACAGGAGGAAACTGAGGTCTGGAAAGATTCATTACAGCAAAGCTACCATGAATGGGGCTGTGGTTGGAATACAGGCCCCTGATTTGAATCCACTTTTCTTTCTAATATATGATGCAATTTAATCAGCTAGAGGAGAACAAAAATCTTTGAGAATAGTACACAGGTCAGGTGCCTAGAGAGGTGAAGGAGAAGGAAAGGGAGTTTCGTTTTTTAATTAAAAAATAAAAATAAAAGAGAATGTAAAATCCATCTTACCTCAGTGAACAAATGTTAATGATTTGTCCAGTTTACTTCAGATCCTCCCTTTGTTTTAAAAAATAAAACATCATAAATAAAGATGAAATCCCCCTGCCTTCTCTCCATTCTTTCACCTTCCTGATGAAGGCTGCTATCATGATTTTGTTATGTATCTGCTATATGTTTTTATGCTTTTAATAGATAAATAATATATGGTAATGTTCTGTTTTTTAGTTTATATATATATATACACACACACACATACTAGGCATACATATGTGACATTATACATAATATTCTGCAACTTGCTTTTTTCATTCAATCTTATGTTTTCAAGATCCATCCATGTTGATCCATCTAAATCTAGTTCATTTAACTGCCAAATAGTGTTTTCCACCGCAGAAGTATACTTAAATATACTACAATGTATTCATCAATTTTTTCATGATGGAAATTTGTACAGTTGTGTTTCCAGATGATAGAAGAATGGGGTGTTGCTTGTGCCCAGAAAGCAGGCAGCCTGCTAGGTGAGTATGGTGAGAAGGGGTTATCATCCTTTATCACTATATATGTGAAATGATGTAAAAAAAAATAGCAGGCCATTTAGTGAACCAGCTTAAATACTCCCTGAATTTGATCCCACAGCAAGTGGCAGAGAAAACTCAGATGATTAGTTCAGGAAGGACTCTTAATGAGATAACTGAAAGGAAATTCATCTCTCCTTGGAAGAGAACATGGAGAGGAATAAAGAAAGCACAGTAAAGCTGACATCACTATGCCTACCCTGACCAGAATTAAGATAAACACAAACTATTTCTTCTCTGAATTGTAATGTTAGGGAGTTACATCCCCATTTCTAAGTCTTTGGGAATGGATCAGCAAGTCTCTATAAGATTTTCAAAAGTATTTGAGGCTGACCCAGGATGGTAGAGAGGAACAGGCTCTGCTTCCATAGTTATTGTGTGAGGTTGCAAGTTATTGAATTGAGAGTCCAAGTTTACATTTTCCTTGAACTTCAATAAATTACTGAATTTATTGAATTCAGCTAAGTGCCCACTACCAGTGTTTGGGTTGGATGGGAAGAAGATACTAGGAGAAAAAAGAAACCTCCTTGTTGTGGGAAAGCTTGGTATCATTCTCAAAGATGCTAGGATGGAAAGACTTCTTGCCTTATTCTACATGGACAAGCTTAATCTTCTAATTTCTTGTGTGGCTAAGCAATAAGGTCTTAGTCTCTGATGGCAAGGAAGCCTTGATCCAACATTAGATCTATGTATTTATCATTTCTGGTCTATATATGGCTTGTTGTGCAGCAGTTTCTCAATCAGGTGAATTTTTAAAAACCTGCTCCAATTTCTTGAATAAGGATATGAGAGGAGACACAGTAAGTGAAAGCACTTGAAAACTTCATCTTGTTATTATAGTTAACAACACCATTACCACAGGGTATCCTTATTATTCAAGGAGATTTTTAAAAAGCAACTAAAAACTGCCCTTTGTGAACTTTAAAACAACAGGAGTTGTTCTGACTTTTGCTTCAATGTAATATAGACAGCAGCCCCTGGCTTTCATCCAAGTTACAATTCCCTTCTCCCAACCCCAGAACCATCATGTCCATATTCTGTGTGAGCCCAGGACAGACAGGTATTCTCCAGATTAGCATTTATCCACATGGCTTGTTCTGTGGAAGCAGAGTTCCCTCTAGGACCTTACCAAGGGCCAGATCATAAGCAGTGATTATTTGAAGGGGAACACCCACAGTTTATACCATGAGCAAGCTGTGGGAGAAAAAAACCTATTTTTTTTACCTGAGATCTCTCCCATGTCTACAAGAAAATCATTCAGAAGTAGATACTAAGGTGACACTGAAAAATCACCTTGTTTTAGCCAGTCTCCTTGACTAGTCCTTCTCATCTAGTGACGAGTCACATTCCTGACTTGAAGATCTCTTTAGCAGCTAAATATTCCCCAAACTTTCCCACCTCCTGTCCCCTTTATGGATTTCACAAACATTTTATAGCACTGAGCCGGGGACAGAGGGTAGGGAGTTTAGGAATCCTGAAAGTCACACTGAGGAGGGTGGTGAGGCAAATCCAGACCATTCTGCCTAAGAGCCGGCCAGTTCACGACGTTCATCGTTTCTTACTTTTGTGCCTTTGGGCAAATTACTAACCTCTCTCTAAAATGAAAATAATATTTGCCTTGGTAGAGTATTCAGCATAGTGCCTGGCACAAACGTTCAGCAAATACTGGCGATGATGATGATAATGACAATGAAGATGGCAAACTTATTCCTGCCTTCACTTCTTCACACTTGCTGTTCTGATTTACAATGCCTCTTCTTTTCTCTTTGTCCTATCTAAATCCTTCCCATTCTAAGAGAACCTTAAGAAGTCCTTTTCAATCAGTCCCAGGCACAATATTTCAATTGGTAGTATCATAGCCTATCTTAAATTATGAATTATTTCTTTTGTCTTGTCTCCCCAGGGAGATTATACGCTCTTTAAGAACAAGGATCTTTTTCTGTGCTTCTACCTGACACATGTCTGAGCCCATGGTATGCGTGATATACTTAGCATCGAGTATAGTCAAGGGAATTTCTATTTGCTGGTCACAGAGTGGTACTAAGCACAGTACAAAGGGAATTTCACAGCTAAAGGCTGTGTCTTTCTGGCTGCTCAACTGGACTTCCATTATCAATTCATACAACTAAAATGGTCCTATATTGGCTACAGGAATAAAAAGTCTATATTCCCTGAATGAGCCTCAAATGAGTAAGAGATTATAGAAGCTAGTTCGAGATTTAATACTTAACCACCAAGAATTCACTAAGCAATTATTCCTGCTCCTGATATTGGAGAATGAATTGTATTCCCACATTCTCAAGAGGGCTGCTGAGGTACAACAGAGGTATTTCCCCCATGCATGTCTGTACTGGCCCAGAGGCTCTGGACCATCAAGATATTGAGATTATGGCAAATAAGAGTTGGTAAGAAATCATCAAGTGGCCACTGCTCTTCTGTAAGTTGTTGACGCTCAGGCTGTGGGCCTTCAAGGTATTATACACTGCATCTCTAAGCTTCTGGAATTCTCTGGCCTGGAGGCCTTTCTGCAAATGGGCTGGAAACTATAGCATAGCCCTACAATGGGAAGGAACTTCCAACGGAGTTCTATCTTGATGCTGTCTTCTGCTTTCTCTGGATACCAGCAAAGTCCCTGTCCTTCTTCCTCCTATCTCTAAGGTCAGATAATAGACACTCTCCCCTTTCAGCCTGTGAGCAGCTTAAGGCCTTGTCCATTTTTGTCTTATTAGTGTTCAGCACTGTGTGGTAGAGTAGAGAAGGATCTCAAAAAAATGTGTTCTGCCTGATAATTATGAGAAAGTATTGTAGGAGGCCACCGTTGTGGCAAGGCCCTGAATGTATCAGAGCAAACACCTCTCCCTGAGCTCCCCGCCCTCTGGCTCCTTGAGGTTCTCTGGGGTCCCGGGGTCTGGCTCCACAAGGTTCTAGTCTCTGCTTTCTGTTGCTGTTTCTTCACATTCTCCAAAAGGCAGAGAATGGGTGGAAAGGCTCAGCCACAGGATACTGGACTGTTTACAGTTGGCCAGGCCAAGATTAGCGTGAGCACAACATATGCCAAGTTCATTGGAAGTTACATTTTCTCTTTGTTTACACATTAAAGGGGAGAAGACCAGAAGAAGAAAAAAAAAAAAGCAGGTGACCTCCTGTTAACCTCAGCCGTCTGCAAAAGGCTGCTGCCCTCACCTCTGAATGAACTTTCAGATTATCTCAGACAAGATTCACCTTGCGCTGAACTTGTACGCCTGCTCTGAAGCCCCCAGTCACGTAGCTGTGATTAAACATTACAGAGTGGCCATAAATTTACAGAAGTATTATTGTGCCTTGCTTTCCTCTTCTTCTTTGGGAGAGGAAGAGGGCAATGGGTTTGGGGTGGGGGGAGTTAAAAAAGGGAAACACACAGTCAAACAAACAGTTCCTTTTCACAGCTCTGAACAAAAGAGAAAACATTGCATAGGTGTCCCAGAAAGAAGGAGAAAGAAATTTGGCCATGTGAGAGAAATTAAAGCTCTAGAAGCCTGCAAAGCCTAAAACTCAACGGAATAGCTGAGGTGCTCCTGGTCCCATTTCCAGACAGTCTGCAAGTCTACAGATGAAACACAAACCTGCTCTGGTCCTTGCTCCTGGCTTCTCATGAAGGGTATCCCTGAAATAATACTTTTGCCAGAGAGAGAGAGAATGGAAGAGAGAGGGCATGAGGCAACTGACAGAGCAGCAGGCAGGGGAAAGAAGGCTGCAAGACAACACAGTTCATTTTGTTCTTTGAGCTGCTATGAGAGATGAGGAAGCCCCAACATCTGGGACATTTAAACAGAGACTGGATAAAGACTAGACCGTGTTCTAAAGGAAACACCCTGTAGCTGTACCCAGGAGACTGACCAGATGACCTAAGAACATTTATTTCTATGATTCACTATTTTATGCTTAAAGTAGAAAAAAAAAAAAGGATATTCCACTGAAGTAAAATTTGTTAAACCCTCTAGGATTCCAAAGCCAAGATACGCCTGCAAAAGGCCTGTGCTGACCATGAAACAATGAGACCTCTATAACCAGAAAAGGCCAGGGAATGCTCTATTTAATCCAAAACAATTGTAAAAAGTGGTCAGGAAGCCCAGACTGAGGTGATAGGCGCTGGCCAGCAAAGCCACCTTTGGAAAGGAGTCGCTCTGTCTCTGGTTACCCTATGGCAGTGACAGGGGTGCTAAAGAGGCTCATTGTTTCTATAGTTGGCAAGGCCTTGCCCATAAAAGCAGCAAAGTCCAGGGTCCATCCACATGAGGAAGGCGGTTGATGGCTTAGCTTAGCTCTGACTCTCAGCAAGATCTCTTGCTGCTTTTAAGAATCAGCCAGGAGTCAAAAAACAGGCCTGTGGAAATTCTCAGGCATTGCCTCTGACACACAGAGATGAGCCAGGAAGTGAAATGGCCAGTGTCAGGGCAATATTGGGGATATTGAAGTTTTGCGTGGGAGTTCTGAAGTCAATCTCTGGTCCCCAGGGGCAACCTGTGTTCAAAACTCTGGCCTGGACTTGGAGAAGAAACAGAATGGATTCCTGCCTCTCAGTGTGAGTTCTGTGAGAGACGAGACTATTGGGTAGAAACACAGGGGAAAAAGGATAATAAAATGTACATTCATTGCAAGCCAGATGGGCCAGGTATATATTAAATGCATTATTGGTACAGTCTCAATTAGTGTGATTCTAAGAGGAAGATACTATTTCTCAGGCCTATTTTACCGATAAGGTAATTGAGGCACAGGACAATTTAAGCAACTGCTCAGAATCACACTGCTATTAAGCAAGGAAGTCAGAATCGGAAACCAGGTCTATCTGATTCAATGCATCTTTAAATATGAGAGTAAAATCTTAGAAACATAGAATCAAGGAAATCTACCAAAGTTCATGCTAGGCAGACTGAATAAAGTGTCCTCCTCCTTTTCCCACCATCCTTCAAGACCCTTCTTAAGTACCCATCTCCTTTAGGAAACCTCCTTGAACACTACTATCAGTTCCTTAGATTTATCCCTTCTCTGAACTCCATTTGTACCTATTGTTCATGGTGCACAGGAAGCACTATATCACATATTTTTCTATTCTTCCAGTGTTTGTGCCTCACAGTTGAACTGTTGATTATGTCAGTAAACCAGATGTTGATATACAGAGAAACCCAAGTGTTTTATGCTTATATCTCCCAGAATAGAATGTCAACTCTTTGAGCAAGGGACACACAGTAGAACCTCAACATACTGTGACTAAACTCCACAGAGACTAACAAAAAGCTCTTGATGTATTAAATAAGGATACACTTTATAATAAAGAGAGTTGTTCATTAGTGGAATGTGCTGGAACAGAATGAGTGAAATGTGTGAATGTGTGAAAGTAGAATAAGTTCTACTTCTTTAGTATTTTTCCTCAAGATAATGTAGTTTTATTGTGTATTTCTTTATAAAAACAACATATGCTTTTTGCAAAAAAAATTCAGAAAAAACTTATTTAATTCAGAAAAGCATAATGGGAAACCATCATCCATAAACCTCATTCCCTAGGCATAATGACTGTCAACAATTTGGTATCTAGCCTTTAACACTTTTTTTTCTCACCAAAATAGAGCAAATTATAGATACTGTCAAAAGCAGATTTTTCCCACGAATTCAGAATAGACATCTTTTACATGTAAATACATATAGATAAATGTAACCAATTTTAAAGACTTCACAGAATCTATTTTTAACAGCTATATACCGTACTAACTTGAACAAATCCCTTATTGATGGGTATTTTGAGATTTTTCCCCAATCTTTTTCTACATTACCCAATGTCTTGATGAAAATACTTGAATATACATCTTTGTACATTTCTTCAAGTGTTTCCTTAGGGAATAGTGTGAGTTACAATACAGCACAGTGGTTAAAAGTGTCAACTCTGGATCTAGATAGCAACTCATCAGCTTTGTGAACTTGGGCAAATCATCTAACCTCTATAATCCAGTCTGATCATTTATATAATGCAGATAATAGTACATATATAATTAGGTAGGCATGCATATTGAAATAGTTAATTCACGCAAAAGCACTCAGGACAGTGCCTTTTATGGAGTAAATGCTGAACAAATGTTAGCAATGATGGTGATAATTGATGATAAGGATGATAATGGTAAATTCCTGGAAGCAGAATTCTAGGTCAAAGCTTTTGATATCCATCAATAAACTGCTTTCCAGAATAGTGTAACGATTTACATTCCCATTAGCAGGTATCACAGTGTTTTTGAATGGAAGTATTAGATGTTTTGATGTACATTTGTCAAAACACTAGAGGGACTATCTCACTAAACAACAAGCTTTAGGTTTATCATCTCAATGATCCCTTTCTATCATAAAATACCATGCTTCCTTGCCCTATTCCTAAATCATATAAATGTAATGAAAATAATAAAAACAAGTTGAAAATCCCTGGAACACCTTAGAAGGAGAGTGCTAACTTGCACTTAGAAAGTGCTTTATAGTTCACAAAATGTTTTCAAATATATTCTCATTTTTCGGTTCAAACACCACCTAACTTATTGGCTATGCAAATTTATACTCTCTAACTGGGACAAGTGAGTGATGATTAGATTACAAAATAACCAAAGGGATGTCAGGTTTCATCTTTTTAAAAAAAATTTCAGTTTTTATTTTAGATACAGGGGGTATATGTGCAGATTTGTTACGTGGGTATATTACACAATGCTGAGGTTTGGGGTACAGATCCCATCACCCAGGTAGTGAGCACAGTACCCAATAGGTAGCTTTTCCACCCATGTTTCCCTCCCTCCCTTCCCCATCTAGTAGTCTGCAGTGTCTGTTGTTCCCATCTTTATGCCCATGTGAGCTCAATGTTTTGTTCCCACTTATAATTGAGAACATGCAGTGTTTGGCTTTCTGTTCCTGCATTAATTTGCTTAGGGTATGGCCTCTAGCTGCATCCATGTTGCTGCAAAGGGCATAATTTAATTCCTTTTTATGGTTGCATAGTATTCCATGGTGTATATGTACCACATTTTCTTTATCCAATCCACTACTGATGGGCACCTAGGATGATTCCATGTCTTTGCTATTGTGAATAGCATGGCAATGAACAAACAAATGCGTGTGCCTTTTTGGTAGAATGATTTATTTTCCTTTAGGTATATACCCAGTAAAGGGATTGCTGGGTCAAATGGGAGCTCTGTTTTAAGTTCAGGTCTCATCTTAACCCTTTTCTAGAACCTAAGATCCAGCCCTCTGCCTCAGAATGAAACCCAGGGTACCTGCACCCTTTACCTCAAAAACACCAGTTCCAAAGAGCTCTCTTGTATTCTCTTACTAGAAATCTTCCAATGTCACTAAGCATTAAGAAACTCCTTTTCTGTGGATTTTAACCTTACAATACAGCTTTTTCTCTCTACTTTCTAGAAACTCTTACATCAAATGAATACATAGGCAAGGAGTTACAGATACAATCTTGTTACCATAAGTAGTTTGAAATATTTAATCTTGCTGGGCACGGTGGCTCATGCCTGTAATCCCAGCACTTTGGGAAGCTGAGGAGGGTGGATCACCTGAGGTCAAGAGTTCAAGACCAGCCTGACCAACATGGAGAAACCCCATCTCTACTAAAAATACAAAACTAGCCTGGTGTGTTGGCGCATGCCTGTAATCCCAGCTATTCTGGAGGCTGAGACAGGAGAATCGCTTGAACCCGGGAGGCAGAGGTTGTGGTGAGCTGAGATCGCGCCATTGCACTCCAGCCTGGGCAACAACAGCAAAACTCAGTCTCAAAAAAAAAAAAAAAAAAAAAAAAGAAAAGAAAAGAAAAGAAAAGAAAAAAGAAATATTTAATCTTACTTAGTTGTCTCTCCCTTCATTAACTGTGAGCATTTACCAGGACTGAACAAGTAAAAGTCCCTTAGCTGTTTCTATCCTGCTCCAATAAAATCTTCTTTCTTAAATTTTCAGGTTTCTGAGGCTGAGGTGGGAGGATGGCTCGAGCCCGGGAAGCAGAGATTGCAGTGAGCCAAGATTGTGCCACTGTACTCCAGCCTGGGCAACAGATCCAGACCTTGTCTCCAAAAATTTTTTTTTCAGGTTTCTAAAGAAGCAAAGCTCAGACTTCCCTAAAATTCTTTATCTTAGCACCCTCCTCTGCTAATAGGAAGTGTGAGCATCTCATTCTATTAGAAACTACATGTGTTTCAGCCAAACACCCAGTGCAGACCTATGCTTATAGCAGAAAAAAACAAATGGCTCCTTTAAAAACTGGGCTTTTGTTACATTTCTGATCACTATAGCATTTTTTGCTTAAGTAAAGGCTTACAGCTACATCAGAGAATTAGTGTTGTAACTCATCCTGCGTGTGTCAAAATCAAGGCTAGGGTGCTGAAAATACAACTGTGCATATTTGAATACACTCTTACTTACCAAGGACAATCATCAAGGCAGACTCTTTCTTAAAATTAATGGTATTTAAATTTGGTCCTCAGTGATAAGATTTTTATGTTGTTGCTTTTCACATTCAAATATGATGCACCTAATGATGCTGCTACACATGGATTATGCAGGCATAATTTTTAAAAAAGAATTATAAATACTAAGACTTTCTTTTGGTGGGTATCTGTAGCTGCCATGTGTAGGGTGTGCTGATCTTTTGGGTCCTAAACCTTTGCTTGCTCTCAGCCTCCTCCCTAGTCTCCCCTGATTTGTCTCCAAACACTGTTTTTTAGGCATCTACTCAATCAACCTTCATTGAGTATTTTCTCTGATTTACTGTCATGCAAAACGCTGTGAGGACTCTTAAGAAAGGAGAAAATACAACCTCTTCCCTCAAGGAATTTACAATTAATTAAGGAGCCAGATCCACATATTTAAGTCAATCGAAATGCATTTTTATGGACGGCATATTGCTAACTTTCCATTAATCCTAAACAAAATGAACACGTCAATGTGAAGTACGGTAGGGATCACCACAGAAAGTTTAGAAGGAAGAGCAGCAGACAATAATATTTTGTTCATACTGGATAGCTGGATACCCATTTCCCAGCACAGTACCAGACACAACAGATACTCAATAAATGTAATGAACTGCCCCCTCTCCTGACCTGCCATCTATTTCAAAGCTAAGGGACTAGGTGTTTTCCAGGATACCTACCTTCCCCAAAGGGCCCCTGAGTCATTACAATCTCCAGAAGGTTGTACAGTTTTCTGGCAGCTATCCCAAAGGGGGCTGTGCCTCATCTTACAAGTCAGTGTGTCTACTTCTCCAGGCACAGTGCCCGTGGAAGCTTGGTTTGCACTTTGTTTTTCTTGTGGGCAGCAGCAAGGTGGGATTACAGGTCTTCAGTGGTGAGGTGGAAACTTTGGAATCCTTGCCCTTGTTTCCTCAGCAAAGCACACATACATCCCAAAAGGTCAGTCGGCTGTGGACTCTTGGATATTATGGCTGAGTTACAAGAGAACAACCCTTGTTTACAAAGGCATTTCTTCAAAATGTTTTTGCTTGGCACTTATTTTAGGGTGCTGATTAGCCTGAGTTAAATGTTATCTGTAGAAGGTGAAGCACCACCTCCGGTTCCCTCCAGGCAGCCACAGCTTTCTCCAGCTGGGGTTGATTCAGGAAAGTATTAGCAATTTTACCCTCTTCCCTCTCAACCTGAAATGCATCCTATCTTCACTAACTGCCTGGGCGCCTGCAACCTGTAAGACTCATTCCTCAGTGGACCAGTTTCCATGTGCCCTTGCAGAGACTCAGTTAGTGACGTACTGACAGGTGATCCTAGAAAGTCATATTTCTGGACACAATTTCTCCAAAAAAATGAAGTTTTTGGACTAATTGATTTCCAAGGGCCCTTTTCCAGTTCTGAAACTTACTTTCTATTAATAAATGTTCCATATTCTCCAATGAGAGACTGAGGTGAGAAAATGGGCCCTCCTCTTCTGCTAGAGCTGTACTGTCAGGCAAAGGAAAGCCTTGGGAGAAGTCTGGTATAAGCTCAGGACTAAGGCTGGGCCCTGTTTTTTCTGCACATGCACCTTTACTCACTCACCATTTAATGAATGCCTCCATGTACCCAAGACAACGTGAAGCCATAACAGAAACAAAAACTTTGT
Organism: Homo sapiens; assembly: GCF_000001405.40. NCBI lineage: Eukaryota > Metazoa > Chordata > Mammalia > Primates > Hominidae > Homo > Homo sapiens. The sequence goes on from NC_000002.12 coordinate 72,211,551, forward strand.
CCTTGCTTAAGATGGAACTTTATGCCACACCCACCATAAGCTGGGTTTTATGGTGATTTCACATGAATCACCATGCATAATGAGGTTGCTAGAAGGTGATACGTAGAGTTCTGAATGATTTTTAACATACATCTCCCTAATTCCCATGGTAAATTTGATATGTGGTCAGGTAGCATAATCTTAGATTGCTATGAAACCAATGTGATTTTAGATAAAAGTATATTTGTTTTTGTCAATCTTAGAAACTATATGAAGGATTTAGGAGGTTGTATATCAATTTGGTTTACCTGTTGCTTTGGTTTGACTTTTTCTGTTACCCAGTGTTATCTTATGCTGCTTAAAGTTTATCCCAGTGATTCTCAATGGTGGACTTTTTCCAAACCACATAGCTCTCCCAAAGACTCACTGCTCTAATGAGCCATGAGCCTCTGACACAGATGGGAGTGTGTGGAATCCCTTAAGTGTGCCGAAGTGGAAAAAAAAAAAGAGGCTCCATTGCTTTGGAATATGCAGAGGGCATTTCTCCCTTTGCCCCAAGAATGGTGTATCAAAATGAGTGCTGTTTCTAAAGGTGGTTGACAGGGTCTGCCCTAGGCCTAGTTGGTGCCTGTCTCTGTAGGAAGGTATAATTTTGCCCTTGGGGGATGTCTAGATGTAAGGAGCAAAAACATTGTTTTCAAAGGGTGTAATGGTATCCACCAGCTACCAACAGCCTGATTCAGCTCTTAATTCACTCCACAATTCTAGTTTCTTGGGGCAGGGCAGGCTGTTTTATGACTTGTAGAGATTTGCGTTAATTACTAACATATCATAGAGATAAATCTGAGTTTCCAACACACATAGGAACAGAATAGCCCTAGAAAATAATAGCCCTATAAAAGAGGACTTGGAGTTGCTGGTACTGAGAAGGGATAAAAGAAGAAAGCAATAAAAAAAATTAAATGTCAGTATCAAGCATATTAACTGAACTGAAAATCCCTGAGTGCATAATAAAACGCCTTTAACTTAATAAAAATGCATTTGACTTAGACAATAATGGAGGAAATGGACCAAGAATTTGCAACTTGTATCCTTCCAGGTTTTTCCTCACAACTTCTATCTTATGTAAGAGAAGCAGAGCTCAAGCCAAGGATAATCAGCCTTTCAGGAATGTATGGAGAGTGACAACTCTTATGTTCTCTATCTCCACTATAAAGTGAACAAAAAAACTTGAATACCAATTGTAGTACATGATGCTTAGGTTAAATACAAAACAGTTCTTACTATAGCAGGATAAGAGGCACTTGAAGGAGAACCTTAAGTGGTGTAGTAGAGTGTGTTTCCAAAGATGGCTGCAACAGTAACTCCCATCCCATGTGCTGTTTTGCAAAATAACACTGTCACTTTCCCATCAAGAGGTAGAGCCTATTACCATCCCTCTGAATCTGGGCTAGCTTTAGGACTTGATTTCCTCAAGAGAATATGACAAAAGTGATGCTATAGACCTTCTGAGGCTGGGCCTTAACAGATACTACTAGCTTCTGCTTCACCATTTGGAATGCTGACTCCTGAAATCCAGTTGCCAAATAAAGAAGGTTAAGCTAGCCATCTGGAGAGGTAAAGAGAGGTCTCAGCCTCCCAGCCAACCCTGCCAAGGCACCAGACTTGTGAGTGAAGCCATCCTGGTATTTAAGCCCCAGCAACCATCCGATTGCAACCTCATGAGAGATGCTAGCTAATACCACGTAAAACTGCCTAGCTGAGCCCTGGCCAAATTCCTGACCCACAGAATAATGAACAAATAAAATGGTTGTTACTTAAAGTCACTAAGTTTGGGGTTATCTTGTTAATGTAATAAAAAATAAACAGGTGGAAATATTCCTCCTAGAGAAATTCTAGGAAAAGGAGAGACAGCCATCTGTTTTGTAAACTTAGGCAGAGGCAATCTGTGGTATCAACTTCACCTTTCTGGATTTAACAATCCACTGGACATGGAGAAAATGGAGGAATGAATTGCCTTAGAATCTCTACAGTGACTCTTGTTAGAACTTCAGGATGGGACTTCCTGATAGGGAGCCTTCAAGGTGTGCTATGATCTAAATGAGTGCATCTCCCCAACATCCTTATGATGAAATCCTAGCTCCAAGGTGATAGTATTAGGACATGGGACCTTTGAGAAGTGATTAGGTCATGAGGGCAGAACCCTCATCAATGGAATTAGTGCCCCCATAAAAGAGACCTGAGAGAAACCTCTTACCCCTTCCATCATGCGAGGACACAGCAAGAAGTTTCCATGCCAGAAAGTGTACCCTCACTGGACACGGAATCTGCCTTGATCCTGGACTTCTCACAACTGTGAGAAGTAAATTTCTGTTGTTTCTAGGCTACCCAGTTTATGATATTTTGTTATAGCAGCCCGAATGGACTAAAACAACGGGAAATTGGTTTTTCCTCTGTAGGCTGGTAGCTCTTGGAACAGAAACTCTTCTTGTTTAAGAAGGTGCTCCACTGATGCTGTTCTGCCCACCACCCCATAAAGCCCATTCCTGCTGTGGAAAACTAAAGTCAAGAATACATCATTTCTGTTCATATTGTCATCTGATATTATTGAAAACTGTGACTGGTGCCTGGAGCACAGGATGTGCTAAGTATCCTCCCTTAAGATTACTTCTTATCGGCCGTGCACGGTGGCTCATGCCTGTAATCCCAGCACTTTGGGAAGCTGAGGCGGGCGGATCATGAGGTTAGGAGACCAAGACCATCCTGGCTAACATGGTGAAACCCCGTCTCTACTAAAAATACAAAAACAAAATTAGCCGGGCGTGGTGGCGGGCACCTGTAGTCCCAGCTACTCGGGAGGCTGAGGCAGGAGAATGGCGTGAACCTGGGAGGCGGAGCTTGCAGTGAGCCAAGATTGCGCCACTGCACTCTGGCCTGGGCGACTGAGTGAGACTTGTCAAAAAAAAAAAAAAAAAGATTACTTATTATCACACATGATTGTGGTAACCCAAGCCCCTTTTCAGTGCCTCTTTTGGCTAGGATTCACCAGCCAATCTACCACATTTCTGTGGAATCATTTCTTCTATTTCCTTTGTGCTGCCCATACTTTCCACTTATCAGCTGATCTGCAGTTAGAATGAATCAGGTATGTGAGGAGATGGCCACTTGCAGGCTTCTTTCTTTAAGACCAGATCAATGCCATTGATGGGAGATTCCCACCTACCATAAAAAGATTAATTTGATTTTATGAACAGAAACAAAAGCTGAGAACTCAGGGGAAGCTTTTCCAAAAGGTTGATGCTATGTTTTTGCATGCGAAAATTTTGCTTTGGGGTTGTGAACTCTTTAAAACAAACAGTTGAGGTCATTGTTAATGGGAGACAGGATGACTTGCATAGTTTCTGTCAAGACTGACTGCTTTTAGGGAGGAAATGCAGCAAAGAGGGTTGGGCTCTTTCACAATGATCCATCTTTCAAAAGCACAAGTGAATGCCCTCTCTCATTAATCATAAGAGTCTGGCTTATATTGGAAATGGGGAGCAAGAGCTACTCGTGGGGACATCACATCTCTTCTCTTGCTGAATGGTGAGAGGGCCAAATAATCCCATCTTTCCACTTGCCTACTTAAGGGACACTTCTCTTGGCAGGCTGAACACCAGAAGAAGGGATGGATATCCAAATCAGTAAGTCTTACTGTTTCATGGTTCTCCTTTGAGGTAGGATGTTATGGAGGAGAAATTATGTTTCATTCTGGGATTGCCCTGGACCAGGCACAAGTTTCATGGCATCTCTTTAATTTATCACTCTAGCGTCACCCAGTAACCAAAAGGCCAAAGCAGATGGATCTTCTCCTTCACATTATCTCACCAAACTGTCTCACTCCCTTATTTCACACAACGCTTATTACCTAAACCTAATTTCCAAGAAAGAAATCGTTATGATCACCACCCTCAAATGACCAAGGAAATCAGAGTAAAAACTTCATAGGAAGTTGATTGCAGAACCAACTAGACTGAAATCTAAAGAAAGACAGGCACCTTCAAACAGACAGGGGACATGAGCTTTTGCTTACCTGGGACAGATGATGGGTGCCAAGCAAGCTGAAAGAAGGCAGCTAAAATTGTTAACAACTAAAAGCTGAGCGCGTACCATGAGTACAGAACCTTTGGGATCAATATACATGAGAAATTTGCACCTGTTAGGAGACTTCTTTATAGACTTCATTGTTCATAAGAGATTGGAAACAGGGGAGGAGACCAGAAAAGGCCTCCTTCTGGAGGCCTTGAGGAGATGTATAGTAGTCACTGCAGGAAAGGAAAAAAGCTTAGCCTTAGGTGCTTCTGTCCTTTCTCCATTGCAAAAGCTGTAGGCTGCTGAGGAAAGAAAGGGCAGCAAACCCTATTGCCTTCAGGGCACAAGGGAAGACCCAGTGCAGCTGTGGTGAATGGAATAAAAAACAAACCAAAACAAAAAACCCTTGTATCTATGGGAGAAAGACAGAAAAAGGAACTGGGTCCAGATCCTTAGAGGTCCCTTACTGCTTAGGTAGGAAAACGATCACCGAGAATGGAAAATATGAACACTTCTACCCCTCAAAACCAAGCTAGCAAGCAATGAATAATCAATGCCAACACTAAACTTCTGGGGTAGAGACACTGTAAGATGAAGCACAAAGGGAAGACTTAAAACAAGAATGTCTACTTTTTGGGCAAAGGACATGAATAGACACTTCTCAAAAGAAGACATTTATGCATCTGACAAACATATGAAAAAAAGTTCAACATCACTGATCATTAGAGAAATGCAAATTAAAACCACAATGATATACCATCTCACACCAGTCAGCATGGCAATTATTAAAAAGTCAAAACAACAGATGCTGGAGAGGATGTGGAGAAATAGGAATGCTTTTACACTGTTGGTGGGAATGTAAATTAGTTCAACCATTGTGGAAGACAGTGTGACCATTCGTTAAGGATCTAGAACCAGAAATACCATTTGACCCAGTAATCCCATTACTGAGTATATACCCAAAGCAATATAAATCATTCTTTTATAAAGACACATGCACACATATGTTTATTGCAGCACTATTCCAATAGCAAAGACATGGAACCAACCCAAATGCCCATCAGTGATAGACTGGATAAAGAAAATGTGGTACATATACACCATGGAAAACTATGCAGTCATAAAAAGGAATGAGATCATGTCCTTTGCAGGGACACGGGTGAAGCAGGAAGCCATCATTCTCAGCAAACTAACACAGGAACAGAAAACCAAACACCACATGTTCTCATTCATAAGTGGGACCTGAACAATGAGAACACATGGACACAGGGAGGGGAACAAAACACACCGGGGCCTGTTGGGGCCAGGGGCGCAAGGGGAGGGAGAGATACTTGGGAGGCTGAGGCAGGAGAATTGCTTGAACCTGGGAGGCGGAGGTTGCAGTGAGCCGAGATCACACCACGGCACTCCATCCAGCCTGGGCGACTCCATATCAAAAAAAAAAAAAAAAGTATAGTAACCAAGGTATGAGAAGGTAGCCTGAACCAAGGTATTCTCCCCTCTCCTATTTTGTAGCCCAATTTTGTGAACTAAAGGTTTACACTGTGTGTTTCCCATAGAATACCACTATTATTCCTTACTTTCCCATTGCAGGCCAGCCCTGATAATACCAATATTCACAGGTCAGGAGAAGTTGGAGGTTAAAAAACATCATGCAATTCTGGTACCTAAACCTCACAATCCCTCCCTCTTAGCTACTTTCTCTCCATTTTACTTGAAAAAGGAGGGTCAAGAAACAGGATATTCTGAGTTGGTAGAGCACAGATACCCAAGTCAGACTTCTAAACTCAGTGGCACAGAATCAGGGTATTAACTACCTCTGCTACACAGAGTCCCTCAGCTACAAAAAGGAGCTAGTATTTAAAAAAAGGTACATTCAGAGCACTCACTGTGTGCAAGACTTTTTATGTGCCAAGTGCCTGCCAACAAAGTAAGAAAGAAAAACTCCCCCATTGGGGAGTTTCTGGTCTAATGGCCAAGACATGGTCTTACAAAACAGGGGCCCTCCTTGTTCAAGGTAGAAGAGGATGAATTTACCTTCAGAGGGCCAGACACAAGAGTGGAGGTCAGGGAAAATGATAAAAGACAATCACAGCATGAATATGGATGACTGAGGGCTTCCTTCTTGGGGTCTGCTTCAAAGGACTGATATCTGGCATTTTTAGTTAGGAACTTCCAGGAATTGAAAAGATGATGAGCATCTTGAAGTCTCCTTGATTATGCTTTATTTTCTTTATGCCTCAACTTGGACAGGACCTAGCATATAAGCATTTAGTAAGTAATAGCACTAATATGGTCATTATGTACCAGACACTATGCTAAGCATTTTTATATATTATTTTAATTATATTCAAACAAGATAATTAAAGGTGGCAGGGTTTATTAGTAAACCCACTTTACAGATGAAAAGAATAAGGCCACAGAAGTTAAGTAACTTGTTCCAGATCACTGAAGGGCTCTTTGGAAAAAGGAGAACCCATGCTATTAGGGGAGATGAAGGGAGGAGGTTTTGCCGGTTTATAAGTCAATGCCCAGTCAGAGGAAAACAATTTACATACTTGCCTTTTGTCAACTATACCTCATAAACGCATTTGTGGATGTGCACAGTAAGGCTGCAAAGTGGCAACTTAGCGTTCAAGTCATCAGCAAGGTGAATGTTTCAGGTTGCTTCCTATTCTAGTAGCTACAAAACTTTAATCCTAAGCATAAAGTCATTTACAGTTTAGCATTTATGCATATTCATGAATTCTTTGATCCTGTCTTAATTTCTAGGGACTCAACCTAGAATAAAGAGGCCACTCAATAAGGGTCCCAGAACATAATATGTGTGTGTGTGCATGTGTGCATATGTATATGTATGTATTTATAACAATTACTAATCACTTTAATTAACCAACTTAACCTGATTAGTAATGATTTATTTCTTCACTGTCTTCTGACACTGTTCCTTACATTGATAAGTTTTCATTTGTTCCCAGAACCTCTTCTTTGCATTTATCCCTCATTGCTTGCTCCAGTTTTTATATTGCCTTGATCCGTCAGCTCTACTCTTAATATGCCATTTCTTTTTTTGTTTGTTTTTTGAGATGGAGTCTCGTTCTGTCACCAGGCTGGAGTGCAGTGGCGATCTAGGCTCACTGCAACCTCCGACTCCCTGGTTCAAGCAATTCTCCTGCCTCAGCCTCCTGAGTAGCTGGGATTACAGGCACGTGCCACCATGCCCAACTAATTTTTGTATTTTTAGTAGAGACAGGGTTTCATCACATTGGCCATGATGAAACTCGTGATCTGCCCACCTTGGCCTCCCAAAGTGCTGGGATTACAGGCATGAGCCACCACCCCTGGCCAATATGCTATTTCTTAAAAAAAAAAAAAGGAACAAAGGAAAAAAAATGGAGAGAATGAAAATAACAACCAATGTCTTAGTAACTTAATTGTACCTGTGGTTGTTTGTATCAGGGGGCCTTGCTTTCTATGGGCGACAAGAGGCACTGGCATTCCATAGTGATAATACTGAAATAAAGGATTGGTCTGGGATTCCTAAGACCAGAGAAGAGAAGGCTGAAGGGAACATCGATTGCAATCATCAAGTGCCTAGCCATGTGTGAACACTGATAACCGTTACTGGTCTCACTTTCTAAAGCTTGGCTCAGACAGTGGCAAGAGGGAGCAAGGGGGAAGGAGGAGGGGGAAGAGGGCAGGACTATATGATCTTCAATGATCATTACCAGATCTGGGACACAGACCAATGGTTTGGACAGCAGAATCCAGCTACTAAAGACTTCTCTGCTCTCAAATTTTAAGCCCCTCTCTCCATGCTGCAATACTGCTTGAGTTCATACAATAAGTCTTATGTCAAGATTAGCAGTTTATAGTATTGTCATTCTAGTCTTGAGGACTCACAATTTTACCTCTTTCATTTTTTCTCCTCCTAGCATTCCTCACTCTTTAAATATTTAGTTTATTATTCTTTGTTTTCCTTCTCTTCCCTACTCTATCTAACCTAAGCTAAGTCAAACAGGAAGAGGAAGGAATTAGTGTTGTTAGAGGGTCAGCCATAGGTTTTCTCTTTTCATTTTTTTCTGCTCTGGCCTCAAACAAGTAGCACTCCCTAAATATGAAATAATGAGGCTGCAGCATCCTTCTGCCTTAATCCATCACCTAATTATAACTATCATTATAGCACTTTCAGTTTGCCTCATTTTATTTTCACAATCTTTTTTTTGTAATTGGTAGTACAAAGATCATTAGTATCCCATGTATTTATGAAAAACTAAGGCTCAGATTGGTTAAGTGATTTGTGCTGATGGAGACACAGTTGAAGACGGGTCCATGTACCATGAAGTTACTGGGGACCTGACTCACGGTACAGCCTCCGGTAAGTCACTTAACCTTTTTGTGACTAATCTCCAAAATGGGGATGAAAGTATCAACTTACTTCTCAGGGAAGCTGCAGAGATTAAGTAGCCAATAAACAATTGTAAAGGGATTTGGAAATTTCAAATACTACATAAATGTTTTAATAAGCTTTTAATGTTAAGGCTCCACTAGGTATCCATAGATGGAAATCAGGTGAATTTATCTGCTGGCATTCGTATTTTCCAGGGCCTGAAGAAAGTGGATTGAGCTCGTTTAAGGACTATACTCCATTCTTTCTTAATTGCTTCTAGGTGCTGGCCCTGCTACTTGCAAGTCCTATCTCTGCTGCCCCTCCCCCAGTTGAGCCCAAGCAGATGTGTTGCTCTCTAGAATCTGGCCAAGGCAACTAGAAAATACAGGAAGGAGGGCTGCCTCCTCATGCCCCCTGGGGGCAGCAGAGATGATCACAAGCAGACTCCTATCATTAGCCCTAGAAACCTTCCAGATGGGCACTCTGACCTCCAAGAAAACATCCCTAATAATTTGCAGGGCATTCAAAGAAAGTACTGTGTGGTTCTGGCCACTAAAAAGTGATCTAGGCTTGTATTTCGGATCTTCAGGCTATATATTTCATCCCTTCAATGAAATTCACTTAACTTGTTTTATAACAAGCTTATTATATTGCATAGGGAAATTCGTGACAACATCATATCAAAGAAAATATTTGAAATCAATTTACTTTATAAGAAAAAAAATCTCTAAAGAACGATGAAGACAAACTGTGCACGATACACTACTGCTGTACTAACCTCAAACATTGTACCCTGGGTAATGTTGTTCAGTTTTGTGACTCTAAAGACATTTATTTCCTTATTAATTTTTTTAATTGAGGTATAATAGGTGTACATAGTTTAGGGGTACAGGTGATAATTTAATACATTCACATACTTTGTAAACACCAAATCAGTTTACTTAGGATATCCATCACCTTAAATATTTGTCTTTTCTGTGTGCTAGAAACATTCAAGTTATTCTCTCTAGCTATTTTGAAACGCACAATAGATTACTGTAAACCATAGTCACTCTACTGATCTGTTGAACGCTAGGTCTTATTTCTTCTATCAAACCATGTATTTGTAGCCATTAGTCAACTTCTCTTCATCCTTCTCCCACACCCTAGTTAGTTCCCATTTCTTTTCTGAGACTTACTTTTCCAATCTGTAAAACAAACACAATGGCTTCTGTCAAAAATCTGCCTCAAATGAAAGTCACTTTAAGCCAGGATTGACATTCAGTTGGTACAACGAGTTTCTACTTGTGAAAAATAAGACTAAAGGACTCTACGTTAGTTACTAAATTTAAAAATGCCAGTAAATTTTAAATGATAAACCATGGCTCTCCCACTGCCTGCAAAGCTATTCTCACAGATATCCGCCTATTTCATCTCCCTCAAGGCACTGTCATCTCTCACCTCAATCAGGCCTACTCTGACTACAGTATTTAACACTGCAACCTGTCCTCCCAAATCCCCATACTCTCCAATCCCTTTCCCTTTTTCTGCTTTCTAATTCCTTCTACAGCACTTATTTACAACTACAACTACAGAATCTATTATTTATGCTTATTATTTATCTATTTCCTTACTCGTCTACCCTAAACTGTAAACTCCATGAGGTCAGGAATCTCAGCCTGTTTTGTTCATTGATGTATCTCAAGTGCCTGGGACATAGCAGATGTTTAGCAAACATATGGTGAATAAGTGAATGAATGAATAATCCTCTAAGAATAATTAACTTTTAAATTACCCAGGGGTAGAACTAATTTCTTCTGAATTGTCACTATACTCAGCTCAGGGTTTGGGCCCAGAAGATATTTAAAATCATGTTCTATTTGATTGACGTTATATCTGAAAATCATAAATACTCTGTGACTAAATTCTTTTATCTGTCTTCTCTTTGGTTTGGGGAAACTCTTATGAATTAGCCAGCCAATTAACAGCATCAAGATGAGGAGGTGAAACTGGGTAAGGGCAAGGGAGATGAAGGAAAAGGTGAAAGATGACTGAGCAGAGATCCAGAAGTATTGAGAAATGGCCAGTGAACTCACCATGATAAGTCAGTAAGAGCTTCATGGAGAATTCACTAATGGAATAGCCAGGGAAGATGGGGACTCTTTTAAACATGTACAACTTCTGTTCTGTTTTTTGCTGGATCCCACTACCTGGTGTGTTCTAGGTACTTGAATAGTGAGTCCTAGAAGATATAGGGAATACTATGACTGCCACTCTACACTGCTCTAGGAAAATGCAATGTGTGGAAAAGTTCAAAGGGTTGGCTCTGTGTCCACAATTGATCGCAAAAGGCTTTCTACAGGAAAGGTGGGCCTTAAAGTATGGGGGAAAATGTTTTTTGTGTAGACCACAAGAACAAGTATATAATGATTATATTTTTATAGGCAGAGCCAAAGGCAAGGGACAGTTTATTCAAGAAGCTTCTTAATCATTTTAAAATACAAAAACCTTGTATATTTGAGTGTCACTGTATCTAGTTATTGATAATCTCAAAAACAAATAAAATGCCCTGGACTAGAAGCTAAGCTGATTATCAGCTGGAGAGAGCACATAACCTTTCTTCTTATGATACATACAGTGTCTCATAATTGTGTCCTTATGGGGTACAAGTATATTCCTCAGGAAATATCTGGTACTAGGCTGTTTTAGAGATAGGTCATGCAGCTGGTGGGCTACATGGGTCATTTTTGTGGAAAATATTATTATTATTGCACAATGAGCTGTGTATCTCATTTAATGCATCACCAGCATTTCAAATAACTTATCACAAGCTACTTTGAACCCTAACTGGGCAGAGGGAACTCTCCTGCTAGGCATCTCACATATTCATTATCCTTCAGTAACTAAAGCAATAAGGTGAGGCTGACGGCTAAGGCACTGAGGAGGTACTTTTATGTAAGGGTTTGCAATATACTCACTCTCTCTTCACAGATTAGTGGTTATATATGTGAGTCACTAGCACTGAAAATGTGTAGCAGCAATAGCATCTGTGTTCAGTATGTCTCTAAGATTCATCTTCTCTGATCTATACCCCTGCCTCCATCCTATGCCAAAAACCACAGCTGCCTGTTCCTTGGTCACCAGGCTCTGCTCTAATTCGTTGAAAATGTAGAAGGAGCCCAACAGGCAGATAAAGGTATGAGGGTTAACTGATTTCAATAGCTAACAGTCACTGAGAGACCACTACTCAGAAAATACAGTGGAAAAACAAAACAACAAAACACAAAGACTCATTCAGCTTGTTTTAAATCGGACCATACACACTTAGACTTTGGGAAAGTGAGTAAACCACCAAGTTATGAGTGCAGTGTATAAAAGATAAAAATCTGAGTTATCCCTTTGTGGTTACAGATTATGAAACCATTTCAGGCTCTCCCTAGACAGTATTCCTGATGAATAGTAGATTGCAAACAGAGCAAGCCAGAAGGGTTAGCATCTCTGATTACTATCCTGTTAAGATTTTTTCCCAAGCATCCTTGTATAGTTTAAAATTAAATTTTTTGCCTTTGTAATCTGTAGCCTTTGTGTATATATCATCTAATGAAAAGGGCTTTTTTGAATTAAAATGGTGTTTGGAAAAAGAACATGTGTTTCTGATTTACTATTAAATACATTTATAAAGACAGAAGGCTCTCAGACCTAGTGAAGGCCTGTTTTTTGTTTGTTTGTTTGTTTGTTTGTTTGTTTTAAAGCAAGAGTCCTGTAACACTTCAGGAGGACAGAATCCCTAATGCAAACACTCAGATGGACTGGGGCATAAGTTTTTGGGTAGAGAGTAATTGTGGAGCCTAGGAATTCAGATTTGTCTTGTCTGACCACCTTAGGGGTAAACACACTGCTCTGTCTTTTCCCAGCTAGTTGGTGAACTTGGCATCTATTAAACAGGACATTTTGGAATACAGGCGATTCCAATTATCACAATGGTCTTATGTTTCAAGGCTGTTTGTTTATAAACACAGCCACTTTCTGTTTAATTTCTCTCCTATTTTGGTTTATTTAAGCTCCAATTTTTTTCCAGCACCTAAACGAGGATTTTTGAGATTTATGCCTGGCCAGTATGCATTAAATTAATAAAAGGTATTAGAAATGTATGTTATATAAACATCTAGTTTGCATTTGCTAGTAATCAGGGAAATAGGCAACAAAGCAATGAGAAGTTGCTATTTTACACCTAACGATTAGCAAATAAATTAAAAATATTAACTCCTCTGCAAGGTTTTGGTAAAATCAGCATACTCCTCCACTGCAAATAGCACGATGACAAATCATTTTGAAAGAAATATTACCTTATCTCTTGTGAATCACAAAATATTTCTACCCCCTACCACAACGATTTCACTCATAAACATTTACCTGAAGGGAATCATCTACTAGACTAAAAATGCTATATGTACAAAGATACATACTACTCAATTCTCAGGAAAAAAATTTAAAAATAAAATCAACAGTACAAAATTGGAAACACACTAAATAAATGGATTTCAAGTAGGGTACAAGTACTCTTTCATTGGAAGGATGTACATCAGAATCTTCTTGGAGAGAAAAGGAGGAAGGAACAAATAAATATATGTGTAGTTTCAAAAAGCATATTGAGAATTATCACTGCTCTTATTTATTTGAGACAAAGTCTCGCTCTGTTGCCCAGGCTGGAGTGCAGTGGTGCAATCTCCACTCACTGCAGCCTCAACCTCCTGTGCTCAAGTGATCCTCCCACCTCAGTCTCCCAAGCAGCTGGGACTACAGATGCATGCTGCCACGTCCAGCTAATCTGTGTGTGTGTGTGTGTGTGTGCGTGTGTGTATGTGTGTATGTGTGTGTATATATATATATGTATACGTAAGTGTATATATATATATACATCTATGTGTGTATATATATAGATGTGTATATATGTGTATATATATGTCTGTGTATACATATATTTCTGTATGTGTATATACATCTCTCTCTGTATGTGTGTGTGTGTATATATATATAAATACACATACTTTTTTTTTTTTTTAGTAGAGATGGGGTTTCGCCATGTTGTCCAGGTTGGTCTCAAACTCCTGGGCTGAAGTGATGCATCCACTGTGGCCTCCCAAAGTGCTGGGATTATAGGCATGAGGCACCGCGCCCAGCCTATTTTATTTTAGACATCAAACTGCTTTATTTTATAATTTGAAATAATACTACATAGGATATCATATTTTTATGTTCATTAAAAGAAGTATAAGAAAGTTTGAGAAATGGCAATATAAATATCAATAACAAGTCTAACAACAGTCAGAAAATTATAACAAAACAACAATGACAAATTAATGCTTACTGAGCACTTGATGTGTCAGGTATTGGGCTAAGTTCTTTGCAGACATTATTCTTTATTAAATTTTCATATTTCTAGGTGAAAGAGTTGTTGACACATTTGACACTGAATTAAAAAATCATTATTGGAATGAGATAGTGACATAAATATTCCTTTAGTGGCCCTAGAGGACAGGGAGGATCCGAGGCTTGGGTTTACAAGCCTACGTGGAGACTGTGAGACAATTACTTAGACTTGTCTATGGAGCAAGGTTAGAATTAAGACTTCTGTGTGAAGACAGGGCTCTTCAAGAGCTGAACCTTGGTGAAAGGGTAGACCAGAAAACAAATCTACCCCTTGGTATAGGGAGATGATAAGGAAACCTTTTTATCATGGCATACTAAAGTAAAATACAGTTTTACATTTTTCACCCCCTATCCCTATTCATTTAACTATATATTGGGCATTATTTCTTATCCATATATAAAGCACCTCTTTATTAGTATCCTATTAAACAACTATAAAAAATGACACAGTGAATAATTTGGTAAATGCATGTAAGTATATAAATCTGTAGGACTGAGTCCCTGGAGTGGAGCTGCTGGATCAAAAGACATGCACATCAAATTCCCTCCTCAGAAGTTGTATCCATTTATAGTACTACAGCAACAACCGCGTATGTGACTCTCTCGCCACACCCTAAGAAACAGTGTGTTGGTAACTTCTAAAAGACTAGAAATCGAATGTAAAACCCCTTTTAAAAGAATAGAAAGAGAATGTAAAACAACCATTTGCTGGAAAAAGAGGGGAAAGGGGATTTAAAAAACAATCAAATAGAAGACAGAGAGACTAAGGAGATATGATGATTGAATGCAACGAGGTATCCTCAACTGGGTCTTAAAACAGAAAAATGGCATTAGTAGAAAAACTAATGAAATTCAAATAAAGTCTACAGTTTAGTTAATAGTAATATATCATTGTTAATTTCTTGTTGTGACAAATGTTTCACTGTAATAAAAAACAGATGTTAACATTAGGAGAAACTGAGTAAGGGCACACAGGCACTCTTAAATACTGTCTTTGCAACTTTTCTGTAAATCTAAAATTATTCCCCCAAAAGTTTATTTAAAAAAACAGAGCGAAAAAGACAAGGCTATCCCAGCAGGGGAGGAGGCAGTAGAAGGAAAGACATGAAGGAAGAAAATAGCACCATCCACACAAGGAACTACAGGGCAGTTTGGTGTTGCTGGAAAGTAAAGTTGTACTCTTAATGTGTAAGTTGTTTCATTATTCCATTTTCCCTGCCATTCCCTTTAAAAATCTAGGTTTACTTAGGTTGTCATGTTTTACAGAAAAAGTGTGAATTTAGGTTTTATGTTCACTTTGACTAGGTCATAATGTCATTACCAAAGCACTCTCATTCTGGCAGCACTTATGAAGGGACTAACTTCGCTCATTAAGTCAGTAGACCTGGCACATCAGTGAATTGGTTTTCAAGGTACAGTATGTGAACAGCCAAGTGGTGATTATTATATATATTTGACATCTCTGTCAGTCAATTAAATAATGTCAAAAGCAAAAACAAGTGTTTTAAGATTTGGGAATCTGCCCTCTTAACCAGAAGCAAATTTGTTAGATAGGTAGGAAGCAATGGAATTGACAACCACTATATAAAACCAAAAGAATTATATCTGCATTCCATACATTCATAGCTGTAATGCTAACATTTTAAAACCAAAATATAAAAAATAAAAGATAACAAAACAAGAGAAGCAAATAAAAGGTATGATAAATAGCACAATAAGATGTTAAAAAGGAAAATATGACAGCAATGATCTAAATTCATCAGTTAAAAGATAGAGGTTCTCAGATTGTATTAATAAGCAAATCCAACTATATGCTGCCTATAAGAGATAAATTTAAAATATGAGGATGCAGAAAGTTCAAAGTCAAGCAATGGAAAAACACATACTGAGCAAGTACTGAAAAGGAAAACCGGTCCAGTAAAAACTATCAGGTGAAAAAGCATTAATAGGAATAAAAAGGGTCACTACACACTAGTAAAAGAATAATTCACCAAGAAGACATAAAATTTCTAAACTTGTACATAACCAATAACATAGTCTGAAAACACACAAATACACAAAGTGAAAACTGAAACTATTATAAGGGTAAACTGATATACCATAATCACAGAGGGAGATTTTAGCACCTTCTTTCAGTAACGGATAAAAGAAGATTTTTAAAAATTAGTAAAAATGTAGTAGATTTGAAGAGCACAACTGATATGTTTTATCCACTGGATATGTAACATTGCATTCATTTACCAGAGAATACACATTCTTTCAAGGATCCATGGAGCATTTACAAATATTGGCCACAAAGATGCTATAAAGCAAACCTTAATAAATACCACATTCTTTTAATCACTGAAATAAAATTATAAATAAATAACTTAAATCTATATGTCTTCTTTTTAACAAGAGTCTTTCCCTAGGATGTTTATAATTTTACTCAACTTAGCAAAACAACTTTGTAGTGTAAAAACAAAACTAAGGAGGTGATAGCTTTATTTTAGTGTTACACAACTAATGTGGCTTCCTAATGTTATTCACCAGGCCAAGAAGAGTATTGATGATGGAGGAAGAGTGATTGCAAAGATAAAATGATATGAAAGGGCAAGGAATTTGGGGGAAGGTATGATTGAAGTATAGATGAGAGAGAAAAAGTAGAAAAGGCTGTTAAAGTAGATTGGAGTCAGGAAGTTCGGATTTTACCAGGAGAAGGATGTTTGGTTTTGGTCATTTAGGCAAAGGGAAGCGATCAAAAGTGTCTAAGTATGGGGCTGATGAGGTATGGTAGGACATGGAGTTGACATCACTTGATAATGCACCTTATGTCCAGGGAAATGAGTAAAATGGGAGAAAAAGAAGAATCAAGAATAAATCTCAGGTTTCTTTTTTTTTATTATACTTTAAGTTTTAGGGTACATGTGCACAACGTGCAGGTTTGTTACATATGTATACATGTGCCATGTTGGTGTGCTGCACCCATTAACTCGTCATTTAACATTAGGTATATCTCCTAATGCTATCCCTCCCCCCTCCCCTCACCCCACAATAGGCCCCAGTGTGTGATGTTCCCCTTCCTGTGTCCACGTGTTCTCATTGTTCAATTCCCACCTATGAGTGAGAACATGCGGTGTTTGGTTTTTTCCTTGCGATAGTTTGCTGAGAATGATGGTTTCCAGCTTCATCCATGTCCCTACAAAGGACATGAACTCATCATTTTTTATGGCTGCATAGTATTCCATGGTGTATATGTGCCATATTTTCTTAATCCAGTCTAACATTGTTGGACATTTGGCTTGGTTCCAAGTCTTTGCTATTGTGAATAGTGCTGCAATAAACATACGTGTGTATGTGTCTTTATAGCAGCATGATTTATAATCCTTTGGGTATATACCCAGTAATGGGATGGCTGGGTCCAATGGTATTTCTAGTTCTAGATCCCTGAGGAATCGCCACACTGACTTCCACAATGGTTGAACCAGTTTACAGTCCCACCAACAGTGTAAAAGTGTTCCTATTTCTCCACATCCTCTCCAGCACCTGTTGTTTCCTGACTTTTTAATGATCGCTATTCTAATTGGTGTGAGATGGTATCTCATTGTGGTTTTGATTTGCATTTCTCTGATGGCCAGTGATAGTGAGCATTTTTTCATGTGTCTTTTGGCTGCATAAATGTCTTCTTTTGAGAAGTGTCTGTTCATATCCTTCACCCACTTTTTGATGGGGTTGTTTGTTTTTTTCTTGTAAATTTGTTTCAAATAAATCTCAGGTTTCTTAGTATGAGTGACTGATTGAGTAGTGATGCCTTTAATGGGGAGGAGGAAAAGAGAAAAATGGTAAAGCAGGTAGAAGAGGAGAAAAAGTAACACATGGAGTTCAGGATATACTACATTTGAAATAGGGAGACGTCGTTAAGATCTAACTCCAACAGTGATGGGAGCATTTACGAAGATTACGAAGCAAAGAGAAGCAGGCGGAGATTAGGAGTTAGAAAATTCAAGTTGCCTGAAATTGAGCAAAGCAGGGTCATGTTACCATTTGCTTTAAAGCTACACTCTTTATGACAACAGGACAAGTTTAGTGCAACAATTTATGGTTCTAACAATAAGCAAGACACCTCTTTCCAGACCTGAAAGAAGCCAGGTATTATCAGAGGGAGACAGGCAGGGAGCTCCCCAGTGAAGGCTCTAGAGCATCCCATAAAAGGATGAAGAGAGAGACAATCCACAAATGCAAATATCTATTCAATTTTCATTCTATTATAGTTATATTCATAGTTAATACTGTATGAAAATGTTTATTATAGAGTCACCTGCAAGAGCAAAAATAAGAAATAACCTGAATTCCCAATGAAGATTCAAATCGGTAAATGATAGCATATTAACTCAAAATATTTTTTAGAAAAGTTGCCTATGTGCAAATGGATACCACGTGCTACCTAATAAGTTGCCTTAAAATTTACACTGTTAGGGAAGCTTTGGCCATTTTTGTGGTACTGGATATAATTATATCACAACAGGGGACTCTTTCTGACAGGTATTCCCATCTCAAAGCATCTTAAAAAGGCAAGATCACTTCACTGTACAATGTTACCTAGTTAGAAAACCAAAGAAGGAACAGACAAAGCAGGAAAAATGAGGTGAGTAAGGAGGGGGAGGAATGGAACAGCACTATTTCCCAAAGTACATTCACAAGAGTCTCTGTGGGAAAAAAAAAGGGTTCTGCAACTAGTAAGTTTGATTAACTATGGTCAGTGCCATATTGAGGGTTCTAAGTCCTGCTATAAAGAAACTCACTAAAATTTAACTCCGCGTGTCCCAAATTTATTTACTATGGAACTCCTTCACTGCGGGACACTTATTAGCATGCTGTGGAACTACAGTTCTGCTGAATGTACTTTGATAAATATGAACTAAGTTAGAAAAAATTATTTGATAACAAAGTAGCTTTGGAAAGGGAAGAACTAGTAGAAAGACAAGATTGAATTTGGGAGGTCTAACTTCTGAATGATGTCTTTAAGTATTTAAAGGCATATCACTATCTTTTTGCAATGCAATTCCTTCTTGTGTCAAATGAGGATAAGAATTTATTTCACCTCTATTCTACAGTCTCTTATACTAACATGAGATGCCAGCAGTGAGGGTCATAAATACATAACAATGGATCCCCTGCATTCTAACATTTTAACTAACGACCTGGTCCATATATTTAAATGAGGTTTTAAAAAACTCTTCTTGTTAGGTACTAAGGAAAAGAAGAAATAGGTTGTGTGAAAAGCTTACAATAGCTGGTAAATAAGATTTACATATAGGATAAAATAAATTTAAGTGTGCAATTGTTAGATATAGACTCTCAGTGCTACTAGAATTCAGAGCAAAGAACTATTAAAGCTAGTTGTAGGAATTAGGATTTGATGTGAGTATTGAAGTATTGCTAGGAATAGTCAGATAGAGGATATTTTAGGCAAGGAACAATATGAATGGAAGCAGGAATAAAAATGACATATTCCTAAGATGAAGAAACAGGCTTTCCAGGTATGTGTTGGAGAACAGTAGTTTTAAAAACGTCAAAAGAAACAGTTAAAATGCTTTTCCAGTGAATGAGAACAGCTAGAGATAAAGAATAAAGCAGTTAACATTGATTTAATAAAATCAAACTTACTGAGTATATTTGACTTAAGAGTACCCATGAAAAGTAGAATCCAGTTCTGGTTCAACACAGTGAAAGATTTCCCCAACTTTCCCAACTTCCTATTACCCATGAATATAGGCATATATACACTCCCTCTCTTTCTCTGCTCTCACTCTCTCTAAATAATGATAGCACTGTAAATTTAAAAGACCTGATTGCCAAATCTGGGGAAATAGATTAGTCAACAAGAGTGCTGGGAAAACTGGCTGTATGAAACAAAACAAATTAAATCTTAGTTTCAGATCCTTCTCCAAAATAAATTATAGATGCATTTGTAATCTAAATATTTTAAAATGGAACAGTAAAGAAGAAAATGGGGGTATTAATCTTATTTCTGATTGTGAATCAGAATCAGAATAGAACAATAAGAGAAATTCTTATTCTTTTTGAAGAGTAAAAGCAATCAGAGAAATCACAAAGGGAAGTTATACATTTGAATACATACAAATTTAAAATAAGTATATAAAAAATGGGCAAATAAACTGGGAAAATGTCTTCCTTTAGTAAATATGAAAAAAGAGTAGTAACTCTACTATATGAAGAGCTACAACTGATGAAAATTTGATATGCCCATGAAACATGGGCAAAGGACAATGGAAATTATGAAAAACTTCACCAATGAAGAAACACAAATGCATAATAAACATTAAAGAATGCTCAGCTGCAAGGGCAATCAAAAATGCAAATCAAAAGAATGAGATACATTTTGACTATTAGCAAATATATATATATGTGCTTATACACTGCTGGTGGGAATGTAAATTAGTTCAGCCATTGTGGAAAGCATGTGGCGATTTCTCAGAGAACTTAAAGCAGAAGTATCATTTGACCCAGCTATCCCACTACTGAGTATATACCCAAAGGAACAGAAATCATCCTACCATAAAGATGCAAAAAAAATTATATATAATTTTTTTTTGAGACAGTCTGGCTCTGTCACCCAGGTTGGAGTGCAGTGGCACAGTCTTGGCTCACTGCAACCTCCGCCTACAGGTTCAAGCGATTCTCCTGCCCCAGCCTCTTGAGTAGCTGGGACTACAGGCGTGCACCACCACTCCTGGATAATTTTTTGTATTTTTAGTAGAGATGGGGTTTCAATACGTTGGCCAGGCTTGTTTCAAACTCCGGACCTCAAGTGATCCATCTGCCTCAGCCTCCCAAAGTGCTGGTATTACAGGTGTGAGCCACTGTGCCCAGCCTCTGCCTATTAGCAAAGATTTTTTAAAAACTGAGAATATTTAATACCGGTTATAGTGAGATTAAAATGGGCCCTCTCATGTATTATACATGGGAGTAAATTGGTAAAAATGTTCTGGAAAGTAATTTGTTAATATGCATAAGAGCCATTAAACATTCACATAGTTTAACCTAGTAATTCTTCTTCTGGGAATTGATCCTAAGGAACTCTTAAGAAAATCTAGATAAAGATAAAAATACCAGATGTTCATTGTAGTGTTATTTATACTAGGGCAAACCAGAAACAATCTAAATGCTTAACCACAGAAAAGTCATTAAAAATTGTACTTTAAAAGGCAGAATATAAAAAATAATGTTTGTGTAGTTGTTAATAATAGGAGATGCTCATAACATTAAGTGAAAACTGCAAGACACAAATCTATGTAAATAATATCTTAAACATTATTTCAAATTTGTAAGATACCATATTTCAAAATGTCCATAAGAAATATGTATTACTTTTATTATAAAGAAACCCGGGCCAGGCGCAGTGGCTCATGCCTATAATCCTAGCCTTTGGCAGGCTGAGGCGGGTGGATCACCTGAGGTCAGGAGTTTGAGACCAGCCTGTGCAACATGGTGAAATTCCGTCTCTACTATAAACACAAAAATTAGCTGGGTGTGGTTGCGGGTGCCTGTAATCCTAGGTACTTGGGGGGCTGAGGCAAGAGAATCACTTGAATCAGGGAGGTGGAGGTTTCAGTGAGCCGAGACCATGCCACTGCACCCCAGCCTGGGTGACAGAGTGAAACTCCGTCCCAAAAAAAAAAGAAAAAAAGAAAAAAGAAAGAAACCCTAGTACATAAGATACCCTTTAAAAAGCTACTATGAGGACCAAAAATCTCAAAGGATCACATAACTGTGGAATCATATTTTTGTAATTAAATAAAAGACACCAGGAAATTCAGGCAGGGTGGCAGGAGAGGCCAAGGTGGTGGACTAGAAGCAGCTCAGTGCACCATGTGATGGAGAGGAAAGGAAGGGGCTGGTGAACACTGACCCTGCAGGCCAATCACCTGAGAAACCATGTCGGGACCCATCAAGGCAGCAGGGAACACAGAGGGCAGAGAGGAGTGAAGCTGGGCCCCAGCCTGTCTGGGCTCTGTGGGGAGCCAGGAAAACCTCTCCAACATGGGAAAGGGGAGAGAGGGACAGCCACCTGGAGGATTCACACTCTCCACAGGAACTTGAGCAAGAATGGGAATAGGAGAATCCCCCTCACCCTCCTCGCAAACCCCCACTGTGCTTCTAGACTGAGGCAGAGAGCCAGCTGGATATTCTGTGGGGGCAACTCTTGAGTCCAGGGGGACCTCTACAAGCCTTAGGTCCTAGAGCAGACCAGAACCAGTGCCATAGCCTCAACAGAAGACACAGTTGTGGCACCTGGGAGCACTAAGATTGTTCCACACCCTCACTAAATGCGGCTTCACTCCAGCTTCTGGCCTATCGGTCCTGCTTCAGCACGACTTTGGCTGGCAGCCACAGCTTCCTGCTGTCCCAAGAAGCACCCTACGGCAGGGTGTGTGCCCCTACCTACCCCCACCACTAGTAGCCAGGTGGGCAATGCCTGCTAGAGCTTCCAGCCCAGCAGTCCCACTTCTGGGTGAACTCAGCTGGAGGCTGTGGCCTTCTGCTGTCCCAGGAAGCACTCGGATGGTAAGGCGTGTGCCCCATCCACCGGACACTGGTAGCCAGGTGGGCAATGCCTGCTAGAGTGTCCAGCCCAGCAGTCCTGGCTTCCCATATGCAGAAGATTGAAGCTGGACCGCCTCTTTTTTTTTTTTTTTTTTTTTAAGACAGAGTCTTAGGCTGACGCCTAGGCTGGAGTGCAGTGGTGCAATCTCAGCTCACTGCAACCTCCGTCCCCCCGGTTTAAGCAATTCTCTGCCTCAGCCTCCTGAGTAGCTGGGATTACAGGCACGTGCCACCACACCAGCTAATTTTTTGTATTTTTAGTAGAGACGGGTTTCACCATCTTGGCCAGGCTGGTCTTGAACTCCTGACCTCGTGATCCACCTGCCTCAGCCTCCCAAAGTGCTGGGATTACAGGTGTGAGGCACTGCGCCCAGCCTTCTTCTTTACTTTATGTACAAAATTCAACTCAAGATGGATTAAAGAATTAAATGTAAAACATAAAACTATAAAAACCCTGGAAGATAACCTAGACAATACTTCTGGACATAGGCCCCCGGCAAAGATTTCATTATGAAAACACCAAAAGCAATTGCAACAAAAACAAAAATTAATAAATGGTACCAAATTAAACTAAAGAGCTTCTGCACAGAAAAAGAAACTATCAACAGAGTAAACAGACAACCTAGAATGGGAGAGAATATTTGCAAACTATGCATCTGACAAAGCTCTATTATCCAGAATCTATAGGGAACATAAATTAAGCAAAAAACAAACAAGCCCATTAAAATGTGGGCAAAGGACATGAACGACACTTTTCAAAAGGAGATACACATGCAGCCAACAAGCATACAGAAACATGTAAAATCATTAGAGAAATGCAAATCAAAATCATGAGACACCATCTCATACCAGTCAGAAAGGCTATTATTAAAAAGTAAAAAACAAAAAAAAACAGATGTTGGCAAGATTGTAGAGAAAAGGAAATGCTTATACACTGCTGGTGGGAATGTAAATTAGTTCAGCCATTGTGGAAAGCATGTGGCGATTTCTCAAAGAACTTAAAGCAGAAGTATCATTTGAGCCAGCAATCCCACTACTAAGTATATACCCAAAGGAATAGAAATCATCCTACCATAAAGATGCAAGCATGTGTATGTTCATTGCAGCACTATTCACAATAACAAAGACATGGAATCAACCTAAATGCCCATCAACAGTAGACTGGATAAAGAAAATGTGGTACATATACACCATGGAATACTATGTAGCCATAAAAAAGAATGAGATCATGTCCTTTTCAGAAACATGGATGGAGCTAGAAGCCATAATACTAAGTGAACTAATACAGGAACAGCAAACCAAATACTGCATGTTTTCACTTATTTAGCTCACTTAGGAGCTAAATATCAAGTACACACGGACACAAAGAAGGGCAGAACAGACACCAGGGCCTACTTGAAGGTGGAGGCTGGAAAGAGGGAGAGGATCGAAAAACTACCTATTGGGTACTTTGTTTATTATCTGGATGACAAGATAATCTACACACCAAACCTCTGTGACATGCAATTTACCTATATAACAACTCTGCACATGTATCCCTGAACCTAAAATAAAAGTTAGAAAAAAAGAAATTTAGGCAGAATTGATAAATCTAGCTTCTAGATGATGCTGTCTAGAAACTGAGTGAAACATAAGAATAGGTGTATGGGACTTTCCCATTTATAACTTCCTTTATTCTAGACCCCTTTCTCAGCCACAGCCCTTTGAATATGCTGCCTGTTTCATGTGGTGCCACCCTTGTCTGCCCCTTTGCTGCACGGTTAAGGTCCTTGGTGTCTCGGTAGCCTTTCCATACCAATGCAGCCTCTGCCATCACCTTTTCTTCCCACTATTTGTACTGCTTTTTTGGTATTTATAATACGCCACTTTGCACTGTGGCTTATCTTTTTATAGGTATATTTTGCCCCCCCTTCAAGGGCACTATAAACCTTTCAAGGCTAAAATAGCCATATAGAAGTGCTTAACAGATGTCAGTTGATGATAGAGCTTAAAGGACAAATGCTATATTAATCATTCTGACTATTTCTGAGAAGAAAGGATTCCTACTCACATTTTACAGAAACAAAAAGTGATGTCTAGAAGAGTTAATTTACTTCCCTTGGATTCTTGAGCTGAACCAAAATGAACTGAGAAGGTTCCTCTCCTTACTAGAGCAGGCAGCCTCTTGGCAAATCAAAGTGCATAATCCCTTCAGTAACAGTGGTTGCTTACCAGCATAGTCAGTATTGATTTATGCTTGCAGGCACATGGCAGCTGGAGAATAGGGCAGTAATATTGGGCCACTAATACACAAGACGAGATTAAATGGTTTGAAATATTCTGAATCCTGGTTTTCTCCGAGCTTAGAAAATGACCTATTGGATATGTTATTCTGAGGGCAAAGAGAAATAGAAAAATCACATCCTGGCACTGGCTTGTCATTACTATCTTTAATTTAGATTTCCAAAATCGCCAAATATTTGGTTTTTAGGTACAATGTAATTTTCAATACACTTCCCAGCAAGACAGCTACCAATAAATTCAAGTAATTTTAGTTTCTGCAGCATTTCTTGGAAACTTCATGCTGGCACTGTCCTTGTCTCTGAATTGTTTTGGCATGTTTGGCCCATGATGATTCAATCAATTAGCAATGCAATTCACAGGCAAAGTGGCTGAAATTTTTGTGACTCAGCAGAAGAGTCTTGAAAGACATGGTTATTTTCCTGGCAACTTTTGATTTAATTGTCATCTTGCCAGATTTAGTATAAATAGATTAATAGTGGGACAAGCAAAGAGGGCTATCAAAATTCAGGGGACCATGGGCAGTCTTAGTTTCTCCTGCGCTGTCTCAGGTGACTCCACTGCTCTTTGGCAAAGTCTGTACTACCTCTGATAACTATCAACAACAGATTACGAGTCCCATATTTAAACACAGCAGAGTAGTAGTCCTGTTTTTCTCTTCTGGAATGATTTTCTACTTGCTAGATAGAAAGATGACATTGCTATAAAATCTACACATAGTTAATATTTCCTGAGACCTCAAGTTAGAAAGACTTGGGGAAAAAAAAAGGCATAGTGGTCCATGGAAAACAGAAGAATGTGGAAGTGCCAGTGCCAGGTAGAGGCCCTTAGGTAGCTCATTCATTGATTCATTCACTCAAAAATATTTATGGAGCACATAGGAAGTAACAGGCGTTATATGAGGCTGTGGGAATACAAAACATTAAACTCCTGAAGTTCAATGTATCACTTAGATGTCAATTTGTCCAAGCTAGCAAGGCATGTGTGCTGTGTGACAGGTATCTGGTCACTGGGATGCCACATTTAGTTTTGCTCATTGATTTTTATCATTGGCCAGATATATTTTCTCTTAGAGAATATAATCAAGAGGTTGAAAATAAGTATGCAAATTTCAAATCAAACATGTTTAATAGAAGAGGGCAAATATTTCAAGGAAACAGAGATTCAGCAAATATATCTAAGAAAAAAAATATGCAAAGAAACCAACATATGGATTATGAACAAAACACAAAGAAAACTGACTATAAATGAAGTAAAGCCTCTGGCTAAAAATCTAAAGCATGCTACACTTTGCTAGATGGCAAAGTGAATTTAAATGTGTTACAGAGTCAACCCTATCCTTACCCTCACCCCCTGCCTGACCTCTGAATCTCTGTGTAATTGCCAGTTCGTGTCGGACTTCACATGCTATGACTCTTTGATTTCTGCTTTGTATAATATATTTCTACAGAGTCTGACATTATGGCAGCAGAGGCTATAAACTGAGTGATCCTTGGAGGCTGCTGACTTGAAGTGTGGATGGAGAAGAGGCAAGAGAGAGCCAAGACTGGAAAGAAAGAAGGAAACAAAAGTTTCTCTCACTTTTGGACTTAGGGAAGCATTTGCTTTTTTTTTTTAACAGCTTAGTTAAAATATAATTCACATACCATATAATTCCCCCATTTAAAGTATACATCTCAATTGTCTTTAGGATAATTACAGGATTGTGCAACCAGCACCATAGTCACTTTAGAACATTTTCATCACTCCAGAAAGAAACCCTGTACCCATTTTCAGTCACTCTTCATTCCCATCCCCCAGCTTCTGGCAATTACTACTCTACTTCTGTCTCTATAGATTTGCCTATTCTGAACATTCATGTAGATGGAATCATATAATATGTGGCCTTTTGTGCTTGCTTCCTTCACTTAATGTATGATTTTCAAGGCTCATTCATGTTGTGGCACACATCATTACTTCATTCCTTTTTATTGCTAAATAATATTTCATTGTATGAATATTTTGTTTTTCCATTAATCAGTTCATGGCCATTTGGATTATTTTCATTTGTTGGCTATTATAAATAATGCTGCTATGAACATCCATGTATAAGTTTTGGTATGGACAAATGTTTTCATCTTGAGTATATACATAGGAATGGAATTGCTGGGTTATATGGTTAACTCCCTGTTTAACTTTTTGAGGAACTGCCAGACTGTTTTCTAAAGTGGCTGTACAATTTTGCATTTCCCCAGCAATGTATGAAAGTGTCAATTTCTCCACATCCCCACCAATGCTTGTTGTTACTTGTCTTTTTTATTCTAGCTATCCTAGTGTGTGTGTGATGGTATCTCTCTTGGTTTTTATTTTAATTTCCCTACTGACTAATGATGCTAAGCATTTTGTTCATGTAATTGTTGGCCATTTGTATATTTTCTTTGGAGAAATGTCCATTTAAATCTTTTGCATTTTAAAATTATGCTATCTTTTTATTATTGAGTTGTGAAATTATTTATGTATTCTAGATATAAGTTCCTTATCAGATATATGATTTGCCAATATTTTCTCCCATTCTGTGGTTTGTCTTTCCACTTTCTTGATGGTATTGTTAGCAGCTCAAATGTTTTTAGTTTTTTTGTTTGCTTGTTTTTTAGACAGAGTCTCACTCTGTTGCCCCGGCTGGAGTGCAGTGGAGCAATCACAGCTCACTGCAGCCTCAACCTCCCAGGCTCAGGGGATCCTCCCACCTCAGCCTCCTGGGCAGCTGGGACTACAGGTGTGCACCACTGCACCCGGCTAATTTTTTGTAGAGTCGAGGTTTCACCATGTTGCCCAGGCTAGTCTCAAACTCCTGGGCTCAAGCAACCTTCCCACCTTGGCCTCTCAAAGTGCTGGGATTATGAGCGTGAGCCACTGTGCGTGGCGTGTTTTTAATTTTGATTAAGTCAAAGCTACTTTTTCTTTTTTCGAGTGTGTGTTTATACGGTGTTGCCTAACTCAAGGTCAGAAGATTTACTTCAATGTTTCTTTCTCAGGATTATAGTTTTAGCTTACATTTAGGTCTTTGATACACTTTGAGTTAATTTTTGTGTGGTATAATTAAAGGATTCAACTTCATTCCTTTACCTGTGGATATCCAGTTGTCACAGTACCATTTGTGGAAAAGACTATTCTTTCCCTCACTGAATTGTCTTTGCATACTTGTCAAAAGTTAATTGGCCATAAATGCAAGAGGTTTTTCCTCAACTTCAACTCTATTCCATTAAGCTACATGTCTATCCTTAGTGCCAGTATAACACAATCTTGATTATTGTAGCTTTGTACTAAATTTTGAAATCAAGAAGTGTGAATCTTCCAACTTTGTTCTTTCTCAAGATTGTTTTGACTGTTCTTTGTTTCCATATTAAGATCAGCTTATCAATTTCTGCAAATAAGTTAATGGGGATTTCAATAGGAATTGTGTTGAATCTATAAATCAATTTTGAGCATTTTAACAATATTTAGTCTACCAATCCATGAGCATGAGATATATTTCCATATATTTTGGTGCTCTTCAATTTCTTTCAACGATGTTTTACAGTTTTTAAAGTAAACCTTGTACTTCATGTTAAATTTATTACTATGTATTAATATTTTATTATTTTTTATTTTATAAGTGAAGTTTTCTTCATTTCATTTTTAATTTGTTCATTGCTACTGTACAGAAATATAATTAATTTATGTAATTTCTGTATAATATACCAAGGTACAAGTACATGGTTGTATCCTGCAAACTTGCTGGATTCATTTGTCAGTTCTAATAGATTTTTAGTGGATTACTCAGTATTTTCTAAGTATAACATCATGTCATCTACAAATAAAGATAGTGTTACTTCTGCCTTTCCAATCTGAATGCCTTCTATTTCCTTTTCTTGCCTAATTGTCCTACCTAGTACCTCCAGTACAGTGTTGAATAGAAATGGTAAAAGTAGATATCCCTGTCTTGTTCCAGGTCACAGGGGAAGGCCTTTGCTTTTTAAGCAGTTTTCGAAAGGTTTAATGCTTTCTTCAAGAGGAAAAAACAAATAACAATACAATATATCCAAACAGAAAAATGCACTTGAACTCCTATTCTTGAGTATCAAAGCCCAAAACAGAAAACCATTCTAATTTAATACTTACGGAAAAAAAAATAATAAAGCAACACTAAAATGTATAGTGCTTTAACTGACTGTTGAGGAAACAAGGGAGTATACATAGGAATGACCTATATATATTCCAAATGACTTTTACTCTGAAGTTCTCTTGAGCCCGGATGTTAGCGAAAAATTAAAAGGATGAGGTTGTCCATGGGGGTTCATTTGAGATGGACAATGATAGTGACTGGTCAGACCCCTGGCCTACAATCATCTGCTGGATAAGATAAGGCACTTACCAGACCTCTTAATAGGAGTGTTATATGCTACTATAAAGAAAAAAACAAAAGAAACACATTTAAACCATGTAGCATAAGTTAAAAAGAGAAATAATGACAACTAGTTTCTATTCTAGCATATAAGAGGCTTAGAATTTGTCACTACAGTTCTTACAACAAAGAAAAAGTGAATAAAAATCAGGAAGTCATATTAGACACATCAGAGATTAGAGTCACAGGGCAAATCACTGCCTCAAAAATTGGACAAACAGGCCGGTGGATATAGAGAATACATTTTACTGGAGCAGAAACAAAGAAGCAGAAATAACCACTGGAGCCAGTACTAGGGCAGAAAAACTGAAGCTATAATTTGCAATCAGCTAGAGGCTTATTGTGGACAAGATTGAAAGATAAAAACTGAATATAAAACAACTGTGATTAATATGCTAAGGGTTCTAGTGGAAAAATGGACAACATGCAAGACCACATGGGTAACGTAAGAAGAAAAATGGAAACTCAAAGAAAGAATCTAAAGGAAATGCTGGAAATAAAAAACACACTGTAACAGAAATGTAGAATGCCTTTGATGGGGTCCTCAATAGACTGTATATGGCTAAGGAAAGAATCTGAGCTTGAACAAATGTCAATGGAAACTTCAAAACTGAAATGCAAAGAGAAAAAGTATGAAAAAGGCAGAAAAGATTTCTAAGAATCATGGGACAATTGCAAAAGGTGCAATATATTTGTAATGAGAATATCAAAATGAGAAGAAAGAAAGGAACAGAAGAAGTACTTGAAGTAACAGAATTTTCCTAGAGATATCAAACCACAGATCCAGGAATCTTGGAGAACATGAAGCAAGATAAATACCAAAAAATCCTACACTTAGAGATAATCATATTCAAACTACAGAAAATCAAAGGCAAAGAAAAAAATCTTAAAAGAAGTTGGGGAGGGGGAGCGTCAGGGGAGAATCTTACCTATATAGAAGCAAGAATAAGAATTACATCTGACTTTTCTCAGAAACCATGGAAGCAAGAAGATAGAAATATTTAAAATGTTGAAAGAAAAAAATCCACCAATAAAGAATTCTAGACCTACAGAGATTATCCTTCAAAAGTGAAAGTGAAATAAAGACTTCCTCAAACAAACAAATATTGAGGAAATTTGTGCTGGTAGACCTGCTCGCAAGAAATTTTAAAAGAAGTTCTTCAGAAAAGAAAGAAAATAATATTGGTCAGAAAAGTGGATCTAAAGAAAGAGCCTGGCCAGGTGTGGTGGCTCACACCTGTAATCCCAGCACTTTGGGAGGCTGAGGTGGGAGGATTGCTTGAGCCCAGAAGTGACCAGCCTGGGCAACATACCAAGACCTCGTCTCTACAAAAAAATAAAATGAAAATTACCCAGGCGTAGTGGCACACAGCTGTAGTCCCAGCTACTGGAAGACCACTTGAGCCCAGGAGGTCGAGGCTGCAGTGAGCTATCATCGTGCCACTGCACTCCAGCCTGGGTGACAAAACAAGACTCTGTCAAAGAAAAGAAAAAGCCCTAAATAAGGCATAAAGATCACAGAAAATCTTAATTTTCTTATTCTTAATTGGTCTAACAGACAATACTTTCTTTAGAACAAAAATAACCAATGTATTCAGCAACTATAGTTATGAATAAGTGAAATAAACGAAGTAATATTATAAGGGACAAGAGGGAAGAATTGGAAAAACTCTGTTATAATGTATTTGCACTCACACATGATGCAGCATAGTGTTATTTGAAAGTAAACCTGGATTATCTGTAAATGTATATTGCAAACTCTAGGGAAACCATATGATATGCTAAGAGAAAAGAAAAAAGAATTATTGAAATGTTCAATTAAAATCACAGAGGGCAGGAAAAGAATGAAAGACAAAAAAAGGAACCAAGAACAAGGCAACCAAGAGAAAACAGTAACAGATATGGTAGATATTAATCCAACAATATCAATAGTCACTTCAAACACAAAACGGTCTAAATGCCAATTAAAAGACAGAGATTTTCAGAGTGAATAAAATAATAAGACCCAATTATATGTTATATATAAGAAACTATTTATTTATAGGCAAGGTCTCACTCTGTCACCCAGGCTGGAGTACAGTAGTGCAATCATAGCTCACTGAAGCCTTGAACTCCTGGGCTCAAGTGATCTTCCCACCTCAGCTTCCTGAGTAGCTAGGACTATAGGTATGTGCTACCACGCCTTGCTAATATTTAAATTTTTTTTGTAGAGATGGGGTCTCACTGTGTTGCCCAGGCTTGTCTTAAACTCTTGGGCTTAAGAGATCCTCCTTTTCCTAGTGTTGGGATTACAGGCATGAGCCACTGTGCCTGGCCAAGAAATCCATTGAAAATACAAATACACAGGTTGTATCAGTCTGTTCTCATGCTGCTATAAGGACATACCCGAGACTGGGTAATTTATAAAGAAAAGGTTTAATTGACTCAGAGTTCAGCATGAATGGGGAGGCCTCAGGAAACTTACAATCAGTGTGGCACTTCATCAAGGATCTAGAACTAGAAATATCATTTGACCCAGAGATTTCATTACTGGGTATATACCCAAAGGATTATAAATCATGCTACTATAAAGACACATGCACACGTATGTTTATTATGGCACTATACACAATAGCAAAGACTTGGAACCAACCCAAATATCCATCAATGATAGACTGGATTAAGAAAATGTGGCACATATACACCATGGAATACTATGCAGCCATAAAAAAGGATGAGTTCATGTCCATTGCAGGGACATGGATGAAGCTGGAAACCATCATTCTGAGCAAACTATCGCAAGGACAGAAAACCAAACACCCCATGTTCTCACTCATAGGTGGGAATGGAACAATGAGAACACCTGGACACAGGGTGGGGAACATCACTCCCTGGGGCCTGCTGTGGGGTGGGGGGCACAGGGAGGGATAGCATTAGGAAAAATACCTAATGTGAATGACAAATTAATGGGTGCAGCACACCAACATGGCACATGTATGCCTATGTAACAAACCTGCACATTGTGCACATGTATCCTAGAACTTAAAGTATAATTTTAAAAAATAAATAAAAACAAGAACAAAAACGAAAAAACAAAAGAAAATTATCAGGGATAAAGAGGAACATTACATAATGATAAAGAGGTTAATTCTCCAAAGGGACATAACAGTCTTTAGCATGTATCCACCTAAGAACAGAATGTAAAAAGTACATTTGGCAACAACTGATAGAATTGCAAGGAGAAATATGTTAGTTCACTATTATAGTTAGAGGCTTCAACAGACCATTATCAGTAATTGTCAGATCCAGCAGGCAGAAAATCAGTAAGAAAACAGCTGAACTGAATAGCACCATCAATCAAATAGACCAAATTGGCATTCATATAAAACTTCAACAAAAGCAGAATATACATTCTTCTCAAAGTCATACAGAATATTCACTAAGACTGACCACGTTCTGGGCCATAAGATATACCTTAACAGATTTAAACAAGTAGAAATGATACAAAGTGTGCTCTAATAATGCCATAATGGAGCTAAATGAGAAATGTAAAAAAGAAAGATGGCTGAGAAATGCCAAAATACCTGGAGATTAAACAGTACATTTCTGGATAAAGCATGAGTCAAAATAGTCATGTCAAGGGGAATTAAATAATATGTTTAACTAAATAAAAATGAAAATACAACTCATTAAAATTTGTGGATGCAGCAAACGTAATTTTCAAAAGGAAATTTATAACATTGAATCCATAAATTACCAAAGAAGGAAGATCTAAAATCAATAATCTAAGCTGCCACAAAAGAAAACTAGAAGAAAGAAGAGCATATTAAATCCAAAGTAATCAGAAGAAAAAAAAGCAATAAAAATTAGGGCAGAAACCAATAAAACTGAAACATAAAACTGATGAAAATTGACAAAAACCTGGTTCTTTAAAAATTTCAATAGAAATGATAAACTTCTAGCCAGGCTATCTAAGAAGAAAAGATTGAAGACACAAATTACCAATATCAGAAATGAAAAAGGGGCTATCATGACTGATACACCATTAACATTAAACTAAGAATAAAGGAATATTACAGGAACTAGTAGCAACTATAGCGAGGGTGCAGGATACAAGATGAATATATAAAGGTCAATAGCTATCTTATATACCAGAAATGAAGAACTGGAATTTGAAATTAAAAACATAATATCATTTACATTTGTCACTCTAAAAAATGAAATACTTAGGTATAAATTAACAAAACGTACAGATTTATATGAGGAAAACTACAAAAATATGATGAAAGAAATCAAAGATCTAAGTAAATGAAGAGTTATTCCATGTTCATGGATAGGAAGACTCAACATTGTCAAGATATTAGCTCTTTCCAACTTGATCTATAGTTTCAATACAATCCCAATAAAATCCCAGCAAGTTATTTTGTGAATATCAACAAACTGATTACCTAAAGTTTATATAGAAAGGCAAAAGACCCATTATAGCCAACATATTACTGAAGGAGAAGAATGTCAGAAGATTGACACTACCTGTTTCTAAAACTTACCATAAATCTGCAGCAATCAAAATGGTGGGTATTGGGAAAAGAACAGACAAAGAGATCAATGGGACAGAATAAAAGGTCTACAAATAAATCCATGCAAATATAGTAAACTGAACTGTATATAGACAAACAAGGAAAGGCAATTTAATAAGAGTCTTTTCAGCAAAAGTTCCTGGAACAACTGGACATCACCCCACATGTATGGACAGACAAACTGATACATCCATACAATGGGACATTATTCAACGTTAAAAAGAAATGAGCTATCTAGCCAAAAAAGACATGGAGCAACCTTGAAAGCATATTGGTAAGTGAAAAATGCCAATCTGAAAAGGCTATATGTTGTATGATTCCAAATATATGACATTCCTGAAAGGACAAAACTATGAAGACAGTAGTTGCCAGGGGTTCAGGGAAAGTGAGGGAGAGAAGAAGAGGCAGAGCGCAGGGCAGTGAAACTATTCTGTAATGATATATAATGGTGGATACATGTTATATATTTGCCAAAACCCACAGAATGTACAATACAAAGAACAGACCATTATGTAAATTATGGAACTTAAAGATAATGTATTAATATTCACTCATCAATTTTAAAAAGTCACCTTTTAAAAAAACATCTGAACTACTGCAAAAAATCTCCAGATTGGTCTCTTACACTGATTCTTTCTGTAGTTAGAATGATTTAAAAAACAAAAATCATTAGATCAGTGCCTTGCTTAAATTCCATTGATGGCTAATTGTTTTTTGGATAAAATGTGATTCTTTTAGTTCCTCAAATGTACCAGTCTTTGCCACTCTTTTAAACAAATTAATTTACTTATTTTACTTTTTTACATAGGGACAGGGTCTCACTATGTTGTCTAGGCTTGTCTTGAACTCTTAATCTCAAGCAATCCTCCCACCCCAGTCTCCCAAAGTGTTGAGATTACAGGCATGAACCACCATGTCCAGCCTTGTGTCACTCATCTTCAAATTTCAGTTTGGATGTCACTTCCTAACAAAAGGTGTCCCCAACTCTTACAGATAAAGCTAGGTCCCTATAAATTATGCTTCCCTAACACTTTATATTTCCCCTTTCATAGAATCCAACTTACTGTCATATTAGACTGCCTGTTTTATTCCCTAGAATGGTAACTCCATGAGGGGAGGACCTATAGTTTTCATTGTTATATGTGTAGTACCTGGTACACAGTAGGTGCTCAGAATTAGATGACTGACTTACTGATGTAAGTCCGGAATGCCAATACTCTCTGGAATAGGTTAACTAATTGATTTTTTTTTTTTTTTTTTGAGACTGGGTCTTGCGCTGTTGCCCAGCCTGGAGTGCAGTGGCGCAATCTCAGCTCACTGCAAGCTCCGCCTCCGAGGTTCATGCCATTCTCCTGCCTCATCCTCCCGAGTAACTAGGACTACAGGCGCCCACCACCATGCAGGGTCTCACTGTGTTTCTCAGGCTGGTCTTGAACTCCTGGACTCAAGTAATCCTCCTGCCTCAGCCTCCCAAAGCACTGGGTTTACAGGCATGAGCAACTGCACCCAGCCTGGAATATGTTAATTTAGGAAGCAGTTGTTATCCTATCTATGGAGACAGAGCTAAACTGATCTGGAATACTGGGTAAGAGGCTGGAGAATATTTCTCTGAGATCATTTTCCATTTTAAATCTATAAAGGCAGGGAGGTGAAAGAGATGGCCTTCTAAGAACTTGTTTTTTGAGGTTTCTGAGTTTCCACAATATAGTTTCCCATGGTGTGATCCATATTTAGCAACTTTACAGTTCTTTGCCTATAGAGGAAAATGGTCCACATTGTACCAAACACACTTTTCTAGAAGAGGGTAACAAAATCTGCTACCTAGAAATGCAGAAGATAGGACTTTGTGCTATAAGGCAAATATCTTTTATCATTAAGAATATGAAAATAATCTTTCTGATAAATGTTTTTAATTTATTTAGTGAACAGAGATGCTGTTCTGTGGATTATTTGATCTATTTTATTCCCATCGCAGAAATGAAGAAGTGGAAAGGCAAGACATGGGCAGACCCTGGGAGTTGTACTGCTGATACCACCATGTATCCAAGATACAGAATTATAACTCCTACTGTGAGGATCTGAAAATTGTTGAAGGTACAGCACTAGGATACCTAAAGTAGTAGGGGAATGAATTCAGCAGAGGCTACTGCCCAAGAGAAAAAGGACACTGGGGTTGCTGTCATTATCACACAGATGTAGTTGTTTGCTTAGTGCTTTTAAAAAAGTTTCTAATCTCCCTGTAGCTCTTCCAAAGTTTCTCAAGGATAATATACTGTGATGAACTGATGGTGTGTCCCTGGCCTTTCCAGGTCCGCCCAGATGTCAAAAGTCCTCCCTTTTAGATTTGCTATGAAATTAAGAAACTTTTCGGCTGGCTGAAGTTTGTAACTGCAACTACTCACGTAAACTCCCAGCTCCTTTTCTACAGCTGCCTTGGAAAGCAAAAATGGGAAATTTGCAAATTTTTTAGAATATGATGATTGGTCCACAGATGACATTCTTTCTGTGAGGGCAGTGGGTAGATTTTTCAAAGTGAATACTTTTGGTCCTTTAATGCTTTGTTTTGATTCATCTTATGGGGAAGTTTGGAAGGCATATTAAGATGTTCTGAATTTGAACTTGGATCTCTTTCTTAAGAATCTTGGAGAGTCATCTATTTTTTATGGTGTAGGTAAAAGATGCCTGGAAAATGGGAGATAGACTAGCTGTCCCTGAGGAGGCTTTCACCAAAGATTCTATAATAATATACAACCAAATCTCAGAGAGTGATTCTGTCAAGGTTATGCTCTGGGATATTGGTTTGTTCTCTAACCTCTTAGAAACAATTTCCACATTACCTGACTTCCTCTGCCAGAATCTGAACTACTTAGACAATACAAAAATGATGATGACATGAATAATAACTTTAAAAAGTGTTATCATTTTTTCATTATTAAAATTCCATGTCCCATGACAGGTATAAGTACCTACACTATCCTTATTCCTTTAATCTTCATTTTGTGTTCATATTTATCAACTAAATTGAAGCTCTTTGAAGAAGGGATCTAGGTGTGATAAATAATCATTTTATCATAAATAGCACTTAGTAGAGACACTTCAAATATAATGGTTTTATCTGGATTCGTAAAACTGTAAACTCTTCACAGGGAGAGACACTTTAGCTTAAATTTATCCCAATTTTCACTATTTTACCATGAGCCATAAACAGCATAGGTTCACTTAAAGAGTGGTATCTGAAATTGATTCAGCTTCCTGAATATCCACAAAGTTTTCCACCAAGACATCAAACTCTGACCATTTATTTGGGAACATCAAAAGTTCATCTTCACCTATAATTACACCTTGTATGGATCCTGCCTGTCTTGTTCATTGCTTAATCTCTTGTGTCTAGCAGAGTAAATGCTCGGTAAGTATTTGTAGAATAAATGAAAAAGAGTTTTACATTAACATCTAGCTAAATTATTATTCATACTGCCTACTACCAAAAAAAGACACACAGTGGCCTGCAACATTAAAATATATACAATATAAGACAAAACAGAAAAAGAATAGATTAGAAAAATAGGAAAGAAAAACAGATGAACCAGAAATCTGGGTGAATTGATCACTGTCAAAGAACATTAAATGTAGTGTTACTGGCTTCCTGGTTGTCAAATAAAAAGAGAAAATACATCAAATTTCTAGTTTCAACAGAATTCATCTGAAGAGGCAAACAAGGCTGGGTGTGGTAGCTCAAGTCTATAATCTCAGGCTTTTGGGAGGCCAAGGTGGGAGGAGTGATTGAGCAGAGGAGTTTGAGACCAGCCTGGGCAACATAGTGAGAGCGTGTGCCTCCAAAACAAATTTTAAAATTAGCCAGGCATGGTGTAATATGCCTGCAGTCCCAGCTACTCAGGAAGCTGAGGTGGGAGGATTACTTAAGCCCAGGAGTTGGAGGCTGTAGTGAGCTAGGATCATACCACTTATACTCCAGCCTGGGCAACAGAATGAGACCTTGTCCCTTTTATTTTTTGAGACGGAGTCTCACTCAGTCGCCCAGGCTGGAGTGCAGTGGTGCAATCTCGGCTAACTGCAAGCCTCCCGGGTTCACGTCATTCTCCTGCCTCATCCTCCCGAGTAGCTGGGACTATAGGCGCCCGCCACTACACCCGGCTAATTTTCTTGTATTTTTAGTAGAGACGGGGTTTCACCGTGTTAGCCAGGATGAGACCTTGTCTCTTTTTTAAAAAGAAAAGAAAAAAAAAAAGGAGGTAAACAGTTTCTTGGCACTGAATTCTAGGAAAGAAATTTTTTTGCATGAATTCTTATATGTGAGATGGTAGACAAAAAAGTATACAGGATTTTTAACTTTGTAAAAAAAATTGTAAAATGTCTTCCAAGTGGGTACTTCTAACATCAGTATCTACAAAAGTCATATGGGTTGTTTATTTTCACTATCACTACCCAATAATTTATTTGCTTCTTATGATCATTCCTGTTTTATGACAAGAAAGCTATGTCAATGGTACAGGAAAAAAATTATCTTCTTCTTTGGAATGGTTGGTAGACATTTACCTAATTAATAGCTGGTTGAACTGCATGAAATTGCTGTTTTTATTGAATATTGGTAGCTTCATACATATTGGTAGTTCAACTTAATATAATAGCTTTATCAAGTTGTTTAGGTTAAACATAAGGGGTAACTCAATCCTGATTTACTCATTAGAATGTAAGCTTCCTGAATGTAGTGACTTGGCTTATCTCATTTACTGTAGAAACCTTATTGTCTGGCACATGGTAATACACTTCCTAGCGACTGAATAAATGAATGCTTTACCTTTGAGTTATTTCAAGAAAATCTTTCATGCAGAATGTAACACAAAGCTTAAATGACATAGTAGAGGAATCTATGATCAAGTTTCAATCATTTTTATAATTTGGGGGATGAAAACAGTCTCCAAATTCTTGTATAAGCACGGTACCGATCAAAGTCATAATGTATTGCTTGGTTGGAGCCTCTATTACATCAGACCAAATTAATCAGTACCTTTCTGATCCTGACAGTACTGTCTAGACAGGAACATATTTTTTAAATTATAATTTAATTTAATTTTTTGAGACAGGGTCTTGCTCTGTCACTCAGGCTGGAGTGCATTGGCATGATCTTGGCTCATTGCAACTTCTGCCTCATGAGCTCAAGCAATCCTCTTAGGTCATCCTCCTGAGTAGCTGGGACTACAGGTGTATGCCACCAGGCCTGGCTAATTTTTGTTTTTTTTTGTAGAGACAGGGTTTTGCCATGTTGCCCAGGCTGGTCTTGAACTCCTGAGCTCAAGCGATCTTCCCACCTCAGCCCCCTAAATTGCTGTGATTACAGGTGTATGTCACTGCACCTAGCCAGATATGAGCATATTTGGCAAGAAAAGTCAGATCTCTGTAAGCAATAAATTTACTTGATTTGAAATCTATTATGATTTTTTGGAAAATTTACAGTTCCTCTTACTCATCACTTGTAAAAAAAAAACCTCAATTTCAATTTGTTTCCTGAAGATAAAAGAAGCACAGGTCTTCATTATTTCACTTGCTTACTTGGGTTTTTGTTTGTTTGTTTATTTTTATTTTTGAGATGAGGTTTTGCTGTTGCCCAGGCTGGAGTGGAGTGGTGTGATGAAAGCTCACTGCAGCCTCTGCCTCCTGACCCTCTTACCTCAGCCTCTGGAGTAGCTGGGTTAGTTGAGTAGTTGGCTAATTTTGTGTATTTTTTATGGAGACGGGGTCTCACTATGTTGCCCAGGCTGGTCTTGAACTCGGGAGCTCACGTAATCTGCCCCCCTTGGCCTTTACTTGCTTACTTTGTATTTAATATTGGCAATGTCTCCATAGTTGCCTTTTTTTCCTTTTGCTGTCTACTTTATTTCTTAGCATGTTTGTTCCTGATCTTGTTCTTTGAGGAACTTTTCCTACTTGGATTCCAAGCTTTTCATTATAAACTAATCTCTTAGGTTTTCTAGGCACTGTGTGTGCAAAGTGTATACAGGAATTTATGTTTAGGTAACACAATTTGTTTTCCACCACATTATAATGATCTAAAAGAATATTTAACTTAAATGCCTTATCTGGAAGGAGTGGATATGACAATGACACACATGCTGTCATATGCATGTCAACTGGGTTAGGTCTCCAGGGGTAGGAATAGATATGAACCACATCCATTCCACTGTTATTCACGTGAAACTAAAGGTATTCATTTGCAAGATGGGTAGAACCACTAAGAGGTTAGTTAGTGGGATACATGTGAGAGTTTGAAGACAGCATTTTAATTTTTATTTTTTAAGTAGGACAAATAAGATGGATAAAGTTTCAAGACATAATTTCAATAGCTCTTGAGACAACTGAGTCCCAGGCAAATATACATTTCCCCATATTGTAATTTTTCCTACAGAGAATGTATTGATTATAGCATGCAATGACAATGATTTAGTATTTCCTTGGTTCTGCCCTTTTGGAACTTTATCCATTATGTATAATCATGAATAGCGTAACTATAACTGAAATAAAATTTAAGCCTTTTCATTTAATGTTTAGCATGTGTAAAACCTCACATCTGATCAACATCAACATTAGATAACTAGTTTAGTTTACACAATTTTATTACCAACAAATCTATCAGCACTCTTGCAACTGAACCCATATTTCCCCCCCTTCTTCTCTTACAATGAATGAACAATCCTTGTCCCATCATTTCTGCACTTAATTCCACTCCTTTGTGTATACTCAAGGGCATTATTCCTGCAATTATCCCTTTTCTCCCTAAAATCATCAACTTTTCCCTCTTTACTGGATCATTCCTATCACCACATAAATGTTGCATTATCTTTCAATTATTCTACTACTGAGTAGTATTAGGGCACAAGAAAGGGAAGATGGGCATTGGAGCCATAGAAGGGGTTACAGCAACTTTTGGAAATTATACAATTTTACTTAATTGCATTTATATAAACAGGGGTAAAATTTCTGCCACTATTGCCTATGTAAACATTCTTCACACGTGTGTGTGTGTGTGTTTGGGGGCTGATGAAATACACATCCCTACTGTCTACTATTATCATAGGAGTAAAATACTGTTCCACGAAGTTTTTCTCTACACTGAGAACAATGTTGCAAGGCAATATAATAGAAAGTCATGCCATTGCACTCCAGCCTGGGTGACAGAGTGAGACTCTGTCACAAAAAACAAACAAACAAACAAACAAACAAAAAACAGAGTAAAAGCTTCAGTTTTGTCATCTGGAAGATTTGGGTTCACATCTTGGTTCTACTATAAACTTTGTGATACTGAATGAGTCACTTCATAGTTCTGAGCCTCAGTTTCTCAACTATACAATGGTAATGATAATACCTGCTTTACAAGTTGTGAGGAATGAATGAATAATACACATAATACACATTAAGCACATTGACATAAAAATCACAGATCAGGGAGGGAGGGGAGCATGGGTTGAAAAACAACCTATTGTGTACTATGCTCACTATCTGGGTGATGGGATCATTTGTGCCCCAGCCCTCAGCATCATGCAATATACCCATGTAACAAACCTACACATGCAACCCTTAATCTATAATAACAGTTGAAAAACAAATCACAGATCACAATACTGGAAAAGAGCTTTAGAAGCAATATGCTTCACTTACATATGGAAACTGCAGTGGATAATGGTGAACCTCAAAAAAAATATCCAATCTATAAGGAACTTGAATTTATAAGCAAAAAACAACCCCATTAAAAAGTTGGCAAAGGACATGAACACTTTTCAAAAGAAGACATACATGTGGCCAAAAAGCATACGAAAAAATGCTCAACTTCACTAATCATTTGAGGAATGCAAATCAAAACCATGAGATACCATCTCATACCAGTCACAATGGCTATTACTAGAAAGTCAAAAAATAACAGATGCTGGTGAGGTTGCAGAGAAAAGGAAATGCTTATACACTGCTGGTGGGAATGTAAATTAGTTCAGCCACTGAGGAAAGCAGTTTGGTGATGTCTGAAAGAACTTAAAACAGAATTACCATTAGACCCAGCAATCCCATTTTCAGGTATATACTCAAAGGAATGAAAATCATTCTACCATAAAGACACACACATGAAAATATTTTTCCGAGCACTATTCACAATAGCAAAGTCATGAAATCAACCTAAATGCCTATCAATGGTAGGCCGGATAGGAAAATGTGGTACATATATGTCATAGAATACTATGCAGCCATAAAGAAGAATGAGATCATGTCCTTTGCAGCAACCTGGATGGAGCTGGAAGCCATTATCCTAAGTGAGCTAACACAAGAACAGAAAACCAAACACCGCATGTTCTCATTTTTATAAGTGGGAGCTAAATATCGAGTACATATGGACACAAAGAAGGGAACAAGAGGCACTGGGGCCTACTCCAGGGTGGAGGGTAGGAGAAGGATGAGGACTGAAGAACTGCCTATCAGGTACTATGCTTACTACTTGGGTGACAAAATAATCTGCACACTGAACCCCTATGACATGCAATTTACCTACACAACAAACCTGCACACATAACCCTTGAACCTAAAATAAAAGTTAAA
The DNA here is from genome assembly GCF_000001405.40 of Homo sapiens. Taxonomy (NCBI): domain Eukaryota; kingdom Metazoa; phylum Chordata; class Mammalia; order Primates; family Hominidae; genus Homo; species Homo sapiens. The sequence continues at coordinate 72,253,861 of NC_000002.12, forward strand.
AGAAAAAAAGATATGTTCGGCTGGGCACAGTGGCTCACGCCTGTAATCCCAGCACTTCGGGAGGCTGAGGCGGGTGGATCACAAGGTCAGGAGATCAAGACCATCCTGGCTAACACGATGAGACCCCATCTCTACTAAAAATATAAAAAATTAGCTGGGCGTGGTGGTGGGCACCTGTAGTCCCAGCTACTCAGGAGGCTGAGGCAGGAGAATGGTGTGAACCCAGGAGGAGGAGGTTGCAGTGAGCCGAGATCACACCACTGCACTCCAGGCTGGGCGACAAAGCAAGACTCTGTCTCAAAAAAAAAAAGATATGTTCAAGTCTTAATCTCCAGTACTTAGGAATGTGACCTTATTTGGAATAAGGGTCTTTGAAATCATCCTGGATTAACTGGGTAGACCCCTGAACCCAATGATGGGTATCCTTAAAAGCAGCAGAAGAGTAGAAGACATGAGGAGAAGACAGAGGTGGAGACTGGAGTTATGTAAGTCACAAGCCAAGGAATTCTAAAAACCATTAGAAGCTGGAAGAGACAAGGAAAGAGTCTCCCTTAGAGCCTTCAGAAGGACAACGGCTCTGCCAATGCCTTGATTTCAGATTTCTGGCCTCCAGACCTGTGAGGGAATAAATTTCTTTTGTTTTAAGCCACCAAGTTTATAGTAATTTTGTTACAATAGCCATAGGAAACTAATACAGATTTTGCTAACTACAACATAAGTGCTGTTGTACTAAATACCTAAACATGTAGAAGTGGCTATGGAATTGGGGAATGTGCAGAGGCTGGTAAACTTTTGCGGCAAGTGATAGAAAAAGCCTAGATTGAAGATATTCTTGGTAGGAATATACACAAACATTAAACACAATTCAGGGCCAGGCGTGGTGGCTCACACCTATAATCCTAGCACTTTGGCAGAAAACTCGGCTGAATTATGTACAGTTGAGTAGAAAGTAGAGCTTGTAAGCAATGAATTTGTATATCAAGCTGAGATTTCCAAGCAAAATGTTGAAGATGCAGCCTGATTTTGCCTCACTATTTATGGTAAAATGTGATAGAAAAGAGATAAATTGAAAAAGGAAATCTTAGGCAGAAAGAAACCAACACTTAATGATTTGGAGGGTTCTTGGCATATACAGATTGCAAAGGATGCCAAAATTAGGAAACTTACACTTAAAGAAAGTATGCTGTGGATATCAAGCCAAGGGTGTGGCTGGACAACCTTTTGCTGAAGAGACTTGGCATGTGTCTCATTGATCCACTCAACCATCTCAGCAGAAGCCAGAAACAGATGGGGTTATCCGGTAAAGATCAATGCAGGACCCTTCTGTCTAGTGGCAGGGATCCCTGTGACATACACAGGACACCTACAAGGTTTTAAAGAATGCTGTATCAGCAGAAATACTGCCAGCTTAGAATAAAGGGAATGGAGACAAGACAAAGTGAAGGATTGCTGTTGGGCTTAACAAAATTCTATAAACAGAAAAATGGGCTGATAAAGCTACTTAGCTGCAAATATATACTACCCTTTAAGAAAAGGAAAGGATGACTTCTAGGTCAGAGCCATGGGTGCAGAAGTAGACACTGATGAAGCCACCACAGGCCTGGAAGGCAGCGCCAAGAGCCATAGATAATTAGTTCCAGGCCTTGAAATCTAATGTAAATTGCCTTGCTGGATTCAAACTTGCTTGGAACTGGTGGCTCCTTTATTCTCTCAGTTTCCCCCTTTTGGAATGAAAATGTCTATTGTATCCCTATCCCACCACTGTATTTTGGAAACAGATCATTTCTTTTCTAAGTTCATAGTTCCACAGGTAGAGAAGAATTTTGCCCCAGGGTGCATCATACCCAGAGGGCCACCCATATCTAACGTAGATGATTTAGGTGATGAAATGTGGGACTTTTGAGCTGATGATGTTTAGATGAGACTTTAGACTTAGAGTTAATGCAATAATGGATTGAGACTTCTGGGGATGTGGGGAAAGGCTGAATGTGTTTTGCATGTGGAATAAATGTTAATTTTTGAGAGCCAGAGGATAAACTACATTTGGTTGGATGGTGATACCAAAAAAGATTTGTCCAAGTCATAACCTCAGGTATCTGTGAATGCGAGCTTATTTGGAAACAGGATCTTTGTAGATGTAATTCAGTCAAGGATCTCAAGGTGAGACCATTCTGGATCAACTGGGTAGGCCCTAATTAAATGACAAAAGTCCTTAAAAGAGAAAGAACAGAAGACATGAGGAAAAGAGGTCATATAAAGACCGAGGGAGAGATTGGAGTAATACAAAGCCACAAACCAGGGAGCTCCTGGGGCCACCAGAAGCTGAAGGCAAGGAAGGATTCTCCCTTAGAGGATTTGGAGGGAGCACAGCCTTTCTGATATCTTGACTGTGGCCTCCAGAACGGTTAGAAATAAAATTCTTGCTTTAAGCCATTAAGTTTATGGGTAATTTGTTATGGCAGCCACAGGAAAGTAATATCGCAATGAAGACACTATCAAATCATTTTGCAGATAGGGTGACTAAAGTTTAGAAAACTTAAGTGAGTTCAGTTCATAGAAAAAGCATGAAATAGTTGATCTTTGCAATTGCTGCTTCAGGGTAGAATGAAAAGTAACTGGAATGGGAATTAGATTAGGGTTCTAGCTCTGGCTTTAGCTGTGTGACTGGGCAGATCACAAATTCTCTGGGCATTAGTTGCTAGTTCTGTAAAACTGAGAGTAGAGGTAATGAGTACAGGTTAAGTATAGTTTAAAACTGGCTGATCATCTGAATCGTGTTGGAGACTTACTTACAACTATAGATTCTCAGCCCTCATCACACTGCCCCTACTCCCAACCTGCTAAATGCAACTTGAGAAATCAGCTCTGAAATCTATCTATTTTTACAAAGCTGCAAGGTAATTCAAGATTAACCAAGTTTGGGAATCACAGAGCTAGATGATTACTGAATCCCTGCTAGTGCTAAATTTTATATTTGGGATTAGAGACATATTATCATAATTTCAGCACTTAAATATTTGCATGGATTGAGCTGTGTATATGTATGAACACAAGGAGGCTGAATGTAAAAGCAGGTATCTGGAATCTATTTATTCCAGGTTCCAGGGGCATGGAATTTGGGCCTAAAGTAACCCTCAATATCCTTTGCTCTGCATAAGCAGTCACTGTCCCTAGGCTGACTCCCTCATGCCCCATCTCATCATGTTCTGGGAACAAAATGACTATGCAAAGTGTTTTCTCTCCACAAAGACAACGCACATATGTGACACGACACAGGCCAGGTGAAACAGGTATCATTCAAAGTGTTTGAGTACAAACCAGTCCTAACATGGATTTGCCACATCTGAGAATAATATTCACAAAATCTTTTCCATCTTTTAGAAGTCACGGAGCTTAAAAAAAAACCATATCTTTGTTTCTTAGCAAAGGATCTGTTTGACTAAATAAGTTAAAACAACAACAACAACTCATGCTTAGGTTATCTTCTTGGCTCTCAGATTAACCTTTTTCTTCCCTGAATTTAATCTCAAACAGACAATATTAGTATTGGATAAATTACATTTGTTTTAGAGCCTAAATTTAATCATTAAAATTAATTGATCCTGAGTAAGCCCAATCTTAGCAGAAGGAAAAACCACTATTAATCTTTGGTCATTAAATCAATACTGAAGGCAATGTATTATTCTAATGTTTACCGCTAGCTTAATGCAGTGTGTTAACAAGGCCTGTTAACACATAAAGCTTGAATTACATGTCTGTCAGCTACCAGAATATCCTTATGGAGACAGGATTTGTGAATTCTGCAGAATTAGTATGACTTAGAAAGATCAATGAAACACTGATGCCTTCCTATTCTGAGGAAGATCAAAGCAGGAGTTATTTTTTTCTGTTCATTTCAAACCACCCAATTTCCCAGGGCTGGGCTAGTCAACCATAGCCGACATAGCCATGGGACAGTACGAGGTTGATGGGAGGGGGTCACATGGTCCCAGACAGTTTTCTAGTTCCTACAACTCCAGTCTCTTTGAAGAGTTGGAGTTAAATGGGCACAGAAATATCTCAGTCAAGTGCTAGGACTCTTCCCACGATTCTGTTTTAAGTCCTGCAAAAAGGGCATTCTCTGGGAACTTCCATCCTGAAATTTTTAGAAGGAAATTGGCTTACTCACTAAATTTCATAGTCTTTTAAGTAATTTAAGGCTAAAAGCCTATATATGATTAGATTATTACACATTCTTTAAAGCTAAATGGTCCACCATTCTCGCAACTATTTCTTTTTAAACTCTCAGACTAGTCTGACAGAGGCAGCAAGAAAACAGTGTTGTCTTTACAAGTCAAGCATGAACAGTACCAAAGCATTTCTTATCTCTCTTATTAGTCTGTGAGCTCCTTAACGACAGGGTTGATGTTTGTTTTATCTTGATGTTCTCAGCACTTACGCCAGGGCTCAACATGGAATAGATGCTCTATGAATGCTTTTATTTTTTATTTTTATCTTTTTCTTTTTTTTTTTTTTTTTTTTGAGACAGGGTGTTACTCTGTCATCCAGGCTGGAATGAAGTGGCACAATCATGGCTCACTGCAGCATTGACCTTGGGGGCTCAAGCAGTCCTCTCACCTTAGCCTCCTGAGTAGCTGGGACACAGGCATGAACCACCACTCCTGGCTAATTTTTTAAATTTTTTCTTTTATAGAGATAAGGGTCTCCCTATGTTGCCCAGGCTGGTCTCAAACTCCTGGGCTCAAGTGATCCTCCTGCCTTAGCCACTCAAAGTGCTGGGATTACAGGCATGAGCCACCACACCAGGCCCTAAGAATGCTTTTAGAATAAATAAATGAGTGAATAATTATAATAATAATAAAAGGTTTTAGAAGGCCCAAGTACATACAAAGACAGTAATTATTCCATGAAGAATTTTAAACTTGGCTTTTCTTGTCACTGCAGCTGTTACTGCTTCCTAACCATCCCCTGCTAACATTAATTTCAAAATTTTCAAACATACAGATAGTTGAAAGAATTTCACAGTGAACATCCATACACTCACCATCTAAATCTACAATTTACATTTTACTATATTTTATCATATATATATTCATCAACTATTCTTTGACACATTTTGAAGTAAGTTGTACACAATTTTATCATGATACAGAGTTCAATACTTGCTTACAGTTCTACTTTTTATTTTGAAGTAAAATTTATATATGATGAAATGCACAAATCTTAGGTATACAGTTTAGGTGTGTTCTGAGAAATGCATACACTGATATAACCCAAACTCCTATTAAGGTAGAATATTTTGATCACCCAGTACCACCTCTCAGAGGCAATCACTGCTTTGATTTTTTTCCCGCCTAGATTAGTTTTGTTTGATCTATGAATTATAGATTGTCACCTGTAAAATTTCACATAAACAAGATCATACAGTATGTTCTCTTTTGCATATTTCTTTCATTCAGTATGTTTTAGAAATGTGTCCGTGTTGTTGTGTGTATCAGTAGTTATTTCTTTTTTATTGAAGAATAGTATTCAATTGTATGTATATACTACAATTTGTTTATCCATTCTCATATTCATGAACTCTTGGGATCTTTCATCTTCTTTAAATTACTAATGCAGTTGCTATGAACATTCTTTTACAAGTCTTTTCGTGGACATATGCTTTCATCTTGGATAAACAACTATGATTGCATGTGCTGGGTTATAAGGTAAGTACCTGTTTACTTTCATAAGAAACTGCCAAACCATTTTCCACAGTAGTTATACCATTTTATATGCCTACCAACAATGTATGAGAGCTCTAACTGGGTTGCTATAATTAGCCAATTTTTTACTGAATAATTTAGCTGCAGCCAGTGTCACCCTAGCATGCCATGCTGGATTTTTTGCTTTGAAAGTGTAGCAGTGCGGCCAGGCACAGTGGCTCACGCTGGTAATCCCAGCACTTTGGGAAGCTGAGGCAGACAGATAGCTTGAACCCAAGAGTTCAAGACCAGTCTGGGCAACATGGAGAAACCCTGTCTCTACAAAAAAATACAAAAATTAGCCAGGGGTGGTGGTACACAGCTGTAGTCCCAGCTACTCAGGAGGCTGAGGTGCGAGGATGACTTGAGCCCAGAAGGTCAAGGCTGCAGTGAGCTGTGATTGCGCCACTGTACTAAAACTTGGGTGACATAGTGAGACTCTGTTGAAAGAAAGAAAAGAGAGAAAGAGACAGAGAGAGAGAGAGAAAAAGGAAGAGAGAAAGAAAGAAAATGTAGCAGTGATTGAGCTCCCTCTTCATGTTTATATATAATAAGGTTTATATATGATAATAAGCAGTCACTAGTCAATTTAATTATATATTATAGAAATGTAGCTATATGAAGGGAAATTGAACTATGTGTATATCCAAGGGGGATGCTATGGTCCATGGAGACTGTTGAACTTCCAGCGATATCACAGGGTGAGGTGAGGTTGATGAGGGCATTAAGAAAATACGTAACCTACTTCTAAAAATCCATTCTTTGTATCCAGCCTGTAGGATAACAGAAGTCGTATCCAGTTTTGATTGTGCGAGGCAACAATTATGAGCAGAGTGTCATTAGCAAAACCTCTGTGAAGTTGTAAGCAACTGATTTAAAATATGTCACCACACAGATCAAGTTCAAAGATTCCCTTTTCCTGCCCCATGGCCAATAATCTAGACAGGATTTCAAACACCCTGAAAGTGTAACGGAAAAGAATATCATATAAAACACAGGCTCCAGAAGACTCCGGCAAGGGGAGTGGGGGAGTAAAAATGAGCCATCCAGATAATTTGATAAGAGAACAGAGAAGATTTTGGCAATTTCCTTGTAATAGCCGCAATTCTTGGTAACTTAATCCTTGAAGGGATGGTATGGGGAAGATATTCCCACATGCAAGAGGGGATTCCAACAGAATTCCTATTAAAGAGACTATCCACCAAAACCGAGGTCTTATTTTCTATCTGGTGATAATCTACAGAATTTCTTTTCTCTAAACCATTGATTTAGAAATATGAAAGTTACTAAATTTACCCAGTTTAGAACAACTATAATTCTGGTTACTCTGCATGTGTCTGTTGCATGACATCTGTGATATCATGACCTCCCTCTGTCTGTTCTTCAGAGACATGGAAAGATGAATAAAGAGTTTATGTTGACAAGGTCTATAAACTAAGCAGTTCCAAACATACTCTTGCAGGCTCCCAGAATACAAAGAAAAAAGTAATCACTCCAAATGACCCCCAACTATTTAGAATTTCATACCATCAAGTCAGATGAAGCAAAATTGCTACCACCTGTAAAGATTCAAAGAAATACAAAAATCACTAAGAAGAAGGAAAAAAAAGTGGCAGATGTGCTTGGAGGGAGGCGGAACAAGTAGAAGAACATGGTTGGAGCACCCCCTCCAGGGAACTCGTGATCATATCAGAGACTGAGAAGTCCAGCCAGATTGGAAAGTTCTAAAACAACATGCCTTATCTATTCTCATACTTATAATTTTAAAGAAAAGTTTGTTTAAAAAGTACAGATCTTTTAGAATCATAGAGTTGAAGGCTGGAAGGAGTTTGGGTTTGCCTATTTACAAAATCACAGACTTTTAGCTTTGGAAGAGACCTTGGGAATCACTTAGTATAATTTGCTACCCAATATAAAACACCCCTTGTAAATGTGAATCTGTTTTCTGCTGGCATGCCTCTAGTTAAAGGAAATATAGCCTGTTCCAATTTTTGAGAACTCCAGCTATTGTCAAGTTTTTTCTCTTATATTGAGGCTGCTTTCCTTTAACTTCCAATCACAGGTCCTAGTTAGCAACGCAAAAGTAAGTATATACATATAGTTCTCGACAAGTTATATTTTCATATATTTGAAGGTGGATATTATAAATCTACCAATCTTCTCTTTCTTTAGGCTAAAATATCCCAAGTTCTTTTAACAAGGTTTCTCAGCCTCTTGCCAGCCTGGTTAACTTTTTCTTCTAATGTACTTTAGCAGCGTCCTCCTTCAAATGTGGTGCTTGAAATGAAACGCAATGCCTTAGGTATGGGCTTATTATCATAGCTAACTGCCTCCAATTACAGCTGATGAAAGAGATGCCCAGGAAGGTTAGATTACTTGCTCACATTTACACAGGCAGGTAGTGGCAGAGATGGAAATAGGACATAGATCTCCTGATTTCAGTTAGTATTCTTTCCCTATATCTCACTGAAAATAACCTATCAGTTAGAAAAAATCTGAATTTGTCTTTTTCAATATGGATAACAGAGTTTTTGTGATGACAAAAGGAATTAATGAAAAATAATGAGTCTTAGGATCAAGAACTTCCTTCACCTAGGCCAGCTTAATTCCTTTCCTTGGGTCTCCACTCCTGCCCACAAAGGAAAACAAGATGTATCTCAGGTAACCTCTCTGTGTAAAGAAGGTCTTGAAGGATCTAGTAGCAGAGGATCAAAGCATATGAGTGGCTTCTGGTCTTTGTTTAAGAGGCCCAATACTATAGCCCAGACAGGTTCCCTGCACCTCCCAGCTGAAGTCTCAAACTTATTGAGGCAATAGTATCCCTGATATTAAAGACAGCTTACAAATAATAAAGACATTCAGTCTACAGCCATACCACCCTGAATGCACCCAATCTCATCTAATCTCTGAAGAAATTCAAAGCATTAAATATTGGTCTGAGTTGTGGTGGGGTGGGGAAGCCTTGGCTTATAAGCTATACTCACCTTTTAATCAATTTTGAATATAAAATGTATAGAGCAAAGATGCAGAATGAAGCAACGTATATTACGTCTGGGGCAATAGAAGTTCAAGAGCACTGAGCAAAACAGCATTCTGGTTTCATACTGGTTGAGATTTGGCTTAGGAGCTTTCATTGTCTATCTTTCCCACCTCCCACAAGTTTTGCATTCATCCTTCAAAATACATATGGAATTAATTCAATATATACTTACTGCAAATCAATAAGACAAAAGGCATTGAGAATTCAAATTCACAAAAAAAGAGAATAAGGTCTGCCTTAAAGAAATTCAGCAACTAACAATAAGACAAACATGTAGACAATAAACAAGCCACACTGATATTAGAGAAAATGGATAAACAGAATATAGCCATACCTAACACTGAAGATTTTCCTCTGAAAGCAAGATCCAAAGTTGGGGGGGACAATTTAGAATTAGAACTAATTTTTGATATCAGATTGGAAATGCCATGAAAGTCTCACAATACAAGAGATCCAGGAATTCCTTTCTTGTCAATGGACTAAACTTGCCCTATGAAATTAACCGGCTCCCAGAGTGAGCTGCTCTGGATAACAGCCTGCCAGAGGAGGTTAACAATAGGATAGTAGCCAGTGTCAGACCTGGTCTGCATGTTTCTGTATGGTCAGCTGTGCAGTACTTTGACTATGACGTACCTGAACTTTCCATGACTGAAGACAGGTTGCTGGGATGAGACTACGCTCCATGGCCAAAAGTGATATTTAATCCTTGTTTGTTTGAGAGTGGGGCACTGCTATGTTTGGAGTAGAATATGAAAAGAACAACTGAGAAAGCGTTGGGGCAAGCCACATTGTCCTTCCCCTCCTGCCACTGTGTAGACTAGTAAGCAGAAAACTATTATGCTGGACACAAGCCAGTCTTATCCCCAAAGCAATAAATTTTACAAGCCAAATAACAAATAGAAACTAAATCTATGAATGCTGAATCCACTGAGAAATCCAAAAGAGAAATATCAATTGTCTATTCTTTCCCAAAGGGGTTGGAAGGAGAGGTTGAATAAAGCAATTCTATAAAATGCAATCCAAAAGCCCTCATTGTTTACTGCATGGTAAATCATAATGGCAGGAGTGGTCTTATCCTGTTATGCTGGAAAATGAGCTAGAAGATGATAAAGTCACAGCCACAGCCACTAAATAAAGTAAATAAATACTTTATCCACACAGCAGAATATCCAGACAATGCACAGTCTCACTGTTCTCAGCCACTCCTGCAAAGGGAAATTGTCTCTTTCAGCTTCTGCTACAGGCACTATAGTAAAGCATTCTGACAGCCAGCCAGCCAGCCAGCCAGCCAGACAGGCAGGCAGAATGCTATGAAGATTCTGAAAGGAGTTTGCTTAGAATACCACAGAGTTGGTGGATGTTTCAATGGCATAGGACATTTTACTTCCTTTTTCTGAATTAAGGAATGGGACTACACCTAAGTGTATAAAAAAGGATAATGAACCAATACAGAGCAGATGTCATATACTGTATGCTCAACTAAACCATGTTGATCTTTCCTGCCTATAGAGCTGAAGACTGTCATTCCATCCACTGAATGAGAACAATGTTAAAGACATTCATGGGACCCAGAGTCTCTTCTTTCTATACTCAACATTGACACTATTCCCAACTTTCTTCTCTTACTATAAACATATACCTTGAGGCCAGGCGCAGTGGCTCATGCCTGTAATCTCAGCACTTTGGGAGACCGAGGCGGGCAGATCACCTCAGGTCAGGAATTTGAGACTAGCCTGGCCAGCATGGTGAAACCCCGTCTCTACAAAAATACAAAAAATTAGCCAGGCGTGATGGCAGGTGCCTATAATCCCAGCTACTCGGGAGACTGAGGCAGGAGAATTGTTTGAACCTGGGAGGCAGAGGCTGCAGTGAGCCAAGATCATGCCATTGCACTCCAGCCTAGGTGACGAGCGAAATTCTGCCTCAAACAAAAACAAAAACACCAACAACATATACCTTGATATGGTTTGGCTCTATGTCCCCACCAAGATCTCACTTTGAATTGTAATGATCCCCACGTGTCAAGGGTGGGGCCAGGTGGAGGTAATTGAATCATGGGGGCAGTTTTCCCCACGCTGTTCTCATGATAATGAGTGAGTCTCACGAGATCTGATGGTTTTATAAGCATCTGGCATTTCCCCTACTGCCTCTCATTCTCTCTCCTACTGCCTTGTGAAGAGGTGCTTTCCTCTATGATCATAAATTTCCTGAGGCCTCCTCAGCCATGCTGAACTGTGAGTCAATTAAACCTCTTTTCTTTATAAATTACCTAGTCTCAAGTATGTCCTTATAGCAGCATGAGAACATACTAATACAGTACATTGGTACCACAGAGAGTGAGGTAGCTGCTATAAAGATACCTGAAAACGTGGAAGCGACTTTGGAACTAGGTAACAAGCAGAGGTTGGAACGGTTTAGAGGGCTTAGAAGAAGACAGGAAGACATGGAACGTTTGGAACTTCCTAGAGACTTCCTGAATGGTTTTGACCAAAATGCTGTTAGTGATATGGACAATGAAGTCCAGGCTGAGATGGTCTCAGATGGAGATGAGGAACTTCTTGGGAACTGGAGCAAAGGTGACTCTTAACTATTCTTTTATTATTATTATTATTATTATTATTATTATACTTTAAGTTTGAGGGTACATGTGCACAATGTGCAGGTTAGTTACATATGTATACATGTGCCATGCTGGTGTGCTGCACCCATTAACTCGTCATTTAGCATTAGGTATATCTCCTAATGCTATCCCTCCCCCCTCCCCGCACCCCACAACAGTCCCCAGAGTGTGATGTTCCCCTTCCTGTGTCCCTGTGTTTTCATTGTTCAATTCCCATCTCTGAGTGAGAACATGCAGTGTTTGGTTTTTTGTCCTTGCGATAGTTTACTGAGAATGATGATTTCCAATTTCATCCATGTCCCTACAAACGACATGAACTCATCATTTTTTATGGCTGCATAGTATTCCATGGTGTATATGTGCCACATTTTCTTAATCCAGTCTATCATTGTTGGACATTTGGGTTGGTTCCAAGTCTTTGCTATTGTGAATAGTGCCGCAATAAACATATGTGTGCATGTGTCTTTATAGCAGCATGATTTATAGTCCTTTGGGTATATACCCAGTAATGGGATGGCTGGGTCAAATGGTATTTCTAGTTTTAGATCCCTGAGGAATCACCACACTGTCTTCCACAATGGTTGAACCGGTTTACAGTCCCAGCAACAGTGTAAAAGTGTTCCTATTTCTCCACATCCTCTCCAGCACCTGTTGTTTCCTGACTTTTTAATAATTGCCATTCTAACTGGTGTGAGATGGTATCTCATTGTGGTTTTGATTTGCATTTCTCTGATGGCCAGTGATGATGAGCATTTTTTCATGTGTCTTTTGGCTGCATAAATGCCTTCTTTTGAGAAGTGTCTGTTCATATCCTTTGCCCACTTGTTGATGGGGTTGTTTGTTTTTTTCTTGTAAATTTGTTTGAGTTCATTGTAGATTCTGGATATTAGCCCTTTGCCAGATGAGTAGGTTGCGAAAATTTTCTCCCATTTTGTAGGTTGCCTGTTCACTCTGATGGTAGTTTCTTTTGCTGTGCAGAAGCTCTTTAGTTTAATGAGATCCCATTTGTCAATTTTGGCTTTTGTTGCCATTGCTTTTGGTGTTTTAGACATGAAGTCCTTGCCCATGCCTATGTCCTGAATGGTAATGCCTAGGTTTTCTTCTAGGGTTTTTATGGTTTTAGGTCTAACGTTTAAGTCTTTAATCCATCTTGAATTAATTTTTGTATAAGGTGTAAGGAAGGGATCCAGTTTCAGCTTTCTACATATGGCTAGCCAGTTTTCCCAGCACCATTTGTTAAATAGGGAATCCTTTCCCCATTGCTTGTTTTTCTCAGGTTTGTCAAAGATCAGATAGTTGTAGATATGCGGTGTTATTTCTGAGGGCTCTGTTCTGTTCCATTGATCTATATCTCTGTTTTGGTACCAGTACCATGCTGTTTTGGTTACTGTAGCCTTGTAGTATGGTTTGAAGTCAGGTAGCGTGATGCCTCCAGCTTTGTTCTTTTGGCTTAGGATTGACTTGGTGATGCGGGCTCTTTTTTGGTTCCATATGAACTTTAAAGTAGTTTTTTTCCAATTCTGTGAAGAAAGTCATTGGTAGCTTGATGGGGATGGCATTGAATTTATAAATTACCTTGGGCAGTATGGCCATTTTCACGATATTCATTCTTCCTACCCATGAGCATAGAATGTTCTTCCATTTGTTTGTCTCCTCTTTTATTTCATTGAGCAGTGGTTTGTAGTTCTCCTTGAAGAGGTCCTTCACGTCCCTTTTAAGTTGGATTCCTAAGTATTTTATTCTCCTTGAAGCAATTGTGATTGGGAGTTCACTCATGATTTGGCTCTCTGTTTGTCTGTTATTGGTGTATAAGAATGCTTGTGATTTTTGTACATTGATTTTGTATCCTGAGACTTTGCTGAAGTTGCTTATCAGCTTAAGGAGATTTTGGGCTGAGACGATGCGGTTTTCTAGATATACAATCATGTTGTCTGCAAACAGGGACAATTTGACTTCCTCTTTTCCTAATTGAATACCCTTTATTTCCTTCTCCTGCCTAATTGCCCTGGCCAGAATTTCCAACACTATGTTGAATAGGAGTGGTGAGAGAGGGCGTCTCTGTCTTGTGCCAGTTTTCAAAGGGAATGCTTCCAGTTTTTGCCCATTCAGTATGATATTGGCTGTGGGTTTGTCATAGATAGCTCTTATTATTTTGAGATACATCCCATCAATACCTAATTTATCGAGAGTTTTTAGCATGAAGGTTGTTGAATTTTGTCAAAGGTCTTTTCTGCATCTATTGAGATAATCATGTGGTTTTTGTCATTGGTTCTGTTTATATGCTGGATTACATTTATTGATTTGCGTATATTGAACCAGCCTTGCATCCCAGGGATGAAGCCCACTTGATCATGGTAGATAAGCTTTTTGATGTGCTGCTGGATTCGGTCTGCCAGTATTTTATTAAGGATTTTTGCATCAATGTTCATCAAGGATATTGGTCTAAAATTCTCTTTTAAAGAGTCTAGCAGCATTTTGCCAATGCCCTAGAGATCTGTGGAACTTTGAACTTGAAAGAGATAATTTAGGGTATCTGGCAGAAGACATTTCTAAGAAATTTCACTTGGGTCATCTCAACAAATAAAAATCTCATATGCATCAAGACAAAATGACTCAATGAAATCAGTCATTCTACTTCTAGGTATACTTCTAGGTAAAACTCCCCAAGAAACACTCATATATATGCACAAGGAAACAAACATAAGTATGTTCCATGAAGTACTATTTGCGACAGCAATAAAAATGGGAACATCTTGAATGTTTATTAATAGAAGAAAAGATAATAAAGTGTGACATATTAATATAATGGAAGACTATACAACACATAAAAGGTTTTGGGTTTTTTTGTTTTGTTTTGTTTTTTTGAGACAGAGTCTCACTCTGTTGCCCAGGCTAGCGTGCAGTGGCATGATCTTGGCTCACTGCAAGCTCTGCCTCCTGGGTTCAAGCAATTCTTATGCCTCAGCCTCCCGAGTAGCTGGGACTACAGGCCTGCACCACCACACCCAGCTAATTTTTGTATTTTTAGTAGAGACAGGGTTTTGTTATATTGGGCAGGGTGGTCTCAAACTCCTGGCCTCAAGGTGATCCACCCACCTCTGCCTCCCAAAGTGTTTGGGTTACAGGTGTGAGCCACTGTGCCCAGCTCAACATATAAAAGGAGAAAATGAAATGTCATTATTGTCATGGAGAAATATTGAAAATAATAATGAAAAAAATGTTGCAGAATGATGCATAGTATGACACATGTACGTAAGTTGGAAAATATACAAAGCAACACTACCTGTTGCTTGTAAATACTAATTGATATCGTTTGGATGTGTATCCCCTCGGAATCTCATATTGAAATGTGATATCCAATGTAGGAGGTAGGGACTGGTAGGAGGTGTTTGGGTCATGGGGGCGGATCCCTCATGAATGACTTGGGGCTGTCCTTGAGGATAATGAGTGAGTTCTCACTCAGAGTTCATGTGAAATCTGGTTATTTAAAGGAGTGTGGCACCTCCCCACCTCTGCTTCTTGCTCCCATTCTTGCCATGTGACATGCTGGCTCCCCTTCACCTTCCACCATGGTTGTATGCTTCCTGAGGCCCTCATCAGAAGCAGATGCCAGCCCTGTGCTTTGTGTACAGCCTACAGAACAATGAACCAATTAAACCTCTTTTCTTTATAAATTATCCAGCCTCAGGTATTTCTTTATAGCAATCCAAGAATGGACTAACATACTCATATATGGCTTAAAAGCATTTAAAAAATCCCAGAAAGATAAATACCAAATTCACAGAGGAAATGGGCTTGCCTAGGCCTGGGGATCAAACACGATGTTATATATATTACAATGTGTTCCTTCTTTTATTTCTTCTCCTTTAACTATGTTTCTTTTATATTTATTCTTACTAACTCTACAGATTTCTAAATAAAAATAAAGATGAAACAAATAAAAATGTTAATTTTCAAGTCTGGACAGTGGGAATACAGTATTTGTTATTATATTTAAATTTCTGCCAAAAAAAAAATAGTTCTTAAAGGGGCCAGTCACTTGACTGTATTTAAGGTATGGAGAAACACATATATTGGGTGTAAAGAATTCTGAACAGAAGTAAAAACTTAGCACTGTTTAACATTTCCTCTGAAAAGGCAGAGAGTTCATGGCTATCTGAATGAATGCTTGCTATTTTAGGTATGAGCCAGCCATTCAGCTATACTGGTTCCAGGCAAGGTCACTGGAGACAGCAGGTAAAACAAGATAACAATTAAGATTTCTACCCAGGCACAGTGGCTCACACCTATCATTCCAGCACTTTGGGAGGCTGAGGTGGGCAGATTGCTCAAACCCAGCAGTTCAAGACCAGCCTGGGGAACAGAGGGAGACCCTCTCTTAAAAAAAAGGCAACCTTTGACATCAGAAGATCTGGGTTCAACTCCTGGTTCAGCCACTTAGTGTCACTTTGACTAAGCTGCTTAACCTCTTTGAGCATTAGTGTCTTCATCTATAAAATGGAAATGATAATTTTTATATCACATGGTCTTTGGAGAATTACCTGAGATAACACTACATAGATTTGTCTAGCACACAGGAAATCTTCAAAGAATGACAGAAAAAAATAAAAGGGTTGAGGAAGCATTTTTCAAGAGTTTTTTGAAGTTAACTAATCTTTTCTTAATTCATCATATATGAAGAATATGGCACATTCCCATAATAATAATAGGGGATGTGAAGAGGTGAAGAGGTTCAGGATGTGAGGTGGTAAACAGGGACAGAAAGCCTCCCAGATGTGCCCCAACCCCTCATATCTTCCCATCATCACTGGTCTGGGTTAGCAGTCCCTAGGCCTGGGTATTTTAGGCTCACAGAAATGCAGAGGCATAGCTGGTGGCAACTCTGGACGACTGCTCCCTCCAAAAGCATAGGTTCCAGAGGTCACAGCAATGAGATTTCCTGTTGGCAGCTGCTAAAACCCCTGGGTGGTCAAAATTTGGAGTACTGGAAGGTAGTGGTGGCTGGTTTTCATTCTAAGAAGCCTGGAAGGAGTAGGAGTGGTCTCAGGGGATCCTGAGCAGGTGTCAGAAGGCAAGCGTCCCAAACAAAGGCTGAAAAGTTTTCCTAAAATATCTGTCCACTCCAAGTCTCACTTCTCTCTATAATAGGGACAATGCTAGATGTCACATTCCTCCAAATATCAATAAGCATTTGAAATAAAAGACTAAAAAATTTGAACTCTTCAGACATATTTAACCACTAACTTTGAAGAAACCTTCAGTGAAGTCCATCTACCTACCCAACACCCTTGCCCACTTTCCTACCCATGCTATCCAGAACACATCATAAGTATCTGTTGAAGACATAATAAAATTGCTTTTCTTAGCTGCTTGCTTCTCATAAGCATTTTTTGGTAACTACCATAACTTTATCCAAAATGTATCAGTAGCAGATACAGATTTCTCCTTTAATATTTAATAATTTAATAATTTATTGAAATTAATAATGCATTAAATTTAATAATTAAATAATAATTTATTAATCTTCAAAAATTATGATGATCAGAAAATGAATAAAATTGAATTTCCTTTGTATTAAGCCTCACCTAAATGGTTCCTTCCCTAGGGAAATAGGTGGCAGAAAATTTCTAAAGTAATCTAAATGTTTCTTGCTGAAATTTAAATCTCTGCTCTTTGAATCTTCTTTGTGTGTACAGAATAGTTTGGAAGGAAGAGATGAGCAATTCAAGCAATGTTTGCTAGCAGTTCTCAAGTACATAATTGCTTGAGTAATGCTCCCTCCAGATCTTTCTCTCAGTCCAGAGACAGTGCCTATTGTTTTAGCAGCCAGGTACTTTGACATGTTTCCTATTATGTTGAGAAACTGAGGGAACAGGTGGTATGAGGGATTAAGTGACTTGATTGGGACCAAGAGTAAGGGGTTTTAAAACTCTTCCCCTTTCATTTGTTGGGATTTGTTCTTTTTGTATGCTGGTCTGCATTCTCTCGAGTTTAAATTAAGTAGGTAAAGATCACAGTGAATATTCTGACTACTTGAGAGTAATAGTTAAAATCCTAGCCTTTTGAATATCTTGCCTATCCTGCATCCTTGTGTGAGTCGCCTACATTAAGCAGTATCTCTTGAGGAGGAGGCCTTGAGAGTCAAAGTCTGTCAAATGAGGTGTTTCACAATAGAGAAGGATGATCTACTGAAGGAGAGAGTTGGGGAAGGAGGCAGTGAGAGAAGGAGAGAGGGATACAGAGAGAGGGACTGAAGGAGGAAGGAAGGTAGGGAGGAAGAAGAAGGGGAAGGAGAGGGAGAAAAAGAAAGAGAAGGAGACAGAATCTACTGTGTCCTTTTGATTTTAGGGAAAAAAAAAACCCTTGTTATGTTGGTCCTTATATAATGTAAAGTAGCCTGTTTACCTCTAGAGAAAAACTCACGTTTTCATCTTGACAAATACTTCTGGGTTTGCACATATACCACAACACATTATACATATTTCAAGATCAAAACTGCACCTGCAGTTCACAATGACCTATATTTTGCCTTGGTCCCCGAAAGCTGCTCTGTAGCAAAGCCAAGTCAAAACAATGCTCAAGGAAAAAAAAAATGCTGAAAGTTCCTGGCAATTTCCCTTCCACTCCACATGCTGCCAAGGTCACATAGAGGTAAAGCTGAACTCTCCATTTGGCCGTTTTTGCTTTTTCCTCCCCTTTTCCCCTCCCTCCACTTACGTACATGCTGATATAGTTTATGGTCTGTACCTCAATAGCATTATCACTCTGGGTTTTTATCAGACTTGAGGTCAGTGGAAGTAGGAAAGGAGAATGGATGTGAGTCTGGGTGTGGCAAGTTCCTATTGCTTTATCAGGGAGGTAAAAAAGTGAATCCACCTAGTATGCTTCTGGCTGTGAAGTGCAGTGAGGTGAGCCAAGGTGCCAGGGGGTCACTAGGAGTTCATCTTGGATAAGTGCCCAATGTTTGCAGGACTTAGCTCATCAACTTTTCTAATTTGCAAAGATGTATTTCCTGTTGGGTTTCTTCATCCCTGTCATCTAGGGAAAATAATCCAGTATGCAGCCTGTTTGGTGTGTACAGAAAACATCCCCTTCCTGAATTAAATCCAATTATGGTAATTCATTCAGCAAATCCTGTGATCACTGGCACAAGTTAAACTGCACAGGGTGGAGGAGTTGGGTGTTAAGCAAAGGGGACTATCTGTCAAGTATACCTAGGTGCTTTCCTCATCACTGCATTGACCTGTACCTGAACCTATTCAACATCATCTACAAACTACTTAACCTTGGTGTGCCGTGTTTTCGTCTCCTATAAAACAGCATTTCTCACTGTTTATTCCTAAATTGCTTCTGTTACCTGCTTAGAGAGCCCTGGAGAGTAGAACAACTAAGCCTTAGTAACAGGAAAAGAACACAAGATTAAATTTTAAGAGTTGTGCTTCTGGATTTTGAGACTGAGAGTTGGCTGACGGGGGAGCCCTATGGGCTAGCCGTGAATAGGATGTTATTGGCATCATTCTTTTGTGCTAATTTATGGTAGAACTGGCCATTGCTTGGGTCTTACTATTAGATTAGAATGATTAAAAGTACAAAGCAGGTGGGAGGAATACTGAATAATTCCCTCCTATTAAGTTTAGGTCAAAAATATTGCAGAACACTAAGGAAAAGTGTTCATTTTCTGAGACACTGCATTAAGGAGAAAGTAAAAGGTGAGATTTTAGACTCTGCTCTCCCAGTTACAGTCACACTGCCCTTACATCTTTTCACCTGACCTACTTTGAAATCTAGGTGTGATAAACTATAATGGCAATAATCACTTCCACTCAAACTAGAGGACTTTCTCAAATCAAGGTATCCATGGTCAAGATACATTTCAAGGTATTGAACTCCCTGCTGAAATACACAAAGGCCCCTTAACAATTAGTTCAAAAAGCAGGACATATATCAATGTAAAATACTTTAATTTCTAAGCATCTATCTCGTTGGAAATTATTTGACTTCCTTTTAATTCTATTTTTTAAAAAGATGTTTACTTATTTGTTTGTTCATTCATTCATTCATTTAGCAAACATTAATTGAACAGTTGTTGTGTGCCAGGAACTGAGATAAGGATATAAAAACGAGTAAGACAACAATCTCTATCTTAAATAGTTCACAGCCTAGTAGAGGAGACATACAGGCAAATAAACACAGTATAGTATGATATGCTGCAACAAATCTTTGTGTAAGGTGTTCAAGAAGTATAGAGGGTGGGCCAGTCCCTCCCTGGGAGAGTCAGGGAAAGGTTCACAGGGGAGGAAGCATCTGACCTGAATCTTAAAAGTTGAGTAAATGTTTGCCAGAGAAATAAGTGCCTAAAGGGAAGAAACTTTGCTATGTCATGCTTGGGGAACAGCAACACATTTGATGTGGATATACCAAGAGAATGGTAGAAAATTAAACTGGAAAGGCAGGCAGGGGCTGGCCTGAGAAGGTACTTATATGCAAGGGCTTAGGACCTTCCTTGGAGGTGATAGACCTTGAAGAGTTTTAAGCAGAGGAATGATCAATTTAATTTGTCTTTCAGAAAGGCCACTTTAGCAGTAATGGGGGTGGGGACGG
Organism: Homo sapiens; assembly: GCF_000001405.40. Classification (NCBI taxonomy): domain Eukaryota; kingdom Metazoa; phylum Chordata; class Mammalia; order Primates; family Hominidae; genus Homo; species Homo sapiens. The sequence continues at coordinate 72,273,866 of NC_000002.12, forward strand.
GTCTACTATGCGAAAGCAGTGGGAACACTGAGAAAAATATGTAAAATAACTATGATAAAGTTTATGATACATGCTGATGTTAATGTGGATATCTATGTAAGTTTTATAATATATCTGCCACCATTACACATGCTATAGACAATATAATAAGAGTTCAGCGTTTGGAATGAAATGATGAGGGAAGGCTTCACAGGAAGGCAGGTACTGAGAAACAAATTAATCCCAGAGTATAGAAATAGAACAAATAAACTATGATGCTTCTAACTATCTGAATGTGTCTGTAAGTTGGAGAACATGTACCAGACATTGAAATCAGAGAAATAAAATTACCTGAGGTCCTACACATTTAGACAAATACTCCAAGTTACACAGAAATATAACACAGAAGTCCAACAAAATCTAAACAGGATCCTGAAATGGGACTGTAAAGTCAATTTTTTAAAATACTAAGCTGACATGATCATGCCTATAATTGGTGTAAAGATTCTAGTCCATTTCTAAGCTTGTGCATTTGATTGAGATAAAATACACTGGACAAATACAAAGTATTTTGCAATGTCGAACCTTAATCACCAACCAAGTGAAATGACATTTACTTGAGATAAGGAGCCTGGGTTACCAGTGAGTACCTTGTAAAGTTTCTTTTTCATTTAAGTATTCTACAGGAAAGACAAGAGTATTTAACACAGGCTGCTATTAAGGGAGGAGTTTGGGAAGACAAAGCAGGTTTATATGTGTGTCCTAACTGAAACTTCTTTTGAAATAGGAAAACTTCAGCGTCACTTATACACATAAATACTTAAACTAAGCAGAGACGTGAACAATTAGATCATTCCAATCTCATGAATAGTGTAAATCCACCCCGTAATAAAAGCCATTTTGGATTATTATTCTTTGTTTATTAAGCCAACAGAAGCATTCATTCCAGCCAGCCTGTCAAAAGCACAGAGTGAAGCTAAACAGTTTGTTTAGTCTAACGAAAGATGTTCTCAGCCAAAACAAAAGGGACCCAAATTTTTTTGCTTTTATAAAGTGTAACTTTACCGTGGAATGATATTACATAATTAGAGGGAATAGATAAGAAGACAGAGGCAACAGAATGATGCAGAGTTCTTTTTTATTCAGTGTGACAAAGGGATGAGATGGATTTTTTTGCCAGTCTAAAGCAGTGACCAGCTGTCATGAGTGACTGTCAAATAAATCGTTTACAGTATTCCCTTAACCTAGTACCCACTTGATAACTGTAGCACCATTATTCAATTTCGTCGATTATGTGAGCTAGTAATTTGCATATTTACTTTAAAATAACATTTAATGGACAAGATAGAGTTAAAGTTTATCTGAGATACATTCATTCTACACCATAAATGACTTCACCACCCCTCCCTGTCATTAACAATGCTAAGTTACTGCTGTAGGGTTTTACCTACCTCATTTTGAATAGTTCCATAAAGTTGTCTAACCCATGTGTCAACAGACCACTTGGAGTTCAAGCAACACTTCATGGCTCACAGCTGGTAATTACAAAGTTTCCCTAAACATGTAGATGCTATATGATTTCCAAATTGCAATAATCTTCTAGGCCACTATCAGGCCTGGTAACCTCTCATCACTTCAGAAATCAATTCACAAAGTGAGCATGTCAAGTCATTTTCCTCAGCAGTTTTAACCAATGTTATGCTTCACATAGACATGGATGGTCAAACTCATTTTTATTTTCTTATTAGTGCTGCTCAATTAATCCTCAACCCTCTTACAATCAGCACTAAAAAAGATATAATCTTTCTACAAGTACAATTGGCCCTGGACATATCCTGATTTCACCTGTTCAGGTCTCTGGGTATTCAATAAAGCAAGTTCAGCCGCTGTGCCAAGAGGCCACACAGAGTTCAAGGTAACACCTCACAGCCATCAGCAGGTTAATTATAATTTCATTTTCAAACACACCGACTACATGCTTGTTTCAACTCCAAATGACCTTACCTGCTTAATTTTTTTTGGGGGGTGGTGGTCTACATGGAGTAAATTTCTGTCAGCAAAGCTGAGAGGCCACTCGGAGTTCATGGTAACAATTCATATTTGTAACAGGTTGCCCAGACCTAAATCCTCACCTTCAAACATTCCTGAGAGAGCACTTAGTAGCTATGAAGGAAGTAGGGAGTGGGGGATGGAGAAGGAAGAGAGATGGAGATAGAGGAGGGTGGAAAAGGGAAGGAGAGACACAACACCTGACCTCTGGAGTGTTTTGAGGGGTTCAGTGTCAATGGCCATTTTAGTGAGGTGATTCTGGCTCATGGGAGAAGGGCCTCCACTTTGGGGGTAGACTCTTACAGGAGTTTCTAGATACCCGATGACTGCATCACTGCCAGAAACAAAACTGGCTCAAAAGCAGCCTTGTATTAAATTCTTAAGTGATCACAATAGTGGAAGTTTGATTCTGCATGGAAGGGACCTGGGACAAAAGCTGAATTCCTGCTACTCTCTCAGTGAGTAGGTATAGAAAAGGAAGTTCTCAGAGAGGTAGGTGTTTTCTCCAGACAAGGGCTCTTTCTCTTATCATTTAGGCTGAAAGAGCCCAGTTAACATCAATGAGAGGAGTCATTTCAGATGTGATTTTTTTACATGTATCGTGTGCCAGAATGACAAGTTTTGTAAAAATGCTCTCTAGGACCAACTGACCCATTTTCCTACTTAAAATCTCAAACTAGTGGCCTGAAAGCTTTTTCTCAGGAATGCTTTCTGCTTAACTCATCACTCACACTGTGTGAAGTGAAATGGAAATCTCATTTCCCATTTCACAGAGCTAAGCTGATTTTTGTTTTAATTATTTTTTTCAAATGATATAAATGACTCAACTGCTCATAGTATTAACTTGTTCATTTTGTAAGTTGACTTAAAGAGACCAAAAATAAGTATAGAATCCAATAACATATTTTATTCTTGGCCATCTATTCCTCTTGAAACAATTATGAGTAGTATGGGACCTTACCTCAACTTGCTTTAAGTCTTCCCTGGCACTTAAATCACCACCTGGTTGGTCTGCATGTGCTTTCTTACAGCCTGATATGCCTTGTCAATCTTCTTTGATAAAACGACAATTTCTATACTGTTCACTCATTCCTTCTTCAGAGGATCATTTTGGCAAACAAGTGAGTAGTATAACAGCCCCTTTCACTCCTAAATCTTAACCACAGATTATCTCAATGCTGATTTCCAAATCAGGGAGGTAATTTTTGGTTGCTGCAAGACCATAAAGCATTTAGTTAAGTGCCCTCCCATAAAAGACTGAATGTTTTGTTATTGTTGCTGAATCCAGTGATTTACATTTTTTCAGTTGCAGAGCCTTTCTTCCCCACAAATAAATTTTATAAAAAAGTCCAATATATAAAAATATAGAGTCAAAGCTGCTTATGCAAATTTATGATTTCCAAATTGCAATAATCTTCTGGTTAAACCACCCAGACACCTATCAGCTCAGTCCTTCAACCTTCCTCCATTCCCCCAACTTCTACCACCACAGCATAGAATCATACCCAAGGGAGCTCAATAGAACTACTGGCTTCTATGCAACACAGCTTCAAAGCTAGTAAGATATGGATGTTGGTAATAATTAGAAAGTATGTATTTGTTTTTTTTTTTTCTTTTTCTGGAGATAGTCACCCATGCTGGAGTGCAGAGTACAGTGGCACAATCTTGGCTGACTGCAACCTTCGCCTCCTGGGTTCAAGCAATTCTTGTGCCTCAGCTTCCTGAGTAGTTGGGATTACAAGCGCCCACCACCAAACCCAGCTAATTTCTTCGTATTTTCAGTAGTAGTGAGGTTTCACCATGTCAGACAGGCTGGTCTTGAACTCCTGACCTCAAGTGATCCTACTGCCTCAGCCTCCCAAAGTGCTGGGATTACAGGTGTGAGCCACCATGCCTGGCCAAAAGTAGGTATTTGTAAGTAGCAAATCATTTCACCAAAATTAATTATACCCCATTTTTTTTTATATAAAATTATCATCTCCATTCTGTAACCCCAGTGGACACTGGCTGTTTTTCACCTTTCTTCCAAGGTTACTAATTTTGCTCAGTTGCAATATATATGTATGAAATAAAAACCAGAAATTGTAAAAATTAAAAAAAATTATCATCTCTTGAAGGCGGGAGCTTTGGCCTGTTTATACGTTCTTCTCATAAGTCACAGCCCATACTAAGCATTCAAAAAATGTTTGCTACATTAAACTCAAAAAATACACTATCTGCTTCAGATAGGAAAAATTTACTTTCAGTGCAGAATTTGTCATTTTGAGTGAGCAGGAATGAAATCTCCTTCTCTTCCTCACTCTGCATTCACCCAGAAATCCTGAGTCATCACAGGGATCATATGAGACTAGTCATCACATCAGACTCTATTCATTGCAGAAACACTCCATTTGACCTTCAACAAGGTGACAACCTCCATGCATCTCAACTTTCCTTAATGAGAAATGTAGAGGGACAATTGAAAGCTGAGGCCTTCAATACAGCATATTTGGTCTCAACTTTCCCACTTATAAATGGCAACAATTAAACTGATCTTTTCCCTTGTCTGACATTCAAAGGAGGTGGTGAGTGTCAAACCAAGGCAAAGAAGTCATTTAATGTCTGCTTTTCATTTTAAGAGAATTGTTCCTTCTCAATCAACAATCAGCCAAATATATATTGATATCCTCTGGGGTCCTAAAAAGAACATTGAACTTGAAGTCAAAACACTGGGACTCAAATTTAGAATTTGCTACTTAATGGCTGTATGATATTGATTGAGAACACTTTGGCATCTGTTTCTCATCTCTGTAGGTGGCATAATAATTGCTACCTCACAAGATTATTCTTCAGATAAAAAATAGGATTTATGAAAATATCTAGTACTGTTCCTAGTGCATATTTGATTTAGGGCCTCATGTGAGACCCTAGGTACATAAAGGGTTAAAGGAGACATACAAAAGAAATGTATCGACTTTGCAAGTAAATTGCCACAATTTTGAATACTGAGGCAATTTGTATTTAATATCCACAAGGCTCAAGGATACAAGCTCACCTCTAGGGGATTAAAGCTGTGGGATGAGTGTGGAAAAAACTCATGGCTCTGGGTTTGTTCCAGGGTAAGCCTCAGGATATATTAAATTCAACTAGATTCAGGACACTACTAAGATAAAAGGCAGAATCAGAGCCATATTCAATTTGTAGGGCAAGTATACCAATAGTTGCTCCATGATACCAAAAGGATTTTCATTCCAATCACCATATCCTTCCCTTCACTATCTCTTCCTTCTTACTCTGTTTCTCTCTTCCTCTTTAGTATTTGAATCAGGGCTAACCTGGATCTAGAACAGAGAGACTGGATATTCTCAGAAGTGAAGAGTCCTGTGGTCACAGTACTATATTCCAGTGCTAAGATCTGTTCCTGTATTCCTCTGCTAGGCCTTCTGGAGTTACAAAATCACACTTTAGTTTCCCTTTATGTGACCCAGTCCTTAAATTAGAATTTAAATGGCTAGAGTAGAGGATCAGATGGATTTGGAAATTTGGACCTTGATGCACACAAAAATTGTATAAGGGCCCAAATATTAAAGAGTAGCTTTTTTTGTATGTGATAAAACATGATTCTGAGCTACAGACCATATTCTTCACAAAATTTTAATAGCAAAGGAACTCCTACTAAATTTACCTTTCTCTTATGGATCAACATTATTGAAATAGCAGAAAAAGTGTAGATAATTTTTCTTTCTTTTTTATGTTTTTGAGACAAGGTCTGGCTCTGTTGCCCAGGCTGGAGTACAATGGTGTGATCTCAGCTCACTGCAACCTCTGCCTCCCAGGCTCAAGCCATGCTCCCACCTCAGCCTCCCGAGTAGCTGGGACTACAGACATGCACAACCATACCCAGCTAATAATATTTGGGTTTTTTTTGTTGTTGTTGTTTTTGTTTTTTTTAAGAGACAGGGTTTTGCCATGTTGCCCAGGCTGGTCTCGAATTCGTGAGCTCAAGTGATCCACCCACCTCAGCCTCCCAATGTGCTGAGATTATAGGCTAAATTTAGATAACTTTTTTAAAGGTACTGAGCCATTTAGAAACTCATGACTGAGGAATAACAACATCTAACAATGATGGCAACAACAACAAAAATCTGCTTTACTGAAACCAAGAAATGCTTCTTAAAAATACATTTTTCATTTGTCTCATGGCAAGCATTTATTGAGTACTTAATCTATGTAGGGCCTTAGTCATTACAACTTCTGGTCTTCATTAATTTTTTTTATCATTCTAGTTCTTCCATTTTCCTCCTTTCTTTACTTTTATTTCTCTGTTTCATTATCATATTCTTTTTTTGAGAGTCCTATCATAGATCAGTGATGAAGCAGGCATCACTTATGCCTGCTTCATAAATTAATTCAGATATGTTTCAAACACATTAACTCACTACTTTTTCTGCTTCTTTTTACACACCTGTGCTCATAACCCTTTTTTTTTAGAAAATGTCAAGATAACACAGATGTTAGAATTAAGCAAAAAGAAATGACCTGTATACCAATATGGGTATAAAAGTTTAAAATGTTAACCTATAAGAATCACTGGACATTAAAATTAAACATAACTTCAGAGATCATTTAATCTAGCCATGCTTAGGAACCCTTGAGGTTTCAAAGTGTTAAAGGTGGTAATGACATCAGTTAGAATTTCCATTTTAAGTCACTAAACAAGTTTTGGGGTATCATGGAGTAATTTGTAGCAGACCAATATTCTATCAAAGACAATTAGAAAAACCAGAGACAAACATTTTAAAAAATAAAAAGGCTGCTTGGAAGCATCAGAGAGTTGCTGAGGCATCCAGGACTTGAGGATACAAGATCTGGAAGAGAAAGGGAGCTCACTGAGATGAATACAAAATGCCACATACCATATATTTTTGGTGTTGAAAGAGAGGCAAAGAGGCTAAGAGAACTGCTGGCAAACTCACAGCTGGATAAACAAAAACGAGTTTGATGATGCCAGGGGAGCAAGAGTGCAGAGAAAAGGGAAGAACAGAAAACAGCCTATTGGCATAGGCCAATGCTAAGCTATAGAGGGCAAAGGGCAGAAAGCCAAGCAGAAAATGGCTAAAAAATAGAGTTATCTGAAGACTCCTAATGCTGACAAGATAAAAATTGGAGTCCAGGTTCCACCTAGAAGGAGCCTTGCTAAAATGCACTATGCTCCCAGTTGGGACACATAAAGGGATACCTATAATAGTTGGTATGAGCAAAATGTAGACTGAACCTTCGAAAAACTACATTGCTGCAAAACTGCATTGCTGCTGCAGAACTACAAAGTTCCTGAATGTATTGAGGTGATGATCCCCTTTACTCTGGATGCCTGCCAGAAAATAGAATGAATCTCTCTAGAAGAGAATATCCAGGGCCACTACAATTTTTCATGTCTAATGGCTGGGATTCAGTAAAAAGTTATCAGACTTATCAAGAACAGAGATATGAGAAAAGCAGACAATAGAAACAGTACTACAGGTGAGTGAAATCAGAAATAGACTTTAAAATAGAGAATAAAATACAGAATTTCACCACACAATTGAAATATTTAAAAAATAAATTCTAGCTCTGAAAAAAAGAATAGTTAAAACTAAGAATATAGCAGAGAGATTTAAGAACAGATTGGATAGAGGATGAGTAAACTGGAACACTGGTGAGTACAAAATGTCTAGACAGAAGCAAAATCTAGACTGAAGCGGAAAGCAAAACAACATATGTGCATATACAGTCCCAGTGGAAGATGGAGAATGGGGGAAAAAGACAATTTGAAGATATAATAACTGCAAATTTTCTAAACTGATGAAAGACATCAAGTCAGGTTCAAGAGGAATCTTAAACCCTACACAGGAAAAACACAAAGAAAACCATGTGCCAAGGCACATTAGAGTAAAACTGCCAAAAACTGAAGATGAAGAGAACATTCTGGGCAACACAGTGAGACCACATCTCTAAAATAATAAAAATTTTAAATAGACAAATAAGAAAGATACATCATCTTCCAAGAAGCTGCAACAAGACTGATACCTGACTTCATTTTTTAAAATGAGAGAAACCAGAAGACAATGGAACTACATATTTGAATGCTAAAAGAAAATAATTGGCAACTTAGAATTCAATACCCAAGGAAAATGTTCTTCAATAATGAAGCCCTCCTCACCCCCTGCCAACAAAAAGACTTTTCCAGGCAAACAAAAGCTGAGATGATTCAACATCTGTAGGCCTACACTAAAATAAATATTTTTTAAAATATGAAAAGCAACAAAAGGGTAAATAGATGGATACATGTAAATAAATATTGTCCATACTAAAAATAATACTGATGATCTTTGGGATTTAAAATATGAAGTCAAAATGCACAATAGCAGCAATAAAAATGTAGGAATGGAATAAATTGAATTAAAGTAGTCTAAAGTTGAAGATTTTCTGGGATTTGTTACAATTATATTAGACTAATAAGAATGATTGTTGTAGAGTTTAGGATAACCAGTAAAAGGATAAAAGACAGTATAATTAACAGGCTAATAGAAAATAAAAGTAGAGCAATAAAATATAATTACTGTTTTAAAAGGCAGGAAAGGAGGAAAAAGTTAAAAAAAAAAGAAAGGGAGAAACAGAAGTAGAAAACAGAAAGTATAAGAGTATATTTAAATCCCAATGTATCACTAATTAATGTAAATGCAAATTAACTAAATACTCCAATTAAAAAGCAGACCTTATTAGAACAAAGAAGCAAACACTCTCCACGCTGCTCATTAGAGCATACCTTAAAAATAACAATCTTGAAAAATTGAAAATAAAATGATGGAAAAACACATATCATGCAAATGCTAGCCAAAATGAAAGCTGGCATGACTATACTAACATCAGACAAAGTAGACCCTTGGGCAAGAAGCATTAAAAAAGGAATATCACAATGTTAAAAGAGTTGATCTGCCCAGAAGATGCAACAATCCTAAATTTATATGCACCTAGTAACATAGCATTAATATATGTTAAGAAAAAATGGCAGGACTAACAGGAGAAATAAATCCATAATCATAATTTGAGAGTTGCACACCTCTTGATAACTGACAAAACAATTAGAACAAAACTAAAAAATCATTAGAGATATAGAATACTTGCCTATCATGATTAACAAACTTGATTTAATTGATGTCTATAGAACACTACACCCAATAACTGCAGAAAACATCTTTTAAAGGACACATAAGACATTTACCAAAATATACCATATGCTAAGCCAAAAGGTTGAACAATCTTCAAACGACTAGGAATAATTCCACTATGTTTTCTAACCACTGTAAAATCAAGCTAGAAATCAATATAAAAAGACAGCTGCAGAGACTTCAGTTTTCAGATCTGTATGAGAGGAGCTTGGAAGTCACCACTCCATTCTAACAAGTAAAAGCTGAACAAACTGAAAAATCAACAATTCCTAGATTTGTAAAAGAAGTAAGAGCACAGGGTAAACTGCTGCCTCTCAAATTGGAAGGACAGATAGATAAAGAGAGTCACAACATACTGGAAGCAGAAACCTCTATGGGAACCAGTGCTGCAGTAGGAAAACTTGAACTGTAGTTGAGGAATTGCTGAAGGCTAGGATTGGACAAGTCTAGAGTTAAAAGTTCCAGGAGAACCCAGCCATGGAGGAGTAGGGGGAGGGGCATGATTTTGTGAGTTTTAACTCTAGGAGGTTGGCCAGATTCTCACAGTAAATATCAGAAAAAAAATTCTTCTGAGTCTCAGCAGGGAGAGGGGTAAAGGAACCATTCCTCTGTATTTCTTAACAAGATCTGCCCCAGGAGAAACTAGTCAACCAAACCCTAACCTAATCCCTAACTTACTGTGATTTTATCAAAGCCTAACTGACCTGGGGGAGGGGAAATAACCCAATTATAGCCAGCTATAGTACTCCATGTGGAAGAAATATTGTGAACAACTTTTTGCCCACAAATTTGATAACCTAGATTAAATGGATCAATTGCGTGAAAAACACAGTCTGACAAAACTCACACAAGAAGAAGTGGTCAATCTGAAAAAGCATATAAATATTATAGAAATTGAACCAATAATTATAACCTCCTAAAACAGAAAGCCCCAAGTACAGATGGGTTCACTGGTGAATTCTACCAAATATTTAAGGACAAAATTATAGGAATTATTTACAAAATCTTTCAAAACACAGAAGTAGAAGGATACTTCCTAATTTGTTTTACGAGGCCAGCATTACCCTAATATCAAGTCTTGCCAAAGATATTACAAGAAAACTACATATCAATATCACTCATAAACATAGATGCAAACATCCTCAACAAAATATCAGCAAATCAAATCCAACAATGTATAAAAGAATCGTATACCATAACTAAGTGGGATTTATCCCAGGTATGCAAGGTTGGACTAACATTTGAAAATAAATCATTGTAATCCATTATATCAATGGGCTAAGAAAGAAAAATTACACAAACATATCAACAGATACAGAAAAAAGTATTTGACAAAATCCAACATTATTCACGATAAAAACACCCTCAACACAGTAGGAAAAGTTTATCAATTTGATAAAGAACATCTACAAAAAACCTACAGCTAACATCATACTAAATGGTGAGAAACTATAAGCTTTCCTACTAAGATCAAGATCAAGAACAAACTTTCCTACTAAGATCAAAACCACTCCTTTTCAACATATTATTGGAAGTCCTAGCTAATGCAATAAGACAAAAAAGGAAATAAAAGGCATACTAATTGAAAGAGAAGAAAGAAAACTGTCTTTTTTTCTTTTGTAGAAGACATGATTTTCTATAGAAAATCCAAAAGTACTGACAAAAAAATTCCTGGGACTAACAAGTCATTACAGCAAGGTTGCAGGATACAAGGTTAATATACAAAAATTATTCACTTACCTATATACCACCAATGAACAAGTAGAATTTGCAATTAAAAGCAAAATGTCATTTATATAAGCACCCCCAGAATGAAATGCTTAGGTATAAATCTAACAAAATATGTCATCAAGATCTACATGAGAAAAACTATGAAACTCTGATAAAATATCAAAGAATAACAAATAAATGAGTTATTTCATATTCATGGATAGGAAGACAATATTGTCAAGATATCAGTTCTTTCCAACTTGATCTATAGATTCAATGCAATCCCAATATAAACCCCAGTAAATTTTTCTATGGATGTTGATAAACTGATTCTAAAGTTTATATGAAGAGGCAATATATCCAGAATAGCCAACACAATATCAAAGAAGAACTAAGTCAGACTTTGTTCACTCTCAGACTTCAAGACTTACTATAAAGCTATAGTAATCAAGGCAGTGTGGTATTGGTGAATAACTAGGCAAATAGATCAAAGCAACAAAACAGAAAGCACAGAAACAGACCCACATAAATACAGTCAGAAAAATATATATAAAAAAGATAGACCTCTGATGAGCAAAGGCAAAGCAATGGAACAAAGATGTTCTTTTCGACAAATGTGCTGGAAAAACTGTACAATCACATGAACGAAAGAAAAGAATCTAGACACAAACTCACAGCTTTCAAAAAAATAAACTACAAATGGATCACAGAAATAAATGTAAAATACAAAACTATAAAGCTCATAGAAGATAACATAAGAGAAAATCTAGATAACCTTGGAATTAGCAATGACTTCTTTTTAGATATGACTCCAAAGGCACAATCCATGAAATACAATATTTATAAGCTGGACTTCATTAAAATTAAAAATTTCTGCTCTGCAAAAGACACTCAAAAGAATACAAAGATAAGCCACAGACTGGGAGAAAATATTTGCAAAAGACACATCTGATAAGGGACTATTATCCAAAACATACAAAGAATTTTTAAAGTGCACAATAAAAAAACAAACAATCCAATTAAAAAATGGAGCAAAGATCTTAACAGATACCTCACCGAAGAAGATATCATGGCATAAAATAAGCATATTAAAAAGACGATCCACATCATATGTCCTCAGGGAAATGCAAATTAAAACAATAATGAGATACCACTATACACCTATTAGAATGGCCAAAATCCAGGACACTGCTAAACACCAAATGCTGATGAGAATGTAGAACAACAGGAGCTCTCACCTATTGTTGGTGAAAATGCAAAATGGTATAGTCACTTTGGAAGACAAATAGTTTGGTGGTTTCTTACAAAACTAAACATACTCTCACCATATGATCCAGCAATTATACTCCCTGATATTTTCCCAAAGGAATTGAAAACTTATATTCACACAAAAATCTGCACATGAATGTTTATAGCAACTACAGTCATAATTGCTGAAACTTGGAAGCAATCAAGGTATCCTTCAGTAGGTGAATGGATAAATGAATGTGGTAAATCCAGACAATGAAATATTATTCAGCACATTAAGAAGAAATGAGCCATTAAGCCATGAAAAATTATGGAGGAAACTTAAATGCATATTACTAAGTTAAAGAAGCCAGTCTAATAAAGGTTACATACTACATGATTCCAACTACATGACATTCCAGAAAAGGCACAATGAGGGGGACAAGAAAAAGATCAGTGGCTGCCAGGGGTTGGGGCAAGAAGGGAATGAAGAGGTGGAGTACAGAGGATTTTAGGGCATCAAAATTACTACGTATGATACTATAATGATGGATACTTGTCATTAGATATTTGTTCAAATCCATAGAATATACAACATCAAGAGTGAGCCCTCATGCAAATTATCAATTTTGGGTGATAATGATATGTCAGTGTAGGTTTATCACATGTAACATACCACTCTGGGGGGAATACGAATAATGAGGGAGGCTATGCATGTAGAGGGGGCAAGAAGTACCTAGGATATCTCTGTATATTCCTCTTAATTTTGTGGTAAAATTAAAATTGCTGTAAAAATACGAAGTCCTTTTTAAAAAAAGATACCTAGCAAATCCAAAAATGGAAAAGAGTACCCTACTAAATTACTCATGTTTCAAGAAGAAATTAAAACGGAAATTAGAAAATATTTTGAGTTGAATGCTAAAAAGAAAAACATATCAAGATCTGTGGGGTAAAGCTAAAAATGTGTCTCAGGAAAATGTATTGCTTTAAATGCACACATTAAAAAATAAAGACTGAAGAAGAATTATGGATCTAGGTATGCATCTCAAGAAGTTAAAGGATAGCAAACTACTATTGCTGCTGCTGTTACTGCTAATAGAAAAAAAATCAGAGAAATAGAATATAAATGTAGGCCGGGCGCAGTGGTCAAGCCTGTAATCCCAGCACTTTGGGAGGCTGAGGTGGGCAGATCACGAGGTCAGGAGATCGAGACCATCCTGGCTAACACGATGAAACCCCGTCTCTACTAAAAATACAAATAAAATTAGCCGGGCGTGGTGTCAGGCACCTGTAGTCCCAGCTACTAGGGAGGCTGAGGCAGGAGAATGGCGTGAACCCGGGAGGTGGAGTTTGCAGTGAGCAGTGATCACGCCACTGCACTCCAGCCTGGCCGACAGAGTGAGACTTCATCTCAAAAAAAAAAAAATAAAAATAAAAATAAAAATAAAAAAATAAAGAATATAAATGCAAAGTGGAATCAACAAAGGCAAAGAAATGCTTCTTTGAAAAGACTTGTAAAAATGATAAACCTCCGTCAATAATGTGAAGAAAAAAGAAAGAAGGCACAAATAACCAATAGTAGGAATGAAAAAGGGTATATAACTGCAGATCCTACAGATATTAAAAATATAATGAGAGAATATTATGAATGACTTTATGCCAACAGATTTGGAAATTTAGATGAAACAGGAAAATTCCTAGAAAACACAATTTACCAAAACTGATATAAGAATAAACAGAAGATCTGACTATTCACTTATGTATTAAAGAAATTAAGTCCATAATTAATAAACTTCCCATAAAGAAATTTCCTGGTCCATATAATTTCACTGGTGAATCTTTATAACACTGAAGAAAGAAGTAAGGCCAATCTTACGTAAATTCTTCCTCAGAAATAAAATTAAGGAATACTTCCAATTTATTTTTATTAGACTTGTATAACTTTGATTCTAAAACCTGAAAAGGCTATTTTATGCAAGGAAATCCAATAGAAAATTTGGCAAGGGACATGAAATGGTACTTCAAAAATAAGGTATCAAAATGGCCAATTAACATATGAAAGGTTGCTCAACATCATTAGTATTAGGGAAATAGAAAATAAACTTACAATGAGATACCATACACATTCACTAAGATGGCTAAAAATAAAATACCAATATAATACCATGTGTTTTGGGGATGTGGAAGAACTTGAGTTATCTTTGCTCTTGGTATAAACTGATTACAATCACTTTGAAAAACTATTATTAGCTACATACATAGATTCCATGACATACATAGACTCTATGACCTGCAACTGCAATCCTAGGTACATATCCAACAGAAATGAGTACACTAAAAGATATATACAAGACTGTTCACAGCAGCACTATTTGTAAAAATAAAAAAAAGACAAGACAACAAAAAAACTCAATCTGTAAACAACCCAAATGTCCATCAACAATCAAATAGAGATCAATATAACAAAGTATGTCATAGTCATATAATATAATACTTTACAGCAATGAGAAAGAATAAACTGCTTCATACAACAGTTTGGATGACTCTCATCAATGTAATGTTTAATGAAAGAAGCTAGACATAAAAGAGTAGATACTATATAATCCCACTAGATACTATATAATCCCACTCATATAAAGTACAAAACTGGCCAACTAATCAATCTGATAGAAATATATATATATATATATACAAACTCTTTCCGTGCCACCAAAATGGTACACATGAATGTCCTGGATGATGCTCCTAACAGCATCAACAATGCTGAAGAGAGGCAAATGCCACATTCTTATTAGGCTGTGCTCCAAAGTCATCGTCCAGTTTCTAACTGTGTTGCTGAAGCATGGTTACATTGGTGAATTTAAAATCATTGAAAATCACAGAGCTGGGAAAATTATTGTGAACCTCACAAGCAGGCTAAACAAGTGTGGAGTTATCAGCCCCAGATTTGCTGTGCAACTCAAAGATCTAGAAAAATGGCAGAATAATAATCCCGCCAGTTTAGTTTCATTGTATTGACAACCTCAGCTGGTATCACGGACCAAGAAGAAGCAAGATGAAAACACACAGGAGGGGAAATCCTGGGATTCTTTTTCTAGAGATGTAATACATATTTACAAATAAAATGGCTCATGGGCCAAAAAAAAAAAGAAATATACATATTAATTACTTCTGGGTGTGAGGCATTGGAACTGGAAGCAGGAACAAGGGGCCTTTGAGGGATGTCGGTAATATTCTGTATTTTGATCAGAGTTTCATGAGTATATTCACTTTGCGAAAATGCATGAAGCCATATAATTATGATTTATAGATCTTTCTGTTCTATAATAAAATGTTTACTTGAAAATGTCAATAAATAGAATACTTTCCCTCTTTAAATATGTACTGCTTGAGATCCTCTAAGTGAATACAGATTAAGTCATGAGTAGCAGCCAGTGGATCAGAAAGCTGTACTCATGATCCAGTCACTCGGTTGGTATTCCACTCAGCTGAAAACAGCTGGGTGCTGTGAGTGTGTGTCTGTGTGTGTATGTGTGTGTGTATTTTTTAACTATTACAAAATTTGAAAATGTTCTCATTTTTACTCATTGTGATGGTTAATTTTATGTATCAACTTTACTGAGCCACAGAATGCCCAGATATTTTGTCAAGCATTATTCTGGGTGTCTCTGTGAGGGTATTTCTAGATGAGATTCACACCTGAATTGGTAGACTGAGTAAAGAAGATTGCCAGCCAGGTACGGTGGCTCATGCCTTTAGTACCTGTAGTCCCTGAGGCTGAGGTGGGAGGGCCCAGAAGATCGAGGCTGCAGTGGGCTATGATCACACCATTGCACTTCAGCCTGGGTGACAAAGTGAGACCTCATCTCTAAAGAAAAGGTAGATTGTTCTCTCTAATGTGGATGGGCCTCACCTAATCAGTTGAAGGCCTGAAAAAACCACAAAGGTTGACTTTTCTGTGAGAAATTCCTCCTGCTTGACTACCTCTGAGCTGAGGCATCAGTTTTTATTTGCCTTTGGACTCGAACCAAACCATTCACTTTTCCTGGGTCTCAAGCCTGCTGGCATTTGGACTAGAACTACACCATTGGCTCTCCTGGTTCTCAGGTCTTTGAACTTGAACTGTAATTATATCAGTGGCTCTGCTGGCTCTCCAGCCTGCCAACTGCATATTTTGGAACATGTCAGCCTCTATTATCATGTGAGCCAATTCCTTATTAATCTGTATGTGTGTGTATACAAATTTATATAGATACATATTACACATCTTTTATAGACTCTTGTTTCGGTTCCTCCAGAGAACCATGACTAATACACTCACATATTACCTACATTTTGTCCATAATAGATGATGTTAAAGGCAGAAAACATAAAGAAAAGTAAAACATAAAAGTAAATGAAGACCATAAGAATAATTACAATTTTTCAAACAAGTCTCAAAGATGATCTTCAACAAAATTTGTAATTACACTTACTGATCAGAATCCTTATAATATACATAAAAATATACTTAGTCTTTTAAAAATTGATACTTAACATAAAATGTTTGTATTCATATGACTTTTTATTTACTGGGATTTAACATTATTCATATTGAGACTATTATTTTTAGAGAAATACTTGTACTTACTAGCATGAAATACTTTAATTTTATTTAGAAACCAAACTTGAAAACTATAAAAAAACGTTTTTAATATTCACAATTAAAAACTTCAGACAACAGGTTATATAAGTTGATTGATTTGGATCTGTATTTGGATGTATATTTGATTTCCAAACAATTCAATAAAACATTACAGTTAGAATATCCAAAAATTATGTTTTCTCTTATATAATTAGCTTAAAAATCTATTTTATATGGGAAAAGATGAAATGTATTTAATTGAAATGTATGAATATTATATTGAAATCAAATATGTAATCTTTAATAATATGCAAAATCTGAATTTTTCTTTAGTTTGCTTCTTTATCATATATCATTAAAGAATGACATTATCTTTTAAGTTCCAGAGAGGGCTGATAATGAGATTACAATTACTGTAAATTCCATAGCTCATAAACGTTTGAAAATATTAATTTAGTATAATTTCTATCCCCAGCTTTTATAGACAAAGAAACTGAGGCTAGAGCAGTTAGACAATTTGACCGAGGATATATTTTTAGTTTGTGGCAGAGTCAGGGTAAACGTGCAAGTTTCTTGATTGTTGATCCAGTGTTCTCTGCAGCAGCACAAGATATCTGTCTCTTCTGCATGATGAGTCATTTTCTTAGCTCCACAACTGATTTTTCACATGCACAAAAGAACCTGGTCAACTATAGCTATTAAAAGGCTGCCATGTCGGACTGAGAAATTCACAAATATAAGGGATCTTTACATTCTCCTCCACCTTCAATAAATTTGGCTTTCATCAGTTAATGTCTGAAAACATCTTTGGATAACTTTCAGTAGAAAAACAATACATCAGGAATCTCAGCGGCTGAGAAGGGAGAGCTTTTCCAGCTTTCATAAACAAAACTTCAGTGACAGCCTCTTTTAGGTTTTGGATGTAATTTTCCTAACTGATGTTTTCACTGTGGTGTGCCTTGGTTGTTTTCCACTCATTAGCTAATTGTGAGGGAAACCATATTTATGTTGATGCCACATCAGTGTGAAAAACTGATCAAATAAAGTAGAAGTCTGCAGTCTCTCACTGAGAAAAGCTGGAATCAAGTCACAATTCACATGTGAATGAGGTAAAGACAAGGTACATCTACAAGAATACTATTGTCCTGCTTCTGGTTTAAATGATTAGTAGCTAATGACACAGGCTCAAGAACTTCCCATTGAAATATTCATAAAAATTTAAAGAAAAAGTTAAAACGCTTAACAGTGCAAAAGTCTAAAACGGATGGTTAATCTATTGCCAGGATTGAAAAGGATTTTCACACTAACAAGAATGGAACAGATTTGAGAATCACAATCAAAGGTTAATACAGAACAGACTCACCAGTTTTCTCCATTCTTACCCCTGACTCAGTAACCAGGCTCTGTAATAGTGTTTTCTAACCTTGAGCAATTTTCTGAAAACACAGATTCCTTGGCTTAATTTCTAGAGATCCTGATTCCATAGGTATCTGATGGTGGTGATAGTGGTGGCAGGAGGATCCAGAAGTAAGTGTGTGTGTGTGTGTGTGTGTGTGTGTGTGTGTGTGTGTACCTTATAAATCCCATTAAGTGAATCTGAAGATCTACCAGGTTTGATAACTACTGGTCTATATCAATCCATAAAATTGAGTAGCTGTCCCTCTGTTGCATAGTTCCTGCTTTTTTAAAATATAATTTCTGTTCTGAAATAGGCTCACAAGTAGTTGCAGAAGTAGTACAGAGTGTCTGTATATCCTTCAGGGAGGTTCCCCTGATGATAATACCTCATATAATCACAGGACATTGCCAAAAACCAGTTAACTGATGGTTGGTACAGTGCTAGGAATTCAGATACAGACCCTGTTTGATTTCACCAGTTTTTACATGCACGCTTTGTGTGTGTGTGTGTGTGTGTGTGTTGAATATGATTCTATAAAAGTTTATCACATGTGTTGATTCATGTAACCATCACAACAATCAGAAT